>NC_000009.12:108220552-108845552 GCF_000001405.40 Homo sapiens | reverse complement strand
TAATGTAAATCTCCTGATCAACGGGCAATGTATATTGTACATATGTACAAATATGTGTGTTTTTAAGTATGTGCTGTAGGCAGATATTTTCATGTTTAGTATCTCATTTAATCTCATCAACAACTCAGCAGTGTAGGAGTTGTGATCCTAATTTTATAACGAGAAGCCTGAGGCACACAAAAGGTAATAAATAATAATACTTTTGGCTTTAGCGGTACAGATTCTGTTCCAGCAAAACTCCATCTGCCATAGTTTACCCAACAGAGGTGGTTGTCAAGGTCACTTAGATTTAAAAGTAAGTCCCTGCTTTCAAGTCTAAGAGACTTAAATGAATATGTAAATAAAATTCCTGTAAGGGCAATTTTGGTTGCGTTATCTGGGTCATCATCTGAATTGTGCACTTCACTTTGCCAATACAGATGAAGCTAAGCATAAGAGAGAAAAATGGATGTTGAGAATGAGAAAGTGCCTGATTCACAAATAATTTATGCCCAGCAAGAAGTGAGAGGCCACCTGGGATAAGAACAAGCTAGGACTTGCGGCATCCCATTAGTGAATATTAAATCCCTTTTCATGCCTGTGTTTGATTACAAAGGTAGTTAAAAACACATTAAGTATGGAAAAAGGTGATTCTGGCATCAGGCTTTCACCAAGTGAAAATAATGACAATGTAAAGGAGAAGGAAGCTATTCTCTTTGTATGTGCTTCTGTTATAAATTAAATCAATTAAATTACTAGAACATTTGTAAAAATAAAGTCAAAGAGGGATCTATTCAAAATATAACAGAAAACTGAGACAATTTTATGTTTAAAAGTCCATATATGCAACTGGAAATGTCTGGATCAAATGTCTAGATGCTTTTTTGGATTATTAAGACAATTACTTGATTGACCAGCTGTGTTTATATAGAGACCAAGTAATTCAAGGTCTTCTACCTCCCAAAGGGATTTGGAGCACGGGATCAGCCTCAGAACTGGCCATTTGGCAAAGTTTTTCTAATCATCTCCCAAGAATTTAGAGCTTTGCGTAAACTAGCTACACACCATCTTTCCACCTCTGAAGAACATTTTTTCATTCACTTTATTTGGGTTTGCTGGTTCCCAGTTAAGTTAAATCCTTAACAATCTGGCTCAATGAATTAGGAGCAACTCACCAAATGAATCTTAAGAGATTGGAGAAGGTATAATTAAAGTCAGTGGGCAGCTGGGTGCAGTGGCTCACACCAGTAATTCCAGCACTTTGGGAGGCCAGGGTGAGGATTGCTTGAGCTCAGGAGTTTGAGACCAGCCTGAGCAACATGGTGAAACCCCACCTCTACCAAAAACACAAAAATAAGCTGGGTGTGGTGGCATGTGCCTGTGGTCCCAGCTACTCAGGAGGCTGAGGTGGGAGGATCCTTGGAGTCTGGGAAGTCAAGGCAGCAGTGAGCCATGATCACGCCACTGCACTGTGGCCTGGGTGACAGAGCTAGACCCTACCTCAAAAAAAAAAAAAAAAAAAAGGATTTTTTTATGTTTTTGCATCCTATTCTCTTTTTCCTTTTGAAACCAAGAAGCAACCTTTCTACCGGCCCAGGTCTTGGAGAGACATGGCTGGTTTCAGTCCTAACTTGAGGATGTCTGAGCCTTGAAGAAGTTGCACAAGGCATTTCACTGTTCTTGATTTTATTTTCCTAAACTGGTGAAATGGTACTGATGTGGTTTGGCTTTCTGTTTCCCACCCAAATCTCATGTTGAATTGTACAACATGAAAAAACTTAAATAGACAGGGAAAAAATATATATCCTAACGTCCAAGCCACACCTTAGACCTTTTGAATCAAAATCTCTAAGGCTGGGACTAGGTATTAATATTTGTTTTAAGTTTTCAGATGATTCCAATGTGCAGCCAAGTTTGAAAACCAATATCTTAGCCAACTGTGTGGAGCATGAGGAGTCAGTTTTAATGTTAATTGAACTAACATCACCTGGGATTCAGAAGGTGGAAAAGATTCTCAAATTTTAATATTTATGTGAATCACCTGAGGATCTTGCCAAAAATGTAGATTCTGATTTTGCATTTCTCACGTGTTTTCAAGTGAGGCAGATGCTGCCACCCTGGGACCACATTATATGTAGCATGACAATGGAGTTTCAGGCAGGGAAAATAATCTCATGCCCCTAGCTAAACCTGAACCTCACTCTGCTAATTTTCAGTTTTGTTTTGTTTGTAAGGAAGGCAGTTTCTTTAAAGAAACAAACTGATATGGTTTGGTTCTGTGTCCCCTCCCAAATCTCATCTCGAATTATCATCCCCATGTGTCAGTGGAGGGACCTGGTGGGAGGTGACTGGATCATGGGGGCAGTTTTCCCCATGCTGTTTTCGCGAGAGTGAGTGAGTTCTCACGAGATCTGACAGCTTAAAAGCGTGTGGCGCTTTCCTCACCGCTTTTTCTCTCCTGCTTCGCTAAGGTGAGACGTGCTTGCTTTCCCTTCGCCTTCCACCGTGATTGTTAGTTTCCTGAGGCCTCCTAGCCGTGCTTCCTGTACAGCCTGCGGAACTGTGAGTCAGTCAAGCCTTTTCTTCATAAAGGACCCAGTCTCAGTTCTTTATAGCACTGTGAGAACGAACTAATTAAGGTACTATGAAAAATGACATGGAAAGCCATTTGGCAATCTTGTGTGAGCTTCCTGGCATCGGCCTGGGTCCCTGTGGATTGGGGTTTCTGCATGGGCACCTATCAGGGCAGTATTTAGGCAGTACCTACTACTGTCTCCAACGGATACTTCCCCTCTGCTCTTCTTGTTACAGTCTTCCTGGCTATCAGGGACCACCTGGCTCCTCTCATCTTTTCAATTCCTTCTCCCTCCTTATCTGAGCTTTCACTTCACCCTGGCTCTTAGATTGCCAAATTCCATGCTATTCCTTAGCAAACCATCAGTAGCTTTCAATATATAAAACTATTGAAAAACTGAATTAGATATAGGTTGTCTATTTCCCTATTGCTAAATTTGAGCTGCCAATGTTAGTGATAGTCATCCTTCACAGCAGCACTTTGCAGTTACAAAGCACCATTGCACTTCCTTTTTTACATTTGATTCTCACAAGTATCCCAGAAGAAAGACTACTAGGTGGGTGTTTAACAGTATTCTCTTTTTATAGATGGGCAAACTGAACTCAGTTTTGTGTTGGATTTAGTTGCTGTGCACATAGCACTGTGTCTGGTGCATTGGGAGTACTTAAGAAGACTATTCCTTATGGCAGGGTGATAAAAGCAGACAAAGGAAACCTTTTTTTTTTTTTTTTGAGACGGAGCCTCACACTGTCACCCAGACCGGAGTGCAGTGGCACGGTCTTCGCTCACTGCAACCTCCGCCTCCCAGGTTCAAGCAATTCTCTGCCTCAGCCAGAAACCTCTTTTAAGCACCTGACTTCAATTCGGTACAATGAGCAGAATGAGTACTCACTTGGTCCACACTCTGCCAGCCCCTGAGGGTGGGCAGGTGCAAAGTAAAAATGCATAAGCCCTGCTGTCAAATTGTTTATGGTTTTAGGTGGGGATGGTTGTCAGATTTAGCAAATATAGATAATGATGCCCAGTTAAATTGGAATTTCAATAAACAAAAAGTATTTTTTCAGTGTAAATATGAACCATGCAACTTTTTGGGGCAGTATGTTATTTGACAACCCTGCATGGGAGACGAAAGACTAAAAGTCTGAAATTATGATAATAGTAGGGACTCTAGGAAGATTTCCTGGAGGAATTAACAGCTGAGTTGGGTCTTGAATGCTGCAGAGGCCACAGAAGATCTAGGTACAGGAGGCACATTGGAGTCTGGGAAGTTAGGGAATGGAGATTTTATTATTTTAGTCTCAGTTTTCTCATCTATAAAATGGATATAATAATAGTACCAACCTTGTCAGGTTGTTGTGAGGATAAAATGAGTCTACATTCGTAAGACACTTAGGGGAATGCCTGGTACAGAGTGAGTGGTGATGATAAAACTAATGAGAGCAGTGGAAAAAGGTGAAAAAGAGAGTCTGGGCACGGTGGCTTATGCCTGTAATCCCAACACTTAGGGAGGCTGAGGTGGCTGGAACACTTGAGGCCTCCTAGGAGTTCAAGACCAACCTGGCCAACATAGCAAAACCCTGTCTACTGAAAATACAAAAAAATTAGGCATGGTGTTGCATGCCTGTTATCCCAGCTACTCAGAAGCTGAGGCATGAGATCACTTGAACCGGGAGGTGGAGGTTGCAGTGACCCGAGATTGCACCACTGCACTCCAGCCTGGGCAACAGAGTGAGACCCTGTCTCAAAAAAAAAAAAGCATTCCAGAGTTTCAAGTTATTCCTGGACTCAACTAACTGGAGGAGCAGAGCCATGAGGCAGAAGGTGGAGAAAAAGAAGAATGACATTCCCAATGGGGTTGAGTGGGAAAAGCTGGAGTCTGGGAAAAGGCAAAGAGAAGTAGGTTTCAGAGAAGGTGATCAATTCTGTTTGTACCTCAGTGCCCAGTCTATGTGAAGAGATGTGGCTGGAATTAAATACAGGCTCTAAAAAAAGGCCAGAGTCAGGTGTAGAGGTCTGGGAAGCTTCAGATTAGATGTGAGGAAAGCCAAGGACATGTATTATGAAATTTCCAAAAGACTGAATGAGAGATGAAAAAGAATGCTGAGGTCGCCATCTGGCCAGTGCTCTACTTGCAACTCTGATTTTCTCTGATTTAACTTAGTAAGGCAATCCCATAAAACCCAGGGCAACCATGAAATCCCCACAAAGTTACGGACCTGCATATATGCTTGGATGGGTGTGGGCTGACCTGGAAGGCAGGTCTTGGAGAGAACTGAGAAACCAGGGAACTGGGGTGAAGGAAGAAGTCACTTTTTGCTTTCTACCTTTTTATTACTTTTGTTTTTCTCTCCAAGTGTGAATTTTTTTTTTTTTAAAGACGAAGTCTCACTCTTGTTGCCCAGGCTGGAGTGCAATGGTGCTAGCTCAGCTCATTGCAACCTCCACCTTCTGGGTTCAAGCGATTCTCCTGCCTCAGCCTCCAGAGTAGCTGGTATTACAGGTGCCTGCCACCATGCCTGGCTAATTTTTGCATTTTTAGCAGAGATGAGGTTTCACCATGTTGGCCAGGCTGGTCTTGAACTCCTGACCTCAGACAATCCACCTGCCTCAGCCTCCCAAAGTGTTGGGATTACAGGCGTGAGCCACCGTGCCTGGCCGAAATTGTTTTTAAAAATCTTAAAAACTAGAGATTTTGGTAAACTAGTGTAAGAACCTGCAAAAAGTGGCTCCTATTTGCATTTTATTTCTTTCGTCATCCTGGAATGACTTTTGTGGACATCTATGACTTTCTTCATTTTCACCCCTGGAAACAAGACTCTGCCTCAGGATGCCTCCACTCACGCTTTGAATGTGTCCATAGAATCTTAAGAAATATTGCTCCAATGATTGCACACATTTTTCTTTGTTTTTTTTTTTTTTTTTTTTTTTTTTACTTTAGGTTTGGAGGTACAAATGCAGGCTTTTTGTCTAGGTAAACTTGTGTCACAGGAATTTGTTGTACAGATTATTTTGTCACCCAAGTACTAAGCCTAGTACCCAATGGTTATTTTTTCTGCTCCTCTCCCTCCTCCCACCCTCAAGTAGACCCCAGTGTCTGTCGTACCCTTCTTTGCGTCCATGAGTCCTTGTCATTTAGCTCCCACTTAGGAGAACATGTGGTATTTGGCTTTCTGTTCCTGTGTTAGTTTGCTAAGGCTGATGGCCTCCAGCTCCATCCACGTGCCTGTAAAAGGAATGATCTCATTCTTTTTTATGGCTGCATAGTATTCCAAGGTGTATATGTACCACATTTTCTTTGTCCAATCTGTCATTGATGGGCATTTACGTTGGTTCCATGCCTTTGCTATTGTGACTAGTGCTGCAATGAACATTCACGTGCATGTATCTTTATGGTAGAATGATTTATATTTCTCTAGGTGTATACCCAGTAATGGGATTGTTAGGCCAAATGGTAGTTCTGCTTTTAGCTCTTTGAGGAATTGCCATACTACTTTTCACAATGGTTGAACTAATTTATACTCCCATTAACAGTGTATAAGTGTTCTCTTTTCTTACAACCTCACCAGCATCTGTATTTTTTGACTTTTTAGTAATAGTTGTTTTCACTGGTGTGAGATGGAATCTCATTATGGTTTTGATTTTCATATCCCTAATGATCAGTTGTACACAGTTTTCATTTCTGTCAGTGCCTGATGTCTACTTCAGTCTCTCCATAAACTTGGATTGTGGGAACCATTTGTCAACGCTGTGTTAAAATCCCTTAGACACCTGCTGAGCCTGGCCCAAAGTACTAGCCCAGGATCCTGGTCCCCAGGAAGTACAAAGGGAGAGTCACTTGGGAGTCCTTGGATTTTCCACATTTGGTAATGGACACAGGAGAAACAGTGAGGAGAGAAGGGAAAAACTGTCTATTCCGTATAGTTACTGCTGTACTGTTCTGAAAAGAGATAAGAAGAGGCCATGGACATGAACGTTTTTTAATCACAACATGTCTGACACCAAATGTGTGGGATTTCCCTTAATTTTTCACACCAACTAATTTAACAACTCTTTAGACGTCAACTGGGTGTCCTGCAATTCAATTCAATCCAAACATTAAGTACTTAGAGTTGGCACAGACCCCACAGGTGAAGGGCTCAGTCCTATAAAACTGTCACCCATGCTGGGCGAGGCGTCAGAGCCCCGGCATTGAGAAGTGGTGGACTTGTGGGTTGGTAAGAAGAATTACTGACAATAGTATAGGTTTGAAAAGTAAAGTCTGTTAGAAAAAACTCCGCAGAAGACTGCAATGGAGGCCAGTCATGGTGGCTCACACCTGTAATCCCAGCACTTTGGGAGGCCAGGGTGGGTGGATCACATGAGGTCAGGAGTTTGAGACCAGTCTGGCCAGTGTGGCGAAACCCCGACTCTATTAAAAATATAAAAATTAGCTGGGTGTGGTGGTGGGCGCCTGTAATTCTCAGCAACTTGGGAGGCTGAGGCACGAGAATTGCTTGAACCCAGGAGGCAGAGGTTGCAGTGAGCTGAGATCGTGCCACTGCACTCTAGCCTAGGCCACAGAGCAAGACTCCATCTCAAAAATAAATAATAATAAAATTCATAAAAAGATGAGTGCAACTTGGTGCCTCAGTGAGAGGACTGAGCGTGCCACAGTGGATTTTTTCCTTAGGAGCATTTATGGACCTTAAAGTGGGAGCTTAAGGATAATTTGGACCATGTTAGCCACATAGGTCATGATAAATGCTTACATATGTAGACATTTTTGTGCCCTGATGTCAGCAAGGGTTGCACAATGAGTTTCGGCATAGCATTCCGGAGATGTATAGGAATTCTAGTTACTTATAAATTTTGGCGGGGAAAGACCTGGTACCAGTGCCTGCTTTAGATAATAGGGAAGTCTAATTACTTCTCATTTCCCCAGATACGGAGTTTTGCCTCTGGATGGCCTGCCTGATAGTCACCAGGTGGTCTTCGTTTCCTTCTAAATTCCTCAGTTGAGGAGTTTTTGTCTCTGGGGCCTCTTCAGTGGTCACCAGGTGATTGCGCTCTCCTCACCCAACTTCAGAGGGTAGTTACAGGTCCCAGGTTTCCACCTGCACTTCTGACCAACCGCTTATAAATTGGGGGTTCCTGTGACCCCTTCTTCAGGTTTGATAATTTGCTATAATGACTCATAAAATCAGGAAGGTGCTTTACTATTACTGGCTTATTATACAGGATATGACTCAAGAACAGCCAAATGGGAGAGAGGTAGAACACAGGGCGAGGTATAGGGAAGGGGTGTGGAGCTTCTGTGCCCTATTGGAGTGTACCACCCTTCCAGCGCCTCTGTGTGGTCACCACCTCCAGCTCTCCAAACCCCATCACTTCAGGGTTTTTATGGATGCCTTGTCACTTAAGCATGATTGATTAAATCAATGGTTGTTGGTGATTAGCTCAATCTCTAGCTCCTTTCCTCTCCCTCGAGGTCTGAGGGTAGAGAGGGAGGCTGGAATTTCCAAACCTCCGATCATCCTTGGTCTTTCTGGCAACCAGCCCCCATCCTGAAGCTACCTAGGGGACCCCACCAGCAGTCTTTCATTAGCATACAAAAGAAACTCTCATCACCCCAAAGATTCTAAGGGTTTAGGAGCTGTACACCAGGAGCCAGGGACAAAGGCCAGAGGTTTATTTATTTTTTATTATATCACAGTGGACAAGCAGAAATTGGAACATGATAAGAGTTTCAGAAATAATCTGTAGAAGCGCAAAGATTAGTAATAAACCCAATTTAGTCAACATTTTTTAATTGAGAAAACAGAAGCCCATGGTTGGGAAGTGGCTTGACCAAGGACACATAGCTGACAAATGGAGGAGCTGAGACCACTGTAACATTTTCCAATTTCTGGTCTTGCACTCTGTCCACATTATTGAAGCCTCTAGTTCAGCTACGTGCAACTCAGCACATCCAAAGCCTTTGCACTGCGTGCTCTTTAATCCTTTAAGAATCTCTTAAAGAGGAACAGACTTGTCTGCGGGTACCAGTGACCTGGCATGAGCTTTCCTTTTGCAGGAACAGTGTTATGCTCTCTACAAAGAGCAGGTGTGAGTCACCTCCAGTCACAGCCAAGCCAGCATCTCTTACAATATTGTGGAAAAAGGCTCCACGTATCAAAACTGTCTTTTTAGAAAACAGCCAGATTTGTGCTCTGAGAAGAGCTCTGGCCCTGGTCCGAGCTCCCAGGGATCCCTCTTTGGGCCCCAGCTTTTCCTTTCTTTTTTAACCAGTCGTCTTTTATGTGGAGGTTAATTCCCATTAGGATATAAAAAGATTCAGCAAGGATCGCGTTCCTCAAGGACAGGTGTGGGCAAAGGAGGTCGTGGTCAGGGCGACAGAGCGTGCTGTCCGTGCAGGCCCCTCTTCAGTGGTACTTGCATAGCTGCTCATGCTTGAGCTCCTTGTAGGAAAGGCAGTAGCTGAAGAGCATGTAAGCTGCCAGTACCGTGGAACCCCCTGAGACACCCTTTCTTCACGTCGATGTACTTGTTGTAGTACCAGTAGAAACCTCTTTGAAATGCTCCAGCAATGCCACTAGGGGTGAAATCTTGCATCAGTATCCAGCTTGGCAGCTCCCCTAGTTTGACATCCAGGAGTTTCTTCTCCTTCACTGGTATAACTGATACCATCTTGGAGGACCAGCTGTGGGGCCCAGCTTTTCTTTCAGTGTCAAGAAGCTTGAATGGCTAATTGCACCTCACCAGGAGGTCTGATGACACTGAGGAGGCTTCCCCCAGCTAAGGCCCAAATTAGTGAATGGCAAAGGCTCACAGCTAGAACAAGAAGGAGAACGTGAAGCAGGACGAAGAGCATGGCAGAGACTGATAGTTGTCTAGGAAAACGTTCCCCTTCTTCAACAGTAATGAAATTTTAGCTGGGCGTATGGCTGCCCAGTTGGAGGCTGCATTACCAGTCTCCCTTGCGGCTAAGTGTGGCCATGTGACTAAGTTCAGGCCAGTGAGGGACGCATGGAAGTGCTAAATGCAACTTCTGAGTCATCTTCAATGTAAAGAAGCTCCTTGTCCCGGAGCAGCTCTCTTCCTTCTTCCCTTGAGCTGAATATGAATGTGCCTGTGGCCTAGCACTAACTATGCAGACAAAGACAATGCCCTTGGTGACAGCAACAGGATGGAAGGAACCTGGGTTCATCAGTGACTGCATGTAGAAAAAGCATTCACCAACCTGGACCTCAGCATTGTTAGTGACAGGAACAAACTTCCATCTCCTTTGAACTATTTTTGAGGTCTTTGGATATAGTAACATACCCTTTACTCTGACTTCACAAATGAAAAGGCCTTGGCTATTTCGTATTATCAAGAAGCTGTAATTTACATACCCAATTATAAATGACCAGGGATTTGACGATTCATTTATATTCCTGTTGCTTGGGGCTCAGATCATGCTTTTCCACAGAATCAGTGTGATTCATGGTGACACATGTCATCCCCAGACTCAATTAACTCATAGCCTCAGGTCGAGGTCTAAGGGGCAAGGAAAGAGAGTCACGGTAGAGATTATGATCCTCCAATGAGCAGACAACCCCATGCCCATTCTGCCTATGCTTTTGGCCTGCCTTGCCTCCAGGTTGCTACATACCAGGTCTCAGATTGCCACCTCCCCTACAATTCAACCAAATGCCTAGCTTGGTCTCATTTCATACAGAAATAAACAAAACAATCTGCCTGAACTGATATATGCTGACATGATTTTTATCTAAGAAAATCTAGGTCATTCACTATGGTGGACTTAGAAAAGTTTGTGTTCTCTACAGTATATTATTGCAGTGCAGTTGTGGTCCACAAGCATGGTTGCATCTGTCTAGGGAATTAGGTTATCTTACTGACCACATTTACTTCCTGCAGACAAAGTTTAAAATAGAAAGGAGAATAAGGCAGGGAAATAATTTCAAAAGGCAAGCAGACACTTGGCTGCCTGGTCCAATTGCTAGGAGACTAGATTGCATTTATGGAGTATGGAAAGTAAAGGAGTGATCTGGAAACACAAGAGCCGGTATAAGTCTGCTTTGTACCATATCCATAAGAATTGGGTTCAAGAAACAGAATCCATTCTGAATACTGTAAACAGGAAGAGATTTTTAACACGTGGAATCTTACAAATTTTGCTTACCAAAATAGTTGTGAGGTGGGAGTGCTTCACATATTATCTCATTTAATCTGGAGACTATTTCTAGGAGGCAGGTACTATTGTTCTCATTTTCACGTGAAGATACCAAGTCTCAAAAAGTCTGGGAAATGCCCAGTTCCAACATGAAATGGGATTTGAACTGTGTCTCTTTCTACAAGTTGCTGCTCTTCTGTGCTCCTCACATTCCTCCACATCTTGAGAGAAAAGGTAAAATCTAGACTATATCCCCATGATGTTTTTATGAACCACTTTAAGCATCAAATGACAGGGTTGGAAGTGAGACTTGTCTGAATATAACTTATTTACTTTTGAACCACATAAAGTGTTTGACATTTTTCAAAAAAATAAAATCAAGGAAAATAAAGTTAACCCTAAAATTGAAAATAAATTGACATTAATAAACTTAACTCTATCAAATTGGTTACATAATCACACAGAGAAAAGAATTATTCCAAGTGACTTTGGAACATGTTTCTCTTGTATATATTCTTGGTGGGACATATTCTAAGAAAAAAAGAATTGCAAATAATTTTAAACTTCCCTCAGTAGTTTTATTATTACAAGTAATATTTGTGTTATAATTTTTAAAGTATTTCATATATAATTAGGATAAAAAATAAGAATGTTAATATTGGCTGGGCGTGGTAGCTCACATCAAATCCCAGCATTTTGGGAGGCCAAGGTGGGTGGATCACTTGAGCCCAGGAGTTTGAGACCAGCCTGAGCAACACTGAAACCTTGTCTCTTATTAAAAAACAAAAAAATTTTAATGAATGCTAATATTATTAAGATCCAAGGTTTTGATTAGGAGAGAAAGGAGATGCAAATAAAATAAATGTAAACACTCTGTAATGTTAAATTTGTATAGGACATATTAATATGAACTCATGGTAAAACATTTTTTTACTTCCTCTGTTCACTTAACCTATAAAAAACGATATTCCAGTAGCAATGTTAACAGAATCTTTCCCTTATTCTTGATAGTTTTGCTGCCAGTTCTGGCAAAGTGTCATCATGCGGGTGGGAAGGGATTGGATGCCAGGCCAAGGTTGTAAGGAAGTAATTTATTTCATTTTATTTTTTTGAGATGGGGTCTCACTCTATCACCCAGGCTGGAGTGCAGTGGCGCCATCATGGCTCACTGCAGCCTCAGCCTCCCTAGGCTCAGGTGATCCTCCCGCCTCAGTTTTTTTGTTTTGTTTTGTTGGTATTTTTTGCACAGATGGGGTTTCATCATGTTGCCCAGGCTTGTCTCACTCCTGGGCTCAAGTGATCCACCTGCCTTGGCCTTCCAAAGTGCTAGGATTACAGGCGTGAGCCACTGTCCCCAGCCAGGTAAAGAAGTAATTTAGTCCTTCATTCTGCAGTTGGGGATTTTAAAGTTGTCTGCCAGTTCTCTTCCCTGGCCCTCGTCATCACTTAAAATATCTTTCGTAAAGCCTGCATTGCTTACTAATGCTTTTATGTCCTAGTAGACTCTTCTGCGTGAATATGAAGGTGGGGTCGTGTCCTATGTCTGGGTCCATGAAAGGTGGGAAGCTGAAGTTGAAAGAGAATCCTGAGAGTGCAAAATCCCTGGGAATCAGCAAAAATTCCTGGGAGAACTTCCGACTTTCAAAGGCTATATAATCGGTAGAGTCAAAGCTGAGATGACCCAAAGGGTAAAGGACAACCCAGCTAACATCTGGGTTGTAGGTGGAATAAAGAGAAAATAGTACTGCAGTCTATTTGTGATTTGATGAAAGAGTAGAATTGGAAAATATCAAGGTCCAGAGAGGATGGAAGGATTTAGAAGGCCCAGGAAGGGTGGCAAGATCTGCTTGGCTGGATGCTATTGGGGAGGGATTGTGGGTTCACTTTCCTCTTTAAGGGCCCTCTGTCACCCCCAAGGATACTGTCACTGTTCTCTATCTCCATGACATGGGCCCAGACCTCTAGTCCAGAGCACACATTCTCTGTGCTCAGTTGTCTGAGGCAGCTGTCGGATCAGCTCTGGTCGGGCGCACCTCAGCCTTGGGGCACTAGTTCTGTCCATCCTTTGTGCATTGTGAGGCTTCTGTTGCTGTTCCTCTACTATTTACAGAGGAATCAAAATATAACCAACACTTAGGCCGGGTGCAGTGGTTCACACCTGTAATCCCAGAACTTCGAGAGGCCGAGGCAGGTGGATCACTGGAGGTTGAGAGTTCGAGATCAGACTGGCCAACATGGCAAAACCCCATCTGTACCAGAAATACAAAAATTAGCTGGGCGTGGTGGCGCATGCCTGTAATCCCAGCTACTCAGGAGGCTGAGGCAGGAGAATCGTTTGAACCTGGGAGGCGGAGGTTGCAGTGAGCCAAGATGACGCCACTGCACTCCAGCCTGTGTGACAGAGTGAGAATCCGTCTCAAAAAATATATATATATATATATACAACCAACACTTAGAAAGCACAGACACATCAATCTGGCAAGGGAACCCTAGGGCCAACTTCCAGCAGAGTGCAACCTTACCCTATTTCCCTTCCAAAGTTTTCTAGATCAATTATGTTGGCACAGAGAGCCACCTGGCATGGACACTCCCAGGAAAGATTAGAATATCATCAAGGGGAACAGAGCAGAGGTAGGAGTGGGAGCTGGGGTTTATATCTGAAGCCCACAGATCCTCTCTCTGGGTTAGGGCTCCAGGATAAAACCCTAATCCCAGTGATTCACTGGCCACAGATTGGATTATTAAGAAAGTTCAGGGTACCTGTAGGAGAACTGAGTTCCTCAACTGTTAGTCATGGGCCACAGTCCCATCTTAGGGTTTCTGGGTCAAGACTTTCCCTTGTGTTAGGGCTGATAGGCAGAAAAATGCTCTGAGCCTGTGAAAGCCTCAAGTCAGGTGCTGGGGCTCAAGCTCTGTCATCAGGGGCAGGGTCCCCTGGGATGGAGTACACATTCTCCCGCAGTTCTGGGAATCTGTGCCCTTCATGAGAAAAGAGGGTAGGGACTGGAAAAGTCAACTGAGTATGACAGAAAACCCTTCTTGAAAATTTCAAAGAAAAATAACATATTTTAATCTACTTTAAAGTGAATAACAAGATGGATCACAGAGCTCTGTTTATTCAAGATAGAACATCAGATGACCCATGAATAATGAATGTCTGGAGCTTGCCTGGAGGGGAGAGGACAGTGAGAACTGGATCCCAGCCACTCACTCTTGTCTCTCAATATCAGTGCAGAGTCAAAAAGAGAAACAGGCTTAACATTAAAGGGTAAGATTTTGTTTCATCAATGCAAGGCTGCCCAAGGGCTAACCTTGATCTCACCATTCTTTCTTTTCTTTTCTTTTTTTTTTTTGAGATGGAGTCTCCCTCTGTCACCCAGGCTGGAGTACAGTGGTGCGATCTTGGCTTAGTGCAACCTCTGCCTCCTGGGTCCAAGTGATCCTCCTGCCTCAGCCTTCCAGGTAGCTGGGACTATAGACACGGTGACAAACAGGCAGACTGTTGTGAAGCTGGCAGGTGGGAGAATGTGGCATGCTTCCTGCTCTGCCAAGCTCCCACCCAGCTCCTTTGGTTTTTGCTTGTTCCTCCTGTCTTCTGCAGCCCCCTGGACAAGATCCTTGCCATAGGCAGTTTGTGGAAACAGCTTCCTCAGGATTCCCCAGCTGTGCAGCGTAGTGGCGGTGGAAGCTGGCAGTCTGCTGTCAGGGGAGACTGTGGAAGACATGGCTACCTTGGAGACCCAGGGCTTGCACTGCTCCTCTGTGGATCCATCTTAATCTCTGCCTTCAACGTCTTACCAGCCTCCCGGGGACCCAAAGTAGCTCTTCTCTCTGAGCCTTCTTCTACCTCTGCTTTCTCACTGGATTCTACAGAGGTCCAAGCTCCAGGCCATCATCTGCTGCACCGTAATGCTGGTCACCATCTTCTCTGTGCCTTCCCAGAGGCTTCCTGACCTTCCCTGCCTCTTGTCTGAGGATCCCATGGAGGCCACTTTCCCTCGCTGAATCCTTACTCTTTCCTGTCCTCTCATTGTATTCTGTTTTCTCAAAGCACCTCACCATCACACCTCTTATCCCCATCACCAGCTTTCCTTCTGTGAAAACTTGGTTGGAAAAGCTCAGTTTCACAAAAGGTTTCTGAGAATTGTTTTGTTTGATATTGAAACCTTCCCTTCTGCCTGTGATGTGATGGGAGTTTCAGGGTTCTGGATGTTTGGCCTATGACAGTATTTGTCATCCCCAAATAACTTCTTGGTTGAGTCTCATTACCTAGGAAATCAGCTGATTAATTCCAAGAAATTGGTAGCAAAGGAAGTTGGGTGGCACCCGGAGGAGAATAGGTACAAACTCAACAGACAGTGTAATTGCATGCTGTAGCCTCATCATGAGCAAATTGTAGCCTGGTGCTGGACTCATACCAAGGAGTGACTAAGGCTGCCAAAAAAAAAAAAAAAAAAAAGAAAAAAGGATAAAGACCTTAGAGCTATCATAGTTAATAAACAGGAAGTATCAGCAATTTAAATCTTAACTTGGCAAAGAGGAAAGAACAAAGAAATACGGCAAAAAGACATGCAGATTATAGCATAATAATCTTTGGCTCCGGTCTTCTTGGGTAGTGGGTTGGGGGGGAGTTGTATACATCATGAAGTCACCAGCTTAGTCTCGATCTTGGGTAGAAGGTTCCCCTTCCTGAGGTCATCTGCTTCAGAATGATTACTTCAATACCTCTGTTTGAGATCTCTGTTCGAACAACCTTTTTGTGATTCTAGTGTGACTTAAGTCTTTATATTTGGGAAGTATGGATTTACTGTTATGTTGTTAATAGTACCTGGTAAGGTCCTTCTAATTGAGGTTCAACAGCAGTCCTTGATGTCTGATCCACTAACAAAATTTGAGTTAAAATTATTCAAGATAATGCCAGAAGGACACAGTTAATGTTTTGGTTATTCAAAAGAAAACTCTTATGTGGGCATCAAATAACTTGCTCATTTTATGGAAAGGAAACACTAATTTTACTCTTTTGGTGTATCTATATTATAATTTGCAGAAAAAAATGTATAAGTGTTTTTTCTGTAATTTCAGGCATATTCTATTTACATGGAATATAGCCTGAAATTTGTCTTATCATTTATAGGATTTTTTAAAATGTTAGTATATCTTTATATATGTAGATATACATAAATAAACATAAAACAAAATTTTAGTTTTAAGATATAATTTATCTTAGCATATTACAATAGATGTATATGTTACATTGAATCACCATTTTTAAAAATAAAGTAATAATTCCTTAACAAACCATGTTCACCATCTTGCATATACATTCATACTTTTCTGCAATTACTGGTTGAGCATCCCTAATAAGAAAATGGAAAATCCAAAATGTTCCAAAATCTGAAACATTTTGAGTGCCAACATGACCCTACAGGTGGAAAATTCAGTATCTGACCTCATGTGATAGGTTGCAGTCAAAACTTGGTTTCAGGCACAAAATTATAATATTGTATAAGATTACCTTCAGGCTATGTGCATAAGGTACATATGAAACTTACATGGATTTCATGTTGAGACTTGGAGTCTATCATCCGGATATCTCATTATGTATATGCAAATATTACCAAATCCCCAAACTCCAAAATCTGCAGCACTTCTGGTCCTAAGCTTTATGGATAAGGAATATTCATTCTACATTATACTAGTATAGTCTTAATCATTTTATTAATTGCCACAATTAGACAAGGTAACCAACTTTTGTCTTCTCCAAATACGGAGAACACTAGAAGGCAAGCGGCCAGGAACTGCCTAGCTAAGTTTTGTTTCTTTTTAATTTTTATTATAGATTTTTTTATTTTAATAGGTTTTTGGGGAACAGGTGGTGTTTGGTTACATGAATAAGCTCTTTAGTGGTGATTTCTGAGATTTTGGTACAGCCATCACCCAAGCATGTACACTGTACCCAGTGTATAGTCTTTTTTCCCTCAAACCCCTCCCACCCTTTCTCCTGAGTCTCCAAAGTCCATTATATCACTTTTAGCCTTTGCGTCCTTATAGCTCAGCTGCCACTTATGAGTGAGAACATACAATGTTTGGTTTTCCATTCTTGAGTTATTTCACTTAGAATAGTTATCTCCAGTTCCATCCAGGTGCTGTGAATGCCATTATTTTGTTCCTTTTTATGGCTGAGTAGTACTCCATGGTGTGTGTGTGTGTGTGTGTGTGTGTGTGTGTGTGTACACCATATTTTACTAGTTGATTGATGGGCATTTTGGCTGGTTCCATATTTTTGCAATTGCAAATTGTGTGCTATAAACATGTGTGTGCAAGTATCTTTTTTGTATAATGACTTCTTTTCCTCTGGGTAGATACCCAGGAGTGGGATTGCTGGATCAAATGGTAGATCTACTTTTAGTTCTTAAAGGAATCTCCACACTTTTTCCATAGTGGTTGTACTAGTTTACTTTCCCACCAATGGTGTAAAAGTGTTTGCTTTTCACCACATCCATGCCAACATCTATTTTTTTTTTTTAAGTTTGTTTATGGCCATTCTTGCAGGAGTAAGGTGGTATCACATTGTGGTTTTGATTTGCATTTCCCTGATTATTAGTGATGTTAAGCGTTTTTTTCCATCTGTTTCTTGGCCATTTGTATATCTTCTTTCAAGAATTGTGAATTCATGTCCTTAGACCACTTTTTGATGGGATTGTTTTTTTCCTTGCTGATTTGAGATCTTTGTAGATTGTGGATATTAGTCCTTTGTCAGAAGTATAGATTGCAAATATTTTCTCCCACTCTGGGCTGTTTACTTTGCTGATTGTTTCTTTTGCTGTGCGGAAACTTTTTAGTTTAATTAAGTCCCATCTATTTAACTTTGTTTTTGGTGCATTTGCTTTTTGGTCCTTGGTTATGAAGTCTTTGCCTAAGCCAGTGTCTAGAAGGGCTTTTTTAACGTTAACTTTATAGATTTTTTATGGTTTCAGGTTTTAGATTTACATTCTTAATCCATCTTGAGTTGATTTTTGCATAAGGTGAGAGATGGGGATCCAGTTTTGTTCTTCTATATGTGACTTGCCAATTATCCTGCACTATTTATTGAATAGGGTGTCCTTTCCCCATTTTGTTTTTGTTTGCTCTGTCAAGCCTAGCTAAGTTTTCATGAGTTCGCATTTTATATTACCTTTTATGTTTTCAGGCAGCAGAATGAACACGTCATCTAAAGGCAATTACACATTCTATTAATCTATAGCCTTTATATAATGTATATAAGTAACAATAAATTAAAACTATATATATGTTTTGTATTTTTTTTTAGCTTGGAAACTTCAGGAATCCAAATATTATATATCAAGTAAGCTAACATTTTCCATGATTGTAAAATTTTAACTAATATTTGGAAATTACAATTTTAACTAAAACATAAATTCTCATGATTTGTAGTATTGTAAGAATTTTACAAGATCAAAACCATTTTAAAAGACATCTGTGCTATGATTTCACTTAAAAGCAATTTTATATTTTGTAAGCTTAAAAAATTTGTTCCAACAATGATCCCTTCCTTGTTCCATAAAATCTGTATAGGAAATTACAAAAGTTTAAATCTTGAGGAGTTTAAATCTTGAGAAGTTATAAATATTGTATAATATTGAAACTACAAAGTTATAAATATTAATATAATATGTAAAAGACTATATCAGTCTTATATAAACTAGAATATTGTCTTAGCATTATTTTATATAATAAAATGAGGGCAATACAGATACTGAGTTATCGTTGATCAACATAAACAACTCACTCCAATTTGTCCAAAATTTATCAGAAATATTACAGGATACTTTAAAAATATATTTTATAAACTGTATTCATGACACAGATGTTAAATTTTAAAATCATATTTAAAATCATTTATATTGAAACTAAGATGTTTTCTCCCATAACTACAGTAACAAAGCCTATTAATTTTTAAATACATTCGTGTACTTTTAATTTTTTCCCTGAGCAGAGAACACCAGTCATATTTGTCTACCTTTTTTTTTTTTTTTTTTGAGATGGAGTCTTGCTGTCACCTAGGCTGGAGGATATTTATTTACTTTTTTAATGGAAAAGGAAGTTTAACTTTTTAATGACATTGTTGACTACCCAGTGTGTACCATAATAACAATGATTTTTTTTGTTCTGAGCAGTTAATTTTTATAATTTCTCAAGTGACAAGTGAGGGGAAGGGAGAAGGATAGAACAACATGAAGTTACTACTGTAAGAGGTTATTTTTCCTTCCGTAACAAGAAGGGACAAAATTTAGACACAGGGACCCCTTTTTTCATCTATACATAGACACAAAAGAGAAAGTCATTATAGCCAGTTTAAACAGTAACCCCAGCCCTCAACAATTTTATCAAAACATACAATTAAAAGCCAGTGCTTATTAATCCTCAAAGAATGGAGATGGAGAGGAAATCTCCTACATGAATTACAGTGATCTCCTTCTAGATAGACCAGATATATAATCTCCTCTTGAGGGTCTCTTTGCCCTTTTGGCCTCAGGTACTTCTCAAATGAACATCCTTGTTCATGTCAAAGTTCTCTAAGTGGCCACTATAGTTCTAACTCATCCTCAGTGAAGTTATGTGAGGAGGTATCCCAAGCTTATTAGCAGACAAGCCCGGGAGAAATTGCTTGACTGTTGATCAAAGGTAAAATATTACTTGTGTTTCCTACCCTCAGCCCCGAGGTTAAACTGCCTCTACTTGCTGACCTGAGAAGTTAGCAGGCATTTGGCACAGACTGTGTGGACAGATCTTTCCCAAAGTCAATTTCTCACACCCAGGGAAGCCTGGGGGGAGTTCTCTTACATGAACAAAAGATAGGGACACACAGAAGGCAGGAGACAGTGTTAAAAGACAAATTTCACCAAGAGACACCAAAGTCTGATTGGAAACCAAAAATTTCAGGAAACAAATAATAAACCTGATACTGAACAGCCAAAGAAATAAGCAGAGCCTAAATTCAGTGTAAAACCACACAATTAAAGACAGAGAACTTGAACTTGACTCAAGGAGTCTCAGATGTGCACATTATTACTGAGTTAAGGTGGCCAATCCATGGTATTGGGGGTCTTGGCCAAATCTCAAAGGAATCTTACATATCTTCACCTGGCCAGCCTCAGTCCACCAGGAGTAAACTTTTACAGTCTGAAAAAGTCAGGGTTATTGGCTCATTGCAATGAGCGAGATCACACACCAGAAGAACCATGGACTGTATCACCAAGAAAGGGCAAAATTATGATACGATTTTGCGGAAGGGTGGTGTTTAGGTGAAGCTGAGATGAAATGGTATTTTGGTAGGTGACAGCAAAGCAGGGCTGTGTGTAAAGGGACAACGTCACGTCTGAATGGCAAAGTAGACACAAGGTCTCTTTTAGAAACAAATCAAGATGTGAAATGTTAGGTCCAAAAGCCCCTTAATGGAATCTGTACCTGGGTTGAAAATGAAGGCTGCTCCTCTGTGTCAAAGTGAAATAGATCTTGCAGCCAAGAGTGAGATGTTTTGTTCTTACTGAAATGATTTCAAAAACAAAGTTTCTGATAAACCAGGATTTTAGAAAACTAGATTTCTTAGTACCAAAGTAGTAGTCATGCTACAGTAGTCGTGTTAGTAAGTGTCATTAGGTGGCTTCACAGCTGCAGTGTTTCCTTGGGAGAAATAGAATTTTCTGATAACTTTTCAGCTGGCTTTATCTGCATCTGTTTTCCCAGCCTGATGAATGGCATAGCAAAATTTCATTTTCTCAGGTTAAATGGATTTTCACTTTCCCAACATGTAGCCCAGTCTCCTATTTTATCAGCTTGTGGAACTTTCCAGAAAAGCTGTGGTGACATGGGACCTTTTCTGGAGGTTATTTCTCCTTCCTTTCTTTCCTGTTTCTCTCTTCCTGGCATGGGCAGTTTCCCTCATACTGTTCTTGTGGTAGCGAATAAGCCTCATGAGTCCTGATTGTTTTATAAATGGAAGTTCCCCTGCACAAGCTCTCTTGCCTGTTTCCATGTAAGATGTGACTTTGCTCCTCCTTTGCCTTCCACCATGATTGTGAGGCCTCTTCAGCCATATGGAACTGTGAGCCAATTAAACCTCTTTCCTTTATAAATTACCCGGTCTCAGGTATGTCTTTATTAGCAGCATGAGGACAGACTAATACAGTAAATTGGTACCAGGTAGTGGGGTGCTATGGAAGTGACTTTGGAACTGGGTAACAGCCAGAGGTTGCAACAGTTTAGAGGTTTCAGAAGAAGATAGGAAAATGTAGAAAGTTTGGAACTTCCTTGAGACCAGGAGGGTTCAGAAAACAAGAATATGTGGGAAAGTTTAGAACTTCCTAGAGACTTGTTGAGTGGCTTTGGCCAAAATGCTGATAGTGATATGGACAATAAAGTCCAGGCTAAGGTGGTCTCAGATGGAGATAAGGAACTTGTTAGGAACTGGAGTAAAGGTCATTCTTGCTATGCAAAAATATTGGTGGCATTTTGCCCCGCCCTAGAAATCTGTGGAACTTTGAACATGAGAGAGATGATTTAGGGTATCTGGTGGAAGAAATTTCTAAGCGGCAAAGTGTTCAAGGAGAAGCATAGGATAAAAGTTTGAAAAATTTGCAGGCTGATGATGCAGTAGAAAAGAAAACCCCTTCTTTTGAGGAGAAATTCTAGCCAGCTGCAGAAATTTGCAAAACTAATGAGGAGCCAAACGTTAATCACCACGACAATGGAGAAAATGTCTCCCAAGCATGTCAGAGACTTTCATGTCAGCTGCCTCCCATCACAGGCCAGGAGGCTGAGGAGGAAAAAATGGTTTTGTGGGCTGGGCCCAGGGCCTTGCTGCTTTGTGCAATCTTGGGACTTGGTGCCCTGTGTCCCAGCTGTGGCTAAATGGGTACAGCTTGGGCCACACTTCAGAAGCTGCAAACGCCAAGCTTTGGCAAGTTTCATGTGGTGTTGAGCCCATGGGTGCAAAGAAGTCAAGGATTTAGGTTTGGGAACCTCCACCTAGATTTCAGAGGATGTATGGAAATGCCTGGATATCCAGGCAGAGAGGTGTGCTGCAGGGCCAGAGCCCTCATGAAGAACCTCCGCTAGGGCAGTGTGGAAGGCAAATGTGGGGTAGGAGCTCCCACACAGAGTCCCCACTGGGGTGCTACCTGGTGGAGCTATGAGAAGAGGACCACCTTTCTCCAGACCCCAGAATGGTAGATCCACTGACAGCTTGCACCATGCATTTGGAAAAGCCACAGACACTCAACGCCAGCCCATAAAAGCAGCTGTGAGGGAGGCTGTACCCTGCAAAATCACAGGGGTGGAGTTGCCCAATACCATGAGAGCCCACCTCTTGTGTCTGTATGACCTAGATATGAAATATGGAGTTAAAGGAGATCATTTTGGAACTTTAAGATTTGACTGCCCCACTGGATTTTGGACTTGCATGGTGCCTGTAGCCCCTTGTTTTGGCCCATTTCTCCCATTTGGAATGGGAGGATTTATCCAATGCCTGTACCCCCCCATTGTATCTAGGAAGTAACTAACTTGCTTTTGATTTTACAGGCTCATAGCTGGAAGGTACTTGTCTTGTCTCAGATGAGACTTTGGACTGTGGACTTTTGAGTTAATTTTGAAATGAGTTAAGACTTTGGGGGACTTTTGGGAAGGCATGATTGGCTTTGAAATGTGAGGACATGAGATTTGGGAGGGGCCAGGGGCAGAATGATATGGTTTGGCTCTGTGTCCCCACCCAAATCTCACCTTTAATTGTAATAATCCCCATGTGTCAAGGGCTGGGCCAGGTGGAGATAATTGAATCATGGGGGGTCGATTCCCCCATACTCTTCTCATGGTAGTGAATAAGTCTCATGAGATCTGATGGTTTTATAAATGGATGTTCCCCTGCACAAGCTCTCTTGCCTGCTTTCATGTAAGGTGTGACTTTACTCCTCCTTTGCCTTCCACCATGTTTGTGAGGCCTCTTCAGCAGTGTGAAACTGTGAGCCAATTAAACTTCTTTCCTTTATAAATTACCCAGTCTTGGT
Source organism: Homo sapiens (assembly GCF_000001405.40). Lineage (NCBI taxonomy): Eukaryota > Metazoa > Chordata > Mammalia > Primates > Hominidae > Homo > Homo sapiens. The sequence goes on along the minus strand of NC_000009.12, from coordinate 108,822,781 downwards.
TATGTCTTTATTAGCAGTGTGAAAACAGACTAATACAGTTATTCATAATACTTTCTTACTATTCTTTTAATGTTGGTAGATCTGGTGATGTTCCTTCTTATATTCTTTTTTCATTTTTGAGATAGGATCTTGCTCTGTCACTGAGGTTGGAGTGCAGTGGCATGATCATGGCTTATTGCAACCTCCACTTCCTGGGCTCAAGTGATCTTTCCACCTCAGCCTCCCAAGTAGCTGGGACTACAGGCATGTGCCACCATGCCCAGCTAATTTTTGTATTTATTTATTTATTTATTTATTTATTTATTTATTGGTAGAGACAGGGTTTCACCATGTTGCTCAGGTTGGTCTTGAACTCCTAGGCTCAAGTGATCCACTCACCTTGGCCTCCCAAAGTGTTGGGATTACAGGCGTGAGCCACTGTCCTTGGCCTTAAATTCTTGATATTGGTCATTTGTGTCTTTTCTTTCTTGATCATTCTGACTAAAGATTTATTTATTTATTTTTTCAAAGAAAAACCTTTTTGTTTCATGGAATTTTTTCTTTTTAATTTGTTTTTCTGGGTTTTATTTCATAGGTTTCTGCTCATATCTTTATTATGTTGCTCCTTATGTTTGCTTTGGGTTTATATTGCCTTCCTTTTTCTAGTTTCTTAAACTGAATACTTACTCACTTTAGATCATTCTTCTTTTCTCAATATACAGTTTTTTCTAAGTGAGCATAACCGCATGATTTTATTGTTTTCAGAGTTAACAAAAGTTGCAGCTCAGATCTGGATCATTGGCCTTTTCTCTTATTATGTCTTCTCAGTTCAAAATGCTTGTGTCTGTATTAATAGCCAGCATTTTCTTAGATTTGCAGTTGGAGTTTCTTAGATCAAGCATTCAAGCCTCAGCATAATCTTCTACATAGTTTCAGCTTTTCTTCTGGAAATTGGGCTTGGTCTGTTTACCATAGCCACCCTGCCTCCCATTGCAACACTGCTCTCCCTGGGCATACAGAGTTTGTGCCCTCCTGTGCTGTGTCATTTTGTGGGCTCAGTGCTTGCTACTCTTCTTACTGAAAGCATGGCGGGTTTTAGGAATGTTCGTGTTCTCAAGAATGCTATCATTATAAACTTTTAATGCTATGAATTTCCCTGTAAACAGTGATTTAGCTGTATGTCATAAACTTTAATATATTTTTTCATTTTCATTCAATTTAAATTATTTTGTAATTCCTCATTTGACTTCCTCTGAATTATTTAGAATTATATTTTTAATTTCCAGGTATTGAGGATTTTCTACATACCTTTCTGTTCTTACTTTCTATTTTAATTCCACTATAGTGAAAGAGGATACTTCGCAGTTTTACTTTTTTGAACTTTATTGAGATTTTTTCATGACCCAATATGTGGTTTATCTTGGTGACTGTTTTATTAATATTTGAAAAGAATGTCTCATCTTCTGTTCTGGATAGGGTTTTCTTTAAATATTAATTAGTTGCTTTATGGTGGCGTTCAGGTCTTCTGTGTTCTTCCTAGTTTTCTTTCTGTGTCATTTATTAATAGAGGATTATTGAAGTGTCCAACTGTAATCACGGAGTTGTCTATTTTTCCTTTGAGTTCTATCAGTTTTTGCTTCATGCATTTTGAAGCTTTGCTGTTAGACGTATATACATTTAGGATTCTTGTATCTTGTTGATGAATTGTCCCTTTCCTCATTATCTAATGACTCTGTATATTGGGTAATACTCCTGTACCGAAGCATACTTTGTCTGGTGTTCTTATGAATACCAGGTACTCCAGCTTCCTTTTAGTTAGTGTTTGCATGATACAGCTTTTTTCATTCCTTTACTTTTAACCTAGCTGCCTTTATATTTAAGGTAGTTTTCTTGCAGCCAGTATATTGTGGCATCTTGCTTTTTTTTTTTTTTTTCAATCCAATCAGAGAATCTTTCTGCCTTTTAATTTGGATGTGTAGACCATTTACATTGTGTATTAGTCCATTCTCACATTGCTGTAAAGAAATACCTGAGATTGGATAATTCATATATTAAAAAGGTTTAATTGGCTCATTATTCCTCAGGGTATATGGGAAGCATGATACTGACATCTGCTTGGCTTCTGAGGGGGCCTCAGGAAACTTACAATCATGGCAGAAGATGAAGGGAGAGCCAGCACTGCACATTGCCAGAGGTGGAGGAAGAGAGAGAGAGCCAGGGAGGTGCTACATACTTGTAAACAACCAGTTCTCACAATAACTCATTATCACAACCAAGGGAGATGGTACTAAACCATTCATGAGAAACTGCCCCCATGACAATCACCTCCCACCAGGACCCACCTCCAGCAGTGGGGATTACAACTGAACATGAGATTTGGGTGGAAACAGATTGAAACCATATCACATTGTTATTAATGTGGATATATATTTAACTCTTATTTTAGTTTCAGGGTTACATGTACAGGTTTGTTATATAGATAAATTGCGTGTCACAGGGGTTTGGTGTACATATTATTTCACCCAGGTAATTGTAGTACCCAGGAGGTAGTTTTTTGATCCCACCCTCCTCCCACCCTCCACCCTCAAGTAGGCCCTGGTGTCTACTGTTCCCTTCTTTGTGTCTATGGTATACTCAATGTTTAGCTCCCACTTATAAGTGAGAACATGTTGTGTTTGGTTTTTCTGTTCCTGTGTTAGTTCACTTAGGATACTGGCCTCCAGCTCCATCCATATTACTGCAAAGGACGTGATCTCATTTTTTATGGCTGGGTAGTATTCCATGGTGTGTTTGTACCACATTTTCTTTATCCAGTTTACCACTGATGGGTACCTGTTGATTCCATGTCTTTGCTATTGTGAATAAATTGTGATGAACATACATGTGTGTGTGTCTTTATGGTAGAACGATTTATAGTCCTTTGGTTGTATATCCAATAATTGTATTGCTGGGTCAAATTAGTTCTGCGTTCTTTGAGAAATCTCCAAACTGTTTTCCACAGTGGCTGAATGAATTTACATTCCTGCCAGCTGTGTATAAATGTTCCTTTTTCCCCACAATCTTGCCACCATTGGTTATTTTTTCACTTTTTAATAATAGCCATTCTGACTGGTGTGAGATGACATTTCATTGTGGTTTTGATTTGCATTTCTCTAATGATTAGTGATGATGAACATTTTTTCATATGCTTGTTGGCCATGTATATGTTGTCTTTCAATAAGTGTTTGTTAATGTCCTTTGCCTACTTTTTAATGGGATTGTTTTTTGCTTGATAATTTAAGTTCCTTCAAGATTCTGGATATGAGACCTTTGTCAGATGCATATTTTGCAAATATATTCTTCCATTCTGTGGGTTGTCTATTTACTCTGTTGATAGTTTCTTTTGCTGTGCAGAAACTCTTTAGTTTAATTAGGTCACACTTGCCAATTTTTGTTTTTATTGCAATTGTTTTTGGCATCTTTGTCATGAAATCTTTGCCAGGGCCCATGTCTACAATGGTATTTCCTAGGTTTTTTTCCAAGAGATTTTATAGTTTTAGGTTTTACATTTAAGTATTTAGTCCATCTTGAGTTCATTTCTGTATATGGTATAAGGAAGGGGCCCAGTTTCATTCTTCTGCATATGGCTAGCCAGTTATCCCAGTGCCATTTATTGAATAGAGAATCCCTTCCCTATTGTTTGTTTTTGTTGATTTTGTCAAAGATCAGATGGTTGGTGTACAGCTTTATTTCTGGGCTCTCTATTCTGTTCCATTGGTCTATGTATCTGTTTTTGTGCCAGTACCATGTTGTTTTCGTTACTGTAGACTTGTAGTATAGCTTGAAGTCAGGTAATGTGATGCCTCCAGCTTTGTTCTTTTAGCTTAGTATTGCTTTGGCTATTTGGGCTCCTTTTTGGTTCCATATGTATTTTGGAATAGTTTTAAAAAAAATTCTGTGAAGAATGTCATTGGTAGTTTGATAGAAATAGCATTGAATCTCTAAATTTCTTTGGGAAGTACAGCCATTTTAATACCGTTGATTCTTTCTATCCATGAGCATGGAGTGTTTTTCCTTTTGTTTGTGTCATCTCTGACTTCTTTCAGCAGTGTTTTGTAATTTCTCATTGTAGAGACCTTTCACTTCCCTCATTCACTTCCTGGGGTGTGTGTGTGGTTATTTATTTTTTTTAAATTTTGAGACAGGGTCTTACTCTGTCACCCAGGCTGGAGTGCAGTGGCATGATCTCAGCTAGCTGCAACCTCTGCCTCCCTAGTTCAAGCGATTCTCTTGCCTCAGCCTCCCGAGTAGCTGAGACTACAGGCGCCCACCACCACACCCAGCTAATTTTTGTATTTTTAGTAGAGACAGGGTTTCGCCAAGTTGGCCAGGCTGGTCTTGAACTACTGACCTCTGGTGATCCGCCTGCCTTGGCCTCCCAAAGTGCTGGGATTACAGGCGTGAGCCACTGTGCCTGGCCATGTGTGGCTATTTTGAATGGAATTGTGTTCATGATTTGGCACTCATCTTGGATATTATTGGTGTATAGACATGATACTAATTTTTTACATTGGTTTTATATTCTGAAACTTTGCTGAAGTTGTTTAGGAGATCTAGGAGCTTTTGGGCAGAGACTATGGTGTTTTCTAGGTATAAAATCATGTCATCTGCAAACAGTTTGACTTCCTCTATTCCTATTTGGATGCCTTTTATTTCATTCTCTTGCCTGATTGCTCTGGCTAGGACTTCCAGTACTATGTTGAATAGGAGTGGTGAGAGTGGGCATCCTTGTCTTGTTCCAGTTATCAAGGGGAGTGCTTAGTGCTTGATATGGTTATATTGAAATTTATCATTTACTATTTGTTTTCTGTTTGTTACATCTGTTTTTTTTTTTTTTTTTTTTTTTTTTTTTTTTTTTTTTTTTGGTTACCTTTTCCCTCTTTGCCCACCTGCCTTTGGATAGAATATTTTTTACAATTCTATTTTATCTTCACTCTTGTCTTATTTGTTAAATCTCTTTTCCTAATTTTTCTTTTGTGTGTATGTCTCAGGATTTAAAGTACTCATCATTAATATTCACAAACAGCCATCTTTAAATAATATACTGCTTCATATATAGTATAAGAACTTTACAACAGAATACTTTTCTCTCATTCTTTGTGCTGTTGTCATATACTCAGGGGCTGTATTTTTCAAATTAATTTAAATTTATTAAGTGATTACTTAATTATTTAGCTACATGAAATGTTTTAATATTTTTAGTCAAAGTCCCCTCAGCCAGTTGCAATGGCTCATGCTTGTAATCCCAGTTCTTTGGCAGACACAGAAGAGGGATGATCACATGAGGCCAGGAGTTAAAGACCAGCCTGGGCAACTCAGCGAGACCCTGTCTCTACAAACAATTTTTTAAAGTTTTTTTCTTTTTCTTTTTAGAGATGGGGTTTCACCATGTTGCCCAGGCTGGTCTTGAACTCTGGGCTCAAGCAATCTGCTTGCCTTGGCCTCCCAAAATGCTAGGATTACAGGTGTGGCCATCGTGCCCAGCCTAAAAGTTTTTAAAAAGTCCCCTTGACCATTCCTTCTGTGGTGGTACACAATGTTACCAGTTTCTTATATATTCTTCCAAATCTTTGCTATGCCTTTACATATGTGTGTATATGTATTCGTCTGTATATATATGTGTGTATATATATACACTTAGAATAGATATAGTTTTTACATAAAAGTTAGTATACTATGCATATCATCTTATAGCATGCTTTTATTCAACAATGTATATTGTCAGTCTACCCATATTAATACATATAGCTCTGTCACATTCTTTTGAACTGCTGCATAGTATTCCATTAAATGGATTTCCCAGTTTGTTTTTTTGCTTGATAGACATCCATTTTATTCATTATGGTAAACAAGGCCTCAGTGAACACACTTCCTTATGCCTTATCGTAGACATTGGCAAAATGCTTCTCTAGAGTAGATACTTGGAAGTGGAGTTATATTTCTTGTAGAATCCTCTAGCAAGAAATAAAAGGAAGAGGAGAGACAGAAATTAAACCTAGAAAGTTCTAGGGTTGCAGTTAAGTTGGGGCTAATGGGGAATGGTTGTGGGGGTAGTAGGTGAGGTAGAAATGCTAGAGGATTTAAAGCCTTGGAAAGTCTTTGGAAAATCTTATATAGCAATGATGTCATCTTTGAAACTCAGGGACATCTGGGGGACATTCATTGGTTATTATTTTCATGCTTTGGGTATAAAAAAAGCAACTTTTTTACTTCATCCGAGATAGAAAGGAAAAGGGTGTAGAAAAGGGAAGCTCAGTGGGCTTAGGAATGTAATGGAATTTAGAGATCATCTGGTTAAGCACCTTCACTGTTCACATGGGAAGCAAAGCTTCCGAGGGAGACTTGATCCAGGTTCCATATTGAGTTAGTGGTAAAGCTGGACCTCCAGCCCTAAGTGCTGACATATCTTAGCCCAGCTGTAGGAGGGAGAAAAGCAGAAACAGGAAGGAGATAGCTTAGTCCAACTAGGGGAAGTGGTGGGGGCGGCGTGGCGGGGGGGCGCCACACAGGCACGGAAGCAAACAGCATTGCCGCCCACTCGGCCCCCGGCAGCTCACTCTTCCTTTCTCCAGATTCCTGCGGACTTCTTTCTTCAGCAGCATCAAAGAAGTCCAAAAAGGAAAACTAAACAATCCAAATTACAGGATAGAGAAAAAGACCCATTTCCATGTAAATGTTAACCATTCTGCAGCAAAACAAACAGTGGAAATAATGAGGCTTTGGTTTGGATCTGCAATGTGGAAGATGGACCTTGCTTATAAATAGTCTTTAAACCAACAAGTAGAGCCGCAGTAATTCTGTCTTGGAGGGTAGAGGGATGGGGACTGAACACATCACCCTAAAGCAGCTATTCAAAAAGTGTTTCAGGTCCCCTCGCAGTAATTAATAATAATAATAAATTTCAGGCAACAAAACAAACAAAAGGAAACAACAAAAAGCAGGGTTGGATCATTAAAACAAAAAAGCTGGGTACTCCAAAGACTTCTCACAGCGGCCAAGTTATGGAAATGAGATTTGAAACTGTGCCCCTCCAGGATCTTGTCCACTTGTACAGCATAAATCCTTAAATCAGCCTGCCCACCGTAGACTGGATGCCCTTTGAGAGTGCAGCATCCTGGAATGCTGTCTTCTGAAAAACAAATAAAAGATACACAGTTGAACCATATGAAAGTGCCAATATTTGACTATTCTGACTTACCAAAAATAAATAAGTAAAAGCAGCACGTTGAAGGGATTCAATGTAATTTACGCAGGCCCTCAAAAAGACAGTGTCTTTATCACTGTAAAGTCATTGGACAAGCCCCCTCCAGGCCAAATATCAGCAGACAGGCACAAGAGTCACCTGGGTGATTGCCTTAGAAGCCCAGTAGTACTCCAGAGCAAGGTGCACCTCCTCCCTGTGTTGGGATACCTGGGATGTCTTTTACACAGGCACATTCCTGAGTGACTCACCCCACTCCAGTCCTGAATCGGCATTTCTGGAGTGGGCCTGGGAACCTGCATATTAAACAATCACCCAGGTGACTCTTGTGCCTGTCTGCTGATACTTGGCCTGGAGGGGGCTTGTCCAATGACTACAGTGATAAAGACCCTGTCTTTTTGAGGGCCTGCGTAAATTACATTGAATCCCTTCAATGTGCTGCTTTTACTTATTTTTGGTAAGTCAGAATGGTCAAATATTGGCAATTTCATATGGTTCAACTGTGTATCTTTTATTTGTTTTTCTTTAAATTTCAACTGAGCTCTGGAAAATAAGTTTTCTAGATCTTTGATTGGACACATTTGGGGTTAAGAGATTTTTCCAGGTGCGAACATCAACTGACAAGTTTAGGAGCTATTTCAGGGAATACCTTTGAATTCTTCTTTCCATTTGGAGCCAGGAAGTTCAAAGAAACATTTATGGCGTAGCAGGTCTTCAGGTTTTAAAGGTAATTGTATTGTTATTTATGTTTTTAGATCCAACCTCTTTTTAGGATCATTACAAACACCGTGAGAGGGGTTTCTCCCCACATTGCAGAAAAGGATTTGAGTAAGGTAGGCATGTTTGACCTCTTCTGGAATAAGGTAAGGGGATCAGTCAACCAAGACAAAACTCTCAGTGGTGAATTGGTAGGGCCAGGATCCCATACATAGCAAATGGGAAAATTAGACTGTGAACTTAAGTCTTTGGAAATAACCTGGTGCTGTAAAAAAGAGTATAAATGAAATCGAATTTTGGCCTAAATTAGAGCTGCCACTTAGTAGTTAGTTGCATGATCTTGGTCAAATGCAGCAACCTCCTCCAGTTCTGTGTCTTGCAGAGGTGGGCTGGGGGTACTGTTCTTGGGGGAGCTGAGTGAGACCCTCAGTGCCACGCATGTCCATAAAAGGTGCTCAGTAGTTTATTACTAGTGAATTTTAGCCTGGAGGTTTTTCCAAAGATGCACAGCAGCCTCTTGAGTAAGAAAAGAAGAAAAGCTGCAACCCTTCCCTCTGCCCCTAATCCCTTCACACATAAAACTGCCCTGGGGCATTTACCCTCCAAGGGATAATTCCTGGTTGAAAGTAAAGCTGGCACAGCTACTGTGGGCACCAGCAGGTGCCAGTACAGGCTAAGCTTTCAGAAGGGTTGCCTGGCCTGACTTTATCATTTTTTCTGTCTCTCAGTGTGACTCATGAAAGCCCAGACTTCCTTTCCTTTCATCCAGAGTGATTTCTGTCTCATAGCCTTTTGTTTGTTTGTTTACATAATATGTCCACATAACAATCTCATAGCCTTTCTTGCTTGCTATTCTGAACCTGGGAAAAAATGCTCAGGGTTTGCACTGTCAAATATCAAGGAAGAAGAAAGATCTCTTATTTTGGAGATCTTCGTAACAAAACTAGTAAACAGCAGTGGCTACTTTTGGGCAGCACTTCACAGTTGGCAAAGTACTTTTGGATTCATCAGTTCACTGAATATTTTGCGAAGCCCTGGCAAGACTGTGTGATGGCTAAGGGCTGGGCTCTGAGGTCTGCAGATTGCCTTCAAATTCCCATCTTCACCTCTTCCCAACTGAATCATCTTGGGCAAGTATTATAATTTGCCATCACTGAACATCATAGATTTAAGTGGAAAGTACTAAAATAGTAGCAATAAGAGCTTAATAATTGTTAGCTATTATTTCTGTCATTCCCATTTAACCAAGTGACTTTGTTTTTCCAGAATATCTGACCTCAACCTAACAGGTCAAACTTCACTTTCTTCACTTTTACACCCTCTTCCTTTCCTCACAGTCCCCTGCCTCCACTCCTCCTCTGCCTCCCTTCCCCATCACAGCCTATACTAAACTTTCCTGTGGGGTGCAGGCTGTCCTTTGTCCTGAGTACGCCACACTTGGTGAATACCTCCCCATCCTTCAAGTAGACTGACTTATTCCCATGCTCCTGGTTTGCTTTCTGTACACCTTGGCTACAACAACTATGTAGAGTGAGCTGGTCTCTTTCCCCATCTGTCGTCTTATTAGACTGAGTGCTTTCTGAGAATAGGAACCAGATCTCCTTGCTTGTGGAATCTGCCCCAAAATCTATGGGATACCAAATAAGTGTTGGTTTGAATGAACAAATGCTGTAGAATGTATAACAGCAGTTAAAATGATCTTAGGTAAGCACTGGAGTCATGGAACCCAGAGCTTGTGAGCCAGTCCTGGAACCCAAACTCTCCTGCTCCCAGTCCCCATGCTTCCTAGGCATCCTCCATGCTGCCTCTGGGTGTGGCCATCGGACATTGCTGAGTAATTTTTCTTAAGCTGGACGCAGAAAGATAAAAACTAATGATATGAAAGCACTAGACTTCATATTTACAGGCCCAATAGAAGTTTCCAATGACATCAAGCAGCCAGTGTGCAAGGCCTGCTTTTAATGTATCAGAAAAGACAAAATTACAGGATGACCGCCTTTGATGTCCCATCTGTTTCGTCTTTCTGAATAAAAGGGAAACTCTGGCTCCAGGCTGATTTTCAATTGCAAAAATAGACTAAATTCCAACCCTTAAATTATCAAAAGTGCCACATACTTGACAAGCAGCTAAGCAGAGTACAGAAACTACCAAGTTAGTAATTAAACAGAGCTTAAGTCAAATTAACAGAGACAGACATTCTTGTCTGGCGGTCAGAACAGAGGCCTGGGGAGCCCAGGATCTGGCCCTGGTTCCTGCTTGTGTCAGAGTCAAGTTTTGATGTGCAGCTGCAATTGCCAAGAAGAGACCCCCTGGGCTCCCTCCGCCCCCATCTATCCTGGAAAGGCTCCCAGGGTGGGAGGGGGGGTGTTCCTGTTAAAAGATATGAATCGGGGAGGGTAGGCCTGAAAGGAGTCAGGAAGAGACTGAGAGTGCCTCGCTCCAGAGTGCCTCGCTCCTCTCCATTTCAGAATCTGTTTCCAAATATTGCAAGAGGCCATGGAAGATTTTTTTTTTCATATAATGATTGGCACTTAGGAGGCCTTATAAGAATTTTAATATAAATTATTATCCGTTCAAACAATTTTGAGTGCTTACAACAGTGGATAAAGTAAAATCCTAGACTAGGAGAGCTGACATGCTGGTAGGAGGAGGCAGACAATGAAAAAGTAAATATTTAGTATTTCAAGTGGCTTTAAGTGACATGGGTGTAACCACAGTGAGAGGAGGAAGAGAGAGTTCAGGAGGGAGTGGGGGGAGAGGTAGGATGGAGTTGCAATTTATATTAGGCAGTTCATGGAGGCTTCTCTAATAAGGTGATCATTCAGCAGAAACCTAAAAGCAGAAGAGAATTCCAGGCAGAAGGAACAGCATGTGCAAAGGGCTTGAGATGGAAGAGTGCTGAGCATGTCAGAGGGAAAGCAGGATCCTGGAGCAGCCAGATCAGGGCCAGCATGGAGGGAGTCATAGGAGATGAGGCTGGAAAACGATTAGGGGCTAGATCATGTAGGCATCCTGAGGATGCTGGCTTTTAGTCTAAATTAAAAGTGAAGGCATTGAAAGATTTTGGGCAGCTCCGACATGCTGTACAGGGTCACTTGGGGCTGCTGTGTTGAGAGCAGACCTAAAGGCAAAGGTAGTAGAAACGCAAGGGTAGAAGAAGGGAGACCTCTTATGAGGATGCAGCAATAATCCAGAGGAGACGCGATTGTGGCTTAGATTAGATGGTGGTCAAAAGTGGGTTAGATTCGGCCGGGCACGATGGCTCATGCCTGTAATCCCAGCACTTTGGGAGGCCAAGGCGGGTGGATCACGAGGTCAAGAGATCGAGACCATCCTGGCCAACATGGTGAAACCCTGTCTCTACTAAAAATACAAAAATCAGCCGGGCGTGGTGGCTTGCGCCTGTAGTCCTAGATGCTTGGGAGGCTGAGGCAGGTGAATTTCTTGAACCCAGAGGCAGAGGTTGCAGTGAGCCAAGATCGTGCCATTGCACTCCAGCCTGGCGACAGAGCAAGACTCCATCAAAGAGAAAAAAAAAAGTGGTTAGATTCAGAATTTTGAAAGTAGACCTTATAGGATTTGCTGATAGTTTGGCTCTTGGATGTAAAAGGAAGAAAGAATTCAAAGATGACTTTAAGGATTTTGGCCTGACCGAATGAAATGGTGGAGTTCCTGTTTAATGAGATGGGGAAGAGCAGGTCTGGGGGATGAACATCAAGAATTTGTCTTTGGCTATGGTGATTCTGAAAGGCCTCTTCTATGACCATGACAGGTATTGTGAAGAAGCACGGCTCCAGGGATGCAACCTGAGTGCAAGTTTATTTCTGTGTCTGAATGTCCCTTTAACATTTGGTGGAGTAGTGGTCTTCTTTGCAGTCGGGTAAAAACTCTGGCAGGCACCATGATTTTTCTCGTCATTCTCGTCTATCAGAAAGTTCCATCGTTCACTTTAGGAAAATGCAATGTTGATCCAGAAAAAAATGTCCAGTTCACTCTATTAATCAACACTTATGTCATCATAAAAAGGTCATGGTGTATACCCAATGTAGAGGCTGATTAAAAAAATACGTATTTTTTAATATGAAGAGGTCATGGTTCTTCTGCTTCCAACTCCCCCATCTTATACCTCTCAAGCTTGTGCCTATAGCAGGTAGGCTACCACATTGGGGAAGAAGTTATGGTCAGGTTTTTTCTCTTTCTTGCTTATCTTCTCATTAGCTATGGTTTCAACCACTCCAGAGTTGGAGACCTTGGAGGGTAGAGCAAAAAGAGATCAGAAAGTTCTTACTTGGGTAGTTCTGTCCTAACATGGTTACACTTTCCCTGGGGTTGGCTAATATTCAACGCTGAATCTTCCTTGGTTCTTTTGTGGATTCTCTGGTGGCTCCCCTTTGCAACACCGCTGGCGTGGGTAATGCATCCTCTTCCTCCAGCTGCTGCTGGGTTTTCTGCAGCTCACTACACACAGACTTTCTCAAGTATTGTCCTATTATTCTGCCAAGCAGAACACTTGAGCAAGAATGATAAGGGTCCTAGCCCATTCTTTCTCCTGCACGGCCCACCTCTTGTCCACGGGACACACACACCCTGTACCTTGGCTGATCCCTGAGGGGTCATCTCTTTTCTGCTGCCATCCACGGCTTTAGCAGCCTCCTACCTTTACACTCCCCAGGTAGGAGTCACACTCCAATTAATTAAGTGCTTCTTCCCCCTCTCCAAACTGCAGGGAACACATGTCGGCTCTCCAAGTCATCCTCTGTCAATAGATCTCTATTTTCCATGGAGAGGAATTATTCACAGCACAGCTTTCTTCAAAGAAAACCTTTCACAAATCCTTACTACCCGCCTTAATCTCTAGTGACGAGACCATTTTATGCCCTTGATTACAGTGAGGGGCCCAAGTCAAACTCTTCTCAGATATCTACCTTGGAAATACTCATTTGCATTAGCTTCTGACCTTAGTATTTGATATCTGTTGTGTTGGAGTCTTGGCCAAACTTCCTTTTTAACATCTTGTTACATTTTCAAAATTTGCGCGTCAATAGCATATGAAGAATCATACTTAAAGCCATGAGATTAGAGAAAACCACCTATGGAATGAACAGCAGAAAGGTCCGAGGATTGAACCCTTAGGCTTTTAGAAGCTGGAGAAATGAAGAACCAACGATGGATACTGAGAAAGTGCATTCACAATTTGTCCTTCTGCACTGGCTTAAAAAACGAACAGGCAAAAACAAATAACACTTTAGGCTCTTATAACTCATTTTCTATCCTGATTTATAATAATACTTGAGCAAATTTTTCCATTCTTCATGATGCCACTCTTCGTATGATCTCACTCCTCACATGTAACTGTCCTTGGCATTTACAAAGTGTCCATTGTCTCTTTTTAACCACCTGACACCCCTGTGAGAAAGGTCTATTACAGATGGGGAAATGGAGGGCAAATAACTTTAAGAGGCTTTCCCAAGTGCTAGAAGTAAGAGGCATAGGGTGGGCTTGAATCAGGTCTTTTGGTTCCAGATTCAGGTCTTTTTTTTCATAGCTGCGTCAAAGATACTCATGACAACCACAGTGTTTTTTTTTTTTTTGTAGGTTTTGCTAAAGTAGACTATTTAGTAAAGGAATGGCAAATGTTTCATCTCATACCAGCTCCTGTTCATTAATCAAGGCTTTCTAGAGAGCTGTGTTGAAGGATTCTGAGGCATAATGAGGTTTGGCAGGAAAGAGTGCTTGATCAATTAGTTTATCTGCCATTGCTGTAGGAGGGGTTCTGGTGGCTGATACACCATGCATTTGCTATCATTCATTTAATTCCTGAGAAAGGGGTTGGGGGGGGCGTAGAGAGAGAGAGAGAGAGAGAGTGTGTGTGTGTGTGTGTGTATCATTTCCTGGAACAGTTGTATTTTCTCACCACGTATTCTAAGAGTGGGAAAAAGGAATAAAGAACAGCCTAAATCCACACTGGGTTACATGCATTCTGTATACATGCATTCTGAGAGCATATACTTAAGATGTGGCATGAGCAAAGGAAACAGCCCTGAACTCAGAGCAGCCTTGCCAATAAATAAAACTAGTCACTATTCCCTAGCAGTTTTCTGTCTAAATTTTTTTTTTTTTTTTAGATGGAGTCTTGCTGTGTTGCCTGGGTTGGAGTTCAGTGGCGAAATCTCGGCTCACTGCAACCTCTGCCTCCCGGGTTCAAGTGATTCCCCTCCCTCAGCCTCCTGAGTAGCTGGGACTACAGGCGCACACCACCACGCCTGGCTAATTTTTGTAATTTTGGTAGAGATGGGGTTTCACCATATGGGTCAGGCTGGTCTTGAACTCCTGACCTCAGGTGATCCACCTGCCTTGGCTTCCCAAAGTGCTGGGATTACAGGCATTAAGCCACTGTGCCTGGCCTCTAAATTTTTATTTTGACAAATTTTGATCCAAAAGAAAAGTTAAAAGAATAATAGTACAATGAATGCCCATATATCATTTTCCTGATTTCGTCAATTGTTAACATTTCCCTGTCTCTGCTTTAATTTGGAATGATTTGAAAGTAAAAATTCAAGACACTTCAGCATTCATCCCTTAAGAACAAGGACCTCCTACATAATCATGTAGTATACATAATCACACCTGCAAAATTAATGTTGATTCAACAATATCATTAACTTATAGGCCATATTCAAATTGCCCCAGTTATCCATAAAACTGGGATGAGACTAAATGTACTACTTTTCTTTTTCTTTTTTTTTGAGATGGAGTTTCACTCTTGTCACCCAGGCTGAAGTGCAGTGGTGCCATCTCAGCTCACTGCAACCTCTGCCTCCCAGGTTCAAGTGATTCTCCTGCCTCAGCCTCCTGAGTAGCTGGGACTACAGGTACCCTCCACCATGCCCGACTAATTTTTGTATTTTTAGTAGAGACAGGGTTTCACCACGTTGGCCAGTCTGGTGTTAAACTCCTGACCTCAGGTGATCCACTCACCTCAGCCTCCCAAAGTGTTGGGATTACAGGCGTGAGCCATTGAGTCCAGCCACAGCTGGAGCTCTCTATGTAATTTAGGTTGCACCAAAGCACTTGCACTTACCTAAGATGGGCAAGGTAAAAGTGAGGCAGAGGTCATGCTTGTGCTGCTCCTGCATTTTTCTTAGGAGCTTGGCCATTGATTTTTTCCTGCCATGTTGGGACAGGCTATGGAAAGCCACTGGAGAGGGTTGAGGGCAGAGGCAGGGCACGATCTGATATAATTTTAAAGATCATGCAGCCTACTACTATGTGGAAAATAGACCGTAAGGGGGCATAATTGGAATAGGGAGCCAGTTGGAAGCTCTTGTCACCTGGATGGAGATGATGGTGGTTTGTATTGGTAGACAGGGTGAGAGGTAGTTGGATTCAGAATATATTTTGAAGATGGAATTATGGGAATTTACTGGACTGTATATGGGGTATGAGAAAAATGATCCCTGCACTCCCTTGTAGCTAGGGTTCTGGATGTAATTCAGGTTCCACCTATCAGATGCACTCCTGTGAGATTTGGAAGGCAAAGTTGAGGTAGAGATCATGCCTTTGCTGTTTCTCCAGGATTTGTGGGGCTTGAGCAACTGGGTGAATAATGGTGTCGTTCACTAGACAGGGAAAGTCAACATTTTGGTGGGGTTGGAGGTGCACATTTCATAGTGCTTCTCTGAATGTCTATTAGAAATCCAAGTGAGATGTTAAGTAGGCAGTTGGATATATGGAAATGGGCAAGGGCAGGCCACTAGTGAACATACTATATTTATGGCTATGGGATTGTATAAGTTCATTTAGAGAGAACTGAGACCTGGAGCACTCCACCTTAGAATTTGAGAAGAGGAGAAGAATCTAACAAAGGAAGGGGAAGAGTGGTGATTAGATAGGAGAAAAAGCTGGAGAGTGTGAGGTGTTAGAAGCAAGGAGAAAAGGCTTGTAAGGAGGATGGAGCAATCAGTGTGACCAGTGCTCATGAGACTAAGAAGGAGCCTAAGGGTGGAGAATTTACCATTGGAATCTGGCAATGTGAAGGTCATCCGTGATGCTGACAAACAGCGTGATGGAGAAACCTGAGTAGACCTGGGTTAGAGAGAATTGGATTATGAGGAAGTGAAGGAAGGGGACTCTTTCTTGAGGAGTTTTGCTATAACAGAAGAGAGAACTAGAGCCATAGTTGGAGAGAGAGATGGGGTCAAGGGAGGGCTTTGTTTTTTTGTTTTGCATATGTTAGGTATTTTGCATGCTGATGGGAATGATTTAGTGAAAAGGAAAGAAAAATGATGGTGCAGGAAGGGATGAATGAAAAGTCCTTGTTTATCTGAGAGGAAATAGACTCAGAAAACAAATTCAAGGGTTATTCCCATTGTTACGGGTTGAATTGTGTCCCTCCAAAAGATACGTTGAAGTTCTAACCCCTGGCAGCTGTAAATATGACCTTATTTGTAAATAGGTTTTTTTTTTGCAGATGTTATCAAGTTGACATCCTAGTAATATCCTGAGATAACATCATTAGGGTAGACCCTAATCCAATATGAATGACAGCCTTGTAAGGAGAGGAAGAGACACAGAGATAGACATAGGAGGAGAATGCCCATGATGATGGGGACAGACAGTGGGTCAATGCATCCAACCCAAGGAATGCCAAGAATTATTGGGAACCACCAGAAGCTGGGAGAGGCAAGGAAGGATCCTTCTCTAGAGGCTTAGTGAGAGCACAGATCCTGCCCGACATCCTAGTTTCAGACCCCTAGAGGATAGCTAGCTTGTTAACTGAACAATTCTCTACTTTTACAGAGTTATCCATGATGAATCAGTGCAGTAAACTAAAGCAAGGAGATTCTCACACTGTCTCACTTGTTATATTTAAACCTTGGGTTTCAAACAATAGGTTGTCTTGAAAAGTGCTGCTGGGTTTAGAGATGTTTTCTGATTCTGACCTATCCCCAAAGGTCTGTGGCTTTCCAAGACATGCCTGAGTCTCTTCAGGAAGCTGATAATGGATGTTTCTGTAAGAGACAAATGACCACCTGTATTTAAAAACTTGAAAGTTCTCTGCTATCTTTCTGATCTGAGAAAGAATTTGCTAATAAATGAGCCTTAAAAATTTTGCTTGATAAAACCAGTCATTCTTCTCATGATCAGTATTTCCTTTTAGAACGTGTTGAAGATTTCTCATTTTTCTCCCATCATCTTTTGCTATATTGAATTCTAATTTCTTGATTTAAATTTCTTTTATTTACTAACTTCTAAGTATCCTCGGATTTGAGTTGTTTAGATTTTATGTAAGGCATTTGTGATACCAATAGTGGAAAAAGTATTTGATTTGGAGCTGGAAGATACAATTTTGAGTCCCTCCTCTACCATGTCCTGACTTTGGGTTATTCAGTTACATTCTCCAGACTGTTTCCTTATTGTAAAACAAGGGTGATACCCACCTCATATAGTTACAGTAATAATGACAGCTAACATCTCTATAACTTTATGGGTTTTTTTTCCCGCATATCATCCCATTTAATCTTCACATCAACTCCTTGAGCTTGGTGGGGAATAATCATCACCCCTTTCTACATACGTGGAAACTGCGGCTGGGCAAGCCTAATGTAAAAGGTCCAAATAGGAAGTGTTTGAGCTGGAATTTGAGCTCAAATATTTTTCTTATAAAAGCCTATAGGAAGTTCCACCCATCATATTTCATTGGGCTTATACAGCATTTTACAGATCTCAAAGCATTGTGCAAAAGTAAAGAATTCTTTTTTTCATTTTAAAAAAATTTACTTTAAGTTCCAGGATACATGTGCAGAATGTGCAGGTTTGTTACATAGTTATATATGTGCCATGATGGTTTGCTGCACCTATCAACCAGTCATCTAGGTTTTAAGCCCTGCATGCATTAGGTATTTGTTCTAATGTTCTCCTTCCCCTTTCCCCCCACCCCTAACAGGCCTTGGTGTGTGATATTCCCCTCTCTGTGTCCATGTGTTCTTATTGTTCACCTCCCACTTACGAGTGAGAACATGTGGTGGTTGGTTTTCTGTTCTGTTAGTTTGCTAACAAACTAGAATGATGGCTTCCAGCTTCATCCATGTCCCTGCAAAGGACATGATTTCATTTTTTTATGGCTGCATAGTATTCTATGGTGTATATGTGCCACACTTTCTTTATCCAGTCTATCACTGATGGGCATTTGGGTTGGTACACCAAGAATTCTTATTTCTGTGGTGTTACTGTTTCTGAGTGGACATCTGTACAGTAAGAGTTCTGTTCTGAAGATAGCCAGACCTGAAGTCTGCTTATCTAGAACTGCGCTGATCATTATGGAGGCCACTAGTCCCATGTGTCTACTGAGTTCTTGAAGTATGGTTGATAGTACTGGGGAAGTGAATTTTTAAAATTTTATTGAACTTTAATAAATTTAAATTTAGAAGTAGATATTCAATTTATTTATTGGGAAACTTTTAAGTAAGTTTGAAACAATAGGGAATTGTGTATCCATTTTTTCAGCTATAAATTTTATGTTGTAAACACAGATCAAGTATTTCCCATGAAAATTTAGTATTCTATTGAATGCTGTTATGTGTAAAATATACTAGATTTTATATGATAGATGTAACGTAAAATATCTCTAATAATTTTTTATAGTGATACATTTTGAAATAACACTTTGGATATATTGTTTTAAATGAAATAGATTATTAAAATTAATGTCATCTGTTTTTTGTTTTTTAATGTGGCTACTGGAAAACTTTATATATGTATCTTGTATTATTTCTCTTGGACGGCACTGCTCTAGAATTAGCTGTGAAAGAATATTTGTGTTAACTAGGGATTTCCAGACCAGAACAGTACAAATCATATGTCAAATTTCACATTTTGTTTCACATAAGGAATTTCCAGGACAACCTGTTGTATATATTAGGTGCTGACTAATTATTGCTCTTTCTGAACTAGTGGAGACTCTTTTGTGGCTGCTCATTGAGGTTTGATCATAGCTGTGTGGAGGCTTCTTAGTTCTCCTTCTGTCTGTAACTACCCAGTGGGTTCACCTTGCCCACTGCCTAGACAGAACTGATTTATCAAGACAGGGGAATTGCAGTCGAGAAGAGTCACTTACACAGAGCCAGCTGTGTGGGAGACTCGAGTTTTATTATTACTCAAATCAGTCTCCCTGAGCATTCTGGGATTAGAGCCTTTAAGGATAATTTAGGGTGTTGGCAGTGAGTCTGGAGTGCTGATTGGTTGGGTCAGAGATGAAATCATAGGGAGTCAAAGCTGTCTTCTTGTGCTGAGTCAGTTCCTGGGTGGGGGCCACAAAGTCACATGAGCAAGTTTATCAATATATGGGGGGTGCCAGCTGATCCATCAAGTGCAGGGTCTGCAAAATATCTCCAACACTGATCTTAGGTTTTACAATAGTGATGTTATCCCCAGGAGCAATTTGGAGAGGGTCAGAATCTTGTAGCTTCCAGCTACATGACTCCTAAACCGTAATTTCTCATCTTTTGACTAATTTATTAGTCCCACAAAGGCAGTGTTGTTTTGGGAAAAGGCTGTTATCTCTGTTTCAGACTATAAGCTATAAACTAAGTGCCTATCAAAGTTAGTTCAGCCTACGCCTAGAAATGAACAAGGACAGCTTGGAGGTTAGAAGCAAGATGGAGTTGGGCAGGTCAGATCTGTGTCACTGTCTCAGTTATAATTTTGCAATGGCGATTTCATGTCCTTAGTCCCAGTAGCCAGCCTGCTAGGAGTAGCTTCCTAATTCTCCTTTCCACTCTCAAGGCCTCTTGAGTTTGTTGACTTGGGCCTCACTTTGACCTGGTGTCTGGGGATGATTCTATCTGATTCTACACCTGCGTGGTTTAGGTGCTGCCTGCACCTGGGTCTGCACTGGCTTGCCTATTTCCTGGGTGTGTTCTACTGTGTGAAGCACTATCACAGCTATGGAAAAGGCCAGGTTGTAGGCAATTCCTTACTTTTATACATATACGCCTTCCTGAATGCTTATGCAAAAGTTGAACACATCCAAGAATAGATAGACCAGGTATAAGGTGAAGATCGTAAACCTAATAGCTGAAATATAGTCTCAAATAATACCTTGTCTTTTAGTCACAATCTTTGAGGCTATCTCTCCAACATTTCATATAAGTTCTTTAATTTTGTTATTGTAGTCACAATTGAAAAACACCATTAACTAGCTCAATAAACCAATAAGGTTTAAGATTTTCCACTTTCAACATCCCTAATATTTCTTAAATATATTCAGTTTGTAATCCCATACTTATTAATAGTATTCATATTTTCAACTGTCCATTGTCTTTTTTTGAAAAAATATTAAGGGTAAAGAAAACAATGCTTTTCAAAAATTTTTGATTGGGATGGAGAGGAAATCATAGAGGGTTGAAGCTGTCCTCTTGGGATCCGAATTGCTTCTGGGTGGGGCCACAAAAGTGGAGTTGTTGGTCTGGATGGAGCCATGGGTCCAGGTGGAGCTATATGGGTGTCAGACATGAAAAACAAACAACAACAACAAAAAAAACTGGAAAGATATCCCAAAAGGCCAATCTACAATAGTGGTGTTATTTGCAGGAGTAATTGGGGAAGTTGCATGTCTTACAACCTCCTTTGCTTTTTCACAGGATGCACCACGATTCAGGCTCCTCTCCTCCCCCCACCCTGATGGCCTCCCATTAGCTTTACAACTGCAGTTGAGTTTTGAACAAGGCCTGTTATCATTTAAACTGTAGCCTAAATGTCTTTCATTGTTGGCCCAATAGCCCAGGAATAATTAGGGGAAAGGCAAGATGGGAGTTGGGTTAGTTTAGCTTACTGTTATAATTTTCTCACTGATAAAACTTTTACAAAGGCGATTTCAAGCATAGACTGCTGGCCATTCTGTGGGGGAGATCAATTTGCAAGTTAATTAGTCTCACATATATTATTGTGTTCAATTCTTCTTTTTTTAAATATCAGTTTGCTTTTTCATAGGATGCTTTCAGTTCTAATCGCTTGTGAGCTTTAAACAGATGGTGTTGCTTTATATGAGAGAATCAATGCCTATAAATAAATAAAAATGTTTGATTTTTCTGCACTCTGTTACGTGTGTCATGTATATTATGGCAAGATCCAAAGTTAATAAATTATTTTGACACAGATAAATGTAATCAGGCACTTTTTAGTGAAGTGAGTGTTTCAGTGGTTCTCCCCAGTGGCAGTATAAATAGAATTCTCTCTCTTTTTTTTTGGAGAGAGGGTCTTGCATCTCACTCTGTCACCCGTGCTGGAGTGCGGTGGCACAGTTACAGCTGTCTGCAGCATTGACCTCCTGGGCTCAAGTGATCCTCTCACCTCAGTCTCCTGAGTAGCTGGGACTACAGGTGTGTGCCACCACACTGGCTATTTTTTTATTTTTTTGTAGAGACAGGGTCTCACTATGTTGCCCAGGCTGATCTCGAACTCCTGGGCTCAAGTGATCCTCCCATCTTGGCTTCTCAAAGTGCTGGGATTACAGGCATGAGCCACGGTGCCCAGTTTGAATTTGTTAATGGACAAAATGGGTCATTTTCATCGGGTCAATCCTATAGTCCACAGGGCAATCTTTTGCTTATGCAATTAAAAAATAGAACAATTAAGAACACCTTATGGAAACCCTTCTCATGTATTTTATGTAAGTGGCTTATGGAGATATAGCTGTAATGCAGGATATTTTCTTAACGCTTTCACGGAACTCACAACAGCGTGCCTCATTTACTCAGGCTGCCCTATTCAACCCCTCATGGGAGACAGGCAGGAACATATGAGTGAGCAAGTACAGGAACCGGCCACTTTGGCACTGGCAGGAGCAAACTCTTTGTGGGCCCTGCAGCAGCATCTAGGTGGGGTGCCTGCAATCCCAAGGCCCCAGAGGGTGTGTTACAATGTTGTCTTAGCTCTGTCATCCACAGACAGCAGCTCAGTGGGCCCTCTGCCTCATTGCATGGAGCAGCTGCCTTCTGCCAGTGAGGGCAAAGGGCCAGTGTGACAGCCTGTTTGGATACCTGCACCTGATGTGTTCCAAATTCTTGTCCAGTGCCCAAGAGGAATGAGGTCATGTAGTTAAATTGAAGGATGGTGAATGTGGAGAATTTCACTGAGTGATGAAAGCGGCTCTCAGCAAACGGGAACTGGAAAGGGGACAGGTCTGGGAGACCTGCCCTTCAGGGTAGAGCCCTGAAGTCAAGCTGCTTTTCTGCCTCTCTCTCCTGAAGTCAAATTGCCTTATCCAGCTGCCATCTCAAAGTCACCTATCCCTGATGTCCAGTCGCTTCTTCCTGACGTCTAGCTGCTGCTTTTCTCTGCCAGCTGAATATGGGGTCTTTATAGGCACAGAATGGGGGCAGGGCAGGCCATAGGTAGTTTTGGAAAAGGAGACATTTGACTGGTTTAAAACATTATTCATAAAGAACCAGTTGGGAGAGAGTGGGCACACAAGAGTGGAAGTTCTCACTTTGGGCTGCGGGTTTCAGGCTTTTTGGCTTAAAAGTGGGGTTTTGCCAGGGACCCACCCCTGTCTGCCTAGAATTTCTCTGCCTCCTGCCTCTATCATTGTATCATTTCCCCCTCTGAAGAGGCACATCTAACTGCTGTTAGCATATGGATGATGACTGATCTTAGCTACTTCCTGCTAACAGGGGGGTGTTATTTTGAGGAAAATGGCAGTCAGATTTCCCTCAGAGGTCTACCTAAGGGTCCCTGGCAAAAGGGAGCCATTCTCCGAGGTTGTATGACCATTTGGAGCTTGATGGCCTCTAGGCAAGAAGAAACAAGTTTTACGAGGTTAAGTATACATGGATTGAATATGTGTATTATACAAAAAGGAGTTAAAAGGAATGAATCTAGTGCCAAAGATTACAGAAATAAGTGAAATATACTAATCCTTCTGAAAAAAATAATGCACCCTGAGCTGTTTCACCCTGGTGAAATAAATTAAACCTTATATGAAATCAGTTACACTTTAGGGGAGCAATAACTGTTTAGGGAAATGGATATTCCCATGGGTGTTCAGGATTAAGGAGTCTTTGATAAAGGCACCCCATGTTACAGAACAGAATGAAGGTAAGAACATCAGGGATAGGCAAGACTATAAGGAGGATATTCATGGAAAATTAATTATTAACACTTCTTTTGTGATTTTTAGCTTGAGTTCCCCAATTTCTTCACATTAGCACTTTGGGTGCTCTTCTGGATTGGGAATCACTGGGTGAATTGGAACCATCAGCTCCCCAGGCCTTTACTTTGAGTATAATGAATCAAAAAATCTATTCTAGTGACACTCACTGCCATAGGAGTAGAAAGAAGTACAGTGTAAGGTCCCTCCCAATCTGGGCTGGTAGAGGGAGAAAGGGAAAGGACTACCCTTACCAGTACCAGGTCCCCTGGGTTGAACAGACATTGCCCTAGTTCAGTTCCTGTTGGAAATGGGCCAAAGAAGTTATATGTTTAATCAAATCAGAGGTTTCTTGGTCTAGCAAGAAATCATTGGTGAGAAAAGGCTGTCCATACATAATTTCAAAGGGACTCAGACCCAGCTTTGAAGGGGTGTTTCTCACACATAGTAGGGCCATGGGAACAAGGGTAGTTCAGGGGAGGTGAGTCTCCTCACACAGTTTCCTGAGGTTCCTTTTGATAATATCATTTGTCCTTTCTACTTTCCTGAGGATTGTGGTCACCAAGCACGATGAAGATGGTACTGTATGCCCACTACCTTTGAGACCCCCTGGATGACAGCTGCCTTGAGCAAGGGGCCATTATCACTCTGGAGGTACTCAGGGAGTCCAAAGCAAGAATTTATCTCATTAATTGCTACTTTTATCACCTCGGAGGCTTTCTCTGTTTGACATGGAAATGCTTTTACCCAGTTAGTGAAGGTATGTATCTTTCCATACTAGGAGATACTGGGTGCCCCTTGCCTTTGGCATAGAGGTGAAATCCATTTGCCAGTCTTCACCTGGGTAGCCTCTTGTTCTTTGGGTTCCAGGGGGAAGAAGCCACTGATTCAGGGGATGATTTTTAAGGCAAGTCTTACAAACATTAACGACCTGCTTAACCATTTGTATCAGGTGTTTTTTTTTTCCTCCTGAGAACAACCTCTGGGCCAACTGATAGGTTTTATCCTTACCTAGGTGGAAGGCCTGCTGAAGGCTTTAAGGAACTTTCCATTGGTTGGCAGCTGGTAGATGAAGCTTGCCATCCTCCAATTGTAGCCATCCTGAGAACTGAAAGATATATCCTCAAGAAGTGGCCCATTCTATTTCTGAAGGAGAATACTGAGGTTTTATTTCTCTTATGGAGCCCTCTCAGATCAGAGGGGCTTCAAGTGAATCAGAAATCTGGGCCCTCTTGGTGCTGATTTAGCTGCTTGGTCTGCCAACCTATTTCCCTAAGCTATTTTATCCATCCCTTTTTGGTGGCCTTTACAATGTATTACTGCCACTTCCCATGGGAGGAAAACTGAATATGATAGTTTATTAATTTTCTGATAGTATTTAATGGGAGACATGTTAGCTGTGAGGAAGTTCCTCTCTTTCCAGATAGTAGCATGGGCATAGAGGACTAGGAAAGCATACTTAAAATCAGTATAAATGTTAACTGCTTTCCCTTTGCTTAATTCAAGTACCCTCGTGAGGGCAATTACCTTGGCTAGTTGAGCACTTGTGCCCAAGGAGAGATGCACTCTCAGCAATATCATTCAAGGTAACTATTGCATACCCTGCTTTATGGATCCCTTGTTCTGTAGAAGAACTTGTGTCCATAAAGAGAATCCAGTCTGTGTTCTTTAATGGGGTTTCCTTGAGGTCCTTTGTGGCTGCATAGGTTTGTACTACTTATGGGGGTTTCTTTGACTGCGTTAGGTTTGTACTACTATCTGTTTGCAGTCATGTTCAAGCTCCCCAGCTTCCTCTTGGAGGAAGGTGGCTGGATTTAGGGAGGGGCAGTTTCTTAATTGAACTGCAGATCCCTCTAATAACAGAGCTTGATATCTGAGGAGGTGGTTGTCCATTAGCCAGAGACTCCCCTTAAAGGACAGCAGTCCTGCCACATTATGTGGAGTGTAAATGGTTAAGTTATTCCCCATCATTAACTTAGTAGCCTCTGGTACCCAAAAGGTACAAGCAGAAAGGCTACTGCTGCAATTGCCCAGAGGCAGGCCAGCCATCCTTTGGCAACCAAATCAAGCTCCTTATTTAGGTAGCCTACAGGCCACTGGGCTGGATCTTGGGCCTGGGTTAGAACTCCCGGGGCGTGAGTAGCTCTGAGCCATTCCCTTCCTTTCTGACATGTAAAGATTAAATGTCTTCCCTATGGGAAGACTAAGGGCTGGTGCCTTAAGCAAGGCTTGTTTTAATTGGTCTAAGGCCTTTCTAGCCTCTGGTTCCTAAACTAGGGAGTGAGTTTTAGCTCCCTGAGTCTCCTTTATTAAGTGATATAAGGGAAGAGCTATTTCATATACCCAGCTATCCATACTCTGCAGAATCCTTTAATGCCCAATAATCCCCTCAGTTGCTTGAGGGTTCTGGGGAAGGGAAAGGAGGAGATGGGCTTAATCCTTTTTTCACCTAACGCCCACCCCCTTGTCCCGTCTGACAAGACCAGAGCTAGGTACTTCCCTGAAGTCTGCAGAACTGAGCTTTCAATTTTGAAACCTTATATCCTCTGTTAGCTAGAAAATGAAGAAGAGCCATACTGAGAGACTTTTCTCAGTTGGAGTGCAGAGGAGAATGTCATCTATGTATTGTAAAACTTCAACCTGAGGATAAAGGAACTCAGGTCATTTGACAATGCCTGCCCAAAAAAGTGGGGGCTGTTTCGGAATCCCTGAAGTAACACTGTCCAGGTTAGCTGGGTGGTTTGGTTAGAGGGATCCTCAAATGCAAATAAATACTGGGAGTCAGGGTGTAACAGTGTGCAGAAGAAGGCATCCTTTAGGTCCAGGACTGCACCATTTAGTTCCCTAAGGTATTTTAGCTAGCAGGGTATATAGATTGGGAACCACTGGGTGAACTGGAACCACAGTCTCATTAACGAGGCAGAGGTCCTGAACTAGTCTCCATTCCCTGTTAGGTTCTTGTATCTCCAATATCGGGGTATTACAAGGGCTGTTGCAGAGTTTGAGGAGGTCCTGAAACCTTAAGTTATCAATGATGGCTTCCAGTCCTTTTCTAACTTCTAGTTTCAGGGGATATTGTCTCTGATAGGAAAGGAGGTGGGACCATTAAAGTAGATCAAGACTAGTAGGGTGGTGGTTGTGGCTCAGCCAATTTTCCCTTGAATCGCCCAAACTTCTGGGTTAATATCTATCTCCACTAGGGAGAGACAAAGAGTTTGTCTTGGGGCCATGAGAATGGTGGTCCTCATATGAGGCAGAATATCTCTGCCCAACAGAGGAGTTGGGCTTCCAGGCATTATTAGAAAGGCATGGGTGAACAAGAGGCCTCTCCAACTACAACTAAGGGGTTGGGAAAAGTATCAGGTTAAAGGCCTTCCTGAGACACCCCTCATGGTCATGCTAAGGCAGGAGGGGGGCCCACATTAGAGAGGAGAACCAAGAGACCCACGCCAGTGTCCAGAAGGAGGTCCAGTTTCCTCCCTTCGATTTCCAGAATTCCCTAGTGCTCCTGGATGGTAATGGTGGTCTGGACCACTGGAGCTGGAGAGAGGAGCCCTGGGACCCATCAATCCTGCTAGGCCATTTGGGAGATTGGCTCTAGACCCAGTGACCAGCATCCCTGGGGACAGTCTGCCTTCCAGTGGTCCCCACTGCAGATTGAACAGTGTCGAGGTGGCTTCCTCATGCTGCCTGGGCAATTTTTTCCTAAAGTGCCCTGGCTTGCCACATTTGTAGCAGTTAATGAGTGCAACTCGGGGATTCTGGAGTTTGTAGGCTTGCATGGTGGCCATTAAAGCCTGTGTCTCTTTCCCATGTCTCCTCTCTCTCTCGGGCCTTGCTATTCCTATTGTGAAAGACCAAGGTGACCATTTTCAGGAGGTTCTCTAAAGTACTATTTGGTTCCAGGGCCTTTTCTGGAGCTTCATCCTGATACCAAGGGTTGCCTGAGTAATAAATTTACCCTTTAGGATTAGTTGTCCCTCAACTGAATTGGGACGTAGGTGTACTTTACCAAGGCCTCTCTTAGCCTTTCCAGGAAGGCAGTGGGATTCTCATAAAATCCCTGGTTTATCATGGATAGCTTGGTATAATTGAGGGGCTTAGTTCTAGTCTTATAGAGGCCCTCTGTTATGTACATCTGAAAGTATTTCCTCTTCCATTCTCCCATCTCATCATTGGGATCCCATTTAGGGTCATCTAATGGTACTGCTTCTCTCCCAGTTGGGTAAAGTGTGTCACCTTCCCTGATACTATGTGAGTACAAAACTCATCCCCAAATCTCTCTGCCACTTGTAGAGCAGCCTGCTTCTCTGTGTTAGTCAGGGTTTGATAAAAAAGTAACATAATGTCTTTCCAGGCCAGGAAAATTCAAATACGTGGGTTAAATTATGGAAAGCTTCTATATATCTGTCAGGGTCATCTGAAAACTTGCCAAGATTTCCCTTAATTTACCTTACGTCCTGTACAGAGAAGGAGACCTGGACCTTACTGGGGCCAAATTCACCAGGCATCTGTTGGAAGGGCAAGAGTGAGACTGGGAATTGTCTAGGGTAAGGATTTCTAGGAGGGGGCAAGTGAGAGAGAGAGAAACTGGATAGGGAGAACAGGGTGGACCTGGAGAAGCAGGGCCAGAGGGAGCTGGCTTTCCTGTTGGAGGTTCCTCTGGGATTTATTTCCTTAGTTCTCTGGGATTGCCTCTTGCAGCTCCTGAGATGGGAAAACAGGAGTGCAGGATCAGTCCTACTGTGCTTCTGAATTACCCTGCAAGGTAAAGAAAGCCTGCGCATATGGGACCTCAGGCAATTTGCCGTCACGTTTACAGAAAAAATCCAACTGCAGGATGGTATCAAAATGAATGGTTCCTTCCTGAGGCCAAGCCAGTCCTTCCTGCAGAACATAATTTGGCCAAACCTTTGTGCAAAGGACTATGAAGTGTTTTTCCTCCAGAGTCTGAGGGTCAAAGCAGTCCCAGTGATTCAGGATACACTCCAGAGGTATATAGACTGAGGACGGTGAAGACGATTGGTTGCCCATTCTTAAAGACAGGGAAGTAGGATCCCCTCATTTCTCTTCCCTCTTTCAGTGAAAACCCAGGGTGTGAAAAAGAGAAAAAAGGGTGTCCTTCTTTTTTCTTCTGTCTTTTTATCCCTGAGTCCTGGTGACCTTAGACAGACACTGCCCATGGGTGCCAGTGTGGCCTGCACCCGTAAAGCAGGGAGGGCCTAGAGAATAGGATTTATCTGCACTCACCTATACCTCCATCCACCCTACTGTCGGCAGCATTTGGGTTCCCTGGGCCTCATCTATGCCATGGAGCATGGCCTCCTTCCATGAAGCGGGGGCTTAATCACCAGGAATTAGTCTTGCCCATTAATACTGTGCCTGTTGCCTGGCTTTAGATTGCTCAGATCTGGCTTTCCTTTCTAGGGATTCAACCCAAAGCTTGGAATTAAGTTTGCAACAAAAAGGTGTCTGAGGGGATGCATGGGTTCATTTAGATTAAATCCCAGATGGGCCTTGCCAAATTTGCAGTTATCAGCCAGTGGGGTCACTCCTCCTCTGCTTCCCTATCATAAGCGGAGTGCTGAGGTGGGAAAAGAACCCTCTTGCATAGAAAAGGAAAGAGGGAAAAAAATGGCTTAAGTGGGAGAAAACCTCTTGCTCTATGCAGATAGGTTCCTTTAATGACTGTATCCTTCCTCTGGTTTGGACCAAGCTGGACCCCTCAGCCAGGGGAGGAAAGACTCTGGGTGCATGGTGGGAGGGGATGGTGAGTGGGAAATGCTGGCCAGCTTGGCCCCTGAAACTGCCCTGGGATCTGGGTGACAGCCATGGTTCTCTCCCACCCTGTGTGGCCACTGGGCGTGGCACATGCATGCTACAGACACATCCAAGCACCCCAGCTGGGAGCGGGGAGGGGAGCCACTGTGTACCTGCAGCTGTTGTGGTGGGAGTGGGGATGGAACCTCTAAGAACAGATGGAAATCACATTGTTCTGAATTGCATATCTGATGGTTGGGCCAAACGCTCATTCCACCTAAACGTTTCTGCAATTTGCAGCAACACCCTTAACATTATAAAAGAAGAGATAGGAGCCATGAAAGAAGGAAGTAAAAATAGCACAGAAAAGTCTGGGGGTCATGGCTGACACCCTAACGGGCAGTTGGGGACAGGGTCAAGTCTAGGGGTCTTCTGGCAACAATGGGGCATGGCCTCAGCCAGATGCTTTCAGTTGCCCCAGGACCTTATCCTGGTCTCACGCGATGGCTAGACCTCTGTGAAAGGAAACAGCCAACATTCCTTTCACCCAAAAGAAAGAGAGGTGGTAGGGTCACGTTCTGTCCTCTGCAGCTCTACCATTTGCCCTTAACTGGCCACTCAGAGGTTTGGTGGGTCATTTGCCTTCAGAGGAAAGTTTGAGGGCAAGAAGAGACAGATCCGACAGATCTGCATTTACTCACCCTTCTGACATATCCCAGATGAGCCCCCAGATGATGCAAGATATTTTCTTGACCCCTTTGTGGGACTCGTGACAGGGGTGCATCATTTACTCAGCCTGCCCTGTTCAACTTCTTGCGGGAGGGAGCATGTGACCCAACAAACGCAGGAACCGGCCACTTTGGCTCTAGCAGGAGTGAACTTGGTTCACTTGGGTCCACTGGGCTCTGCTCCTTGCCAGAGGGAGTAAGCAGGCAAGTGAGTGTGGGAACCAGAGCAAGCAAGTGCAGGAACTGGCTGCTTCAGTGTTGACAGGAGTAAACTCTGTGTGGGCCCCACAGCAGCATTCAGGTGGGGTGCCTGCAAGCCCAAGGCCCCAGAGGGCGTGTTACAGTGCTCTCTCAGCTCTGCTGTCCACAGACAGCAGTGTGTTACCAGCTCAGTGGACCCTTTGCCTCGTTGCATGGGGTGGCTGCCTTCTGCCAGTGAGGGTGAAGGGCCAATATTACAGCATTTTTGGGTACTCATACCTGGTACATCCTGAATTCTTGACTGGTGCCCAAGAGGAATGAGGATGAATTGAAGGATGTCGAATATGGAGAATTTTATTGAGTGATGAAAGTGGCTGTCAGTAGAGAAGGGAGCTGGAAAGGGGATGGGAAGGGAAGGTCTCTCTCCCCTGAAGTCAAGCCATCTCTCTGCCTCTCTCTTCTGAAGTCAGGTTGCCTCACCCAGCCACTGTCTCAAAGTTGCCTCTACCTGATGTCCAGCTGCTTCTCTCTGCCAGCTGCATATGGGATCTTTATAGGCACAGGATTGGGGTGGGGTGGGCTGTAGGTAGTTTTGGAAAAGGCAACATTTGATTGGTAAAAAGACATTATTCAGAAAGAACCAATCAGGAGAGAGAGGGTGCACAGGGATGGAAGTTCTCATTTTGGGCTGTGGGTTTCAGGCTTTTCAGCTCAAAGTTGGGGTTTTGCCATGGACCTGACCCTGTCTGCCTAGAATTTTTCTGCCTCCTGCCTCTACCACTGTATCAGCTAGGCTTGCCATATATTTGAAAAGCTCTTAAAGTAAAATATACATACAGAAAAACAAAAAGACTGCAAGTATATAGCTTGAATTTTCACAAATGGAACCCACCTATGTAATTAGCACTCAGATTAAGAAACAGAACATTACTAGTACCTAGAAAGTTCTTCTGGGTCCCCTTGCAGTCACCTGCTGTTTGTTTTTTTGATAAACACACAAGTGCATCTTTTTTCTTAGGCAGAGAAGGAAGGAAATCTTTTTGTTTTCATTCATTCTGTATTAGGTCATTTTCACCCTGCTGATAAAGACATACTTGAGACTGGGCAATTTACAAAAGAAGTTTATAATGGACTTACAATTCCATGTGGCTGGGGAAGCCTCACAATCATGGTGGAAGGCAAGGAGAAACAAGTCACATTTTACATGGATGGCAGCAGGCAAAAAGGGCTTGTGCAGGAAAACTCCCCCTTCTCATAACCATCAAATCTTGTGAGACTTACTATCACCAGAACACCATGGGAAAGACCTGCCCCCATGATTCAGTTACCTCCCACTGGCTCCCTCCCACAACACGTGGGAATTCAAGTTGAGATTTGGGTGGGGACACAGCCAAACAACATCACATTCTTAATACTATCCAAAAGTAAATGAGTTCTACTAAATGCAAAGCTATTCCTTGAATTATTCTTAAAATAATAAGTCCATTTAAAAGCATCTTATATTCCACTTAAATTATTTTAGAAGTAGTTTTATATTTGTTTTCTCATTTAATTTTTAAAAGCACCACTAAGATAAGGGACTGTTTTTACCACTTCATACATAAAGAATAAAGGCTCAGGGAGGTCACACAGCCAGCACACCCACCCAGCTGGTCACACATGCAGGACCGAGGGACTCCAGGGCAGAGTGTGTGTTGCTGTACCAGGAATAAAAGAGATGTATGATCTTTCACTGACCAGAATGTATTGTGGCCTCAAAGACCTTGAGAATCCCTGGCTTAAGTGACCTCCAAAAGGAGACCTCATCATCCTTCATTCAGAGACATTCTAACTATGCAGAAAATTCAGGACAAGACTGGGGTAAAAGTTGCCATTCATTTGTGCACTCTTTCCTGGTTAACTCTTCTTTGTCAGGCACTGTTATAGACACTAGGGATACAGCATGCAACAAGATGGGTACTGCCCTTGTTGTCTCTTGGTGCTTAAATTCTAGAGGAGACAGAAAATAAATAAACACAGACATAGACAAGATCATATAGTTATAACACCATGAAGAAAATACATAAAGCCAACATGAGAGTGAGAGTGTTACCGGAAAGGAGTCCTGATCCAGATCCCAAGAGAACATTCTTGGACCTCTTGAAAGAATGAATTTGGGGCAAGCCCATAGAGTAAAGCGAAAGCAAGTTTATTAAGAAAGCTTCACTTTCTTAAAGAATGGCTACTCCATAGGTATAGCAGTGGCATGGACTGCTTGACTGAATACACTTATAGATATTTCTTATATGTTAAACAAGGGGTAGATTATTCATGAGTTTTCTGGGAAAGGGACAGAGATTTTCTAGAAGTGAGGGTCCTCCCCTTCTTAGACTATATGGGGTAACTTCTTAATGTTGCCACAGCATTTGTAAATGGTCATGGTGCTGGTGGGAGTGTCTTTTAGGATGCTAATGCATTATAATTAGTGTATAATGAGCAGTGAGAATGACCAGAGTTCACTTTCATTGCCATCTGGATTTTTGTGGGTTTGGACTGGCTTTTTTTTTTTTTTTTTTTTTTTTTTTTCCTGTATCCTGTTTTATCAGCAGGGTCTTTGTGACCTGAGTCTTGTGATACCAGTCCTGCCAACTTGCTATCCCATTCTATGACTAAGAATGCCTAACCTCCTGGGAATGCAGCCCAGTAGTTCTCAGCCTCATTTTACCCAGCCCCTATTCAAGATGGAGTTGCTCTGGTTAGAATGCATCTGACGAGGGTGGGGAGCATGTGGTGGTCAGGGAAGCCTTCTCTGATGAGGTGACTAATTTTGTAAAAGAAACTTTTCACTGAAGTATATCACATATAAAAAAAGTGCACAAGTCATAAATGTATAACTTGAAGAATTTTTGCCAAGTGAACACACCCATAACCATCCCCCATATCAAGAAATGGGACATTGTCAATCCTCTAGAGGCAGCTCTGTGCTTTGAGGAGGTGACTTTTGAAGTGATCTTGAATGCTAAATTGGTGGCTGTGCAACGATCTGGGTTCAGAGTGTTCCAGTAAAAAAGAACAATATGAGAAGGCAAGGGGAAGAACTTAGCATGTTTGAGGAAAAGAAAAAAGGCCAATTTGTACCAGTCTATTGATTTAGCCCAGCAGTATTTGGGTTTTGTGTTTGTGGCATAGTTTTCAGTGTGGGACTGGAAGGGAAGCATCACTTTGGGATCCCAAAGGCCCAGCTTATTGATGGATGGTCTTGGAATTGCAGTTATAATCAAAGTAACGTGGAGGAGAGAGTCTTAGCAGAAAGTCTTAGGATATTTTATTGGTCACATGGTCTATCTTATATAGGGCCTATCTTAGTTGAGGATGGATTGGGATATTGGATATATTCACAGACTTTATAATAGCTCAGATGACAATCACTTCTAGATGGCTTTCAGTCTCTTGATCTTCCCCCATCATGGCAACCCGTTAAACAAAATCTCTTCTGCTATCATGTCCAAGGCCTTGGTCTTGACACTTGTTATTCTAAGATGAATCATGACCATGTGCTTGAAAATCCCAAATTATCTAAATGTTTGCATATAGGCCAGATTGGTTCCTAAGAAGGGATGTAGGTAAATAAGAGAGGCATTTGGAAGCATTTACATAACAGGGAACAGTAGGAACACTGGGAGAATCATCACACAAATATCTGCCACTCTGGCTTATTATGCTCAAAGGAGATAATGTCAAATTGTGGTAGAGGGTGCAGTCTTGAAAGTATTTTGCCTGCTTTACTGAAATTCTAATTTGGCTTTAACATTTGACTGTCTCAAGATTATTGGTATTTCATTCTATTGACAACAGTCGTTCAGAACTTGACAAATGAGAACTTCAGGAGACAGTGCTGCCTTTGCACTGAGCATGTGACACAAATCCTTGGCCCTGACCGCTCATGCAGAGGTTTTAGCTGGGCCCCCAGCAACTCTTTAAGGCATGTTTCCCATGAGCTCAGAGTGTGTCTGCTGTTCCCATGTCCATACCAGGCCACCATAGAGGATTGCAGGGTGTGGCTGTCTCGCTGGTGGGCTTTGCTGCTGTAGGGCAGGTGCTGTGGACTGTTTGTGCCCCACTCTCAAATTCATAGGTTGCAATCCTAACTCCCAAGGTGAAAGTATTAGGGGCTGGGGCCTTTGGGAGGTGATTAGTCATGAGAAGGGAGTCCTCATGAATGGTATTAGTGCCCTTATAAAAGAGGCTCTAGAGAGACCCTCACCCCTTCTACCATGTAAGAACACAGAAGGTGCTGTCTATGAGGAAGCAAACAGGCCCTCACCAGACATTGACTCTGCGGGCACCTTGATCTTGGACTTCCCAACCTCCAGAGCTGTGAGAAATAATTGTTATTTATAAGCCACCTGGCTCATGGCATTTTTGTTATAGTAGCCTGAACAGACTACGACAGTAGGTATGGCTGAAATGCTGTTCTGCTCTGTGCTGGTCTGTAAATGGCTGTAATTCTCCTGAAGTTCCTTACCGTTGCCATCCCAAGCCCTCAGGTGTCAGGTGTGTGGAGGAAGACTGTTTCCTTCATCTTTGCCACATTCTGTTAGAGGGTCCCCAAAGGAGGGCTGCCCCAGTCCCAAGGTGTTTCTGTTTTTACTTATAGCCTCTTGCTCCACTGGGCACTCTGACATGAACCCAATGGAAGCTGAGTCAAGAGACAAATTGGATAGGCAGATACCTCCCTGAACTCAGAATTAAGAGATTGTATCCCACCCTTAGAGCCTAATAGGCTCTTCCTTCCCTTAGGATATATCCCTTTCCAGGAGGCTCCTTAGACAGTCCTCCATATAGACACCATCAGGCTGCTTCCCCTCTGTTGGATAAGCCAGACATCCCGACTACCCAGCACTGGGCTCAGCACTGGCTCTTTCTCAAGGCACCCTTGTGGCCCACTGATGGTTCACTGTATAGACTCAGGAAGGCCTGCATCTTGCAGCCTCAAGCTGGGAGCCCCCACCCCTCTTAAAACTGTGTGCAATTAAAACTGTGCTTGCTTATTTTTTTCATCAGCCAAAGCCAGGTGCTTGTTCTGACAAGTCCCGTCTTAACACGAGAAGGCAGCACTTCCCGCCAAACCACCTTAACATGTAAATCTCCCAGGAAGCTGGAGCTTTGTCTCATTCTCATTAATGAGGAGGATGAGAGGAGGCAGGGGGCTCCTCACCTCTCTCAGACCAGAGGCTCGCCTCTGCAATGTATCTGCTCGCACAGGGCCACTTGAGTCATCTTTCTAAAATCCCATGTCACACCGGTGCTTTCAAAACTGCTCATGCTTAAAGGCCGAATTCTTCATAACAGGCAAGCCCTCCACTGATTTCAATTTCCCCTACTTCCCCCAGCATGTCGTACTTCCCAGTCACACCAGACTGCTCCAAGTCTCCCTGCCCCATGCCAGCCAGCCCCTTTTCTCATGCTGTTCCCCTTGTGTGGAATACCACGCCCCACTCCGAACTACTGCCTGGCAAGTGACTCATTCTTTCGGCTCAGCTCAAATGTCCCTCATCTGAGAAGCCCTTCCCCCCATCTCAAAGGTAGTCTCCATTCTACAGAGATGTATGTGCAGCCAGAACTGCAGGGTCTGGCTCACAGCCTCTCAGTCCATTTGAAGTTTTATTCAGGGACTGGTTGTTGCTGAGGCATGGTGCACCTCTCTACAGGGCATGGATTTATCTCCCTGGTGTGCATTTGTGAAATGCACCTTCTCTTCTTATTTGGCTCCTGGGGCTCAGTTGTACCATCCGTGAGTACATCAGGGAGTTGCCTGTGTGAGCTCATCAGCATCCTTAATCTCCTTTGTAAGTGGATTATGTCAGACTTTACTGTGTGCCTGGAGGCTTCCCATGGGTCTAATTTCAAAATAACAGAAATGTCATACTAACTACCCCCTCACTCAACCTCCCACAGCAACATATTTATTTTTAAAGCTGTTTAATAGAATTACATCTAGGGAAGAAACAGAAGCAAGAGAAAAAAAAAAAAAAAGCCAAGTAATCCTCCCAAGCTCACAAGACAGCTCATGCATTAAGTATGTCAAAGGGCTCTCAGCTCTTCCAGGAGGTCTTCAAGAGAATGAAAAGGAGTCACAGAATGCAGGGGCAAGCTCCCTTTTCCACTGGACAGATGACACCCTATTGGGATGCCAGTAGGGAGGGTCCATTATCAATAGGGTCCTTTCATTAAGGCCCAAGCCATTGCTAATTTACTAGATATTAAAGCAGCAAGAGGCAGCTGCTAGGGGTGGCAGTGGGATGCGGTAGGGTAGTAAGGTTGAAGGGTGAGGATTGAAGTTTTGGGAAAGCAGCGTTGCACTTGGAATAAGCTGGATTCTCTGGTTTGTGTTATTCATGTCCCTCATCTGCCATAGCTACTTCCCTCCCTTCTCCCTTCCCTAAGCTCTGGTAACTACTCATCTGTTTTGTAACTATAATTTTGTCATTTCAAGAATGGCATATAAATGGAATGATACATTACGTAATCCTTTGAGATTGGCTTTCACTCAACATAACGTCCTTGAGATCCGTTGGAGTTGTTGCATGTATTAATAGTTGATTCCCTTTTATTGCTGAGTAGTATTCCATGTTTAGATGTACCACTCTTTGTTTAATGGTTCTATAAAAGGGTGGTAGCACTGGGGATCCCTGAGATGGAACTATTCTGTATCTTGACTGTGGTGGCAGTCATAGGAATCTACACCTGTGATAAAATTGCATAGAACTGAACACGCACACACATGTGAGTGCATGTAAAACTGGTAGAATTTGCATAAGGTGGGTGGTTTGCATCAATGACAATTTTATGGCTCTAATACTGTACTGTAAGATATCAACATTGTGGCAGACTGGATGAAGGATTTTTCTGTATTATTTCTTACAACTGCGTATGAATCTATACTTATTTTTTAAAAAGCCTTTGGTGGCACTTTTTTGCCAGTGGAACAAAGGCTAAACCTCTTGGTCTGGGACTCAAGAGGTCCTTCCATATTCTAGCTACCCTACCTGTCTTTTGTCTTCTCATGACTTTGGCTTGGCTGACTTATTTGTTTCTCATCGTACTATGCACTTCTCTTTAAAGTAACCTGTTCTTTTTATTTGAAGTATAACATTGAAGTAAAAAAACTCAAATAATGAAGGTACAGCTTGATGAATTTTCACGATGTGGGCCAGATCAAGAAGTAGGACATTGCCAAGACCCTAGAATCCTCCACCTCCCCCTTTCCAGTAACTACCCTCCAAAGGATAGTTGCTGTCTGATTTTCATCATCATATGTTACTTTTGCCTGTTTTTGAACTTCATATAAGTGAGTTCATGGATTCTTTTTCAACTGGATTCTTTTGTTCAACATGTTGGCTAGATTTACTCATGTTGCAGGTAGCAGTAGTTTGTCTATTATCATTGCTGTATAGTAGTTATTACATTGTGTGAAGAGAATATAATTATACAATTTATACATAATACTGTTGATTATTATGTTGTTTACAGTTTGGAGCTATTTCAAGTAGTTCTGCCACGAATCTTCTTTTGTAAGTCTTTTGGGCCTCATGTGTACTCATTTCACTTGGATATATACCTAGAAGTGGAATTGCTGGGTCCTGGGATATGCACATGCTTCACTTTAGTTAGTAGGTACTGCCAAATAGTTTTCCCAAGTGGTTGCACAAATTCAAACTGCTACCGGAAGCATACGAGAGTTCCTGTTGCTCTATGTCCTTGCCAATCCTTGGCATCATCAGTTTTACTAATTTTAGCCATTCTGGTGGAGTATGGAGCAATAGCTCCTTTTCTAAGACCAGTCGTGGGGGAGTTTCTCCTCCTCCCCCCACAGGAAATGGCTGTGGCTTGTTACTTGGTGTAAGGCTCATGATAGAGCAGAGAGATTTTCTCCTTCTCCTCCAGGGTCAGGTGGCCTGGTTTCTATCCCTTATCCAGGGGCAGGTGGCTTAGTTTCTATCCCTTCTCCAGACAGTGGGTCTTTGCTTAGGCCTTGGGAGTGGGAGGGTAGCCTGCTTCTACCCTTAAGGCTTTGGGTTCTTATAAGGAAAAGTTCTGGAAAATGGGTGGGGTTTCATGCCTATGGGCCAGCAAGGGCTCTCTTGGCTCTTCTGCCTGGCCCAGTCTTTCTTCTGAGCACCTGGTAGGGGTTGTGGAAAAGAGCTGGGAGTATGATCTCCTGTGTCTGGGCTCCCGGGGATTCTCAATTGTCACACCCACCCACACTGGGCTTTTCAGATCTGTTATAATGAATAATTTATTGTATATTTCAAAATAGCTGGAAGAGAAGATTTTGAATGTTCTCAACACAAAGAAATGACAACTGTTTGAGGTGATGGGTATTCGAATTACCCTGGTTTGATCATGTTGTATATGTGTATTCAGAATATCACAAGTACCCCAGAAATATGAACAATAATTATGTATCAATTTTAAAAAAAGAACTTGTTACAGTGTTAGCTCTTCTTCTTTCATATGCAGCCACCGCTTTCTCCAAAGAGGCTCTGGCAAAGGTGGGAGAGTATGTATATTCTGTCTCTATGGAGGGGCTTGTCACTCTGGAATTCAGTTCTCCTGATTGCCTTGTAATCTCGGCTCTCTGATGGGTTAAAGGAAGTTAGGACTGTCTATTGTCTGGCTTTTTTTCTTGTTGATAGAAGGGAAGTAATGTTCTTTTGTGGCTTCTTGCCTCTCACTGTGGTTCTTAACTTGAATTTCTCTGATGTCTAATGAGTTAGAATGCCTTGACGTGTAACAGCCACATCTAGCATTTTTGTGCTCCTTAAATGCCCTTTCCTTTCATTCTTTGCTTATTCCTTCGAGGGTTAGTTAAAGGATCCCTTTTCCTAAGCAGCTGTCCATAACCACTTCTGTGTGCATCTCTCTCCCCCACCAAACCTTGCTCTCTTGTCCCCTCCTTCCCCAGTATTTTGTGTTGTTTGGATTAGACAACTGGGGATTGGGAACAGTACGACTTCTTCCTGGTTTCCGTCTGTTTTCCTAACGACGGTCAGCTGGGAGAAGCAGAGCGGGCGGGTGAGAGGCAGTGTATGTGTCCGGGGTGGATTTTCCTTTGGTCCAGGAGAGGGATAGGGCACAGAGACCACTTCTTCCACCGGAGTTAAGGCTGCGACTCGTTTCTTCAGCAGCAGAGGCAACATTGCTGCTGCTTGCTGTCTGGGAATTCCTGGGAGGGTCCCCTCGTAAATGCCCCAAAGGCCTCCTCCTGGTTTTGGTTGTATCTGTGTTTCTTACCAGGCACTTTTCCTGCCTAATTGAGCCCAAATTGCTGAAAACAAACTTTCTCAGAGTTATTCTCATCCTGCTGGGTATCAGCTTTCCCTAAAACCAAAATTGCTGCTTAGTCTAGACCTGCACGTTATTGTTCTATTTTAGGAGAAGCCCCAACTCACTCCACCCCAGAATAGCAGATGTGGCTGCTCCACACAGGGCTGCCTTTCCCTTCGTCTCCCTTGCAGCTGTGACCCCTTTGTACAGTGTCTGTCCCTGGCGACTTCTGAGCAGACCTCAGCTGCTCTGTTACTACCGAGGGCAGCAGCGAAGATAGAAACAGCCTTTCCAAAGTGACAGAAGAGAAAAATAGCATAAACTTCGGGCATAAAAAAGTGAACCTGAAATGTGAGGTGGTCACAAAGGATCACCTGTGGATCAGGCTGTGTCTAGGTGTGTAGGGTAGGGTGTCCCTCAGTCTTGCTCTTCCTCTGACTCCATGGCCTAGAGTTTCCCTTTCCATTCTGCTGTCCTGCCTGGGCTTCCTGGGTGAGCTGGGAAAGAAAGCACTTTCTGCTTCTAAGATTCTCTCTATTGTGACTTTGGGACAGTGGAGGGCTGGTAAATGTTGTAATAACTGACCCTTCAGGAAAGAGCACCTGCTTTTGCAGTGTTTGCCCATTTCCATTGTGTGAAGACTCCCACCACGGCCGACTTTAAGCTACTAACACGATATCCCAACACACAGTTGGGGAAAGATTCCAAACAGCACACAATTATACAGGGCTTCCGTAGTACAGGTGAAATGCATGTAAATAACCTTCAGGCAGAGATCAGCGGTTGGCAAATTACAGCCTGTAGGTCAGATCTGACCTGTGGCTTGTTTTTGTGCAGCCCGTGAGCTAAGATTGGTTTTTATATTTTAAAAAGGTTAAAAAAACACACAACAGTGTGACAGAGATTGTCTGTGTCCCTCAAAGCCTAAAATATTACCTGTCCCTTTACAGAAAATTTCACTGACCCCTGGCATAGATAATAGTGAACCGTAGTAAAATAATTAGGAAGTAAGGAATTTGAGCACATTTACTGTTGGTTTTTGGTGTAATGTATTTAATTGTAAATGTATGTTTACATCTAGTTTTTAATTTTAAAATGCATATTTATATTTATTTTTTCTAATGGATGTGCTTAACTCCAGCCTCACAAAATTCCCCCCAATTTAACAATTGGTTTTCACAAGCCAGTAAAAATTACTTGAGCACACCACTGCTTCAAGGGCCATTGCTGGAAGGTTCTTCAGTCCAATCTCTTCACATTGTAAATGGGGAAACTGAGGCCCAAAGAAGAGAATGGTTTACTCAATTTGCTACTTGGCAAATTAGTGACAGTCAGGTTTCCTAACCTGCAATTCTGCTATCTTTGCTCATTTGATGCTGCCCAGTAAACACCCACGGTTCCCTTTATTTTTCTTTTTTCTTTTTCTTGAGACAGAGTCTCGCTCTGTTGCCCAGGCTGGAAGTGCAGTGGCGAGATCTGGGCTCACTGCAAGCTCCGCCTCCTGGGTTCACGCCATTCTCCTGCCTCAGCCTCCCGAGTAGCTGCGACTACAGGTGCCCACCACCACGCCCGGCTAAGTTATTGTATTTTTAGTAGAGACGGGGTTTCAGCATGTTAGCCAGGATGGTCTAGATCTCCTGACCTCGTGATACGCCCACCTTGGCCTCCCAAAGTGCTGGGATTACAGGCGTGAGCCACCGTGCCTGGCAGTTCCCTTTTTCTTGCCATGACCTCTTGGACCCGATTTCTTTTGCTACCTGAGGTGGCCAGTGGGCACCACATGGGAGGAGCTGGCCCGCGATCCCCACAAAGCACAGCCTCAGCACAGGCTCACCCTGAGGACTCTTGCCCCCCACGAAACCATGACCCTGTTCAATTTACTGATATTTTCCTTTTTCTGTTTACTTTGAGGATAAATATTCTTTCTGTCTTCCCTGGATTGTTGCCCTGGGTATTTTCTCAAGCCCTGACTTTTTATGCAGTCTGATCTTGGCTTCTTTGGACAGAATGGGTGTTCTTGGATTAGCCTCCTTGATCCACCCACCTCCACTTTGGACTTTGCACTGAGCACTCTTTGTGCTAAATCATTGTTCTCGGCAGACTCAGACCCCCATTTATGGTGACAGAACCTGATGCCTTCTGAGGGGCGAGGCAGGGGTGGGGAAGAGGCTGGCCTGAGGAAGCCAGGAGACTGCCAATGTCAGGATCTCGGCGAGTGGCCGGGGCTGTGTACCCTGTGAGAGAGAGTGGGGGAGAAAGAAAGAGATGATCACTGGCTTCCTGAGTCTCACAAAGCCCGCCTGAGCTTCCTGTGCTTTTGGGGTGTTGCAGATATCTCCAGGAATCTTAAGATCAAGTCTCACATGACCCAAACATTTAAGGGGATTCCAGCTCCCTGTGACCAGTCCCTGATGAAAACACTGGAAATCTCAAAATCCTCATACACTGGGAGCAGTGGAGGTGCGGAGAGGCAGCCCTGTGCAGAGCAGGCACCTTTCCTGCCACGTCCCCCGGCTGCTGCTGGAGCCACGGAGAGCTCCGTTTCAGCATGCCTCTTGCCTTCTGTTGTCTTTTCTTCTCTCCACAGAGTGGGTGAATGACATGTTGTTGTTATGGTGCAATCATTGCTGCCAAAGTCAAGGAGCAATGACAGATATTGGCTTGATTTTTTATGTAATTTAAGGTACCAAAAGAGGAAGTGAAAAATTATAAAAGATCCCATATAAAATATAGAATTAAAAATCCTAAAGAAAGACATTGTATGTTTATTTCTGTAGAGTGAAATTAAATTTCCTTGAATCGGCAGATAGAACAGATCATTTGGGAAAGCACCCACATCTGGCACTGAAAAACCAGCAGGGATATTATAAACTTACTTGTTTGACGTCGTTAAGATATCAAAATGGTATTAAAAAAATTTGTAAAAAATGTATCTAGAATTCTACTTCCCTGTAAATAGTATTTTCATTTTGCCTGGTGTCTTGCCTACTGTGATTTACATAATTTAACACAGTTATGTTCATAATATATATACCCATTTTTCAGTCATGAAAACCTTCTATGTTGCTACAGTCTATAATATTTTAATTTTTGTTGTTGAATAATATTGTCACAGTTTGCTTCATTTTTCCTTTATAATTGATATTTAGCTTGCTTCCAGTTTTTGGAATCACAATGAACAACACAGCGAACACTTTTTTAGTTTTGATTTTAAAATTAGCAAGTAAAATTTCTCAGCATGAATCCCCAGGAGTAGGATTATGGGGTAACCTGAAAAGGCTGGCACTGTGGAAGGAGAACTGGCTTTAGAGTCAGAAGGCTTGAGATTGACCACTGATCTACTACCTGTGTGATCTTGGGCAACTTCCTTAAAGTCACTGAGCTAGTGTTTTCTCATCTGTAAACTTGATTTGTATTATATCGTACTTCATGAGATATGTGAGTACCAGCATGTAGTAATTATGCTCAAATGAGCGAGTTTCGGCAGAAAGGGAAAGACGTTTTTATTCTTCTTGATCCACGTCATCAGATTCCTTTGCAGAAGGTAGATTCATCACTGACGTAATGAGTCGATGCAGCTTTCAGTGCAAACTCACCAGCAATGAATTTTCTGATTTCAAAGGTCAACATAATACGTTACAAAAAGGTACTTAGGGAAGTGAGTAAAAGAAATGCTTAGATAGTAAAAGGTTAAAATCACAAAAGCAGGCAAAGCACAAAGCACAGCATGGCATTACTGACTGAAATAAGAGAAAGGATCAGAGAGAACGGGGTGTGGTGGAGGAAGGGAGTCAGTATTTTCCTCTGTGTCTCTAACCTTTGTCAGGTGGCTGAGGGTGGGCTGCCATGGGGGCATTCAACACTTCGCTTCCTCTAGATGGGCACTCTAGCTTTTTCCCTGGTCTTGGCAGATGCTCCCTGACTCAGTTCTCTTTCTCTGGCCTCCATCCTTAGGGGAACAGATGTATTGCAGGGAGAGAACAATGTCTTCATTGTAAGTCCAGCTGCCACAGAGAACTCCCTGCTCCCTTCCACACCACAGGGACTGCCCCCCAGTCTGCCAGAGCCTCCAGCCCACTCCTCTGCCCACTCAGGCTTAGCCCTGCCAGACCCTGAGGGGCAAATAATGCCTGACTGTTTCCTTCTCTTTGCGGGACAGTCCACCTCACTGTGCCCATCTCTGTCTCAGGAGGGCAGGGCTGTCTATACAGGTGGGTCCTTGGCATTGGAAACAGAGATAGCCACTTATGTTCCAGGGGACCTGGTTGAAGTGACCCTGGC
The DNA here is from genome assembly GCF_000001405.40 of Homo sapiens. Lineage (NCBI taxonomy): Eukaryota > Metazoa > Chordata > Mammalia > Primates > Hominidae > Homo > Homo sapiens. Next base: position 108,779,418 of record NC_000009.12, on the reverse strand, counting down.
CTATCCTTTCCCCTTGGGAGGCTTCAGTGGTGTTGACAGTGAATTGAAAGGGAGTCATCAGAGAAACTCTGGTGAGCCCTAAGCTTCAGAACCGCTCTTCTGGAAACTTCCATGGTCCCTACAACAGCAGTCCTTACAAAGCACCCACGCTGTGGACTGAAGGAAACGGTCATCTCTGCATCAGGCAGTTGATTTAAAATCAGGTTGATTTAAATACTTTCTGAGGTGGGGAGAGGATTTCTTCCACTTTGATGGTGCTCTTTATTCTACAAAGCCTATTTCCATCTGTTCTCTATGAGGGAGCAGGACTGTAAATGGGGAAACTAAGGCCCACGGATGGCGAGTAGTTAATAAGTGTGGGAGCTGGAACTTGGGAATCCAGGCCATTGGTCTTCTGGGTAAAAGTGTATTCTTCCCACTCTGACGCACAGAGCTTGGTAAAGAGGATGTGGGGAAGCAAGGGGAGGGGTCAGTAGGCAGGACAACCCCAGGGATGTGGATGGGGTCCCGGGGCAGGTGCCTGGAGGGGCTCTGCCAACAGTAGAGCTCCCCTGGGAAGGGGTTATGGAGTGGAAGTGACACAGGATTCTCTGATTTCTTCTAAGGTTGGATTGCACCACAGTTTCTTTTTGGTTTCCCATGACCCTCCCTCTTCTGGGGTTTCTCTGGTTTCTGGTTCTTGGGACTGAGAGGGCTGTTTCAAGCTGAGCGTGCTCAGCAGGTGTGTGGGCCTTTGTGAGAAGCCAGGGACTGGGGGCAGCTGCTCAGGATGGGATTGTACTGGCAGCGGATCCCAGGTCACCTGCGTTAGAGATTGACAGCGTATGCTTCTCTCTTCTATTGGACCCTCAGCGCTTCTCCCTTCTAGGTCCTCCCCTTGAGTATCATTTAAAAAGCAAAATCTTCCTGCTCAATCATTTTCCATGGCTACCCATTCACTGAGGGAAAGTACTGTTCCTGTAAGATGATGCACAAGGTCTTTCTGGACCTGTACTGGGCCTTAGCCCCTGCCCTCCTCCCCACTGCCTTTTCCCGAGTCCCACCCAATCCTGTGCTCCCACCATGCAGAACCTTATCAGGTTTCCTAAGTGTAGCGCATTGCTCCATGCCTCTGTGCTTTTCTCCACACTGTCCCTCTGCCTGGAGTACCTTTCCCTCCATATTTGCCTGTAGAGTTCCTATTCACCCTTGAAGATCCTGGTCAAGGAAACCTTTCTACCTCAGGGGAGCATCCTGTGATCCCCTCCTGGTCCTTCTGCCACCATTGCCCCTATTATAGCATGACTACTCTGTTTAGTTTTTGCTTCTCCAGACCAAGCATTCTTGGAAGACAGAGGAGATAAGCTGGAATCATTTTGGTGTCCCTTGGTGGTCCCCTTTGGGGACCATTTTGATTCCCCCAAACGATCAGAGGAATCATTTTGTCCCCTGGCACCAAGCCTAAGTCAGAAGGCTCGTTGAGTGATTGGTCAAGGGGTTTTCCCTGGGCATCTGCACACGTTCCCTCCTAGTGGCTCCGGTCCATGTTCACACCGTAGCTAGAATATTCTTTTAAAAACATAAATGGTGCCATATCCCTCATCTGCTTAAAACCCCTCGGGGGCCTCCTGATGCATTCAGGATAAAATCTTTATCATGGTGTCTCTTGACTCCTTCTGATCTCATTACTGTCAATGGAACCATAATGAGCCTTTCAGTTTCTGGAATGTTCTTTCCTGCCTTAACACCTGCAATACTGTCTCTTCTACTTAGGGTGCTATTCCCTCACTTCTGACATGAAAGAGCAGCCTGCCTCTGCCTCAGCCTACCTAACCTATGAATGGCAACCCCTGGGTTCTGGTGGCTGAACTCTATGAGCCATGTGATTGCTTAATGCTAAAGCTTACACCTGTGTGCCCATGACCTGTGTTGACTTAAAGTCATGAGATCTATACATCGGGAAAGGAGAGCTTAATTTCTTATAAAAGGTTGCAGCTGCAGGCTCGCCACCTGCAGGCTGGGAAGCATAGCCTCCAGCAAAAAACAAAAGCAAGCACTTGGAAGGAGGAAGGCTAAGACAGGAATTTACACTGAACAGGTTGGCTAAGTATACATATTCAACAGGTTATAGGAAGAACTGTGAATATTCATGAAGGGGTGTGCATGCATAGTAAGCAAACATGCATGTTACATATGTCCCATGTTCACTTTGGGTTGGAGACTTAACATTTAAATGCAGTGAATTTAGGCTCCATAAGTCAAAAGGGAAAACGGAGGACACAGAAGTGTCCCTGTGTGCAGCCTCCATGGACTGGCCAGAATCAGTCTGTGGTCAGTGGTCTCTTATCAGGAAGGAATGCTGGTCAGTTGCTGTGCCAAAACCACAAAAATGGCGAGGAGTCCAGCCACAGCATCAGGTGGTTGGTGGAAATCAGCAGTGGAGCAAATCTTTTGAAAGGGCTGGTTTCAGCTGAACTCTGGGAAAGAAAGTCTAATGGTGTTTAGTGAGGGAGGGGGCACAGCAAGGCCTGTCTGACCTCCTCTCCCACCCTGTCATGGCCAAGAGCTCAGTTTGTAAGTTTCTTTGTGGTCTCCTTGGCCAAAAGGGGGGTCCATTCAGTTGGTTGGGAGGGTTAGGATTTTATTTCTCACCTGCATTGGTTTTCACCCTTAAAAAAATGAAGAGACATAAAGTGTGCAGGATCCCTGAGGATAAATTGTCAAGGGAAAGAAAGAGATCAGACTCTCATCAGATAGACCTGCATTCAGATCCTGGCCCCACACTTATTTTTGGCACTATGGGCAAAGTGACTTGATCTCTTTAACCACAGTTTCCTTACCTTTAAATGGGGTTAATAATGCTTCTTGCTTCATGGTGTCATCATGAGATTTGAAATAATGTGTATAATGCAGTTTAGCACAGTTCTGGTCACATAGTAAGCACTCAATTTTATTTATTGTTAATTTACTGTAAGGCAGCATATATAAATATATAAATGAGCATTTATTTAAAATAACTTCAGAATCTTTCCTTCCTCCCATTTTTTTCTTTTTTCTTCTTCCCTCCTTCTTTCTCTCTCTTTTATCTCCCCCTACCCCATAGTTTGTTTCTTTCAAGCATTTAACAAACGTTATTGGGTGCCTACAGAGTGCCAGGCAATATCCCAGAGCCTGGGAAAAGATTTCAGAGAGAAGAATGTGTGTTTTGTTGTCTTCCCTTGCTCATGTCCCAGAGTGAACTTTGAATTTGTCTATATGACTTAGCCTCAAATGACAGGCCCAGCAAATCTGGGAGGTGGGGGAGGGCTGTGTGGGGCTGAGAAGGGTTTCAGCTGGGTCTGCCTCCCCTTATTCCAGCTCTGCTCCACCCATGGCCCAGCAGGAAGCCTCCACTTGTGATATGAAAATGCCCTTTCAATAGCTCAGTGTGGAAGCTCAGATGTTGGTAACAGTTGCTTAATTTTAAGAACCAGAATGTATTCTGCCAAGTTGTGATCCCACTGGACCTCCAAGCAGTTTGAACTTGGAGTGAAATCCAAACCATGAAGGCTTAAACTCTTGAAACTGGGGAAAAAAAAAAAAAAAAAAAGATTTCGAGGTTTAAAGCAAAAAGCTTCACCAGGCTCCAGGATGAAGGAGTTTATCCAAAATATAACCATCCAAAAATAATACTCTGAAGTTTTATTAAAAAAAATCAGAGACCTATGGGTGAAACTTCTTTTATAACGGAATTATAAAGAAGGTATAGTGTGGGGGGAATGGGTCTTTTTCAAGAACATTAAAGGAAGAGTTGTTTCCTGATGTCAACTTCTCGGAGAAAAGAAAATGCTTTTTGTTTTTGAACATGATAGATTTTCTATGGCCAATGAATTTACAAGTTTGAATCCCCAGTTGTATTGCTAATATGGATTTCATAATTAACCTCTCTGGGGTTGGACAGGCCTTAAAATGAGCTACAGCAAAGACTGTTTGCGTAGTTCAAAGCAGACTTGGAGGATCACAAACAAACAGTGATTATGAAGGGCAGTTACGCTGATGTAATATTAATAGTTCCTTCTCATCCTTCGGGCTGCAAATCCCATTTCAGCTTCTCTGTAAAGCATTCCTTACTCCTCTTCCCCTCAGCCCCGTGTCCCCTGACTTTCCCATCGATTTCCCCTCCTTATTTCAGCCAGCTACCCATTCTTTCATTGCTCCGCAAGACCTGCTCATTCATCCTCTCTCCTTCCCCAGTCTGCTGCCTTAAAAACCCACCCCTAGGGTTCTGGCCCCACAATGCCTGAAATATTTGGGGAGAGAGTGGTGCGGAGTTCTAGCTAGTCTAAGACTATTTAAAATCCGAGGAGTTTTTCCCTCGGACACCACTCTGAGTTACAGGAGTTTCTTAGTCCATCTGCCTGGTTGTGGGGAGAAATGAGGATACAGAGAAGAAAGGATACAGAGGTTCTTGCGGGGGAATCACTGGCTAGAGTAGGAAGGCTCTAGAGGGAGGGACCGCATATTGTAGAGCTGGTCTAAGAGGGTCAGACGTGGCTCAACCAGCCTTCCAGGTCATCTAGTGGGGAAGAGAGAAGAGCTTACAGGAGATGGCTCTTCTGGCTTCAGAGTCTCCTTGGACCATGGGAGCAGTGAGGCTTGGGGCCTTAGGAAGATCTGCCTGGGTGCAGGGGCGGCTCAGCAAGTGGGGACCAGGAGCTTGTGCTTCAGGCTCAGTCATGGCTGCTCTAGCAGTGGGGCCCATGAACCCAACTTGATAGGATTGGAAGTTCCTGGAGCAGTAGGAACTAAAACCACGGGGGATTCCTGGGGTGGTGGGCTTAGCCTGGGACAAGAAAGGGAGAAGCTTGTATCCCTAAGGTAGGATCCATCCTGTTTTGTGGCTTTGGATTCAAGAACCACGGTTAATTCCAAGAAAGGCCCATCTATGGAGCCCTCTGTTGAATCTGTCCAGGAAGCTTACAGATGGGCATGGGCAGAGGAGAAGAATGCACATCTCTTGGGTTAGAATTGTGGCTTCAGGAAAGAACTCCAGTGGGAGAGTTTTATAGTAGTACCAAACGTGGCTTTAAAACAGGTTCTCAGTTTCTTTGTCACTCCACCCATCAGAAGGTGGAATCTAATTCTCCCCATGGATGCTGGCTGGCCATTGGTGACTCACTGCCTTTTTTTTTTTTTCATATGGAGTTTTGCTCTTGTTGCCCAGACTGGAGTGCAGTGGCGTGATCTTGGCTCACTGAAACCTCCGCCTCCAAGGTTCAAGCGATTCTCCTGTCTCAGCCTGCTGAGTAGCTGGGACTACAGGCACGTGCCAACATGCCCGGCTAATTTTTTGTATTTTTAGTAGGGGCGGAGTTTCACCATATCGGCCAGGCTGGTCTCAAACTCCTGACCTCAGGTGATCTGCCCGCCTCGGCCTCCCAAAGTGTTGGGATTACAGGTGTGAGCCCCCGAGTGTGGCTGGTGACTCACTTCTAACTAGTAGAATGTGGCCGAAGGGATGCTGCATGATTTCTGAGGCTAGGTCTGAAAAGGTGGTACAGCTACTCCTTACACTCTTCTTGGGACGTTCACCCTTGGAACCCAAGCTGCCATGTTGTTAGGAAGTCCAGGCCACAAGAAGAAGCCATGTGTAGAGTAGGTGTTCCAGCTGACAGCACCAGCTACGATCTCAGCTGAAAGCCAGCCTCAAACTTCCAGACACTAAATGGGAATGTTCCCCCTGCCACTCCACTGTACCTGTCCAAATTGCAGATCTGTGAATGAAATAAATGTTGCATTATTTTAAGCCACCAAATTTTGGGGTAGTTTGTTACATAACAATAGGGAATGAAAACACCAAATCCCGTAGTTCCCTGGCTTCTCTCATTTCTTTTTTTTTTTTTTTTTTTTTGAGATGGAGTCTTTCTCTGTTGCCCAGGCTGGCCAGGCTGGAGTGCAGTGGTGTGATCTCGGCTCGCTGCCAGCTCCACCTCCCGGGTTCACGCCATTCTCCTGCCTCAGCCTTCTGAGTAGCTGGGTCTACAGGCACCTGCCACCACGCCTGGCTAATTTTTTGTATTTTTAGTAGAGACGGGGTTTCACCGTGTTAGCTAGAATGGTCTCAATCTCCTGACCTCATGATCTGCCCGCCTCAGCCTCCCAAAGTGCTGGGATTACAGGCCTGAGCCATCGTGCCCAGGTTGGCTTCTGTCATTTCTTTGTCACATAGGTTTGTTGTTTGTCCCCCCACAGAAGAAGGGTTCAGTAAATCATGGCATGCCCAAAATATGCAACATTTTGCAGCCATTACAAATGCTGTTTCTGAAAAATTTCTAACAGCTTGGGAAAATGTTTTGTATTTATAATATTGAGTTTTTAAAATCAGATGAAATTGCATGTATAATAGAATCCCAATTTTGTTTTAAAAACATGTGCATAGGAAAAGAACTAGTAAGAAATGTACCTACATGATGGAAGTAATGGGATTATGTCCATTCAAAACTTTTTATCATGAGTATGTTTTCATAATCAGAAAAATGGTTACATTTAAAAAAGATCGATTCCTTTCCTTTTCTTACATTAAGCATGATGTTATTTTCTCATTCTTCGTTTCTAGTTGCCAACTATGCATAAATGGAGAATTTGTGTTCACTCCAGGAAACCGTTCCAAATAGATAATAGTAATTGAAAAATTGGCTTTGTCAAAACTCATGTTGAATAAATGGGCTTTTAGTACGACCTTTCAAAAGTTAGTCTTTTTAGTCCTCCCTTCTTCGCTTGTCTCTTCTTTTATACAAGCTTGACTCTGAACCCTATTTCATCCCATTGAGTGTCAAAGGCTTCTTGAAACGTTAAGCTTTCTGGAACAGTCTCTAGGAGTGGCCTCCTTGTCCTGCTCTCATTCCCATTCCCAAACTTATGATTTCTTGCTCTGGAATTGTATCTCTAAAAGGTACATGGACTGTGTTAAATTAGCCTCCAGATGAGAGTGCACGCACTCTCTCTCTCCCCAGCCCTAAGTCAACTTTGTAGTCCAGGAGATAGTATAATGGAGTCCAAGAATGTTAGATCTGGAAGAAACCCCACAGATTATCTAATTCCACCCCCTTCTTCCAAAAAGAAAGAAATCAAGCTCAAGTTCCAAGGGGTTTAAATGGCATTTCCAAGATGATACAATAGAATGATAAAAAATTAGCACCAGGGCCAAGTTTTTCCATCTGTTTTGGGGCAGCAGAGCCTGATAGAAAGAACGAGCATGTTGGTACCAAATGCTCATTTCTACTCTGCCAAATAATGACTATAAAGTTGGGCAAAGATACTTCATCTCTCCTAGCCTCAGTTTTCCCTATCTGTAAAATGAGAATAGTGTATACCTTGCAGAACTGACGTGATATTAGAAATACTATATTTCATCTTCCTTTTAGATCATCAGAGACAAAGTTGTTATTGCTGGGTTTTCTTTGAGCCAGTACCTTCTTCAGGTGAATTGATTCAGGGATTATTGATACAGGCAGCTGTTCTCCCAAGAAACAAATTTGGCATTTTTAAGGCCCACAGTTTTAAACACCTGAGTTAAAGAATATCTTTCCCAGGTGGAGCCCATGCTCCCCCAATCTGTCCACTTCACTCCTAACCACCTGGTGGCTGGCCACTGCCCCTTGATTTCCTTTGGACACTGGCTGCAACCCTGTTCCCCTCCCACAGAACATGGCTTACTTTACTTCTCAACCCATCTTTTAACAAAATTCCTTTCCTTTTTCTTTTGTATCTTCTGCCACATGTGAATTACCTCAGGAAATCTTTTTTTCTTTTTATTTTATCCATAAATTAAAAAATTCCCGAAGTTCTGGAAGACACATACAATGATACTTACGGTCACGATTCACTTGTGTGCAAGAAAATGAAATCCACATGTTTTTTAGTGTTATTAGGTTATAGTAAAATGACATGATTGAAAGCGAAGTAACATTTTTCATCTGTTAGATTGGCAAGAATAACAAAGGCTTATTTATTATTGATAAAGGTGAGGGGAAACTTGTATTATTACATAATTTGGTCAAAGTGATTATTGCTATAGCCTCTTTGGAGAGCATTTTGCTGTATCTCTAAAAATAAAATATTTATCCTTTATTCATATACATGCACAAAGAGACATGTCCAAGAATGTTCACTAAAGTACTATTTACAATATAAAAAATTAGAAGCAACTTATTAACGGTTTCTTAGTAAGGAAATGATTAATTATGATTCGTTCATTTTATGGAATATTCTGAAGCTGTAAAAAATAACTATGTCTGTGTCTGCCAACAGATCTTAGCCATTGTTATGTGAAAACGGCAAGCTGATGAACACTATGTGTGGTGTAATACCATTTATAATAAAGTCATCCCTTAGTATCCTTGGGGTACTGGCCCCAAGACCCTCTCAGATACCAAAGTCTGAGGATGCTCAAATTCCTTATATAAAATGGTATAGTATTTGCATATAATCTATGCACATCTCCTGTATACTTTAAGTCATCTCTAGATTACATATATATTTACTGCAATGTAAATGCTATGTAAATAGTTGTTATACTGTATTGGGTAAAAAAATTTGTATTTTTTTTATTGTATTGTTATTTTTTTACCATTTTTCTTCTGAGTATTTTTGATTTGTGGTTGGTTAAATCCATGGATGTGGAACCCGTAGATACAGAAGGCCTACTGTATATAATTTTATGAAAAAGATGTAGAAGGATATGCTCCAAATGGGTAAAGAGAGGTTATTTTGGGGAGAAAAGTGGGTTTTTTCTTTGGAAAATGTTTTAATGTAAAGGATTTTTTCTACTTGAAAAATTTAAAAATAATATTTTAAAATTAAATTATGACTAAAAACATAAAAACTCTTCATGTGACTTTGATGTCCATGCAACACATCATAATCTGTAATCTGCTGTGTAACAAAGTATCTCAAAATTTAGCATTATAAAACAACACATTTTGTTGTGCACACTTTCTTTGGGTCAGGAATCCAGGCATGGCTTACCTAGGTCTTCTGCTTTAGGATCTCTGAAAAGGCTGCAATCAAGGTATTGGCTGGGGCTTTGGTCTCATCTCAAGGCTTGACTGGGGAAGGATCTGCTTCTAAGCTCACTTCCACATGGTTGTTGGCAGGGTTCAGTGCTTCATAGGCTGTTGGACTGAAGGCCTCTGTTTCTTAATGGCTGTTGGTCAGAGGCCATCCTCGGTTCCTTGCCATGTGATCCTTTCCAATATGGTGGCTTTCTTCCTCAAAGTGTGCAAACTGAGAAGGCAATAGAGCATGCCAGTAAGATAGAAGTCATAGTGTCTTGTATCCTAATTATGAATGTGACATACCATGATTTTGCTGTAATCTATTCATTAGAAAAAGATCACTAAGTCCAGTCCACACCCAAAAGGAGGCAGTAGACAGGTGCATGAATAACAGGAGGAGGAATCATCTGGAGCCCTGTAGACGCTGCTTACTGCAGAAACCATTGACTTAGGTAATTGAGGAAAAAAAAAATCTAAAAATGAACTTGTTTTTCTCAAGCACCATCATTTAGATTTTTAATTTGCTAGTTCAATTGTACTTTCAACTTTAGTTATAATAATTAAACATTTTTATACCTCATCTCTTAAGCAATGTCTTTTACATTGGTCAAATACACTTTTGTGGAATCCAGTCATCCTTTTAGTCAGAATTTCTGTAGGAAAATGCATCTTGGGTTTGGTAGAGCACTTCCACAGATTGTTGTAACATCACCCACTTGGAAACTGGGGGCACAGGACCACTCAATCCAGAGATTAAGAAAAGATCAAATATACTTTGAAATCTTTTTCTTGCTTCGTAATTTGCTTGCAATGGGTATCTGTTTCAGTTAGCTGTGCTGTACGAATACAACCCTAAACACAATGGCTTAAAACAATGGCCATTTTATTGTTGTTCATGAGTGAGTGGTTGACTGGGTAGTTTCGCAGTCAGCTGGCCAGTGGGCTAGGGCTGGATGGCCTAGGAGGACCTCACTGACATGTCTAGGGGTTGGTAAGCCATCAGATGGGACACTCCTCTCTGCTTCGCATGGTCTCTCATCTTCCAGTAAGCTAGCCTGGGCTTCTGCACATAGTGGTCTGAGGGTAACAAGTAAGGGGAAATCTCATTGGTCAAAGAAAGTTACATATTCAAGCCTGGAGTCAGTATAGGAGGGGACTTCCTGAGGGATGCTTGATTCATTAGGGGCCATTACCGTACATTACTACCACTATGCCATATAGTTTTCAAGATCTTTGGTCATTTCTGTGGTCTGTACTATTTTGTTAAGCATAGCCACCAAAGGATATGAATCTTGTCAACCAGTAAAAGAGTAGCTACAATTTTAGATCTCACCAGGGAGTGCAGCTCATTAAGGATGGATGGAACCAACCTTTTCCAAAGTTCAGCCAGGACTGTTTTCGTTTAAGGAAGTAACTCTGAGTGAGGTTTCATCCGTTTATCCCTATACTCTGAACTATGTCCCCATAGTAGTAAAGACCAATCAGCATTAACATGCATACCTGAGCTGCGTTAACTCAGCTGCCTGCAAGACAAAGGCACCACTGAGTAACAGTTTAATGTCATGCCTTAACTCTTATTCATGACTGATACGAGAAATGACCATGGGAAGTAATCGTATCTGTATACCTTTAGTAAAATCAATGTGGGGGATGTTATTGGAGATGATTTTCAGTGTCTCTCATATAAAGTGTCAAGTGATAGATTCCCACCACAAATTAGTATAAGGAAAATTCATGTTTCACTTGATAAACGGTAACCAATCTTCCTTTAAAAGGCAATAAGAAGTCTATAACTTCCTCTGCCCCCTGCCAACCCTTTGTTGGTGTTGGAGGCTGGAAATAGCTAAGTAATGTTTTGTTACAGTAACTCTATTAGCCTTATTGGCTCTGGGTGTTTTTTTTTTTTTTTTTTTTTTAAAGACAGGGTCTTGTTCTGTCCCTCAGGCTAGAGTGCAGTGGCGTGACCTTGGCTCACTGCAGCCTCAATCTCCTGGGCTCAAGCAATCTTCCCACCTCAGCCTTATGAGTAGCTGGGACTACAGGTGTGTACTACCATGCTTGGCTAGTTTTTGTATTTTTTTGTAGAAATGGGGTCTCACTGTGTTGCCCAGACCTAGTTCTGAGCTTTTGATACATATATTTTCCTTCTACCAGATGACATCTTTGTGTTTTGATGATCCTAATTTTTTGAGAAACATTAGTGGGTTAAAATTACAAATACATGAATCAACAAATAAACATATTCGGTTCTGCTGCCAACAAGTTTTTCAGTCATTTAAAAAATAATTCTCCCATATGTATAAGATGTTGGAATACATTTGGACTATGTGATATTTAAAGTCCCTTTGCTCTTAATGATTCCAAAACTGTTTCTTCTGTGACTCTCCCGCTCGAACACTTTATACTTCATGAGGCATTCCAGCTATTAAATGTCTTGCATGGCTCAGTAGAAAAAGAGGTAGATTCAGACTTGTTTCCATGTGGTTGAAGACTTTTTCAAACATCTTGTGTTTGACAAAATATGAATGTGGGCAAGCTTTTTGTCCCTTGTGTCTAAAACACAGGTGTATGGTATTCCCAGGGAACCATAAAGTGTGTGGTATTGATTTCTAGTACAACTCACTCACAGTGCTCATCAAAACCCATTAGACGCCCAAAAAACCTTTATGGCTTGACATATACAAAGACTTACGTTTGATTTGCTTTTTAAAATAACTTTGATGCTAGCGTGGCCAAAAGGCAACTATGGACTCAAAAGTGTTTTGAAATTCAGTCGAACACCTTCCTAATAGTAATGAGGGGTGATTTAGCTTTTAGACACTATTCTGGGATTTCATTGTTTAGGTTGGTTGATTTGCTGTAAGGAAACACTTTTGAAAAAGGGACTTATTAGAGTTTTATATGAAAGCGTGATATAAAATATAGAACCCCTACAGGGTTATTCCCATAGGATTTATTAATTGCTGCTATAGAAGCAGAAGGAAATACTATTTGAAGGTGGTATAACCTAACCGTTAAGACAGTGGTCCCTAACCCTTTTGGCATCAGGGATCGGTTCTGTGGAAGATAATTTTTTCCACTGATGGGCAGGGGGGATGGTTTTGAGATGATTCAAGTACATTGCATTTATTGTGTACTTTATTTCTATTATTATGACTTTGTAATATATAATGAAATAATTATACAACTCACCATAATGTAGACTCAGTGAGAGCCCTGAGCTTGTTTTCCTGCAACTAGATGGTCCTATCTGGGGGTGATGGGAGACAGTGACAGATTATCAGGTGTTAGATTCTCATAAAGAGCCTGCAACCTGAATCCCTTGCATGCGCAGTTCACAATAGGGTTTGTACTCCTGTAAGAATCTAATGCAGCTGCTGACCTGACAGGAGACAGAGCTCAGGTGGTAATGTGAGCAGTGGGGAGTGGCTGTAAATACAGATGAAGCTTCACTTGCTCTCCTGCCACTCACCTCCTGCTGGGCCTCCTGGTTCCTAACAGGCCACTGACTGGTACTTGTTCGTGGCCCACGGGTTGGGGACCCCTGGGTTAAGAGATTAACTGTGGATATCAAACCCCACCTCTGCCTTCCTCTCTGCATGACCCTGTTACTTTTCTAAGACTTAGTTCCCTAATTTTTAAAAGGGTGGTAATATTATATCTACATTGTAGAAGTAAGTGTAAACAGGAAATATTGGTTAGCTCTTTAGAACAGTATCTGGCACTTTGAACACACTTAACAACTGTTAGCTATTGTTAAAGCTGCTACTATTATTAATGTTAAATTATATAGGATTAGTTCATATCCCCCTATTATACCCCTCTTTATGTCAAAAGCTTTTACTGACACTGAAATGAGCTGGGTGAACTTAGAATTGCTGATAGTTGCTGATAGTTACATTATTGTATATGTGTAGAAGGAACCGGAAGACCTGGGCTTTTATTCTGATCCCTTCGCTTTTCAACTGTGTTACCTTGCACACGTTTCTTCACATCTCTGAACTTCATTAAAAAAAAAAAAAAAAAAAAAGATGCCGATTTTCCTGCCAACATGGCTGCTATGTAATGCACAGTGCTCCTCATTCAATCCACAAAATAGTATGCCTTTTCATGAATAAGCACACAAAACCCTGATACAAGAAGTTGTCTACAATGCTGGTCCCTGATGACCCCACATGGTGTTCTCAGGCTGGAGATATTTGCAATAAGTTTGAGGTTGCTTCAAATGTCACAATGATAGGGGATATTGACATCAATTAGCAGGCAGGGGGCAGGGATTCTAATTGTTCTACAGTACATGAGACAGTCCTGCACAGTGAAGGACCTGTCCTGCCCCAAATATCCATAGCATCCATACTGAGAAATACTGGGTTAGAGGGCTGAGAGAGGGGTCTCTGGTTTGGAGTCACAAGTTTAATCAAGGTATGGGTGGTGGTGCTGCCACCCCCATACCCCCCACCCCAAAACCAAGGCTACTGATTTGTTTGAGGTTTAAGGATGTCTTTGTGAGTGGCACCTTCTTCAAATCTTGGTACTGGTATGGGTACTGAGTGTTATGCTTAAAGTGCCATACAAAAATCACAGTTTTTCCAATAAGATGGCTGTGACACTGGCCATGCTCTTCCTTCAGGGCCTTTGCACTGGCTACAACCTCTGCTTAGAATTCTTCCCCTCAACAGCTCCATCTCCACCAAAGTTCATATGCTCGCAGCCTTTCTCAAAGACATGTCAGTAGGGACTACTCTGACCAATCTATATAAAATTGCAACCTCCTTCAACACTTCGGAATCCCATTACACTGCCTTCCCCACATTGTAGGTAACATCCTGTGCAATATTATATTACCTACATATTGATTATGTCTCCTTATTTTTCCCCACTAGAGTGTAAACTTCACAAGGGTGGGGTGTGTATATGTGCGTAATTCATGGGTGAGTAAAACCAAGCCCTTAGGACATAATAGATGCTCCATATGTATATTTGTTGAGTGAGTGAATGAATAAATGAAAGAATATGAGCAAAACCGGCTAGTATAATATCCCTTTAATAGGGATAGAAGCTTCCAAACATAATGGAAGTAGAAAAAGACTTAACGAAAAGGAATAAACTTGAGAACGAAAAGGAATAAACTTGAGAAATGTGCAGGCCATGTGTGATGAAAACTATAATGTGTTACAGAGGGGCTGAAAAAAGACTTGAGTAGATGATTCCTTCATAGGAAGATTTTATATTAAGAAGAAAGGCATAACTTTAGTGGTGTCTCCATAAAAATTCTCATGAGCTTTTTCAAACTAGACAAAAAATGGTTCTCAAATTCTTTGGGAGAATAAATATGAGAAAAGCTAAGAAACGGACATAAAGAAGTGTAAAGAGGAGAGTAACACCCCCAGCTTTATTGAAACCAATTCTAACACTGAAATAATTAAAGCAGTGTCCTACTGATACAAGAGTAATTAGACAAAGCAATGGGGCAAAAGAGAAACCTCAGAAAAAGACAGATGTATACAGATCTAGAGTGGCATAAAGGTATTACAGTTGATCCTTGAACACATGGGATTTAGGGGGTGCTGTCTCCCGTGTAGTCGAAAATCCATGTACAACTTTTGACTCTCCCCAAATTTAACTGCCAGTAGCCTACTGTTGACTGGAAGCCTTCCTGGCAGTATAAACCGTCAGCACATATTTTGTATGTTATATGTATTATATACTATATTCTTACAGTAAACTAGAGAGAAGAAAATTAAGAAAGTCATAGGCTGGGTACAGTGGCTTACACCTGTAATCCCAGCACTTTGGGAGGGTGAGGTGGGCAGATCATTTGAAGTCAGGAGTTCAAGACCAGCCTGGCCAACACAGTGAAACCCTGTCTCTACTAAAAAAAAAAAAAAGAAAGAAAGAAAAAGCCGGGTGTGGTGGCACATACCTGTAATCCCAGCTACTCGGGAGGCTGAGGCGGGAGAATCGCTTGAACCTGGGAGGTGGAGGTTGCAGTGTGCTGAGATTGCACCACTGCACTCCAGCCTGGGCAAAAGAGCGAGATTCCATCTCAAAAAAAAAAAAAAAAAAAAAGAATAAGGAAGAAAAAATATATTTACTATTCATTAAGTGAAAGTGGATCATCATAAAGATCTTCATCCTTGTCATCTTAGCATTGAGTAGGCTGAGGAAGAGGAAAGTGAGGGGTTGGTTTTGTCTCAGGAGTGGCAGAAGCAGAAGACACGGAGGAGGTGGAAGGGGAGGCAGGAGAGGTGGGCGCACTCTTATTGAAAAAATCTGCGTATACGTGGACCCCCGCAATTCAAACCCTTCTTGTTCAAGGTCAACTGTAGTTTGAATTAATAGGGAAGAAATACTAATAACATTTATTGAACATTATCTTTTTGCCTGTCTCTCGTAAAGGGCTTTCCATACAAAACGATAATGTATTTATTTACATTTATATGAGACAGGCAAAAGATAATGCAATATTATTGCTGTATTATTTATTTACTTCTTGTAGTAGCCCAGGGAAGCATGAGTTATCATTACTCATTTATTTATTTATTTATTTATGAGGTGGAGTCTTGCTCTGTTGCCCAGGCTGGAGTGCAGTGGCACGATCTCAGCTCACTGCAAACTCCGCCTTCCGGGTTCACGCCATTCTCCTGCCTCAGACTCCTGAGTAGCTGGGACTACAGGCGCCTGCCACCACGCCCGGCTAATTTTTTGTATTTTTAGTAGAGACGGGGTTTCACCATGTTAGCCAGGATGGTCTTGATCTTCTGACCTCGCGTTCCGCCCGCATCCGCCTCCCAAAGTGCTGGGATTACAGGCGTGAGCCACCGTGCCTGGCCTATCATTACTCATTTATTACAGACAAGGGAATGAAGCTTAGGCACAGTCACTGCCCAGCCCAAAGTCACCCAGTTAGTATGATTTTGAATCAGAATTTGAACCCAGATCTAACACCGAAGTTCACACCCTTAACCTCTACATTATGTGAATAAAAGATGTGGAGCTACTGGTTAAATATTTGGAAAAATATGTCACACATAGAGTTAAATGTGAAAGATGAAAATGTAACAAAACCTTAGCTTTAAGGATTTTTTAGTGTTGTTTTCCTTAGAAGAAGCTAAAAGGTAAAGAAAAAAACCCAAGAATAATAATAAAAGAAAGAAATGGAATAAAGGGATTTTTAAAAATTTGAAGCCATATAAGCTTCATTTTCTATTTTTAAATAGTTATACATTTCAAAATTAGCTAAATCTATAAATTAGAATTTCAGATATCAAAGATGAAGAATATTTAAGTAATTGAGAAACTATTCACAGTATAGGTGGAAAAAGGCAGTTTGCAAAATAGTGTGTAAAGTATGATATTATTTCTATAGAAATGTATTTATATACATCAATAAAAGAAAAAAATCCCTACCACATAAATTCTATGTATGTAAAAGGCCAGCATGTGAAGAAATCTGTGACTGTTTTTCTCTCTTGTGGGACAGTTTGCTGCCAGTGCCAAGCAGAAAATGGCAACCTGGTACCTTGCAAAAATAGATGCCCGCATCTTCTTTGGCCACAGTCATTTCTTAACCTGCCAGTTCTATCAACAAGCCAAAATAACAGGCTGACTTTCGCTGTGTAGAGTTCCCATAGGATCCTGTATCTTCCTTGACCTGACAAGTCAACCCCTGTAAAAGACAAATTGGAAGGCTTGTTAACTCTCTTTTGACTCTGCCTTGACTTGGAGCGTTTGAAGGTTTAGGCTGGTTAATGATGTCTGTTTTTTTTTTTTTTTTTTACAGCGATTCAACCCAGGGCCTCATTTCTTACATAAGTGTCAGGCTGGAAGCAGGCGGTTCTTCAAGTTGGCCTCACTAACAATGTAGTGGCCTACGCACCAGCCCCCTGCTTCCCCGGGCCTGGGTGCTGAGTCAGGGATGCTCCGGGGTTCGGGAGGACTGGGATCCCGGAGCACATGAACTGGACTCCTTTTGCAAACAGCACTTAGGACTTTGCGTTCTGGTTATTTAATATGAGTCTTCCTGCCCAGTTAAAATATGTGAACGCGGTAAGATCAAACGGCCCAACAGTTCTGGATCTTATTCACCTCTGTATCCTCAACACTCTGTACTCAGTGTGATGTTGGGGAGGGAGCTCTGAACAGGGAATTCCACAAATCTTGGTTGGAATCCTTTCCACCGTAAGTCTGGGCAAGTGATGGAAGCTTTTTGAGCTTTTCTTTCATTGTCTATAAAATGGGTCTAATGAGAGTCACCTAGTGTGAGCATTAATGATACTAATTATGCAATGGCACATAGCCCAGAGCCTGGTCTAAAGGAAGCTCTCAGTTGATATGGACTGATCATGTCCCGGTGAACCTTGGGGCAGGGCCGATGGTTCCAAGTGGGAGAGGAAGCCTCCCCAGCAGTAATCCAGATATGCCACTAGGAGGCGTGCGAGTTCCATAATTGATTTATCCCCCCTCTCGGTATTAAAAGCCAGTCTTGGCCCAATTCAATCTCTGTAACTTTAACTTATTATTTAAGAGTGATAAATGGCCTGCTCCTGCATTCCTTTTCCATTCAAATCACTGTCATTAAGATTAAGACAGTGTAGCCGGCTAGTGAAGAGTTGGCACCTTTTTGTTTATTTCTTGCTGCTCTCCACGTGGGGTACCAGCTCCTTGTGAGCTGAGTACCTAAAGCTTGGCCTTCACTTTGTTCTGTGTATGCTCAACACACTTGGCTGACAGCATGTGTCTTGGGTCTTGATCCGAAGGTTTGGATTATTTGTGGGAAGGAAAGTGAAACCAATCGTGATGGATTCTATTTTATGCAACAAAAGACAGCCATCTGTAGCCCCCAAATGGGCCATGGATCCTTCTTTCTCCTGTCTTAGAAGAAGCATGCTTGGCTCCATTTTTGTTTATTGTTTCTGCCATGTTCCCTTCCAGTCCAGAGATTAGTGCACTTCCAGGCCAGAGAGCTGGGTTTGAGCCTCAGTGGGGCCTCTAGTCTCACAGATAGTTAGATTAGAATGAACCTCAGTGGAGGAGTGAGTTCACCCTTCCCTCAGATGGGCAGTCTGAGGGCCAGAGTCAGGCTAGGATCTTGAACTTCAGCTGCTTTATGGGTAGAATAAGAGTACTGGGCTGGGTATTTCCAATATCTTTCCAGCGTGGACATTTTTTCACTTTCATATCCAGATGCCATGCTCATAAGCCTAATTCTCCAGCTCACCTGAATTGTGTGAATTCCATTTATGAAGAGCAGACAGAGATGTTGTAAACATGAGTGTCACTGCGATTTATGAGTGTTGTGGCAGCCTAGCCCTAGGAGCCATGCTGGGGCTTTCTCAAAGTAGACATTACGCCTTGGAACAAGCTGTTCTGATGAGCAACACAAGGACACATCAGAGGCTCCACAACTTTCAATTGGCTTTAGAGCCTGTGATTCTCCTTTTTTACAGTCCTGTGACATTGAGACAGTATTAGCATTTACTTCCATTTGCTAAGGGCAGGACAACATGCCATGAGAAGGTACTGGTATTCTCATGGAAGCCAGTGACCAAGCTAAAGGAGAGTTGTCAGGTATTTGATGTTGATTGCAGCAAGAATATGGAGGAAAGAGCCCATGACTTGGGGCAGGGCCTGCCAGGATTTAAATCCTACCTGCCAATTACTGGCTGTGTGAATGCAGGCAGGTAACCTAGCCCCTGCCTGTAAAATGGGATAATAATAACCCACTGCTCAGGGTTGTTTTTGAGGATTGAGACGAAGGTAGTACTGTGCAAAGTGCTCATGAAATATGAGACTGTTTTTATTTCTTCTGAAGCCCAAGAATTGTAAAATACGTTTTTCTATTCTGAAATGTAGGATTAGGGTAGGGTTAGAAAAGGGAACACAATAATGTGAGAACTTGAAGAACCTCAGTGAATAGCAGCAGAGTCTGAATTAAGGACATCTGAAAATAAAAGGAGAGTGGTTGGGATTAAATGACCTGCTGATGTTGCTGAGCTCCTGAAGTTAAGGGAGCCCAGTGAAGCAGTGTTGTTGTTTGGAGATGATACCCAAGATTCGTTGTGTCACAGTCACGGAAAACTAGGACGTGGACACATAGTGAGGTTCAGAGTGGAAGTTTAATGGGCGAAAGAGAAGAGCTCTCTGCAGCAGAGAGGGGTCCTGGAGAAGTGGGTTGTTGCTTTCACTGTGAAATGTAGGAGGTTTTATAGATGAGCCTGAGGAGGCAGTGTCTGATTTACACAGGGTGCAAAGGATTGGTTGGACCAGGTGTTTCATTTGCATAGGGTGTGAGTTTCTGGCTGCCCTCACCCTAATCTTTTGTCTTGCAAATGGTTCTCTGCCTGGTTGGCGCCATGTTGTTTCTTTACAGTACACGTGGTGGCAAAAGAGAAGATGGTGCCTCCATGTTGAACATGCCTGGCCCCCAGGTAGCACTTTTCTATTGACACAGCTGCCAGCATTCACCTGTGCAGGCTTCCAGCTTGCTTATCTATGTCTGGAGCTCAATTTTTCAGGCTGCTCTTTGTTAGAAAAGAAAGGATTTTGAGGCTGCTTTTTGTTAAAAGGGAAATTCTGCCGAGGACTCTTTTACCCTCACTATCTGCCTGAGTAATTTCTTTCTAGTTCCCGTATCACCAGGAATCTGGAGTTCACTGGGGATTCCTGAAGGACTAGATTGGCAAGGATCACATTAGGCTGGTGACGGTGACTTACCTTCTATTACCAATTTGCCCAGAGTATCTATTCTCTTTCTGAGCCTTCTGCTGCATTGGGTTATGCAAACATTGGCTGAGCACCTGTGCTGAGCCAGGAACGTGTCACTGCTGGGGACATGAGGCAGCTGAGCACAGGTCCTGGCCTTCTTGGTCTGATAGGGAATACCCAGGAGAAAAGGCAAGTTCACTATTCCTACAGCAAAGGGCCTCAGTCAAGGTCTGCTCCAGCAAGGAGGGATGGTGGGGGAGCCTCCAGCCCTGCCTTCTGGATGGAGGTCAGGAAAGACCTGCCCAAGGAGGATGTGTCTAGCTTGGAGTGGGGGCTCCTGAGGGGATAGGGAGCCAATGATGGGTAAGAAGAGAGCCAGCTCCTCCTGGGGAGCAAGGTGCTGCCTGGATGGTCAGAGTTTTTGGAGGATGCTGCTCTCTTTCTCCTTCCTTTTCATGTCCAACACGAGGATCCATATTATTCCACAGAGAAAACTTAAACCCTAGTGGGAGACCCTTCTCCTGCCTTACGTTCTAGGAAGACCATTCAGCTATATCAGTGTCCTGTTTTAACTCTGACATTTGTAACTGCCTGAGGGGTTCTCTTGCCCATTGGATAAAGAAAGACCATGGCATTGTAGTGGAGAAAGAGTTTAAGAGACATAGACTAGCCATGCCACATGAGAGACGGAGTTTTGTACTCAAGTCATCTCGTGCATAGGTTAGGGGTTTTTCAAAGGTGGTTTGAAGGAAAGGGTGAGGGTGGCCAGGTAACAGGTGCTTGTTGCTGATTGGTTGGGGGTGGAGAGGAAATCATAGAGGGTTAAAACTGTCCTCTTGTGGGCCAAATTGCTTCTGGGTGGGGACAACAGAAGCTTATCCCGGTGGAGCCATGGGTGTCAGACATGCAAAAAACCTGGAAAGGTATCCCAAAAGGCCAATCTACAGCAGTGTTGTTATTTGCAGGAGTAATTGGGGAAGCTGCATATGTTGTAATCTCTGGAATAATGTCTGCACCTTAACAGGATTCAGACTCCTTTCCTGCGCACAGCCTGATGGCCTCCCATTAGCTTTACAAAAGTGGTTGAGTTTTAGGCAAGGCCTGTTATCATTTTAAACTATAGCCTAAGTACCTTTCAGAGTTAGCTTGGCCCAGTAGCCCAGGAATAACTAAGGGAAAGGCTAGATGGGGTTTGGGTTAGTTTAGCTTAGCTTAGTGTTACAATCTTCTCACTGATAGAACTTTTGCAAAGGTGGTTTCACATTCATCATCTGAGAGTGTCTGTCTTAGTTAGTTTGGACTTCTATAATGGAATACCATAGACTAGGTGGCTTAATGCAAACATTTCTCATAGTTCTAGAGGGCGGAAAGTCCAAGAGCAAGGCACTGGCAGGTCCAGTGTCTGGTGAGGGCCACTTTCTGGTTTGCAGATGACCTTCTCATTGTATCCTTACATGGTGGAGGGCAGAGAGAGAGAGAGAGAGAGAGATGAAACAGTCTTTTTTTTTTTTTTTTTTTCCCTTGAGATGGACTTTTGCTCTTGTCACCCAGGCTGGAGTGCAGTGGCACAGTCTTGGCTCACCACAACCTCCACCTCCTGGGTTCAAGCAATTCTTCTGCCTCAGGCTCCCGAGTAGCTGGGATTACAGGCGTGTATCACCATGCTTGCCTAATTTTGTATTTTTAGTAAAGATGGGGTTTCTCCATGTTGGTCAAGCTGGTCTTGACCTCCTGACTTCAGGTGATCTGCCTGCCTCCGCCTCCCAAAGTGCTGGGATTACAGGCATAAGCCACCACGCCTAGTGGAAACAAACTCTTTTGTATCTTTTTATAAGGGCACTAATCCCATTTGTGAGAGCTCCACTCTTATGACCTGATTACCTCCCAGAGTTGCTACCTCCTAATACCATAACATTGGGGGTTAGGAATACAACATAAGAACTTTGGAGTGGGACTCATTCAGTCCACAACAGACAGTATCATCTCATATACTGAAAGAAGCCTCTGAGGGAAGAGTAAGACTGCCAGGGAGCGTATTTAAATCCATAGCTTGTCTCCAGGGACTGTTGTAAACTAATTCAATTGGCACATGTTTGAAAAAAAATGTTAGCACTCAATGCTGATGAGTTTCTGTTGAAAATGATACATTTGCTATCTCTGCTAGTAGTGAAAATTGGTAAAATGTCTTGGGAGAAAAATGCAGTGTTAAAGCAAACTAAATACGGCCTGAGAAGGACTCCATAGTCTTATATCTGAGTGCTTGTAGATGAACTGTAACCTAGCTTAATAGTCAGACAAGATTGAAAACCTAACTTAAGAGTATGCACTTGTAACAATCACTGAGTCTTTGCCAATCCCAGCAGCCATACTTCAGCCACTCAAAGACTGCTGAGTGTTCAAACTGTGTTCAAATAAGGCAAGTGCCAACCTGTAACCAATCCAGCTGTTTCTGTACTTCACTGCTGATTTCTGTATGTTATACATTTCCCTTTTTTTTGCCTATAAATCTTCTTCCTCCACGTGGCTGTGGTGGAGTCTCTGTGAATCTACTGTGACTCTGGGGGCTGCCCAATTCATGAATTGTTCATTCCTCAATTAAACTCCTTTAAAATTAATTTGACTGATGTTTTTCTTTTATCAGTAGTAATATTATGGTAGCAACAGCCATGAAGATGCATGCATCCTTCAGCGTGCTCCTGGCCTTTAGTTCTATTTACCTGCCCTCTAGAGGAAGGAAAGGAATCTGCCCTAAGGAAGAAATTCCCCAGTGTGAGTTACACAGGCTCACACAGGATGCAAATGGCATCCCCTATAGTTGTAGGCTGCTACAGTCTGGACAGCAGGGACTTTATCTTATTTACTACTAGATCCTTGGGGGCCTAGAATTGCATCTGGCACACAGCAAGAGCTCAATAAATGCTTCCTGACTCACTGTGACATGCTCAAGTGGTATGCCAAAACATGTGTCCATGGTCCAGAAATTGAAAATGATCATCATGAGATAATGTATGAATTCATTCAGGCTGGAACTTTAACCAGGAAAAAAAAAAAGCAAGACTTAAATATCGCTTCTGTGTAATTACAACCATGCAAAATTGTATATGATTATGAAAACAGGGCCTGAAAGAGAATGGGCAAAAATGAAAATAATTTTGTTAGCGTGCCGAGATTATGGGCCATTGCTTTTTAATGTTAAATATTTCCAAAATAAAGTGAAGTCAAATATTTTTTGACCACACGTTTTAGGTTGATTTAAGAAAAACAAGGCAAGGCATTATTAGTAGTAGAATTCGATTAAATAACTACTTTATTTCACAGCTTCATTCTCCCTTGGAGTTAACAAATGTTCTTCAAGCATCTGTAATCCATACTTTGTCGCATCAGTCCCAAGGCAATCGATAAACTCAAAAGCAAAAGGACTGCCAAGATGGGAACTGAGAAGAGAACTTTTGTTTTCAGTATCTACTGTGAGAATGCATGCAAATGAGCGATAAAGAACCACAAAGAAAAAACAAGCCCTGAGTTGTGGAGGGGTTAAATTCACTATCTGACTGTTGTGAGTCAGGAAGTATTTATTGAGCTCCTGCTGTGTGCCAGATAGAAAATCCACAATGAACTGAGGATGCAGTGAGGGTGCAGTGAGGGTTCACTGGGGTCCACAGTTTTCTAAAGCAGGTCTGGCTTTGCCAGTGAATAGTCTAATTTGCCAGCTTTGCCAGTGAATATTCTAATTTGCTAGCCTCTATTCCTTCACACTGCAAGGATGGAGGAACTCTTAATTGTGGAGCAGAACCTGAAATGAAGCTTTCTGGGTTCAGTTTCCCATTCCACAGGGAACTCTGAGTCCTTGGAGGAAGATGCATGTTTTTCCATGTCTAATTTTCTCAATCTGTGGTTGGCCAGTGTTGTTTCTTGCCACTGATCACAATGCGAGGCTGTGTTCAGCAGAGGTTCGCAAAGTTTAGCAGGCATCAGAGCAGCTGGAGAGCTTGCCGACAGACTCAGAAGTGCTGCTGATTCAGTGGGTCTGAGTGGGGTCCACAAATGTGATTTCTAACCAGCCTCCAGGTGATGCTGCTGCTGCCGTTTGGGGGACTACATGGAGTCGCACTGGTGTACAGCTTTCCCAGGTGGTCCTCCCATGGTGCTCTGGAGGGGCTTCTGATGAGGATTTGCTTCCCTCCCCATGACCAGGTCACAGTTACTCCCTAACTGAAGTGAACCCCATTGATTTCTTGACAGACAGCTGAACAGAGTACAAAGAACAGGAGTTTTAGAATTAGGTCCAGGGACAGATCTCTACTCGGGACTTTTGTCTGTGACTGTGGAACCCTAACTACTCTGAGCTTTGTTTCGTTGTGTACAATGGGGCTAATGTTGTCCATTTTAGAGGTGTTTTATGAACAAGGTTGGGAAAATACCTTGTATAGTGCCTGGCTCATAGTAGGCACTCAATAAGTGATGGCTTTTTTTTTTTTTTTAAGATGGAGTCTCACTGTCATCCAGGCTGGAGTGCAGCGGCGCAATCTTGCCTCACTGCAACCTCCGCCTCCCAGGTTCAAGTGGTTCTTCTGCCTCAGCCTCCTGAGTAGCTGGGATTACAGGTATCACCACCATGCCCAGCTAATTTTTTTGCATTTTTAGTAGAGATGGAGTTTCACCATGTTGGCCAGGCCGGTCTTGAATTCCTGACCTCAGGTGATCCACCTACCTGGGCCTCCCAAAGTGCTGGGATTACAGGCGTGAGCCACTGCTCCCGGCCAGTGGTGGCTCTTAATAGAATTCTTTGGAGATTCTACAGATATGAAAATGCTATTCACTTAATTCTTTAAGCATATGCAGGGAGGTTCACAGGAGCACCTTTATGGGGTAGATGGGTAGAACTAAAGTTTAGAAAGGAAAGTGGAAAGGGGAAAAATCTGATATAATTCATCAGATAACTTTATTAGCCACATTTTTGTTCTGTGATGGAAAATACTTTCTGCTCTGTTCTATCCTACCGTATCCTACTGCCTTCTCTCCTCTCTTCTTCTCTCATCTTCTATCATATTCATTAAAATGTGAAGTCCCTAAAATGCCACGTACTACCCCAAGTGTTTTCTGTCGTTAAGGAGAAACTTCATGACAAAGTGTCAAAGGATGTAGATTTTGGATCAAGTTGATCTGGTTTTGAATTCAGACTTTGCCATTTCCCTTTTGTATGATGTCCAAGCTGTTCATGTCAGTTCTCTGAGCCTTAGAGTCCTTATTTGTAGAAGGGGGAGACTAAATAGCACAGGAAGCCCTAGAAGGGAAGATGCTTGGCTTACTTGACTGACAGGGGACATCTGTTGGAGACTGTGAAGGACAGACAGACAGTGATGGATGGATGGAGACTGTGGTGGATGAACAGAGACTGGGATAAATGGATAGAGACTATGCCAGATGGAAAGAGACTAGGATGGACTATGGAAACTGGGTTGGGTGGATGGAGACAGTGATAAATGGAAAGAGACTGGGATGGATGATACAGACTGGGATGGAAGGATGGATGGAAACTGAGGGATAGATTAGAGATTGGTAAGTAGACAGACACTGGGATGGACAATGGAGACTGGGATGGATGGACAGAGACTTGCATGGATGGATGAAGACAGTGATAAATGAATAGAGACTGGGATGGATGGACAGAGACTGATGGATGGATAGAGACTGGTAAATGGATGGACACTGGGATGGATGATGGGGACTGGGATGGATGGATGGAGACTGGGATGGATCGATGAAGACTGATGATGGATAGATACTGGGATGGATGGACAGAGACTGTGATAGATGGATAGAAGCTGTGATAAATGGATGGACCCTGGGATGGATGATGGGGACTGGGACGGATGGATGGGGACTGGGATGGACGGATGAAGATAGTGATGATGGATAGAGACAGGGATGGACAATGGAGACTGGGATGATGGATGGATCCTGGATCCTGCTTGTACAGGGAGCCCTTTTCACAAGCCTAGATGGCTGCCCTGTTTACTCTGAACAGAACTGTAGCCCCTCCACCAGAATCTTCGCTCTTCAGGCACCAGCACGGGGTGGGTGGCTTTCTCTGTAGGGCAGAACTGGACCTCTGATGTTTCCTTGGAATAACAGTGAAAGACCAGGTAAATTGTGGCCTATGAAATCATCTAGACCTGAACTAGATCCTGATCTCACTATTTATCATAATGTGACTTTGGGTTAGGAATACATTTATCCTTTACTTGTAACATAGGACTGTGAGGATAATGAAAATAATCACTTAATACAGTCTGGGCATAGAGTAGTTTAAAAAAGATTCACTTTCCTCCTCATTATTTTTCTAATCCCCACAGCAATCTATGTTTATTAAGTACTTACTGGATACCAGGCGCTATGCTTAATGCTTTACAGGGTGATCTCATTAAACCTCTACCACCACCTACCAGTGAGGTGTAGGTATCATTATTATCATGCCGGTTTTTAGGCAAGCTAATGGAGTCATAAGATAGTTAAGTAACTTGCTACTGGTCTTGTATTCATGTGATATAGTTTGGGTCTCTGTCCCTACCCAAATCTCATGTCAAATTGTAATTCCCACATGTCGAGGAAGGAACTTGTAACCCCCACGTGTTGAGAGAGGGGGGGTGATTGGCTCGTGATGGTGAGTTCTCACAACATCTGATGGTTTTGTAACTGTTTGGAAGTTCCTCCTTCATTTTTCTCTTTCCTACCACCTTGTGAAAAGGGTACTTGATTTTTCTTTGTGTTCTGTTATGATTTTAAGTTTCTTGAGGCCTCCCCAGCCACATGGAACTATGAGTCAATTAAACCTCTTTCCTTTATAAATTACCCAATCTTGGGTAGTCTTTTTATAGCCATGTGAAAACGGACTAACGTGTTAAAAAAGGAGAGGACCTGAATCCCAGCAATGTGGCTTCATCCCTGGAAGGTGTTGGCATTTCCATTCTGTTGATGGCAAGCCTGGGGCTCACATTGGGGAATGACCTAACTGGATGTCAGCTCTTTGACTCCAACACCCAGACTTTTTTTTTTTTTTTTAATTCCTTGAACCAATCAAGTTCTTCTCCTTTTTCCATGGCTTCTTCCCAACCTTCCTAGCTCAGCTACAAACTCTCTTCTTCCTAAGCCTCTTCTGACCCCTGTACCTGAGGAAGCTCCCACCTCAATCCTGTATCCTTTCTCCATGTTTGTTTTCTTCTTAGCACCTTCTTAGTACTGTTGATACTTACTTAGTTAATGGTTTATTTTTTTGTTCATTGTCTCTTTCCCCCACTGGACTGTAAGCTGCATGAGGGCAGGAACAATGTGGTTTAATTTAACTGCTTATCCCCTGCCTTGTCAATTGTCTGTCAAATATTTGTCTAAATGGATGAATAGACAAGCGAATGAGTGGATGAATGAAATGCAAGCATAGCATAAACCATTGTTTCCTGCCTCTGATGTCAGTTACTAAGTGACCGTAGTTACTCAGAGCCTTTGAGTCCTACATCACAGAGATGTTGTGACAATTAAATCAAACAACACATATGAAAGTGCTTTGTTATATACCATATTGTGCTGTTCCCATGTGGGGTGAATAAGAAATAGTTTTCGTTTCAGTGTAGGACTTTTATGAATATCCAAAGCTGCCCCCACCACCCCTGTCCTTCTCAAGTTTTTTCTTCCAGTCTGATACATTTCTTGGCAATAGAGGAAAAACTTAATGCCACCTTAATCATGGAATCTAATGACTTTCTGCTAAAGTAATTTTAAAGTAATTGTGCCTGACATGGTAATAGCAATTCTTTCCATTCTCTGTGGAGACACTTGATGTCCTGTCTTGTAGTTGCAGGTTTGTTGGTTGGTCAGGTATTCTGTTGTGGGAAATGATTTGTGAACTTAAATTTAGAGACCCAGGTTTCAATCCCAGCTCTGTCAAATGATAGACTTTGGGCAAGTGTCTTCCCTTCAACACAAAGACAATGTCAGGGCTGGAAGTTAGAGATCCTCTAGCCCAAGAAAGGCAAACTATGGGCCCATGGGCCAAATCTGGCCCACAATCTGTTTTTGTAAATAAAGTTTTATTGGGACACAGCCAGGCTCATTCATTTACATATTGCCTGCAGTTGCTTTCTTGCTACAATGACTGAGTTGTAACAGACCAGATGGCCTATGAAGCTGGAAATATTTACTATCTGCTCTTTCACAGAAAAAGTATGCTAACTTCTGCTCCAGTCCAACTTCCAACCCCTTTTAAAAACAAATGTGGATATTAATTCCAGAAAGAGAAAGGAACTTTCCCAAGATCACATAAAGTAGCAAAAGCAAAAAGGCAAAAACTTAGGAAAGAAAAAAACTAAGATTAGTGAATATTCTGCTACAGTCGAAAGGCTACATGTATCAATTAATCTAAGATCATTCAGAGATATTTGAAGGCTTTTTCCCTCATTTGATATCTGTCCAATTAGGACAAGTATTATATTTAAATGGTTCCAAAGAAATAACTCCCTTGGAGAGTCCTATAATGAAGGCTTTGCTGTGTCAATCCGACTAATTCATTATAATGAATATATGGTCAAAACATCCACTGATATTTGTTTTTGTAATAATATCTCTGATATCATGAGTCATTTGAACTTCACTGATTTTGAAGCTGTGCTAATTTGATGACATAGGCTCTGGTTAAATTTATATACTGCCTGACAAAATGCCTCATTAAGCAAATCAACGGTGTAAACAAGATTTTAGGGGGGTGGTGTTTAAGTTACTCAAGAGGATGAACAATGGTTCAGGCACTGCCAAATCATTTGGAAGTGTTTATTTTAAAATATATGATGACCGTGCAAATCTCAAATCATTTCTATCTACTTATTAATGTATATTCAAGGTCCTTCTAATTGGAAAATGTTTTGACAACATTTCTGTTTGGATATTGAACGACATTTTTTTCTCAGAATAGTCCGTAACTCAGATTTTCTACTAATTATGATCGTCCTTTCTCTATAGGAAGGCAAAAATGGGATATCAGTGTGGGAGAAGACCTTAGATACTATCAGTTGTTTCCTACCCCACGGGAGTATTGAGATAATTTAGGTGATACAGTAGGATATTAACTTTGAGTTCTGTAGTGAGAAGTTATTCTCTTTTAAGTTGTCTTTCAATCTTTTTGATTAGAAAAGAGGAAAATCTCAGGTGGATGTTGGGATGTCCTCAACACTGCTACCATTTACTAATCTCCCTGCTTCAAAAGGAGAGGGTGAATCTCAGGCGGCCAGTCCTCAACAGGCAGCACTTTCCAGAGATAATTAAAAGCATCATTCTCCTTTATTTTATTTATGTTCATGACTACCTCTGTTCAGACAACCGACAGTGATTTCTATCCATAGTAATCCTATAAAATTTCCTTTTTTTTTTTTTTTTTTTGAGACACTCTTGCTCTGTCTCCCAGGCTAGAGTGTAGTGGCACGATCTTGGCTCACTGCAACCTCTGCCTCCTGGGTTCAAGTGATTCTCCTGCTTCAGCCTCCCAAGTAGCTGGGACTGTAGGTGTGTGCCACCACGCATAGCTAATTTTCGTATTTTTAGTAGAGACAGGGTTTCACCATGTTGGCCAGGCTGCTCTCGAACTCCTGACCTCAGGTGATCCACCCGCCTCGGCCTCCCGAAGTGCTGGGATTACAGGCATGAGCCACAGCGCCCAGCCTAAAATTTCCTTTTTAAAGTCAATTTCAAGAAAAAAATGTGAGGAAGTGAGAAAACTGTAACTACAAATGTAAATAGTGCAGATGACATGTAGATGTGACAAAAATCACAATGTGGCATATGTCAACATGGGAAACATAGTGAAGATGGGGCTTACATGACTGACGTTTGGAAAAAAGTAATTGCCTTATTTTATGGCAGATGAAACTGATGACCTGGGAGGGCTAAGAGGCAGGCTAAGGTCAAACAGCACAGGTATCAGAGCCAAGATTTGAAAAAGACCCAACTCCCAGCTCACTCCCTTTCCACTACATGACACTGCCTTTCATTAATTTTGGTGTTCCTGTTCAGGTACAAGCAAATATTTGGGAATGTGAGCTTATTCTCTGAATATATATATATATATATATATATATATATATATATATTTTTTTTTTTTTTTTTTTTTTTTTTTTTTTTTCACCAGCCTACCCTGCATCAAAACGTTTGCCTCAAACTAGCCTTGTGGCATTGAAAAAAAGTTTTTTGGAATGACAGTCAGTGGAACATAGGGTCAGGCCCTTACCCTACCGTGGTTCTAATTCCCTCCATGGCTTTCCTTACCCAGCATCAGGAGGCCGTAAAACATCAGCTCTTTGAGAAGAGAGATTCTTCCTTGGACTGGAGTCCACTTCTCAACAATATCTCTGAAGTATTCACATTCCACTCTCAATGGGAAACCTAATTCTTTATAATGTGGCCTGTTCCATTCATGACAGTAAATGGAATCTTGAGAGTCCAATAATATATTTTGGAAGTATTTGAAACATGTCCACATGGGCCCTGTCTACACTGAAATTTGGGTATGGCTGAAAGACTTGGATATTGTCCCATACATGGCAGAAGCTGGTACTTTCAGATTATCTTAAGCTGGGGGACCAGGGAAGTGACAAAGCACTGCCCACTGTGTCTTTTAAGCACATGGTATCCTGCTGCCCCAATATAAAAAGACAGTCTCCTCCCACCAGTCAGGAACAAAGTCCAGGCTAGAATCAGTCAGCAAGGCCTAGTACAGAGTCTACTATTTTAGTTTTTTATTTCAAACACTTTAATTGCCTGGGTGAGAGTCCAGTTTTCCTCACATCCATATGATTGTCTTCCCATCTCCCCTGCCACTCAAGTTTAATGCCCTCTTTCCTAAATCACCAAGTTATATGGGTAATGTTCATTTTTTCCCTATTTTTATGTTACCTTGGCTTTTATTCTTCCAAATGTTTTTTTTTTCTTCCCAAGTATACATATAGAGCTTTAAATGGCATGTTAAAACTTTTGTCCAATGAGGAATAACATATATATGGTAGAGTGCATAAATGATACAGTCTTCATAGCTGGATGAATTTTTTTACTTACATATGTATCCATTGCCTTTAACATTGCCCAGATCAACATATAAATACTTGCTGCTTCCCAGAAGGTTCATAAAGGGGGCTCTAATGATAGGGTAGGAGTTTCCAGCTTTCTCCCTGTAAGTCTCTGGGAGAGACCTCATAGGCTGCTGTGGTCCAGGTAAGGTACAAGGAAGTGTGGTTTCTTTTCTTTCTTTCTTTTTTTTTTTTTTTTTGAGATGGAGTTTTGCTCTTGTTGCCCAGGCTGGAATACAAAGGCACAATCTTGGTTCACTGCAACGTCTGCCTCCTGTGTTCCAGTGATTCTCCTGCCTCAGCCTCCCAAGTAGCTGGAATTACAGGCATGTGCCACCATGGCCGGCTAATTTTGTATTTTTAGTAGAGATGGGGTTTCACCATGTTGGTCAGGCTGGTCTTGAACTCCTGACTTCAAGTGATCCACCCGCCTCGGCCTCCCAAAGTGCTGGGATTACAGGCATGAGCCACCGCGCCTGGTGGAAGTGATTTTTTGATGAGATATTAAAAGCTTTCTCAACAGGACTTTGGGGAGTATAAGGGGGCAGAGGGGGATGGGCCCCGGCCTTGAGATTTCAGATGCCAACTTTCTTAGAGCTCAACTGGCAGAGATATTGAAGCCTCAGACCTTAGAATCCTGATGGGAAAAAGGGGCTACAGGAATGGCCTGCTTGGTTTCTGTCTCTCCTTACAGAAGGCCTGGAGGAGGACTTGCAGGGCAATGGGGTTAGGTGATTGCTCCCATTTTCCCCAAATTCCTGGCATCTGAGTGCAGCTGAGATGCTTGGGCTCTTCTGGTATGGGGCCCTACCCATTTGCTCTGTTTCTGACATCCCAGGCAGGTGGAACACGGACAGATGTCACCTTCTTGCTTTGAAGGTAAAACAGCAGAGGGGACAAAGGCTCACTTCTCAGAGTATTATGCCAAGATACATATTTCCTATCCATTTTTCAGATGCCATGTGGCCCGTCTGACCCATAATTATTCTGAAACCACATGCCAACTCTCATGGCACATGATACTCGTTTTCAACAGTCACCCCTCAAACAACACAAGACGGTTGGCAAATCAAGAGATGAAAGGCCAGATGAGGACACCAGCTAGAGATCTTTGTCTCCCCTTGGTCCAAATTTAGGAATCACTGCAGCAAGATTTAAATAATGGTAATACAGTTGTTTCCATTTATTGAGCACCTACTTTGAGCCAGGCAGTATTCTAAGAACTCTACTTCTCCTGTCCTACTTCATTCCTTCAAAGAGTTTTATAGGTAGATATTATAGTCCTTAATTTTTAGATGAGAAAATGAGTCTCAAAAGAGGTTAACACATTGTTCTAGGGCAAACAGCCACCAAGAGGCAGAGCTGGGATTGGATTCCATGTCTTTCTGATGGTGGAGCCCATGGTCTTTAAATTGCATCAGCCCTTATGCAAACATTGGGTTCTCAGGACTGTCTGCTTGCCAAAATTACACTGTTAATCAGTGACACATTGGATAAGAGTGCATTAAATGAGAAATATCATTACAAATCGGGGGAGGGCTGACATGAAAAGGAAAAGATTATTGCTGGCTTGTTTCTAATCCTTGAGGCAGCTGTCGCTTGGTCTCAAGTCCACCAGACTATGGGTGCAGCAAGGGTAGGGACCAGTGCCCAGCACAGGGCTTGGCAGGCAGGGGGCTCCCAGGTGAATTGGATTTAGGATGATTTTTACCCTTGAGACCTTGAATAAACCCTCAGTGGAAAGAGAAACAGTCATCAAGAACAGATCACATTAAAATTGGAAGAATATTATTTATGAATGTTTCACAATTTTAGTTAACAGTTTCCAAAAATATTATGCTCCTTTCCAATATACTTCCTGACTCTAATTACATCATTTGGATAACACCTTACATCCAATTTTCCCACCTCTACGCTTTCTCTTCCAATCCAACTAATCTCCCTTGGTCCTACTAGGACAAGGAACATTTTTTTCAAGCACAATCCTGATTAGATCTCTCTCATTGAACCCCTCCATTCTTACAGAACTCTGTGAGCCCCTCTTCACCTTGAAGTTTGGAAATTTTTGATTATGTTTTGATTGATTTTTCTCTCTGAAAATACTACCGTGCCAGACCCAAGTTTTTTTTTTTTTTTTTAATCGAAGACGTTTGTAAAATGAGAATGCGCTTCTTGTTTTTCTTAATTAAAAGACATTTCAACTCATCCCTAAGATTGTGTTGGGTCAGGTTCCTAGAAGTAGCCCTGGGATGGGGTTACTTACACTTATGGCTTAGTGAGTTCTCACAGAAGAAAAGCCTGTAAGGAAGCGAGGGACACAGGATAAGGCAAAGATGATGCCAATCAAAGTGATGGTTTAAGCTGCTTCCACTGATTGACAGGTGGCCTGGTCTCACGCTGATCCCACAGGGAGCTCAGGAGTGTGCAGAGTGTGCTGGAAGCCAGGGAACCAGACTTTTCTACTCTGAATCAGCCAGGTATTGACTGAGGGTTGCTCTTGGGTTTTTGACGGATGGGGAGTGTGCACAACCTTTCAGGCACTGTCAGGCTAGGTGACTTCTGTCTGCTGCAGGCAATTCTCTGGAAAGGCATCTGGGGGATGAGCATGCCCACCAGGTAGAGAAGAGCTAGGCCAGCAGCACCAACAGCTCCTACTATAAAGACAGAGCTCAAATATCACCTCCTCTGTGACTCACTGCGGCAGGGCTGAAAAATTACTGCTTTTTACTGTTACGAGCGTAGAACTTGCTGCCTTGTTCAACATATGAATTCCTTGCTAGTAATGGAATAAACTGAGGCTTTGGAGCCAGACACACCCTAGTTCAAATAGCTTTGTCCCTTATTACCTTTGGTACCTTGAACATCCTGTTACCAATCTGAGCTCAGTTTCTGCCTTGTAGAATTGTTGCAGCACTATGTGAGCTATGGGCCCATAGTATCTGGCCCACAAGAGGTTCATAAAAACAGACCCAACCAGCAAATGAATGAGCAAACTTGCGATACATTTTATGCTTTTCAAAGAGCTGTCAATTCCCATCGCTGTTATTATCCCCACTATATGGATGAAGAAACAGTCAACAGATCTGGTCACTTGCAGAACTGGCAGTGCTGGATTTTATTCTGGGACTCTGTTAAGGAGAAGCATGAGTGGATTGGCCGTGTCTCTCCATGTAGCACAACATTTTCACCTCTGAGAAACCCCCAGTGATAATTAGTTTGAAGCCGTATTTTATTTTTCTGGGTGAGAAGGCAGATCCAAAATAGAATTGATAAAAAGACAAAACTGGGCCGGACACAGTGGCTCACATCTGTAATCCCAGCACTTTGGGAGGCCGAGGCGGGCGGATCATGAGGTCAGGAGATCGAGACCATCCTGGCTAACACGTGAAACCCCATCTCTACTAAAAATACAAAAAAAAATTAGCCAGGCGCGGTGGCGGGCGCCTGTAGTCCCAGCTACTCAGGAGGCTGAGGCAGGAGAATGGCGTGAATCCGGGAGGCAGAGCTTGCATTGAGCGGATATCGCGCCACTGCACTCCAGCCTGGGCGACAGACTGAGACTCCATCTTAAAAAAAAAAAAAAGACAAAACTATGGAGGCAGTATGGAAGCAGTAAAACTACGGAGCAGTCAGTGGTTGTCAGTTTTGGGGGAAGGGAGGGATGAAGATGGGTAGCACAGAGGATTTTTAGGGCAGTGAAACGGCTCTGGATGATACTGTAATGGTGGAGGCATGTCATTATACATTTTTCCAAACCCATAGGATGTATAACACCAAGAATGAACCCTAATGTAAACCATGGGCTTTGGATAATAATGATGAGTCAATATGTGTTTATCAGTTATAAAAAATGTACCATTTTGGTGGGGGATAGTGATAATGGGAGGCTAGGCATGTGTTGGGGCAAGGGGCATATGGAAAATCTGTTTTCCTCTCAATTTTGCTGTAAACCTAAAACTACTCTAAAATCTGTTAACAACTAGAGCTGATATTTATTTGGCACCCACTGGGTGCCAACACTAGGGAAGCATTTTTGTACCTGTTTTAATCCTCATAACCAGGTGGGAAATTTCACCCACAGTTACAGATGGGGAAGAAGAGTTACGTGCTCGAGTCACACATTTATTACGTAGACACGAGGCTCATCCTCTAGGAACAGAGGCTGCCTTCTTTGGGAAGGAGAGGTGGCGCCTGCAGTTGTCCTCTGCTGTGGTCTGATCTGACAGTAGCTGCTTCTTCCACCCTCATCCCGTGCCACCTCCTCCCTTGCTGTGTCTCCAGCCCTGCCCAGTGTGGCTGCAGATGATATTTTTATTGCTATGGACACACAGAGCTAGACTTTTCTCAGGCCAGTGCCATCTGTCTGCCTGGTGGACCCTGGAGGCTCTTTAGAGCACATGCCATCCAGAGGCCACATTCCACACATTGCTCAAAGGCAGCCTTGTGTGCGCCCACGTGTGTGCACTTGCCCAAGCCCCTGGGATCAGTCTGTCAGAATGCCTCTCGGGAGAGGTTAGTGTGGCTCTCTCCTGCTGTCTGTCAACAAATGTCCCTCTGCAGTGCCGTGGTGCCTGCAGCCTTGCTGCTCCCTCTGTACACAGAAGGCAGAGGTGGTGCTGGTATGGCCACTCCTCCTCATTCATTCATCCATTCAGTCATACATTCCACCCCTGCTTACCGAGCTTCAGCTGAATGCCACCCAGCCTTTGTTCTAAGATGCTCAGAATGTAATGGGAAACACGCTGAAGGTAAAAGACAATTATAGTCTAGTTTTCAGAGAGACAAACAATTGTCTGAAATTTGCTATAGCTGCTGCTGCCCTCCAAGGCGAGTGGGTAGATCCACATCAGGGAAATTCTTTATACTCAAGCCTTTCCTCTTTTGTGTATTCTTCCTTGATGGGTTCAGGCAAGGTTAGCCACTTGCTTTTCTGTACACAGCCCCCTGTAGTCACATCTGTGGTGGCAGATGTCATTTCTGTTGTAACTGTCCATCTACTTGTCATGGTCTGTTGTCACACTGTGAACTCCTTCAGAAGCTGGATACCGTCTGGTCTTTTTGATCTTTGGAGGCAGTATTGTTTTGGAATTAGAGAAACCCAGATTAGACTCCTATAACTGCTGGTTACTAATTCAGTGCCAAGACTAGAGGGAATGGAGTGAGTGAATGGAGTGAGGCACTCACCTCAGCTACAAATCTAAGGGGGCAGCAACAAATCCAGTCATCAAGATATACACACACACACACACACACACACATACACACACTTATGTATATATGTATATATACACACATACATATATGTATATATACACACATACATATATGTATATATACATATATATAATACAAATTTTATATAATGTATATAAAACACATTGTATATATATAAAAATTTGTATTATATATATAAAAAATTAGTATTATATAATATATATTATATATACAATTTGTATTTTTTATATATATATATATATATATATATATATAGATATATATAGATATATAGATATATATAT
Organism: Homo sapiens; assembly: GCF_000001405.40. NCBI lineage: Eukaryota > Metazoa > Chordata > Mammalia > Primates > Hominidae > Homo > Homo sapiens. The sequence goes on along the minus strand of NC_000009.12, from coordinate 108,743,073 downwards.
TTGCAGACAGACCCTCACTCTGGAGTGCAGTGGCACGATCTTGACTCACTGCAACTTCTGCCTCCGGGTTCAAGTGATTCTCATGCCTCAGCCACTTGAGTCGCTGGGATTCCAGGCATGCACCACCACATCAAGCAAATTTTTTTTTTTTTATTTTTAGTAGGGATGGGGTTTAACCATGTTAGCCAGGCTGGTCTCGAACTCCTGGCCTCAAGAGATCCTCCCGCCTTGGCCTCCCAAAGTGCTGGGATTACAGGCATGAGCCACTGCATCTGGCCCAAGATAAATATTTTAATGCAATATTAAAAAAAAGTAACACTTATGCAAAAAGTCCATGATGAACAAAATGTCAAAATTTTAAATAAAGACAGGATCTGGCCCAAAACTTGCATGACCTACGTTTCCATAATACTGGCCCTGTCATATTAAGTTTGCATGAATTTGAATTAATTTCTGCATTAATTTTGACTTAAAAATACCGCCCTCAAGGAGCTGACATTCTAGTTGGGGAGGCGGACATGTGCACAGATAACCATAACGGATTTCCTAAACAGTGCCACATACTGTGGGAGTGCAGCAAAGGATGCAACCCATCTTCCAAGATGGCTGCTGCTGGTAGTGGAGTGGATGTTGGGAAATGCTGTCAAGAAGAGGTAATATTTGACCTGGGTCTTGCAAGACAAGTCAGAGTTTAACAGCTGGGTGCCAGGTGGATGATGAAAGGGAAGCAGAGGGAATTGCCTGGGGAGAAGCACAGAAGCATGAGAGTGCTGCCATATTTGGAGATTGTCAAGCAGGTTGGGTGTTAAGTTTGATAAGAGAGATTTGATCGGTAAGAGGAATGAGGCCGGGTGCGGTGGCTCACACCTGTAATCCCAGCACTTTGGGAGGAGGAGGTGGGTGGATCACAAGGTCAGGAGATCGAGACCATCCTGGCCAACATGGTGAAACCCAGTCTCTACTAAAAATACAAAAATTAGCCAGACATGGTGGTGCGTGCCTGTAATCTCGGCTACTCAGGAGGCTGAGGCAGGAGAATCGCTTGAACCAGAGAGTCGGAGGTTGCAGTGAGCCGAGATCACATACCACTGAACTCCAGCCTGGGAGACAGAGCAAGCTCCGTCTCTAAATAAATAAATAAATAAATAAGGAATGATTATTTCCATTCTTGATGTGTTGTGTTTCCAAGAACATTCAGGTGATGTTTCCCTGCAAGCAGTTAGAGATCCTGGCCTGGAAATGAGAATGGAAGAGAGATTTAGGGGTCAGAAGTTGCAAGAGGTAGGAGATAAAGCCGTGAAGAAATGTTTCTGAAAAGAATGGTGCAGGTTATCCAGCCCTTCACAGAAAACCTAACACTATAGCCTTCTTGAATCTGTGAACCTGGTCTATATCTCCATGTACCGAAGTCTTTAATTGTTCTAAGCAGTGCGTTGTAGTTTTCAGTGTAGAAGTCTTGCACATTTTTCATTAGATTTATTGCTGGATATTTGATGTTTTTAAAGTTGTTACTGTAAGTATCGTTGGTTTAAAAATTTTCATTTTCAATTACTTATTTTTTTAGGTTATATATATTATATGAATAATTCATAATTACATATAGCAAAATGCACATGTAAGTGTTCAGGTGGATGAGTTTTGACAATTGTATAGATTGTTTAACCATCATCCCAAACATGATGTAGAATATTTCCATTACCTTAGAAAGTACCCTCATACCCCAGTCTGGTCAATTTTCTCCTCTTCCAGCAACCCCAGGGAAAACCATTTTTGGATTTCTATTGCCATTGATGTTTTTTGCCTGTTCTTGGACCTTATATAAATGGAATAATATAGTATCTATTATGCTTGTCTCCTTTTGGTTAAGATGATTTGAGATTAATCCATTTGTTGCATATATCAATAGTTCATCCCTCTATTGCTATTCATACCATTCCCTCTATTCATACCATTCACACTAGAGTCCATCCCTCTATTCATACCATTCCAGGGTATGAATCTACCATAATTTATTTATCTATTCTCCTGTGGATGGACATTTGGGTTGTTTACAGTTTTGCCTGATAATATTGCTATGAACATTTTTGTATAAATATTTTTGTAGATATATACTTTAATTTATTTTGTTTATACACCTAGGACTGGAATTACTAGATTGTTTGGGTAGATATATATATTTAACTTTCCAAAGAACTGGAAAATAGTTCTCCAAAATGGTTGTACACTCCTACCAGCAATGAGTGAGAGTTCTTCTCCAGTATTTGTTATTGTAAATTTTAAATTTTAAACCATTTAGTTGGTATAAATTAGTATCTCATGGTTTTAGTTTGCATTTCTCTGATGACTAAGGATGTTGGGCTTCTTTCTCTGTCCTTACTGGCCGTTTATATGTTTACTTCTGTGAAGAGTTTGTCTTTTGCTCATTTTAATTGGGTTGGGGTTTTTTGTTGTTGTTGGTTTGTAAGGGTTCTTTGTATTTTCATCGTTTCCATAGGAATATACAGTGGTGTCAGTACCATTTTTTTCCACAACAAAAACAAACAACAACAACCACAAAAAAAACCCAGCTTTTCTCATTGAAGAATTAATCACTCAGCTTCCCTGGGCTCCCACAGCAACAAGTTTATCCATCTAGTGTAGAACTTGTCATAGTTTGATTTTATTAAATTTATATGCCTTGGTGAAAAAAACCTTTTCTCATTAAATCGACTTAGTATCTCAGTTAAAAAAAAATAACTGCTGTGTATGTGTGGATCTATTTCTGAACTCTATATTTTGCTCCATTGTTCTGTTTGTCTTCCTGTGAAGATTACACTGTTTTGATTACTGTAGATTTTTAGCGAGCCTTGAAATCAGATAGTGTAAATCCTCCAAATTTGCTTTCCTTTCTCAAGGTAGTTTGTTTTGGCCATTCTAAGAATTTTATCTTCCGGCCGGGTGCAGTGGCTCACACCTGTAATCCCAGCACTTTGGGAGGCCAGGGCGGGCGGATCACCTGAGGTCGGGAGTTCGAGACCAGCCTGATCAACATGGAGAAACCCCATGTCTGCTAAAAATACAAAATTAGCCGGGCATTGTGGTGCATGCCTGTAACCCCAGCTACTAGGGAGGGCTGAGGCAGGAGAATCACTTGAGCCTGGGAGGCAGAGGTTGCGGTGAGCTGAGATTGCATCATTGTACCCCTGTCTGGGCAACAAGAGCGAAACTCTGTCTCAAAAAAAAAAAAATAATAATTTTATCTTCCATGTAGATTTCAGAATTACCTTGTCAGCTTGGATTTTGGTTGAGCTATCTTTTTAACTCTTAAGTTAATTTGGTAGAATGGATACCTAACACTATGGCCTTGAATCCATGAATCTGATCTGCATCCCCATGTACTGAAGTCTTTAATTATTCTAAGCAGTGTGTTGTAGTTTTCAGTGTAGAAGTCTTGCCCATTTATCATTAGATTTATTCCCTGGATTTTTTTTTTTTTTTGAGACGGAGTCTTGCTCTGTTGCCCAGGCTGGAATGCAGTGGCGGGGTCTCAGCCCACTGCAAGCTCTGCCTCCTGGGTTCACGCCATTCTCCTGCCTCAGCCTCCTGAGTAGCTGGGACTATCGGCACCCGCCACCACGCCTGGCTAATTTTTTGTATTTTTAGTAGAGACAGGGTTTCACCGTGTTAGCCAGGATGGTCTCGATCGCCTGACCTTGTGTTTCACCCACCTCGGCCTCCCAAAGTGCTGGGATTACAGGCATGAGCCACTGTGCCCAGCCTCTTCCTGAATATTTGATGTTTTAAAAATTGTTACTGTAAATAGTGTTAGTTTTAAAATTTTCATTTTCAATTATTTGTTGTTGTGATATAGAAATATAACTGATTTTTATATGTTGACTTTGTATCCTGAAAACTTAATAATATTTTTTAGGTTCTGCAGGGTTTTCTACACACATAGTAATTTCATCTATGATTACAGTTTTACTACTTCCTTTCCAGTTTGTGTGCTGTTTATTTCTTATTGAGCCTTATTGTACCAGGTAGATATCCAATAATATGTTTAATGAAAGTGGTGGTAACATTTTTCTTTGCTCCTATTCTTATTAGAAGAACATTTCATCATTAAATATGATATTAGCAGTAAGTTTTTTGTAGAATCTCTTGATCAGATTGAAGAAGTTTCCCTTTTTCTCACTTCAATTTTTTTGTATGAGTGTTAAATTTTGTCAAATACTTTTTTCTCATCTATTGAGTTAACCACATGAATTTTCTTTCTTATTCTGAGAATGTGGTGAATTAATTGAGTTGATGGATTCACTAATACTAAACTAAGCCTGCATTTCTGGGGTAAATCTCACTGGTCTTGATGTGTTATCCTTTTTATATATTGCTAATATTTTGTTGAGCATTTTCAATATATAATCGTGAGTAATTTTCTTGTTACGTGTTATTTGGTTTTGATATTAGGTAATGCTGGCTTCAAAAAATAGGTTGAGAAAGTATTCCCTTCTATTTTCTAAAAGAGTTTGTATAAATTTGGTATTATATTTTCTTTAAGTTGTTGAGATAATTTACTGGTGAAGCTATCTGGACCTGGAGTTTTCTTTGTTAGCAGGTTTTTTGATAATGAATCAAATACAAAAAGTAGATACGGAGCAATTGCTTTTCTAATTCTTTTTGTGTCAGTTTTGTTCATTTATCTTAGTTTTTCAAATTTGTTAGCATAAAGTTGTCTATAATATCCCATATGTCCATTCCTTCATTTCTTATGTTGGTAATTTATGTTTTCTTTCTTTTTTAGTTATTAATCTTGTTAGCATTTTATCAATTTTTTTTTGAGATGGCGTCTCACTCTGTCACCCAGGCTGGAGTGCAGTGGCTTGGTCTCAGCTCACTGCAACCTCCACCTCGCGGGTTCAAGCAATTCCTCTGTCTCAGCCTTCTGAGTAGCTGGGACTACAGGTGCCTGCCACCACAGCCAGCTAATTTTTGTATTTTTAGTAGAGATGGGGGGTTTCACTATGTTAGCCAGGATGGTCTCCATCCCCTGACCTCGTGATCCGCCTGCCTCAGCCTCCCAAAGTGCTGGGATTATAGGCATGGGCCACTGTGCCCGGCCATCAGTTTTATTGTCTAATCAAAGAACCAACTATTGACTTTTAAATTTTCTCTTTGTCCACTTTCTATTTGATTAATTCTGCTCTTATTTTCATTTCCTTTCTTCTACGTAGTACTTTGATTTTTTTCTAGTTTCTTTTTAAATTTTAATGTTTGTGCATACATAGTAGGTGTATATATTTATGGGGTACATGAGATATTTTGATATAGGCATAAAATGTGTAATAATCACATCAGGGTAAATGGGGCATCCATCACCTCAAGCATTTAACCTTTCTGTTACAAACAATCTAATTAACTCTTTTAGTTATTTTTAAATTGTAATACTCTGTTCTTATGCTACTAATAAAGACATACCTGTGACTGCATAATTTATAAAGAAAAAGAGGTTTAATGGATTCACAGTTCCACATACTACCAGGGGAGGCTGGTGAGGCCTAACAATCATGACAGAAGGCAAAGGAGGATCAAAGGCACGTCTTACATGGTGCCAGTGTACGAGGGTTCTTTCTTCTCCACATACTCACCAGCATTTGTTATTGCCTGTCTTTTGGATAGAAGGACTTTAACTGGGGTGAGATGATATCTCATTATAGTTTTGACTTGCATTTCTCTGATGATCAATAATGCTGAGACCTTTTCATATGATTGTTTGCCATTTTTATGTCTTTTCATATAATTGTTTGCCATTTGTATGTCGTCTTTTGAGAAATTTCTATTCGGATCTTTTGCCCTTTTTAAATCGGAGTATTAGATTTTTTTCCCCGTATGGTTATTTGAGCTCCTTATATATTCTGGTTATTAATCCCTTGTTAGATGGATAGTTTGCAAATATTTTCTCCCATTCTGTTGGTTGTGTGTTCACTTTGCTGATTGTTTCCTTTGGTGTGCAGAAGCTTTTTAACTTGATATGATCCCATTTGTTCATTTTTGCTTTGCTTGCCTATGCTTGTGGGATATTACTCAAATAATCTTTCCATAGTTCAAAGTCATGGAGAGTTTCCCTAATGTTTCTAATGTTGTATTTTTGTAGTTTCATGGTTTGAGGTCTTAGATTTAAGTCTTTAATCCATTTTGATTTGATTTTTATATATGGTAAGACATAGGTGTCTATTTTTATTCTTCTGCATATGGATATCCAGTTTTCCCAGCACCATTTATTGAGGTGATTGTTCTTTGTCCAGTGTATGTTCTTGGCAACCTTGTTGAAAAGGAGTTTACTGTAGGTATATCAATTTGTTTTTGGGTTTTTAAATTCTGTTCTGTTGGTCTATGTGTCTGTTTTTATGCTAGTACCATGCTGTTTTGGTTACCATAGCTCTGTAGTATAATTTGAAGTCAGGTAATGTGATTCCTCCAGTTTTGTTCTTTTTGCTAAGGATAGCTTTGGTTATTCTGGGTCTTTTGTGGATCCACATACATTTTATGATTTTTTTTTTCTTTTTCTGTGGATAATGTCATTGGTATTTTGATAGAGATTGCTTTGAATCTGTAGATTGCTTTAGGTAGTATGGACATTTTAACAATATTGATTTTGTCAATCCATGAACATGGAATATCTTTCCATTTTTTTGTGTCCTCTTCAATTTCTTTTATCAATGTTTTATAGTTTTCATTGTAGAGCTCTTTCATTTCTTAAATAGGATAACTTTCTTGACTTCTTTTTCAGATTGATTGCTGTTGGCATGTAGAACTGCTACTGATTTTTGTGTGTTGATTTTGTATCCGGCAACTTTACTAAATTTATCAGTTCTAATAGTTTTTTTGTGAAGTCTAGATTTTTTTCAAGTATAAGATCATATCATCTGCAAGCAAAGATAATTTGACTTATTCCTTTCTAACTTGGATGGCTTTTCTTTCTCTTGTGTGATTGCTCTAGCTGGGACTTGTAGTAATATGATGAATAACAGTAGTGAAAATTAGCATCCTTGTCATGTTCTAGATCTTAGAGGAAAGGCTTTCAGTTTTTCTCATTCAATATGATACTAGCTGTGGGTCTGTCATATATGGCTTTTGTTGTGTTGAGGTGTGTTCCTTCTATGCCCAGTTTTTTTTTAATCATGAAGTGATGTTGAATTGTATCAAATGCTTTTTCAGCATCAATTGACATGATCGTATAGTTTTTGTCCCTCATTCTGATGATACGATGTATCACATTGATTGATTTGTGTATGTTGAATCAGCTTTGCATCTCTGGGATAAATCCTATTTGGTCATAATGAGTGATCGTCTTTAACGTGTTGCTGAATTTGGTTTGCTAATATTTTGTTGAGGATTTCTTGCAACAGTTTTCATTAGGGATATTAGACTGTAGTTTTCTCTTTTTCATGTGTTTTTGTTTGGTTTTGGTATCAGGCTCATACTGGCCTTATAGAATGAGTTTGAAAGTATTCTCTACTCTGTTTTTTGGAATATTTTGGGTAGGATTGGTATTAGTTCTTCTTTAAATGTTTGATAAAATTCATCAGTGAAGCCATCAAGTTCCAGGCTTTCTTGACTGGGATATTTTTTATTATGGCTTCAATACCCTCTTATTGGTCTGTCCAGGTTTTTAATTTCTTCATGATTCAATCTTGGTAGGTTGCATGTGTCTAGGAGCTTATCTACTTCTTCTAGGTTTTCCAATTTACTGGGATATAGTTGCTGATAATACCCTCTAATGATCCTTTGAATTTCTGCAGTATCATAGTTGTAATATCTCCTTTTTCATCTCTGATTTTATTTGTGTCTTTTCTCTTTCTTTCCTAGTCTGGTTAAAGGTTTGTCAATTTTATTTATTTTTCCAAAAGCCAAGTTTTTGTTTCTTTCATATTTTCTATGGTTTTCTTCATTTATTTCATTTAATTCTGTTGATATTTATTATTTCTTGTAATTTGGGGTTTGTTTTGCTTTTGCTTTTCTAGTTTGTTAAGATGCATCATTAGGTTGTTTGAGTTTTCTTTTTTGATGTAGGTGCTTATAGCTATAAACTTCTTACTACTGCTTTTGCTGTATCCAGTAGGTTTTGGTATGTGTGTTTCCATTATTTGTTTCAAGAAAAATTTTGAATTTCCTTCTTTAATTTCTACATTGACTCACTGGTCATGCAGGAGCATATAGTTTAATTTCTTTTTATTATTATTATTATTATACTTTAAGTTTTAAGGTACATGTGCACAATGTGCATGTTAGTTACATATGTATACATGTGCCATGCTGGTGTGCTGCACCCATTAACTCGTCCTTTAGCATTAGGTATATCTCCTAATGCTATCCCTCCCCCCTCCCCCCACCACACAACAGTCCCCAGAGTGTGATGTTCCCCTTCCTGTGTCCATGTGTTCTCATTGTTCAATTCCCATCTATGAGTGACAGTGTGCGGTGTTTGGTTTTTTGTCCTTGCGATAGTTTACTGAGAATGATGATTTCCAATTTCATCCATGTCCCTACAAAGGACATGAACTCATCATTTTTTATGGCTGCATAGTATTTCATGGTGTATATGTGCCACATTTTCTTAATCCAGTCTATCATTGTTGGACATCTGGGTTGGTTCCAAGTCTTTGCTATTATGAATAGTGCCACAATAAACATACGTGTGCATGTGTCTTTATAGCAGCATGATTTATAATCCTTTGGGTATATACCCAGTAATGGGATGGCTGGGTCAAATGGTATTTCTAGTTCTAGATACCTGAGGAATCGCCACACTGACTTCCACAATGGTTGAACTAGTTTACAGTCCCACCAACAGTGTAAAAGTGTTCCTATTTCTCCACATCCTCTCCAGCACCTGTTGTTTCCTGACTTTTTAATGATTGCCATTCTAACTGGTGTGAGATGGTATGTCATTGTGGTTTTGATTTGCATTTCTCTGATGGCCAGTGATGATGAGCATTTTTTCACGTGTCTTTTGGCTACATAAATGTCTTCTTTTGAGAAGTGTCTGTTCATATCCTTCGCCCACTTTTTGATGGGGCTGTTTGTTTTTTTCTTGTAAATTTGTTTGAGTTCATTGTAGATTCTGGATATTAGCCCTTTGTCAGATGAGTAGGTTGCGAAAATTTTCTCCCATTTTGTAGGTTGCCTGTTCACTCTGATGGTAGTTTCTTTTGCTGTGCAGAAGCTCTTCAGTTTAATGAGATCCCATTTGTCAATTTTGGCTTTTGTTGCCATTGCTTTTGGTGTTTTAGACATGAAGTCCTTGCCCATGCCTATGTCCTGAATGGTAATGCCTAGGTTTTCTTCTAGGGTTTTTATGGTTTTAGGTCTAATGTTTAAGTCTTTAATCCATCTCGAATTAATTTTTGTGTAAGGTGTAAGGAAGGGATCCAGTTTCAGCTTTCTATATATGGCTAGCTAGTTTTCCCAGCACCATTTATTAAATAGGGAATCGTTTCCCCATTGCTTGTGGGCTTCATCCCTGGGATGCAAGGCTGAAGTGGGCTTCATCCCTGGGATGCAAGGCTGGTTCAATATATGCAAATCAATAAATGTAATCCAGCATATAAACAGAACCAAAGACAAAAACCACATGATTATCTCAATAGATGCAGAAAAGGCCTTTGACAAAATTCAACAACCCTTCATGCTAAAAACTCTCAATAAATTAGGTATTGATGGGACGTGTCTCTATAAGAGCTATCTATGACAAACCCACAGCCAATATCATACTGAATGGGCAAAAACTGGAAGCATTCCCTTTGAAAACTGGCACAAGACAGGGATGCCCTCTCTCACCACTCCTATTCAACATAGTATTGGAAGTTCTGGCCAGGGCAATTAGGCAGGAGAAGGAAATAAAGGGTATTCAGTTAGGAAAAGAGGAAGTCAAATTGTCCCTGTTTGCAGATGACATGATTGTATATCTGGAAAACCCCATTGTCTCAGCCCAAAATCTCCTTAAGCTGATAAGCAACTTCAGCAAAGTCTCAGGATACAAAATCAATGTACAAAAATCAGAAGCATTCTTATACACCAATAACAGACAAACAGAGAGCCAAATCATGAGTGAACTCCCATTCACAATTGCTTCAAACAGAATAAAATACCTAGGAATCCAACTTACAAGGGATGTGAAGGACCTCTTCAAGGAGAACTACAAACCACTGCTCAAGGAAATAAAAGAGGATACAAACAAATGGAAGACCATTCCATGCTCATGGGTAGGAAGAATCAATATCGTGAAAATGGCCATACTGCCCAAGGTAATTTATAGATTTAATGCCATCCCCATCAAGCTACCAATGACTTTCTTCACTGAATTGGAAAAAACTACTTTAAAGTTCACATGGAACCAAAAAAGAGCCCGCATCGCCAAGTCAATCCTAAGCAAAAAGAACAAAGCTGGAGGCATCACGCTACTTGACTTCAAACTATACTACAAGGCTACAGCAACCAAAACAGCATGGTACTGGTACCAAAACAGAGATATAGATCAATGGAACAGAACAGAACCCTCAGAAATAACGCCGCATATCTACAACTATCTGATCTTTGACAAACCTCAGAAAAACAAGCATATACTTTAATTTCTTTTTTTTTTTTTTTTTTTTTTTTTTTTGAGACGGAGTCTCGCTCTGTCGCCCAGGCTGGAGTGCAGTGGCGGGATCTCGGCTCACTGCAAGCTCCGCCTCCCGGGTTCACGCCATTCTCCTGCCTCAGCCTCCCAAGTAGCTGGGACTACAGGCGCCCGCCACTACGCCCGGCTAATTTTTTGTATTTTTAGTAGAGACGGGGTTTCACCGTTTTAGCCGGGATGGTCTCGATCTCCTGACTTCGTGATCCGCCCGCCTCGGCCTCCCAAAGTGCTGGGATTACAGGCGTGAGCCACCGCGCCCGGCCCTAATTTCTAAGTGTTTCTATAGTTTCCCAAATTCCTTATTTTTGATTTCTCATTATATTCCATTGTGATCACAGCAGATACTTTATATGATTTCAATTATTCTGAATGTTTTAAGACTTATTTTGTGGCCTAACTTATGTTCTATTCTTGAGAATAATCTATGTGCTGAGGAGAAGAATGTGTATTCTGTGGCTGGGATCAAATGGTCTGTAAATATTAGGTCCATTTGGTCTGTAATGCAGATTAAGTCTGATGTTTCTTTGTTGATTATCTGTCTGGATGATCTGTCCAATGCTGAAAGTGGGGTGCTGAAGTTTCCAGCTATTATTGTACTGGGTTCTATCTCTTGTTAACTCTAATAATATTTTCTTTATATATCTTGGTGTTCCAGTAGTGCATGTATATATATTTACAATTGTTATATCTTCTTGCTGAATTGACCCCTTTATCATTATACAATGACTATGTCTCTTTTTAGAGTTTTTAATCTTGAAATATATTTTGTCTGATATAAGTATAGCTACTCCTGTTTTTTGGGTTCCATTTGCATGGAATATCTTTTTCCATCTCTTTATTTTCAGTCTGTGTGTGTGTATATATAGGTGAAGTGTGGTTCTTGTAGGCAACAGATTATTGGGTCTTGCTTTTTTATTCATTCAGCCACTGTCTTTTGATTGAAGAGTTTAGTCCATTTATATTCAATGTTATTATTGATATGTAAGAACTTATTCTGCCATTTTGTTATTTGTTTTCTGATTGCTTTGTGGTCGTCTCTTCCTTCTTTCTTTCCTTCCTGTCTTCCTTTTAGTGAAGGTGATTTTCTCTGGTGATATGTTTTAATTTTTTGCTTTTTGTTTTGTGTGTATCTGTTGTATGTTTTTTGATTTGAGGTTACCATGAGGCTTGCAAATAATATCTTATAACTCATTATTGTAAGCTGATGACAACTTAACACTGATTAAATAAACCAACAAGCAAAGAGAAAACTAATAAAAACTTTACATTTAACTTCATCCCCCAACTTTTAAACTTTTTGTTGTTTTTATTTATATCTTATTATACTAGCTATGTCTTGAAAAGTTGTTGTAGTTATTATTTTTGATTAGTTCATCTTTTAATCTTTCTACTCAAGATAGACATCAAGATTTCTACTCAACCCCATAATTACCACTAAGTTTTGCACCTTTGGATGATATTTCTCATTGATATCCTTTTCTTTCAGGTTGAAGAACTCTCTTTAGCATTTCTTGTAGAAATGTTCTGGTACTGATAAAATCCCTCAGCTTCTGTTTGTCTGGAAAACTCTTTCTGAAGGATATTTTCACTGGATATAATATTCTAGGATATAAGGTTTGTTTTTGTTTGTTTTGCCTTTAGCACTTTAAATACGTCATGCCACTCTCTTCTGGCCTATAAGGTTTCCACTGAGAACTCTGCTGCCAGATGTATTGGAGCTTCATTGTATGCTATTTGTTTCTTTCTCTTGTAGTTTTAAAATCCTTTCTTTATCATTGTCCTCTGGGAGTTTTAACTATCTTGAGGTAGTCTTATTTGGGTTAAATGTGCCTGATGTTCTATAATGTTCTTGTGCTTGAATATTGATATCTTTCTTTAGGTTTGGGAAATTCTCTGTTTTTATTTCTTTGAATAAACTTTCTACCTCCATTAAAAAAAATTTTTTTTGGAGTCTTGCTGTGTCACCCAGGCTGGACAGCAGTGGTACGATCTTGGCTCACTGCAACCTCCACCTCTCAGGTTCAAGTGATTCTACCACCTCAACCTCCCAATTAGCTGGAACTACAGATGCGTGCCTCATGCCTGGCTAATTTTTATATTTTTTAGTAGAGATGGGGTTTTGCCATGTTGGCCAGGCTGATCCCGAACTCCTGACCTCAGATGAACTGCCCACCTTGGTCTCCCAAAGTGCTGGGAGTACAGGTGTGAGCTACCATGCTGCACCCTCTACCTCCTTTTAAAGGGCAGTAACTCTTAGACTTGCCTTTTTAGAGCTATTTTCTAGATCCTGTAAGTATGCTTTCTTCTTTTTTATTTTTCTTTTGTCTCCTCTGACTGTGTATTTTCTTCTTTCTTTCTTTCTTTTTTTTTTTTTTTTTTTTGAGACTGAGTCTCACTCTGTTACCCAGGCTGTAGTGTAGTGGCACCATCTCAGTTCACTGCAACCTCTGCCTCCCAGATTCAAGCGATCTTCCTGTCTCGGCCTCCCGAGTAGCTGGGACTACAAGCATGTGCCACCATGCATGGCTAATTTTTGTGTTTTTAGTAGAGACAGGGTTTCACCACGTTGGCCAGGCTTGAACTCTTGATCTCAAGTGATCCACCTGCCTCAGCTTCCCAAAGTGATGGGATTACAGGCGTGAGCCACCACGCCCAGCTAACTGTGTATTTTCAAATAGCCTATCTTTGAGCTCACAAATTATTTCTTCTGTTTGATCAGTTCTGCTGGTAAGACACTCTGATGTATTCTTTGGTATGTCAATAACATTTTTCTTTTTCTTTTGTTTTGAGACAGGGTCTTGCTCTGTTGTCTAGGCTGGAGTGCAGTGGTACATTCATGGCTCACTGAAGCCTCAATCTCCCCTGCTCAAGAGATTCTCCCACCTCAGCCTCCTGAGTAGCTGGGACTATAGGCATATGCCACAATGCCTGGATAATTTAAAAACTTTTTTTGTAGTGACTAGGTTTCCCTATATTGCCAAGGCTGGTTTTAAACTCCTGGGCTCAAGTGAACCTCCTGCCTCAGCCTTCAATTGCATTTTTTCAATTCCATAATTTCTGCTTGATTAACTGTTAATTATTTCAATCTCTTCAAAAATTTTATCTGATAAGATTCTGAATTCCTTTTCTGTGTTACATTGAATTTTGTTAAGTTTCCTCACAACAGCTATTTTGAATTCTCTGTCTGAAAGGTCACATATCTCTGTCTCCCAGGATTTATCCCTGGTGCCTTATTTAGTTTGTTTGGTGAGCTTATGTTTTCCGAAATGATCCTGATGCTTGTGGATGTTTGTCAGTGTCTGGGGCATTGAAAAGTTAGGTATTCACTGTAGTTTTTGCATTCTGGGCTTGTTTCTACCCTGCCAGTATTAAGCCTCACCCAAGGGTCATGGTAATCACTGCCTAGCTACTGCCTATGTTCACTCAAGGCCCTAGAGCTCTGCACTGAGCAGGTGGCCAAGCCAGCCAGGCTTGTATCCTTTCTTTCAGGGTGGCCAGTTTCCCCTGGCCCTGGGCAGGTCCAGAGATGCCGTCCAGGAGCCAGGGCCTGGAGTTGGAAACCTTAGGAATCTATCTGGTGCTTTATTCTACTGTGGCTGAGCTGGCACTCACGTCTCAAGACCAAGTCCTCCCCATTCTTCTCTCCCCTTTCGATAAACATAGGAATCTCTCTCCATGGCCACCACTGCCCCAGGCCTGTGGGGAGTACTCCCTGGCTACCACTGATGTTCACTCAAGGCCCAAAACTCTTCAGTCAGCTCTGGTGAATGCTGCCACACCTGTGACTCTCCTGACTCTCCTTTCAGGGCAGTAGGATCCCCTCTGGCCCAGGACAGGTCCAGAAATACTGTCTAAGAGTCAAGGCCTAGAATTGGGGACCCTAAGAATCCACTTAGTTCTCCACCCCACTGAGGCAGAGCTGGTACCTAAGCTGCAAGACAAAGTTCCCTTTACTTTTCTGTTTGCTTTTCTGAAGCAGAAGGAGTCTCTTCTTGTAGTTGCTATAGCTGATAATGGGCTGGGTTACATCTAAACCAGCATGTCTCAGATTCTCACCCAAGGTTCATGGTGATTGCTGCCTGGGTATCACTGCTGATTATTCAAGGTGCAAGGGCCTTTTAGGCAGCAGGTGATACATCCTGCCAGGACTAGGTCCTTCCATTCAAGAGGGCAGGTTCCTTTGTGGCCCAGGGTTTATCTAGAAATGACATCTGGGAGCTAGGGCCTGAAGTGGGGGCCTCAGGACTCTGCCTGGTACCCTGTTTTATTGTGACTGAGCTGGTTTCCAAGTGGCAAGACAAAGTCCTGTTTCCTCTTCCCTCTCTCCCCTCAAGTGGAAAGAAGAAATCTGTCTCGGAGCTGTGAGGTACACTATCTGGGTTGGGGGAAGGGTAGCACAAGCACTCCCTTGGCTGCCCCAGCTGCTGTCTCACTAGGCTGTGTGCCCTCCAAGTCCACTGGCTCTGAGCCCAGCACAGCACCATGATTTGTCCAAGAATTGCAGTCCTTGTGGTCTAGAGTGCCTTTCAAGTTTATTTAGGATGCCAGGGCACTTTAGCCCACTGAGTTCCCTGTTGGAACTCAGGTTCTGACTGCTATGATGGGCAGTTCCCCTCTTGCTAGGGCTGGTCTAAATGCTTCCTCTTTGGGCGCCAGCTGAGTTCTGCCTGGTGTTGCTTTCTGTGACAGGACAGCACTAAGTTCCAATGCAAAGTCCAGCAATCACTGTGCTTTCCCTCCCACAAGTGCAAAGATTCTGTCTCTGCAACACATGGCCCCTGATGGGGGATGGAGGAGGGGTGATGTTGGCAATTCAAGGCCCTCATCAGTTCCTTTTTCAGTGATATGAAGTTAAAACCGGGTACTGTGACCACTCACTTGACTTTTGGTTCTTAGGAACTTGTTTTTGTGTGGATAATTGTTTGGCTTGGTGTTCCTGTGGGGAGGATGATTGGTGAAGGCTTCTATTTGGCCATCTTGCTCTGCCTCCTCCACCCCAAGTATACGTCTTTATAGCTTTTCCTCTTGGATGTGCTCACAAATGCCCTGCCTGCCTCCGGCTTACTGCTCTTCATATTCCATGGCTGGGTCCCCATAACCTTTCTCAGTGAGCTCCAATCAGACCCAGCATCCAGGACGAGACCTGACTGAGGGGCTCTAGCTTCTTAATATGCAAGAGTAGATTACTGATTTTCACTTTATCTTTTTTTCTAATATAAGAATAGTATTAGAAAAAATATTATATGCTGCATCCCACACATTTATGTCATGTTTTCATTATCATTTAGTTTAAAATATTTTGTATGACTCCTTTTTAAACTTAAGAGAGATTTAGAATGTATTGCTTAGTTTCCAAATATTTTGGGGGAATTTTCTAGATAGCTTGTTGTTACTGATTTTTTAGTTAATTCCACTGTGGCCAGAGAACATCCTCTGTATGATTTCAATTCTTTGCAATTCATTGAGGCTTATTTCATGGCCCAGCACATGGTCAAGTCTGGTGAGTGGTCCATATGCACTTAAAAACAAGGTATATTCGGCAACGTGACATACAGTGTTCTGTAAGTATTTGTTTGGTAGTGTTGCTCAAATCTTCTATGTCTTTATTAATTTTTATCTACAGCTTACATGACTTATGGAGAGAAGAATGTTAAAATTTCCAGCTGTGATTGTGGATTTGTCTATTTCCCCCTTTAGTTCTGTAAATTTTTCATTTATGTAATTTAAGTTGTGCACCTAGGTACATGCATATTTGGAATTGTGTATCCTTGATGAATTAACTCTGATGGTCATGAAATGTTCTTTTAGTATTTGATAGTACTTATTTTTTAAAAATTTATTTTATTTTAGATTCAAGGGGTTCATGTGCATGTTTGTTACATGTTTATATTGCATGCTGGTGGGGATTGGGCTTCTAATGTTCACTAGTGTACCAAATAGTGAACATTGGACCTGGTAGTTTTGATAGTATTTTTCATGTTTATGTTTTTGTGATTGATATGGTCACACCAGCTTTCCTATGTGTAATGTTTGCAAAGTTTGTCTTTTTTTCAACTTTACTTTCAACCTGTCTGTGTTAGTATATTTAAAAGCATATTTCTCAAAAACAGCATATAATTGGGCTTTTTAAATCTAGTCTGATTATCTTTGCGTTTTAATTGGTGGGTTTCATCTATGTACATTTAATGCAATCATTGATATGGTTAGTTGAAATCCACAATCTTGGCAGTTATTTTTTATTTGTCCCTTTGTTTTTTCTTTCCTGCTTTCTTCTGGGTGAACTGAGTATTTTTAAGCGTTCCATTTTATTGCCTCTATCATCTTTTGCCCTATATGTCCTTGTGTTTTTTTAGTGGTTTCTCTAGAGAAGAATTTTTCAATCTTGGCACTATTGCTATGTAATTCTTTGCCATGGGGTGCGGTGATGTGCATGGTACAATATTTAGCTTCATCCCTGGTCTCTCCTCACTAGATGACAGTAGCACCTCCTCTCCCCAGTTGTAACAAGCAAAAATATCCAGACATTGCCAAATGTCCCCTGGAGGGCAAAAGTGCCCCTGATTGAGAACTACTCCTTTGAAGATTACAGTATTCACTTTTACTTTATAGCAAACCACCTTCAAATAATATTATACCTCTTCATAAACAACATAGGAACTTGACAACAATATAATGCAATCTTCCCCTTTTCAATCTTTGTACTTTTATCATATACTTTACTTTTAATTATGCTATAAATCCCATAATACATTATTATTTCTGCCTTAGTCTTTCAAAGACACAAAGATGTCTATGTATATGTATGTAAAATTTTCCTTTTCATTACCTTTAATATGTATTCCTTCTTCTCTTCTGCCGCTGGTTTCTGCTCCTTGAGAGATCTATCTCCATCCTGCTGTCCTGACCCCAGTCTTCAAATGCCCACTGGAATGCACTTTGTAAAGGCCTGGAGGGCCTGGCGGGCCTGGTGGAGAATTCTCTCAGTTCTTTTGCTTGCCCGGTTTTTGAAGGTCATTGCTGAGCATTCTGTGAAGTCCTGGAGTATCTCAAAAGGATTTTCCTCGGTTCTCCTGGCCCTACCCTTAGGCATAGTAGGCTCCCACCTTTTTCCAGGGGAAGTATTTATGTACCTCAAGGGAATCTTTCTCAGCTCTCCTGCCCTGCCCAAGCCCTTGGTATATCCTGATACACTTGGGGAAGGCCTGTGGGAATGAGTGGGTTGATGGGGGCAGACTTACTCTGGAATTCTGATCCATCACTGCAACCTACACCCAGGTATTAAGAGTTTATTGAAGGTTCAGCTGCTTTCTCTTTTCCCTAACTATGGTGAACCTTTCTCTTCTCTCCTGGGAAGTTTGCCACTTTCTGGAATTAAGTTTGCTTGGGTTTCTTTATGCCATCACTTCTCTGATAGGTTTTTTTTAAAGCTATGATCTTGCAGCTTACTTGACTTTGTCGTGTTGTTACTGTGGGAATGATAGTCACTTCTGACTTTCTGCATCCTTACTGGAATTGCATCAGACTTAAACAAATACCCAGGACCGTGAGTATTATTTCAGTTGAGTTCTTGCTGCAAAGCCCTGCTAAACTTTCAACATCAATGACTTGTCGCTTACCATCCCCCATCCCTACTCCTCACCCCATCAGTCACCCGGCTGCTGAGTCCTTAATGCTCATAGAACGTGCTAGTCTCAGCTTTTGTGTTGGATTCAAAGAGTTCTCTCCTCAGGACAAATAGCTTGGTTATTAAAGAAAATGGTACAGGGAAGCGGATGCTGACGTTATGGTCAGGACTGGGTGCCCTTTAATTTGTGGGCTTCATGTGTTGAGAAAGAATAAAAACTTCTAGCCTGTGACACACCCTGCCCAGGACTTGTTATAGCAGCTAATGACTATTGGTCATAATAATTTTCCTGTTCTGTTTCAGGCTGCCTACGATCTTGTCCCCAATAGGCAGATAGGTCACAGCAGAATTGGGTGAAACAGGAATAATAAAACCCATCCTCTAGGGCTGGGAATGACAAAATGAGGTAATGTCTATGACACAGGTGGTGTGTCATAGGTGCTTAATAAATACAACCTCTCATTACCTTCAGTTAGAAGAACGGGGCTCTCAGAATCGAGGATGAGTTTCCTATTTTCATGTAGAGGCCATATGGGACTGTTCAGAACTTGCGTAGCAAGTGACTCAACTTCAACTTGGCCCCACTAGATTCAAACCTGGAAAGAATGCTGGTGGGGTGTGCCAACAGGAATCTTATTTTTGTCACCCACCATGGAGCCTCTTATAAAAAATTCATCCTGTGGGAGGGAGTTAGGCATATGAACTTGATCCAATAGCAAAGTCCCAGGTCTCAAGGGCAGGTGCAACTCTGACCCTGCCTCTCCCTGTATTTCTCCTGTGCTTCAGCTCTTAGGAACTCATGTCTTTGTATTGAGAAGAAAGGTTGCTGTGTGTAAAAATCGTTCTTTTTTTTTTTTAAATTTAAAGTCATTCTAGGATGCTGAGTCCAGGGTCATACAGCTTTAGCACCGGTGTCATGAATTTGTCATGAAAGTGGGAGAGAGGGTTCTCCTGCCTGGCAGGGGACAGCACAGGGCTCTGGCTATCTCTGAAAGGGTCTTGGCTGAGTGGCTGATGTCAGTGGGTAGAGGCAGGGTCATCAGCTGGAGCATCTTTTCAGGCACTGCTCAACTTAGAAATACCACCTTTCTCTGGGCCTGACCATTTTGCTTTTCTTAATGTTGATGGGATAATAACTTTGGGCCACAGGAGACAGAGCTTGGTAAAGAGTTTCATCCAGGTTTTATTCACTACTAAATGTAATGCTTAAGCAATATTTTGGTGGAGCCTGCTTGACAGCGGGTGTCTTCCATTGTTTGAATGGTCTTGGGCCTCAGAGCTGATGGGTATGGATCAAGACAGAGGGATTGTCCTCACCATTGAAACTCTCTTGGCCAAAGCTGCCCCTCTGGCAAAGAGAGGGACTTCTTCTGACCCTTATCATAATTTGCTTTGGTACAGAAATTGTGCACCCAAAGTGAAATTCAATTATATTTATTTTTGCTTTATTTGGGACATAGAGACAATTTTCTCTTTAATCTATTTATGGCAACAAATATTTCAGAAGCGCAAACAACACCCTATGAAAGCAAACGAGGTCTAGGTGTGGGGTTTAGTGGGCAGTGTCTCCTTTCTTTTAATGCAGACTTGCAGATACCTTGGAGGGAAGGGGGGTTACCTTGGATTGTTTAGCTCTCCCTGTGTCCATAAGGAGAAAAAAT
This sequence comes from Homo sapiens, assembly GCF_000001405.40. Taxonomy (NCBI): domain Eukaryota; kingdom Metazoa; phylum Chordata; class Mammalia; order Primates; family Hominidae; genus Homo; species Homo sapiens. The sequence continues at coordinate 108,723,131 of NC_000009.12, read as the reverse complement.
CCTGGCAAGACTGGTGCCAGCTGTTTCAGAGCCCAGTGCGGGATTTTCCTGAAGCTCCTCCACGGCAGGTGGCACCAGCATATTCATTAGGTGGTAGCATCAGGAGCTATGATGGAGACTGAGAGTTGCAGCATTATTAGCAGCGGCATATAGCTGTATAACATGAAGTCTCGGTGGTTTTAGGGACATCAGGGGACAGGGCCTCTGCTGTGACTCACTGTGCTCTTGCCGGTGGGTGCTGATGGCATGGGGGCAGGAGGCACGGTCACATGACTTGCCACCCAGCAGAAGCCCAAGAGCCGACAAAGGATGGCATAACAGAGGCAAAAGAAACCAGTGGGCACTGGGTGGGGGTAGGCAAGGCTTGCTTGTGTGCCCACATAAGGTCTGCCTGCTCCATGGAGACAGAGTGGAAACTTTGAAAGATAGGGTCTATTAATTTCCTGATGTAACAAATTGCCACAAACTGGGTGGCTTAAAACAGCAGAAATGTATTTTCTCACGGTTCTGTACGCCAGAAGTATGAATCAAGGTGTTGGCAGGGCTGCTCTCCCTCCGAGGCCTCTAGGGGACCACGTGTTCCTTGCCTCTTCCAGCTCCTGGAGGCCGTTGGCGTGCCTAGTGGCTGCTTCACTCCAGTCTCTGCCTTCATCTTCTCTTGGCCTTCTCCTCTTTGTGTTTCAAATCTCCCGCTGCCTGTTTCTTTCCTTCTCCTCTCTCTCCCACTTTCTTTCTTGTGGTAGGAACAGATGACATGAGATCTACCCTCTTAACACATTTTTAAATGTACAGTACAGTATAGTTAACTATAAGCATAATGTTGTATGGCAGATCTGGAGAACTCACTCATCTTGCATGGTGGAAACTTTATATCTGTTGAACAGCGATGCTCCATCTCCCCCTTCCCCCACCCCTGGTGACTCCCATTCTACTCCACTGTTTTCTTTTCTTTTTTTTTTGAGACAAAGTCTCACTCTGTCACCCAGACTGAAGTACAGTGGTGCCATCTGGGTTCACTGCAAACTCCGCCTCCTGGGTGCAAGTGATTCTCCCACCTCAGCCTCCCGAGTAGCTGGGATTACAGACATGCACCGCCATGCTCATCTAATTTTTGTATTTTTAGTAGAGATGGGGTTTCGTCATGTTGGCCAGGCTGGTCTTGAACTCCTGACCTCAGGTGATATACCTGCCTTGGCCTCCCAAAGTGCTGGGATTACAGGCATTAGCCACTGTGCCCAGCCTCACTGTTTTTCTTAAAAGGACACTTGTCATTGGATTCTGGGCCCACCCAGATAATGCAGGATGATCTTATCTCAACATTCTTAGTTCCATCTGCAAAGTTCCTTCCTTTTTCCAAAGAAGGCAACACTTACTGTTCCTGGGGGTTTGACATGGACACATCTTTTTGGAGGCCACCATCTAGCCCACTGAAGAGAGTAAGGGCCTGATGATCTGGTGGGTGAGGTGCAGCCAGAGAGATCAGTCAGTGGAATTGTGAGTCATCTTCACCCCTGTGCTTCTGAGGCTGACCTTGAACATCATCCCTCTCTTCAACCAGACACCCACTCTGATCTTGAATGGCAAAGCTCCTTCTTGGCCCTGCCCCTCACACAAATGTGCAATGAAATACCACCTTCTAAAGCCTTCCTTCACCTTTTAATCAAAGAGCCATTTGCTGATATTCATGAAGCCTCAAAGCCTCTTTCTTTAGCAGATGATTATTAATGGAATTTATACTTGTGTGTGTCTGTATGTTAAATGATTGCCGTCTTGCAGAAAACAACTTGGAGGGCCCGCGTCTTCCCGTGTCTACAGGCTCATTGACATTCTTTTCCCTGTGCCTCATTGTCACCTGATGACACTTGCATTTTCAGGCCCGTACCAGGGAGGTGATGGTAGAAGGAAAAGAGAACAGCTCTGGAGTCAGATCTTGGTTGGAGGTTGACTGAGCCACTTGGCTCTGGCATGTCACTGGTCTTCTGTCTCCTTGTCTGGAGAAGGGGGAAAATAATTCCTATTTATAGGATGGTGGTGGGGATTAAAAAAAAAAGTGCATTTGTGGCACCTGGCACAGGGGAGGTGCTTCATAAGTTCCCTTTATCCTGTATTTCCTCTCCATTTAGGTGTCTTGAGAAATCACTTTCCTGTCCCTCTAAAGACATAACTCATTCTAGTACTTTAGCTCTGAAGACAAACACACAAATTGTTCAGCAGCGACCAATTTTGTACCATGGCAACTTGCTGTTTTTAATTACCTGCCTTTACCCTGTAGCAGCTGTGGAGCACTTGGCCTGGCCAAATGTAATTGCAGTCTTCTGATGTGCTCCAGATGTGGAGGTATTCTGCCAGGTGTTTATTCTGAGAGTTACTGTGGCATTTTAGCACACTCCACCTTTCTTTTCCCCATCCCCCCCATGCCCTACTCCAAGTGTTCTTTTAGAAAAGGTCCTGGCTTGGCTTGGGCCCCCAGTTCCAGGCCTGGGACGTACAGCCAGCATTGTGAGTTTGGAGTCTTTTAAACTGGGCTTCCTACCTCTTCTGGGGTTCTCCCGGTCCCTGAGGCCTCCTCTGTTAATTAGGAAAATTGTTGCTACTGCTTTGAGAAGGAGCCCTGCAGTGCCTTGGGCCTTGCCACCTTCCACGGTGGTCTGAGTCAAGTCTTTTGGGCTTCCACTTGGCCAGGATAGGTGTTGCTTGGTGGCTTCACTTTCTGGGCACAGGCTTATCCTCTTATGGCAGAGGGAGCACTTCCCTTTAAGAATGAGGCTTGAACAATTAAAAAAAAAAACACATTATTTAGAATCCAGCTTTGAATCCAACACTCCCCAGCAATGCCAGACTGAATGCATGAGATTCCTCATGCTGCAGTGCCCTGAGCCCTGCCTGGACCTGGGATCTGGCTGTCACTGAGCACAAATAGGGCCACTGTGTCCAAGTGCTGCCTTTGGAAGTGGAAATGTATTTTCAGATTTTGTTTTCCTTTCCTGTGATCTTTGTAAATTTGGGACAAGTCCTTTGGATTGCTTAAGTGTTTTTCCCTCTTTTGCCCTGGCTCATTTGCATTTGATCAAAAGCTTTGGGGTAATTTGTTGAAAGCATTGAGCAAATTTGGCTGATGATGGCTGGTATGAAACAGGGTATAGGTTGTCAATTCAGTTTTCACTTTTAAACCAATGTAGTCCACTTCACTACATGTTCAACAAATATTTTTTAAGTACCTTCTATATGCTAGACACTCTTCTAAGAAATAACTGTGAGCAAAACAAAGTCCCTGACCTCATGGTGCTTATGATCTAATAGGGAACAAACATAATTAACAAGTTAAACAAAGAAATAGATGTTATTATGTTAAGTGTAAGTGGTAATAAAAATACAGCCAGATGAGAGGATAGAATATGAGAATTTGCTCTTTTAGAACCTTCCCCCAGACAGCAGAATGAACCAGCTAGAATTACATATTTTTTCTCAGGCAAAATCAAGCAGTCTATTGCTGCTAAAGTAGCTCTGAAATTATCAGAGACCCAGCTCCTTTTTTTAAAAAAACTTTTTAAATTACACTAAAGTTCTGGGATACATGTGCAGAACGTGCAGTTTTGTTACATAGGTATACATGTGCCATGGTGATTTGCTGCACCCATCAACCCGTCATCAACATTAGGTATTTCTCCTAATGCTATCCCTCCCCTAGCCCCCCACCCCCCTAACAGGCCCTGGTGTGTGATGTTCCCCTCCCTATGTCCATGTGTTCTCATTGTTCAGCTCCCACTTATGAGTGAGAACATGCACTGTTTGGTTTTCTGTTCTTGTGTTTGCTGAGAATGATGGTTTCCAGCTTCATCCATGTCCCTGCAAAGGACATGAACTCATCCTTTTTTATGACTGCATAGTATTACATGGTGTATATGTGCCACATTTTCTTTATCCAGTCTATCATCGATGGGCATTTGGGTTGTTTCCAAGCCTTTGCTATTGTGAACAGTGCTGCAGTAAACATATGTGTGCGTATGTCTTTATACTAGAATGATTTATAATCCTTTGGGTATATACCCAGTAATGGGATTGCTGGGTCAAATGATATTCTGGTTCTAGATCCTTAAGGAATCACCACACCGTCTTCCACAATGGTTGAACTAATTTACACTCCCACCAACAGTGTAAAAGCATTCCTCTTTCTCCACATCCTCTCTAGCATCTGTTGTTTCCTGACTTTTTAATGATTGCCATTCTAACTGGTGTGAGATGGTATTTCATTGCGGTTTTGATTTGCATTTCTCTAATGACCAGTGATGATGAGCTTTATTTCATATGTTTGTTGGCCACATAAATGTCTTCTTTTGAGAAGTGTCCATTCATATCCTTCGCTCTCTTTTTGATGGGGTTGTTTTTTTCTTGTAAATTTGTTGAAGTTCTTTGTAGATTCTGGGTATTAGCCCTTTGTCAGATGGATAGATTGCAAAAATTTTCTCGCATTCTGTAGGTTTCCTGTTCACTCTGATGATAGTTTCTTTTGTTGTGCAGAAGCTCTTTAATTAGATCCCATTTGTCAATTTTGGCTTTTGTTGCCATTGCTTTTGGTGTTTTAGTCATGAAGTCTTTGCCCATGCCTGTGTCCTGAATGGTATTGCCTAGGTTTTTACGGTTTTAGGTCTTAACGTTTAAGTCTTTAATCCACCTTGAGTTAATTTCTGTATAAGGTGTAAGGAAGGGGTCAAGTTTCAGTTTTCTGCATATGGCTAGCCAGTTTTCCCAACACCATTTATTAAATAGGGAATCCTTTCCCCATTGCTTGTTCTTGTCAGATTTGTCAAAGATCAGATGGTTGTAGATGTGTGGTGTTATTTCTGAGGCCTCTGTTCTGTTCCATTGGTCTTTATGTCTGTTTTGGTACCAGTACCATGCTGTCTTGGTTACTGTAGCCTTGTAGTATAGTTTGAAGTCAGGAAGTGTGATACCTCCAGCTTTTGTTTTTTTTGCTTAGGATTGTCTTGGCTATATGGGCTCTTTTTTGGTTCCATATGAAATTTAAAGTAGTTTTTTCTAATTCTGTGAAGAAAGTCAGTGGCAGTTTGATGGGGATAGCATTGAATCTATAAATTACTTTGGGCAGTATGGCCATTTTCATGGTATTGATTCTTCCTATCCATGAGCATGGAATGGTTTTCCATTTGTTTGTGTGCTCTCCTATTTTCTTGAGCAGTGGTTTGTAGTTCTCTTTGAAGAGGTCCTTCCTATCCCTTGTAATTTGTATTCCTGTGTATTTTATTCTCTTTGTACCAATCATGAATGGGAGTTCACTGATGATTTGGCTCTCTGTTCATCTATTATTGGTGTATAGGAATGCTTGTGATTTTTGCACATTGATTTTATATCCTGAGACTTTGCTGTAATTGCTTATCAGCTTAAGGTAATTTGGGGCTGAGACTCTGGGGTTTTCCAAATATACAATCATGTCATGTGCAAACAGAGACAATTTGATTTCCTCTTTTCCTAACTGAATACCCTTTATTTCCTTCTCCTGCCTAATTGCCCTGGCCAGAACTTCCAATACTATGTTGAATATGTGTGGTGAGAGAGGGCATCCTTGTCGTGTGCCAGTTTTCAAAGGGAATCCTTCCAGGTTTTGCCCATTCAGTATGATATTGTCTGTGGGTTTGTCATAAATAGCTCTTATTATTTTGAGATACATTCCATGAATACCTAGTTTATAGAGAGCTTTTAGCATGAAGGAGTGTTGAATTTTGTCAAAGGCCTTTTCTGCATCTATTGAGATAATCATGTGTTTTGTGTCATTAGTTATGTTTATGTGATGGATTACATTTATTAATTTGCATATGTTCAACCAGCCTTGCATTCCAGGGATGAAGCCAACTTGATTATGGTGGATAAGCTTTTTGATGTGCTGCTGGATTTGGTTTGCCAGTATTTTATTGAGGATTTTCACATTGATGTTCATCAGGGATATTGGCCTGAAATTTTCTTTTTTTGTTGTGTCTCTGCCAGGTTTTGGTATCGGGATGATGCTGGCCTCATAAAATGAGTTAGGGAGGAGTCCCTCTTTTTCTATTGTTTGGAATAGTTTCAGAAGGAATGGTACCATCTCCTCCGTGTACCTCTGATGGTAGAATTAGGCTATGAATCCGTCTGGTCCTGGGCTTTTTTTTTGGTTGGTAAGCTATTACTGCCTCAGTTTCAGAACTTGCTATGGGTCTATTCACGGATTCAGCTTTCTCCTGGTTTAGTCTTAGGAGGGTGTATGTGTCCAGGAATTTATCCATTTCTTCTGGATTTTCTAGTTTATTTGTGTAGAGGTGTTTATGGTATTCTCTGATGGTAGTTTGTATTTCTGTGGGATTGGTGGTGATATCCCCTTTATCATTTTTTTATTGTGTCTATTTGATTCTTCTCTCTTTTCTTCTTTTTAGTTTGGCTAGCGGTCTATCTATTTTGTTGATCTTTTCAAAAAAACAAGCTCCTGGATTCATTGATGTTTTTGAAGGGCTTTTTTGTGTCTTTATCTCCTTCAGTTCTGCTCTGATCTTAGTTGTTTCTTATCTTCTGCTAGCTTTTGAATTTGTTTGCTCCTGCTTCTCTAGTTTTTTCAATTGTGGTGTTAGGGTGTTGATTTTAGATCTTTCCTGCTTTCTTCTGTGGGCATTTAGTGCTGTAAAATTTCCCTTAAACACTGCTTTAGCTGTGTCCCAGAGATTCTGGTACATTGTGTCTTTGTTCTCATTGGTTTCAAAGAACTTATTTATTTCTGCCTTAATTTTGTTATTTACCCAGTAGTCATTCAGGAGCAGGTTGTTCAGTTTCTATGTAGTTGTGTGGTTTCGAGTGAGTTTCTTAATCCTGAGTTCTAATTTGATTGCACTATGGTCTGAGAGACTTTGTTATGATTTCCATTCTTTTGCATTTGCTGCGGAGTGTTTTACTTCCAATTATGTGGTCAATTTTGGAATAAGTGTGATGTGGTGCTGAGAAGAATGTGTATTCTGTTGATGTGGGGTGGAGAGTTCGGTAGATGTCTATTAGGTCCACTTGGTCCAGAGCTGAGTTCAAGTTCTGAATATTCTTGTTAATTTTCTGTCTCGTTGATCTGTGTAGTATTGACAGTGGGGTGTTAAAGTCTCCCACTATTATTTTGTAGGAGTCCAAGTCACTTTGTAGGTCTTTAATAACTTGCTTTACAAATCTGGGTGCTCCTGTATTGGGTGCATACATATTTGGGATAGTTAGCTCTTCTTGTTGCATTGATCCCTTTACCTTTATATAATGGCTTTGTCTTTTTTGATCTTTGTTGGTTTAAAGTCTGTTTTATCAGAGACTAGGATTGCAACCCCTGCCTTTTTTTTGCTTTCCATTTGCTTGGTAAATATCCCTCCATCCCTTTATTTTGAGCCTATGTGTGTCTTTGCATGTGAGATGGGTCTCCTGAATACAGCACACTGATAGGACTCTTTATCCAATTTGCCAGTCTTTTAATTGGGGCATTTAGCCCATTTGCATTTAAGTTTAATATTGTTGTGTGTGAATTTGATCCTGTCATTATGATGTTTGCTGGTTATTTTGCCTGTTAATTGATGCAGTTTCTTCATAGCATCGATAGTCTTTACAATTTGGCATGTTTTTGCAATGGCTGGTACCAGTTGTTTCTTTCCATGTTTAGTGCTTCATTCAGGAGCTCTTTTAGGGCAGGCCTGGTGGTGACAAAATCTCTCAGCATTTGCTTGTCTATAAAGGATTTTATTTCTCTTTCACTTATGAAGCTTAGTTTGGCTGGATATGAAATTCTGGGTTGAAAGTTCTTTCTTTAAGAATGTTGAATATTGGTCCCCATTCTCTTCTGGCTTGTAGGGCTTCTTCTGAGAGATCCGCTGTTAGTCTGATGGGCTTCCCTTCGTGGGTAACTCGACCTTTCTCTCTGGCTGCCCTTAACACTTTTTCCTTCATTTCAACCTTGGTGAATCTGACAGTTTTGTGTGTTGGGGTTGCTCTTCTTGAGGAGTATCTTTGTGGTGGTCTCTGTATTTCCTGAATTTGAATGTTGGCTTGACTTGCTAGGTTGGGGAAGTTCTCCTGGATAATATCTTGCAGAGTGTTTTCCAACTTGGTTCCATTCTCCCCATCACTTTCAGGTACACCAATCAAATGTAGATTTGGTCTTTTCACATAGTCTCATATTTCTTGAAGGCTTTGTTCATTTCTTTTTACTCTTTATTTCTCTAACCTTGTTTTCTCACTTTATTTCATTAATTTGATCTTCAATCACTGATACCCTTTCTTCCACTTGATCGAATCAGCTATTGAAGCTTGTGCATGCGTCACAAAGTTCTTGTGCCATGGTTTTCAGCTCCCTCAGGTCGTTGAAGGTCTTCTCTACACTGTTTATTCTAATTAGCCATTTGTCTAATCTTTTTTCAAGGTTTTTAGCTTCCTTGCTATGGGTTTGAACATCCTCCTTTCGCTCAGAGAAGTTTGTTATTACTGAATTTCTGAAGCCTCCTTCTGTCAACTCGTCAAAGTCATTCTCCTTCCAGTTTTGTTCCGTTGCTGGCGTGGAGCTGTGATCCTTTGGAGGATAAGAGGCACTCTGATTTTTAGAATTTTCAGCTTTTCTGCTCTGGTTACTTCCCATCTTTGTAGTTTTATCTACCTTTGGTCTTTGATGTTGGTGACCTACACATGGGGTTTTGGTGTAGATGACCTTTTTGTTGATGTTGATGCTATTCCTTTCTGTTTGTTAGTTTTCCTTCTAACAGTCAGGTCCCTCAGCTGCAGGTCTGTTGGAGTTGCTGGAGGTCCATTCCAGATGCTGTTTGCCTGGGTATCACCAGCAGAGGCTGCAGAACAGCAAATATTGCTCCTTGATCCTTCCTGTGGAAGCTTCATCCCAGAGGGGCAGCCGCCTATATGAAGTTTCTGTTGGTCCCTACTGGGAGATGTCTCCCAGTTAGGCTACACGGGGGTCAGGGACCCACTTGAGGAGGAAGTCTGTCTGTTCTCAGAGCTCAAACACCATGTTGGGAGAACCACTGCTCTCTTCAGAGCTGTCAGGCAGGGATGTTTAAGTCTGCAGAAGTTGTCTGCTGCATTTTGTTCAGCTATGCCCTGCCCACAGAGGTGGAGTCTAGAGGCAGTAGGCCTTGTTGAGCTGCGGTAGGCTCTGCCCAGTTCGAGCTTCCTGGCTGCTTTGTTTACCTATTCAAGCCTCAGCAATGGCAGATGCCCCTCCCCCAGCCAGGCTGCCGCCTCACAGATCGATCTTAGACTGCTGCGCTATAAGTGAGCAAGGCTCCGTGGGTGTGGGACCCGCTGAGCCGGGCATGGGAGAGAATCACCTTGTCTGCTGGTTTTTAAGACCATTGGAAAAGCACAGTATTTGGGTGGAAGTGCCCCGTTTTTCCAGGTGCAGTCTGTCATGGCTTCCCTTGGCTAGGAAAGGGAAATCCCCTGACCCCTTGTGCTTCCCAGGTGAGGTGACGTCCAGCCCTGCTTCAGCTCACCCTCTGTGGGCTGCACCCACTGTCCAACCAGTCCCAATGAGATGAGCCAGGTACCTCAGTTGGGAATGCAGAAATCACTCGTCTTCTGTATTGATCACGCTGGGAGCTGCAGACTGGAGCTGTTCCTATTTGGCCATCTTCTCAAAACCCTTTTTTCTCTAATCTTGTCTTCACTCTTTATTTCATTAAGTTGATCTTAATCTCTGATATCATTTCTTCTGCTTGATCTATTTGGCTATTGATACTTGTGTATGTTTCATGAAGTTCTCATGCTGTGTTTTTCAATTCCATCAGGTCATTTATGTTCTTCTCTAACCTGGTTATTCTAGTTAGCAATTCCTCTAACCTTTTTTCAAGGTTCTTAGCTTCCTTGCATTGGGTTAGAACATCCTCCTTTAGCTTGGAGGAGTGATGAGTTTGTTATTACCCACCTTCTGAAGCCTACTTCTGTCAATTTGTCAAACTCATTCTCTGTCCAGTTTTGTTCCCTTGCTGGCGAGGAGTTGTGACCCTTTGGAGAAGAGGCATTCTGGTTTTTGGAATTTTCAGCCTTTTTGCACTGCTTTTTCATCATCTTTGTGCATTCATCTACCTTTGGTCTTTGATGTTGGTGACTTTCAGATGGGCTTTCTGTGTGGACATCATTTTTGTTGATGTTGATGCTGTTCCTTTCTGGTTGTTAGTTTTCCTTCTAACAGGCCCCTCTGCCACAGGTCTGCTGGAGTTTTCTGGAGGCCCTCTTCAGACCCTGTTGGCCTGGGTGTCACCAGTGGAGGCTGCAGAACAGCAAAGGTTGCTGCCTGTTCCTTCCTCTGGAAGCTTCATCCCAGAGGGGCACCCTCCAGATGCCAGCTGGAGCTCTCCTGTATGAGGTGTCTCCCAGTCAGGAGGCACGGGGGTCAGGGTCCCACTTGAGGAGGCAGTTTGTCCCTTAGCAGAGCTCCAGTGCTGTACTGGGAGATTCGCTGCTCTCTTCAGAGCAACCTAGCTCCTTTTATCCCTTGTTCCACCATCTTCAATATGTGCTTTGTGTATTATGACCCCATATGGCTGTTCCAGCTCTGGCCATCACATCTGCATCCTAGTCAGCAGGAGGGAGAGAAGGAAGGGACAAGGGCACAGCTCTCTTGGGGGATATTTCCTGGAAGTTGCACACACTACCTCTATCTTCATCCACCTGGCCAGGACTTTGTCATATGGCCGTATCTAGAGAGGCTGGAAAGTATTTTCTTTATTTCAGGTAGTCACACATCTAGGTAAAAGTCAGGGGTTTTTTTTATATAGAAAAATATAGGAAGATGATATTGAAGGATAACCACAGGTGGTGAGGGGAAGACCTCTCTGAGGAGATGTCATTTGAATAAAGACCAGAATGATGATTTTTTATCCAATCCATTTAATCAGTCAGATCACCTGAGTACCCCCTCTGTGCTTGCTATTAGAGGTAGAAAGATGAATAGCACATGACTCTGGCCTCAGTGCTTGCAATCCAGAAAAGAGGGGGCAAATTGCTGGTATGAGGGTAGCATCCAGCCAGCAGATGTAATTTGTTTGGTCAGTATATGTTTTAACAATTAGGGCTGTGTGTGGTGGCTCATGCCTCTAATACCAGCACTTTGGGAGGACAAGGTGGGAGGATTGCTTAAGCTCAGGATTTCAAGACCAGCCTGGGCAACATAGGGAGACCCCATCTCTGCAAAAAACTTTAAAAAGTTAGCCTGGCATGGTGGCATGTGGCTGTAGTCCCAGTTATTCATGAGGCTGAGGTGGGAGGATTGCTTGAGCCCAGGTGTTCAGGGCTGCAGTGAGCCATGACTGTGCCACTGCACTCTAGTCTGGGCAACAGAGTGAGACCCTGTCTCAAAAAAAAAATGAGGAAATTTCACATAAAAGGTCAGAGTTCCAACCTTTCATAAAATGTGAGAAGATCTGTCAGTGTAGGAAATGCATTCCCACATGTCCAGAGCTGAAGAGTGGTGGACTCTTTCAAGCTGGGCATTAGCTCTGCAGTTTGGCCCAGTCTCTGCCACTCCCAATTGTCATACACTTGTTTGTTTCCCTCTCTTTCTTTACTTGCCTGCCTTTATAGACATTAGAGTTTGCAGTTCATGATTTAAAGAGAGACAAGGCAATAATTAAAACAAAATAGGCCTCAGTGATCTGGTTTGTCCCTCTCACCTTGAGAATCCACATCCACTTGCGTCTTTTTGAAACCTTAAGTGCCTGAGGAAATCATGGGTGTTTCAGGCCCATTCACTCAGAATTTTTGTTTTTCTTGATCACATTGATATAGGTGGATAAAATATCAGAGCGTGAGTCAGAAGGCCCGAGTTCAGGTTTTTTCCCTTACAGCTAGTTGGGTGAATAATCTTGGAAAAGTTACCTCTGTTCTCTGGGCCTCAGTTTTCCTATTGGTAAAAGATGAGCGAGGGTCATCATTCCTGGTCTCTTGTCTTCCAGGCATGAGAAAAAGCAATCAAGACAATGGAGGTGGAAATGATTTGTAAGCTGGATGGTGCATCATTGTGTCAAGGAGCAGAAAGCCATTTGGACCCTAGCATCTAAAAGAGCCCTGAGACCACACTTAGAAATGGAGCACAGCCTCACCTGGTGGGAACTGGGGCTGGAAACTGGGAAGCCATTGAAAATCGAGGCTGCTGCTTTCTCTTTCTCTTTCTCTCTTTGGAACCATGTGGATTCTTTTCAGGTTTTCTCTGAGTCAGGCTCCACCTTCTTTGTACGGGCTTTCTCTTATTATTATTCCGTACGAAGTCAAAAAGGTCTGTTTCAGTTCTAATGCTGCATGGCCTTTTAGTTTGGTTGCCATTGATTAAGGACAGTCTCTGTGTCTCTTACTTCAAATTCTCAAAAGAAAGTTTCTTAACTGACACGTTGGCTTCCTCTGGGCCTGGTGACCAGCCATGGTCCAACCCCCTGAGACCATGGAAGCAGCATCACATAGTTCAAATATGGTGGCTTAGGCTTAGCCCTTTGGCAGAGGCCAAATGCAGTGCAGGCTGCCTGGGGCAAGGAATGTGGTAGGGCAAGGACACCAAGCACGTCTCCTGCAGCACAAAATGTTTATTAACATTGCAGCTGCGATGATTCTGTCTTGAGTGACTCTGCTGACAATTCTTCTGGCAAGGAGGCTGAAAGGCTCTTTCTGAAGAGTCAAGCCATCTGAGACAACTCTGTAATGAAAACATCACTTCCATGTTATAGACTTGTATACCAACATCCTTTGCAATATCATACCACCTTGCTGCTCTACAGAACATATTTAATCCATGGTTGCTGCTAACTTCTGAGCTCCAAAAGAAGGAATGGTGCACAAAGAGACAGTCTGAGGAAATGAAATGAGGGTTTCCATGGCTACAGGCTTGAGTGTGCATAAGACAAAAGTTTTTGAACTGCAAAGCATCAATTCATCCAAAATATTTTCCCTCTTCTGTTTCGCTTGTTTACTTGGTAAGCAGAGAAACAGAGCAGGGAATGTTCTGGTACAAATACATAGCCTGGGGGAGTCAGAACTTTGCCAGCTGCCAGGAACATCCCAAACAGAGCCTTGAATGTTCAACAAGCTTTGGAGACACTCAGAACTGGTTTGGGTAGATGTGGAGACCAGGAGCTGGGGTCTTATTCCTACCAGTCTCTAGCTGAGTGATGATGGGTGAATAACTTTACCTCTCTGAGTCTAGTTGTGCCATCTGTAAAAGAAAGAAACGCTGGGTGAACCTGAACCTGAACCCTATTGGGGTTAGTGCCAACAACTTAGATCGGCTGCAGTGAGACTCATCTGAATGTGAAGGCAACTCAGAAGTGGCTTTAACACTTAAAGGTTTTATTCTTTTAAGTAAAAGGCAATGATGATGTGGGAGAATCACCAGGGACTGTGGCTCCTCCTTCCTGTTGTGTGATCCACTATCCCTAGGTTGTGGTTCTGATCTTCATGGGCCAAGATGGCTGCCAGAACTCTAGCCATTATATCCATGTTCTAGGAAGGATGATGGAGATTGGTGCTTTTCTGTAATTCTCATCTCTTGAGTCTGGGCTGGAGCTAGTGATTCACTTCGGAAGAATAGGATAGAGCAACAGTGATGTGGTGTCACTCCTGATTTGGGTTGGGAAAAGACTTTAGCCTCTTTTCTCCCCACCCCCTTCTCTCACCTCCCTTCCCTTCTCTTTTCTTTCTCTCTCTCCTTCCTGGTGCTGAGGGAAGCAGCTGCTAGCTTATGAGGCAGCACTACAGAGAGGCCCAGGTGGTGAAGGACTGAAGCTTGCTGACAGCCAGGTGGGTGAGCTTAGAAGGGGATTCTCCAGCCTGAGTTGAACCTTGAGATGACTGCAGTCCTGGCTGACAGTTTGACCACAATCTTATGTGTGACCTTGCACTAGAGACACCTTGCTAAACTACACCTGGATTCTTTTTTGTCTTTTTCTTTTTAAATTTACATTGAAGGTCTATGCAGCTGGATTCTTGACCCAGAGAAACTTTGAGATAAGAAATGCTTGTCATTCTCAGTAGCTAAATCTTGGGGTAATTTGTTATGCAGACATAGAAAACTCATTCACCCCGCAACTGCTTTAGACACATTGAGTGGAAGCTTTGGGTAAATATAGAGAACCCCAAAGCCAGCCTTTTCGGGAAACTGGACTTGGAGCTTCTGGTTCTCGGGCAGCATTTGCGCCAAAGCTTTGCTTAATTTCCTGTCACTTGAATATTTTCCTAAAATTTGCTTAGGGGAAAAGAATGAAACCACCACAAGCCCTCCATGCATAGAGCAGAACTTGGCACAGATTCTCAGAGGCTGCTGTGTGCATGCCATGGGTTTGACCGTGTGCTCTGGGGCACGGGGCATAGATCTGGCACAGAAACAGCAGATGGAAGGCACCACTCTGCTTGCCCTCAGTGGCTCCAGCGTTGTTCAGTAGTGGGCCCTCTGGCTTCAGGGTCTCCGTGGCTAACGTCAGCCCTGCTCAGAGGCCAGGACACATGGCGCCTTTGTGCAACCCCACAAGGGCCCCCTCCCCTGCGTGTTGTGGCTGCGCCAGGGACTGGAACAGGCTGGCTTTCAGCTCCCATGTGTCTCCCTGGATTCTAAGCAGGGCACAGTCTGTACCACTATAGGTGATGACGCTGCCTCTTAGGACCAGTTTCACCAGTCAAAAAGAGGACAATAAATAAACTATTCTGGCTCTTTTCATAGGGTGAGCTAAACTCAGAAGAATGGCTTTCCGAAGTTTTCTTGATTTTTCAACATGTATAACTTGAGTGAAAAAAGAACAGGTCACAAGAGAGCATGATAATATATCATTTCTTAATACTTACAGGCACACACACACACATAAACACACTCAGAGTGATTTCCTGAAGTCTTAGCATTAAATTGCTAATTATCTCTGGATAGTAGAACTTTGGATAATATTTCTTTTCTTCTATTTTTTTCTATACCATTTTAATTCCTTTTAAAACAGAAGTACATGTTATTTTATTCTTTTAAACAGAAAAACCCAATAAATCCTCTTTTCATTTTTAAAAAACATATTTTTCTCATTCATTTGTATAGTGCTTTGCAGCTTACCAAATAGTTTTACATGCATTATTTCCTATAAAATCTCATAGCTATTCTAGAAACAAGATATAATTATTCTGAATTCACAGATGTAGCAACTGAGGCACAGACACTTGGAGAGCCTTCTACTGCAACTTCTCTTTAGTCCCTCCCCTAGGCGTTACATCCCCACCTCCAGAATTTTATCTGATACCGTCAAGACTATATAACTTGGACTAGTCATTTCCCATCTCAGTTTTCTCATATAAAATGAAGCTAGTAATAGCATCTAGCTCAAAGGATTATTGTGAGGATTAAGCGTGATGATGTGTGTGAAGCATTTAGCACAGCCCCTAGCCCCCCTGGCAATCAATAACTTTTAGCATTTGTTATTCTTGGGCAACTTCAGAGTAAGCATTTCCTCTCTTTGGGTCTACTTCTTCAAATTCAAAGTAAATGGGTTGGACTTACTGATTATTGAAAATTCTGCATTTCACTTCTCTGAATCCAATATTTTGTTGCTGTTATATGAGGCAAAGTTGACTTCAAGATGCTGGCTTGCAAGAAACAGCTGTCATTCACTCATTCCTCTGTTCGATTGACAAAAAAATGATCTGAATTTATGAACATCTAAAAAAAGGTTGGGGGAAGGGTGTTCTTGGTAGAGGAGTTGCATATGTACACACACACCCAGGGTTAAGCAGCTTGGAGGAAAGGTTGAGAGTGAAGTCAGGTACCAGTGATGTGGGCTGGCAACTCTTTTCAGAAACGTGTCCTTAGCCACAGTCAAGGGAACAGTGCCCTGCTTGTCACTGAGCCCACCACCCCAGGTTGCAGGATAGTCAAGGAGTGTCCTATGTAGGTGTTTTGAGAGGCACCCAATATTTTCTCAGTCCCAGTTTTATATATCTGTGTTTGCTCATTTTTGTCGGACTCAAGAATATGAGAAAAGTGTTGAGTTCATGCCACGTCATAAATCAGAGGTCTGGATGTGACTTTTTCATCTTTAACTATAGTCCACTGAAAAACCTGTGGGAATTCTTGCCTGGCTGAGCTGATGGTGGAGCAGGTATGGTGGCTGAGGAAGTTGCTGGAACAGTGGCATTCTGAAAGTCCCTCTTTGAAGCTGATTAAGGAGGTGCAGATGCTTAATTTGGGAGCTTGGGATGTCTGGGTCACCGGGAAGTGTGGATCCTTCTAGGACAGGCGGCCAACCATTGCCATGATCTGGTGGGGGAACAATGTCAGGGCCTTTATTAATTAGCTGAAGATCACATGCCCTTTGCTGTGGTGCCATTGTGCTTCTCTGGTGTGAGGGAATAGATCAACAACATTGATGGACAGTGAAGAGAGTCATTTTTATTCTGCTTTGTGAAGATGGGAATGGAATGATAAGACAAAGAAAAACAAAAGAAAACACAATAGAATGGAAGTTGATGACTAGTGAAGGCTATCCCCTCACACCTTTCCAACTGTCCATCCATTTTTCTTACCTCCTGCTCGGGGACTGATGGAATAATTTTGTCTTTGGACTCCTCTCCCCTCTCATGCATTTTTCATTCATTCAACTCTTCAGGGTGCTTTGCTAGCCCAGTGACCTGCTTATATTATCTCCCTTTTGTGGCTTCCTACAGCTAAAGTTCAAGTGCCTGAGCATAGCGGGCAAGGCTTTTTGTGATCTTGTGGTCTTGTGCTAATCCTTCTTTCCAGCCTCTTCTTGAAGCAACCCCATAATTCTCCATGCTCAAATCATAGACTGCCAGAACTGGAATGCATTTGGGATCTTCTCCTTTTTTTGCCTAGAAAAAAAATGAAAAAAACAATCTGAAACGGTGACATCTAAAGCAAAAGGGCAGAGATTGTCTAGCAGAAGGGATTGTGATGGTGGTGGGAACCAGAGGCTTACCCCTGCTAGGACTCCTTATACAATTTTTCCCCAAAACCTGCAGTGGCTTCTGAATTTATACAGAGAGACTACAGGGCGTGGTGGAGGCGCTTGAACATTATTGATTTTATTCAATTCTCTCCCGTTACGTAGAAATTGAGTTGTTTGCCCAGGGTCTCTGAGCTGGTACATGGCAGAGCCAGGACTCAAAATCAATTCTCCAAGATCTGGAGTAGAAGCCTTGCCTACTTGTCTTCCTGTGCTCACCCCACAGTGATCCTGCTCTGATTTAGATTGTAAGCTCCTTTGAAGTTATTCAATTCCATCTCCAGACAAAGTTCTTGCCACAGGGGGCTGCTAAAGGAAGGTGCCTGGTAACCTCGGTCATGGGTTTCTTTCTCAATCACTTGGTGTTTAGGGTGCCACCTGAGCAGACCAATGGTTGGATTGCTTTGCGATATCATCAAAACCCACAAAGTCACAATAAGGAGCCTCTTCTTTTTTACAGGTTTATTGATGAGCCCTCTGAAACATCTTTCTACTCTTAGGGAGTATTTTCTTTCCAAGTGGACTTCTTGACACAAGATCAGATTTACCTTTAGAATTCCATCTCTGCTGGTTTATTGAGTTCTCTCACATCATTCTGAGGAATCCTACTGCAGCACCCAGGGGGAACAAGGATAGAGAAGGAGTCTCTTTCTCCAGTCTCAAGCAGTGTCCTTCCATGTCTCTGCCCTATCTAGTTTCAGGTGGAATTTAGTGAGAACTGGCTTTGTTCCATCAAGTAGTAACAACAGTAAGTGTTTCAATTCATGACCAACTGATTACATTTAGTTTAATAAATGGGACAAGGGAGACTGGGCCTGGCTGGAAATAAATTTGGGTGCTTGACTTGAAGCTCCGAAATAGCCTTCCTGACTAAATGAAGATAATGATGATGATGGTGAAAACAACCAAGATTAATTTTGCATTGACTACATACCAGGCCCCATGCTGAGTGGTTTACATGCATGATCTTCTTTTTTGTTTTTTAATCGTCATGACAATCCCATGAGAAAGACTCATTTTACAGTTGAAAAAAATGGAAGCTCAGGGAGGTTAAGTTATTGCTCTTGGTTTTACAGCCAGAAAATGGTGTTGCTGCCTAAGAGTAGGCACTTCATTACAACTCTCTAAATGATACCATCTCCCTGCTCAAGTCAAGAACACAGAAACACAATGGAAGAAGTGTCAACCAAAGGTTAAGTTGTTAGAGCCCAGGGGAGAATCTAGTTTCCTGAGAACCCCACTGCATCCCCATTCCTGGGAAAGGCTCCTTGGTTGGACTGGACGGCCATTTGGTGCCAGGTGATGCCCACCATTGATCAGAGCTGACTGCTTTTGGGGTGGATACTTGACCACAGGGTGGTTAATTTAATCACCCTAGCCTAATCAACAACTGATTAGACTTCCCATGCAAATCTGAAGTGAGATGTGGGAACTGGAGGAAATTGGTCTTTGGCCCAGTGATGAGTCAGAGTGGAAAAGAAAACTGAAGCTGGTTTCTCTGTGTGCTGATCTCTTTAATGAGTCCACTGAAAAATCTGTTCCTGCGCTGGCCAAACTGATGTTAGGGGTGGGTATGGTGGGTGAGGAAGATGCTGGAATAGTGGACAAGAGACTGATCTCTTGTTTTGAGACCTGGATGGGCGGGGGCAGGAAGGGAACAGGCTTTGAAAGAAGAAGAGATATGGGTGAACTTGTGCTCTGTCCCCCATCCCAGGGTCACTGTGATCTTGCCTGGTGACCCTGGAGAGACAGGAAATCCAGGGTGGGGTGGGGGTAGGTGGGACTTGGCTTGCCTACCAGTGGGTGGTGGCAGTGGGCCTAGAACCCAGGAGCTGCTGCTCAGCCTGTGGGAGGGAGCGTGGGACGGGGAGACTCAAGAAGGCAGAGGGAAGACTGTGTTTCACATTTGCATCAGGCATTTGGAAAGGAGAATCCTGCTTCAGGGAGGTAAGTTTCCATTATATATTGCCTTGATGACATAAAAGAAAATTATCAGACCTACTCCAAATGCTAATATTTCATAATAATCATTAAATTCTGCCCAGTTTACCAGTAGAGATAGGGATGTGCATATCTGGGTTGATAAACAAATGCATACAATTTCATGAAGGTATCTCTTCCTAAAAACTGGAGGGAGAGGAAAAAAAGGAGACCTGGATGAAGCAGTGATTTCAAGCTGAGCTGAGATTCCCTCCTGCAGTTTTTGGCTCGAACTGCACTCGTACCCTGAGAAATGTACTTTGTCCCATCCCAAGTGATTTTTCTCCATCATTAAGGTTGGATACTAGCAACTCTGTTTATAATGCACTGTGGGTTTAGTTAGTCTTTTGTGTAACATAATCGTCATTAACATGACTTCAGGAGAGCAGGAATCGTTGTTTTGATTGTTGTTACCATGACAGTCAGTGGTCTGCTGGTCTGGTGACAGACAATGCCGTAAGTAATAGTTGTTGAACCTCTCTTATGACACTAAGCGTGTTTCCTGGTTCTTCTATTACATCGTTGCAGACAAGTAGCAGGTTATGTTTCCAGTCGCTCACATCAGGGTTTTGACATGCCTGGGCGTACTCAGGGAAAGGCCAGGAGTGGGCAGAGAGCTTCCTCAAGGAGAGAGAAAGGGTGAGGTCTGACGCTGCTGTCATCAGGATGTCCTTGCCCTGCCTCTGCTTCGCCACCTTCTCCCAGGCAGGACTCAGTGACCTCCACTCTTCCAGCTGGCCTCTGCTCGGCCCTAGATCCTTCTGAACTCGAGTATGCAGCCCCAGCCCCATGGAGACCTTTTTTGTCCCACACTCTTGTTCCAATCAAATGTTTGGTCCAATAGGCCTTTTGTGAGGTCTGAGCCTTAGTCCCACCTGGGACCTAGTTGCCTCCCAGGGACAGGGGTCTGTTGACCACCTGTGGCCATTTCTGACACATGGTATCAACTGGTCCAGCCTGGCTTTCCTGTCTCTGCCTCTCATGACACTCTGCCCCTTACTGGAACACCCATATGTGTGTTCACCTTGTATTCCCACCATCCACTGAGCCTTACGTCTGTGGACACAATGCTTTGCCTGTGCCTTGCCTACCTGCGTGTGCATCCACTGTCATCTGGACCATTCCTCCCCCAGAATCTTCCATAATCTTTATAGGCCTGGCTGGATTCATCTCTGACCCTTCTCTGCCACCTGATCTTCTAGCCAGCATCAGACGCAACTTGGTCATCTTTTCTTAAATACGACCAGCTAGTGGGACAGATGTTGAGTCACTGTCTGGGAAAATAGGGCCTAGGGGCATCTGTGAAAGTTCATCACGTTTCAGTGGGGCTTTCTGCTGGCTTTCACAGAAGAATGCACCAATAGTGCAGGCCCAGCCACAGATCAGAACCACAGAGAGGTAAATCCCTGGCCTTGACTCTGCCTTAAGGTCCCACAACTCCTCTGATTTTGGGGAACCAAGTAAGCCTCTTTGCTCAAAAAGTATTATTGCTTCCTCTTGGTTTCCAAAGTAAAATTCATTGCTTTCCCAAATCTGTCTTTAACTTCGGTCTTCAGCTTGTGGCACTGGTTTGGTATAATTAGAAAATGGTTTTATTTTTCTCCTGCCAGGGCCTCCAAAGGTATACTGTTAGTGCTCCTTCTTCTACCCCATGGGAACAGCTGGGGACAGAACCCATCACTTGCTGGTCACCTTCAGCCATGAGCCATACCTTGTTTTCAAGGACAGGATGAGTATCCCTTTCCAAAATGCTTAAGACCAGAAGTGTTCCTGATTTCAAAGTTTTTCTGGATTTTGGAATATTTGCATATGCATAATGAGATATCTTAGGGATGGCACCCAAGTCTAAACATGAAATTCAAATTCATTTATATTTTATATGTACCTTATACACAGAGCCTGAAGGTCATTGTATAGATATTTTTAAATAATTTTGTGGATGGAACCAAGTTTGTGTATGTTGAACCATCAGAAAGCAAAGGAGAGGAGAGCTAGCTATCTCATATTGGTGCTCTAAAAGCTTCAGATTTGGAGTGTTTTGGATTTTAGATTTTTGGACTAGGGATGCTCAACTACTATTAAAAGCCCAATTCAAACCAAAATCTTCATCCATGGCCAGTTCAAAACATGGCTCTTCCCCCACCCAGTCCCCACCTCAGACATGGCCTGTGGCTTGGGGACCTACTTTGTGGCATTCCGCTGACCCTGGCCACCTGACAGACCCCAGAACTCAGTGGCCATGTTGCACTTCAGAGCCCACCCCTCACTCATCCCTGCAGGAGTGTGTCCCCACAGCTCATCGCATGGCTGGTTCCATCTCAGCCTTCAGGCTCAGCTTCGATGTCTCTGATCAGGAAGTACGACCCTGACTACCCTCTCTGAAGGTGCCCAGCTGGGATCTCTAGCACATAGTAATCTGAGTTCTTTTCACCATTTTAATTAGTTTGATTTGTTGTTGTTAGCTGAAGTATGGTCTGCTTTCTCCTACAGTAGTGTTACTTTAACTCTGAGACAGCAGAAACTATGCTTGTCTTGTTCGAGAGTTATATATCCGTGGCTTAACTCCGTGCCTGTCTACCATAGGTGCTCAAAAATATCTGTTTAACTAATAATGAGATCCTACTTGGAATCAAATTTCAATATTTTACTTAATGGCCAAATAAAAGTTTGAAAACTTTGAAATTACTGATACCTGATCTTTTTTTTTTTTCCTTGTTTTAGCCTGGAAAAGTGTCAGTTTCATATGGTTCAATCTAATATTTGAAGCATTTGCATTAAAGTCAACAGCAAGATCAAGATGGTTTTTATTGCTATTATGTTACATGTTCCTGGAAATTTAGTTCTGGTCAACATAATAAAGTGAGGAAAAACAGATAAAATATTGGAAATACTAGCTGCAGAGGGTAAAATTGCCTAGCTGCAGAACCAACAAAAATCAACTAAAAAATTTAAGAGTCCTAATAAATGAGTTCAATAAGATGGCCATACAAAATATAGACAACAAGAGAATAATGGCAAATATCTCATTCATGATAGTAACAGTAATGACGATAACATTATAAGACTATCAATAACAACCACAAACTCTGGCAACTAAGATACGTATGTGATTCCATATAAAGAAAACAACTATAAAACTTCTCAGTGGGTCTTTAAAGAAAACTTGATAATTGGGATGACAAAGATATTTTGGGGTGGGAAGACTCAATGCTACACAAATTACAGTTCTCTCCAAAATTAATGTCATCATTTATTTCCATTCCAATCCAAATTCGAATAGAACTTTGGGGGCAACTTGACAAAAGCAAATGCAATGATTATCTGAGAGAAAAAAATCAGATCAGCCAAGAGTTTTCTCAAAAAGAGAAATGTGTAGGAAAATTTTCTGCCAGATACTAAATAAACTATCATGCTGTGGTAATTAAAACAGTGTGACAATGGCCCATGAATAAGGTTATATATGAGTGAGGTGGAATAGGAACTCGAGAAGCCAAATCACTTATATACAATAAGTTCGTGCGTACCACTGGCTGCACTTAAATCCAGAGGAGAGATGATATACCTTATAAGGCATTTGAGGATCACTAGCTACCATTTAGAAAGATAAATTCCTGCCTCACAACTCATACCTAAATTTCAGATGAATTAATTTAAATATTTCTGTACAAGTTAAACCTTAAATGTTCTAGAAGAAAATATAAAAGGATATGGTTATTCCGTCTGAGATAGAGATGGACTTTTAGTAAATAAGCTAAACATAAAAACTTCAAAGGAAAAAAACTACAGAATTGAAAGGAAGCTGTCAAACTGGGTAATGTTTTCAACATAAATGATATAAAAATGGTTGAAATTTATAATAAATAAAGAGTTTTTTCAAATGAAAAAAAAGGTAAGTATCACAATTAAGATGGGCACAGGACATAAATAGGCAAGTCATGAAATGAGAAATAGGATCAGACGATAAGCCTCGTATACAAAGGTGGAATTAACCAACACAGGAACTGCCCCACCTCAACTATTCTTGCTATATGAAATAATGCACATTTAAATCAACTTATGGGACTGCATTGCAGGCCACAGGCAGAAAGAACTTCTAGCAAAGCTGTATTTTCTTCTCTTTTGGCATTCAGATGAACCTACCTCAGTTAAGATTGTCCCTTTCTTACAGAATCGTACTGACGACAAATAGAATTTAGGCTACTGACGACAGATACAATTTAGGCTACCCATGTCAACATCCTAAGTTGCTCCTGCCATTCTCCGAATGCTGTGCTCTCTGAAGGCACAGAGTCAAGATCCTAAGGTATTACAGATGAGAGGTTAAGAAAAAGTTTCATGGCAATATAACAAGAGTCACCAACTTCTTAGCCTGAGGTAATTGGGTCATCTCAGCCTAGGACACTTTCTCTGCTAGTTAGCCAATTTAACCATTAGGGTCAATTTCTTACAGTATTCCACTCTTGATACCAAATTATGGATCAGTAAGGACTGCAGATAACTTTGGTTGTAAACAACAAACAACAAGCAACAATAACAATCGCTTCCGCTCAAAATGGCTTAAATGTGCATTATTTCACATAGGAAGATGTCCAACAATGTGAGATTAGTTAAATAAACTAATCATGCAATGTTCATGGTATTTAAAGTGAAAAAATGAGAGCGTTACCAGAACATTGAAGATTGGAGAGGAATCTTTGGGTATAATTAATGTTATGATCACTACTGTTTAATAAACAATTGCTATGTATATACCAGTTATTGTGCTAAAGGCTTTACCTGCATTACTTCATTCGATCTGTCCAACTGCACTGTGAGGAAGGTACTATTCTTACTCCTTTTACAGATGAGAAAGCCAACACTGAGATTTCATAACTTGCACAATTAAATGGTGGAACAAACAGTTCAAACTCAGGTTAGCTTCATTGCAATGCTTGTGCTTAATTAAAACTCTGAGATATTTTTGCTTTTTCTGTCTTCCTTGCCATGGTATTCAGTAAATTTCCCAATCCTTTCCTTTCTTCCCTTCCCTGCCCTTCCCTGCCCTACCCTGCCTTGCCCTGCCTTCCCCTCCCTTGCCCTGCCTTCCCCTCCCTTCCCCTCCATCCCCCTTTCCCTTCCCCTTTGCCTTCCCCTTTCCCTTCTCTTTCTTCTCCTTTCCCTTCCTTCCCTTCCCTTTCTTTTTCTTTCCCTTTCTCTTTCTCTTCCATTCCCTCCCCATCCACCTTCTCTTCTCTTCTTTTCTTTCTTCCTAACTGGGTCTTGCTCTGTTGCCCAGGATGGAGTGCAGTGGTATGAGCATGACTCACTGCAGCCTCAACCTTTTCGGCTCAAGCAGTCCTACAGCCTTAGCCTCCCTAGTAGGTAGGACTATAGACATGCACTACCACATTCAGCTAATGTTTTGTTTTAAATTTTTTGTAGAGACTGAGTTTCAGCATTTGGCCAGGCTAGTCTTGAACTTCTGAGCTCAAATGATCCTCTTGCCTTGGCCTCCCAAAGTGTTGGGAGTATAGTCATGAGCCACTATGACTGGCCTATCAATTCTTTCTTTAAATTTTATTTCTATGCTTTCCTCTTATGTCCAATATTAGCCGAGTTCAGGCCCTTTTTATTTTTAGCTTAGATAATCCCTGTAGTCATCTCCCTTTTCCATTTTCTCTTGCTCATACCATGAATTCATTTTATCTGTTACTTCCAGATTAATCTTCCAAAATGAAAACATTCCTTTCTCGCCAAATATCTGCTCAGAAAAATCTCTGGGGATATCTAAATGCTTACCAAAGTCTAAACTCAATGACTTGGTATTCAAGGCTCTTCACAATTTAATTTCAACTTGCCTGGTCAACTTTTTCTTTCATCATTTCTCTAAATCCAGAGATGTCCTGGACCTGTTTTTGTAAATAAAGTTTTATTGGGACACAGCTACCCCTATTTATTAGAATGTTATCTATGGTGGCTTTTTGTGTAGCAGAGATGAATACTTGTGAAAGAGATTATATAGCTTACAGAACCCAGAATATGTACTATTTGGCTTTTCATAGAACAAGTTTGTGAACACCTGCTCTAGATGAACCCATTACTCTAACGCAAATGGTTCTATTTGTCTCTGCCTTAAATAATTTTTGGAAGAATGCAGGATAGTTAAAAAACATGTACAATGTTTCTTGGATACCATTTGAATTTTCTTGCCTCCATGCCTTAAATTTTTTTTTCTATTCAATGAGTGAGTGGTTAAACAAATTCCATGGTATGTCTATACTATGGGATATTATTCATAAATATATTCCCTATGGGATGTTATTCATAAATATATTCTCTTGGATGAATCTCAAGGGAATGATGGTGAATGAAATCCCAAAAGGTTATATACTGCGTGACTCTATTTCTATACCTTTCTTGAACTGATACAATTATGGCGGTACAGAACACACTGCTGATTGTTGGGGGTTAGGAAAGAGAGATGGGGGAAGTTGGGTGTGGTTATAAAGCAACACAAGGAATCCTTAAGATGAAGTTATGTATCTTGACTGTTGGGGATGCATGAACCTACACATGTGATAAAAATGGATAGAACTAAATAACACACATACAAGTACAAATAAAATGAAATCTGAATAAGATCAGTGGATTATATCAAGGCCAAGGCCTTGCTTTTGATATTTACTAAAGTTTTTGTAGTTTTGCAAGATGCTACCACTGGGGAAATGGGATAAAGGGTACATGAACTCTCTCTCTATTATTTCTTATAACTGCATGTGAATCTACAATTATCGCAAACCAAAAAAGTTTAAGAATGCAATATAAGATAACTAAGGAGAAACCATAAGTAGTCAGTTTTTTCTTCATGTCAATAAATGGTAGACTTTAAATTGGATAAAAAGCCTGTCTTAAGCTTTGGAAATCCAATGCCTTTCTCTTTTGACAAAGTTTGGTTCAATAAATGCATAACTATCATATATTAAGTTGTGCAAGATATCAACAAAAACAGCATTTAGAAATGTGTAATAGCCAGTATGTGAGATCAGGTACAATAAAGTTAACTTAGTTAAAAATGTATATATTGCATCTTTTATTTTAGATTAATACTGTTAATAAAACAACATCGCCATGTTTTCCTAATCAGGGAGACATTTTCCCTGTGTCTGCTCAGCAAAACACATAAACGGTTAAAGTCAAATTCTATTGTTACCTGTTAATGTCTGAAAACTTTTTTTTATTAATATGGAGAGATTTGTCTCTGAACTCTTCCCCTAAATTACTCTACCATTCCAGATACCTTAAACTTTTTATTATACCACTCAGATGTGTTTGTTTTATCTCTTTCAATCAAATTTCTTATTCTTTTAGTGCTTTCCAGGATATAAAGGCACTTGTAAGTCATTTTTTATTCCATCGTATTCACATACACACAGCAAACCTGTAAGGGTACACAGTGACAAAGAATTGCCATTTTTTGGTGGAAGAGGATAAGGCATTCTGAGGTTCCTTGATTTGCCAGTTGTCACACTGCTGGAAGGCAGAATGGCAGTACTGATCCTTGGAATCCAAGTTTAGTGCTGGTTGTCTTTGCCATCTCCCCGAGAGCAGTAATAAGGAGCAATTACATTCTAATATAGTTCTGGCATTGGGAAGCAGTCAGGGAACCACAGATCAGTAGTTCTCAAAGAGTGGTCCTTGGACCAGTAGCATCAACTGCTTCTGGGAACTGTCAGAAATGCAAATTCTCAGGCCCCACCCCAGACCTACTGAATCAGCCACTGTAGGGTGGGGCCCAGCAATCTGTGTTTGAACAAGCCCTGCTGGTGATTCTGATGCACGCTCAAGCTTGAGATCCTCTGGCCTAGGTAATCATGAGACGTACTTCCTATTGCTCTTCAGTCTGACCTCGGTACCACACAGCAGGAAGGCAGGGACACACCTGACACTGTTTTCAGTGATGATCTTTCAATGCAGCTAAATGATCACAAAAATAGCAAGGGAGTTCAGTTCACTAAAATGTTGTAACTGCATGTGCTGTACATGAAGTTAGTGAAGCCTGTGGCTTTTAACATAGAGTCAAAGACTAGAAATGTCTTCTCGTATTACTTTGGATTTACCCCAATTAAATAACATTTACCTTCCCACAGGAGAATGGGAGAGATTAGCACTTCAAAAAGGGGAGAACTCATAGTGTGCTTTTCTCACAGATGAAATTAATAAATCAATGAATGAATTTATCCATTTAAACATCATCTATGGAGTATCTGGTACTGGCCAGACACCGGAATGGTCTTGTAATGCAGATACAAACAGGTAGATGAATATTTACAATATAATACAATATGAATTGTGACAGAATTTAGCAACAAAGTGATATGGAGAAGGGAATAGTGCCCTGTGTATGTGTGTGTGTGTGCACATGTGCATACGTGTGTGTCTTGTGTAAGGCAGAATGGGTTCAGAGAGAGGTGGTGTTCGGGATCTCACAAAGGAGAACTTCTTGAGCTGGACTATTAAGATCAAGGAGTTCAGCAGGTGGACAAGGAAGAACATTCTGGGCACATTGAATTGATCATGTAATTACAAGGAGGCATGAGATAGATAGCAGAGTGTATTTAGGGAGCCACCAGTGGCTTGGTGTTGGTAGAGTCCCGAGTGTTTAAGAATAGCTGGCAGGGAGGCTGGAGAGGGAGTCAGGAGGCAGATCATGGCTATGAACGTGCTCCTGAAGAGTTTGCTTTTGAACCATGGGCTAGTGTTTCCCAAATTGCACACACCATGCAACACAGGGGCTTGTGTTACGTGTTCTTTGAGAAAAAGATTTCTCTAGTCAAGTAAATGTGAAAAGTTTAATAAAACTAAATGGATTTCTTTTCTTGGAGAACTCTGAGAGTCTTTAATATGCTGATATGCATTGAGAATACCCAAGAATGGGATTCAGAGGGCACAGGAAACTTTTTTGTCTTTTTTTTTGTTTGAGATGGGGTCTCGCTCTGTTGCCCAGGCTGGAGTGCAGTGGCACGATCTCTGCTCCCTGCAACCTCTGCCTCCCGGGTTCAAGCAATTCTCCTGCCTCAGCCTCCCAAGTAGCTGGGATTACAGGTGTGTGCCACCAACCCCAGCTAATTTTTAGTAGAGATGGGGTTTCACCATGTTGGCCATTCTGGTCTTGAACTCCTGACCTCAAGTGATCCTCCTGCCTCAGCCTCCCAAAGTGCTGGGATTACAGGTTTGAGCTACCATACCCGGCCAGCACAGGAAACTTTCTTTTTTTTATTTTTATTTTTACTTTAAGTTCTGGGATACATGTGCAGAATGTGTAGATTTGTTACATAGGTATACATGTGCCATGCTGGTTTGCTGCACCTATCAACCCACCATCTAGGCTTTAAGCCCTGCATGCATTAGGTATTTGTCCTAAGCTCTCCCTCCCCTTGCCCCCAACCTCCCTACAGGCCCCAGTGTGTGATGTTCCTCTCCCTGTGGCACAGGAAACTTTTTTTTTTTGGAGACGGAGTCTTGCTGTGTCGCCCAGGCTAGAGTGCAGTGGCGCAATCTCGGCTCACTGCCACCTCTGCCTCCCGGGTTCACGCAATTCTCCTGCCTAAGCCTCCCGAGTAGCTGGGACTACAGGCACACAGGAAACTTTCTAACGCCCTTCTTAAACATCCTACATTCCTCAGGAACAGGCTTTGGGCAGTGCCACTGTGCACAGGGGAACTGTTATTTAGCTGAATCCTCTTAGGATAAAATCTAAGACTTAACATAGCCTCTAGAGCTCTGCAAAATCCAGGCCTACCTCCCTTTCTGGACTTGCCCCCACCCCTCTTCCTTTGGAACACGGCCACGTTCATTCCTTTACATATTGCCTGTGGCTGCTCTTTGACTACACCCGCAGAGTAGATGAGACAGTGCCTACCTAAAATATTTACTATCTTGTCCTTAACAGAAGAGATTTGCTGCTCCCTGCATGATAGCGTTTCCACAGTGTTTCCTTCTCTGTCTGTTCCTCTAGATTTGGAGCTCCTAAATGGCAGGGCTTTTGTCTTGTTACTTTTGAACAATTCATCTTTGTGTCATCCACTAAGCACAGGGTTTGGCCTATAGAAAACACCCAGTGAATGTTTAATGAAAGAATGAATGCCACTCTGTAATGATTAAGCAGCTAACATTCATACAGGCTTTTTGGTTTAGCATATATCATCTCTTTTAGTGTTTATTCCAGCTTTGTGATGGATGATCAACATCCTTGTTTTACATAGGAGGAAGCACAGGCTCAGAGAAGTCCAGTGAGTTTTTCAAGGTAACACAGCCACTAGGATGTGTGGGTGGTCTTCTGCCGCCATATCCCACGTTCTCCCCATTGCCCTTGGCTGTCTCACACCATTCCCCTCACAACCAGATCCCTCTAGCAGTTTCAGCACAACTCATTTGTCCTTTGTATAGCTTCTCCTACTGTTGGATCTTCTCATGCGTCTAGCTCTCTCCATCCCAACATCCAGCTGCCTTCCTCCCTTTCCCCCTAATCATTTCCCTCCCTCTCCTTGCTCACTCCTGACCTCTATGGAGTTTGTGGCTTAATCACTCCACAGAGGAGATGTATTTCCTCAGAAGACCACGCACAGCATGATGTGTGCTCATCTGTATTTGGGCTAGTTCTTGTTACAGTTAGAAGATGTTGAAGGTCCAGAGGACAGCTGTTCTCCAAGCTATGCTCCACCAGGATGGACAGCCTCCTCTGCCCACAGACAGGGCTCTGAATTTCAGGTCACTGAGGCATTTGCTGCTCTGCTAACAGAACAGTGCTCCAGGCCTGTGGAGAATTGCATCTGGCCTCTCCCCTAGGATGCTCATGAACTGCCTTATGGGTACAGTTTACAGGAAAAATATTATATTCAGCACCCCTGAGAGAAAATGAAGTCATTGCTTTTCTGAAAGTGATTTATTCTTTCATTAGTAACATATTTGCTTTCTTTTCCAGTGGTAAATTAGGTCCTTACGGCCAATGCTTTTGTTCCTAACCTGGCTGAAAGGCTGGGCTGTGCATCACTAACAGGCCGTCAGTTTTCCTGATGTTCTTGTTTAGGCAACTGACAAATCCCTCAAACTCATCGCTAGCTAAAATAGGTTTGAACTTTATTCTCAAGCTCTCTCATTGTCATATGATACGAAGCAAGCCTCTAGAAGGAGTTGCTTTTTAACTAGCAATTTGGCTTTTGAAGGACATATATGCAAAAGAAATTAGGTGAGAAAATAAAATCTAACACCTTCTCTACCGAAGTTACTACCCAAGGTCCAGATACAAATCTTGTAAAATGAAATCTGAGGTCATTAACGTGCTTTGCACATCTGGAATCTTGCCTGTGGCAGATATTCTAAAACTTGAGATGCTGTATTAATGCAAGGAAAAGAGTATTTACTGAATGCCTACTATGTGTTAGGCTTTCTTTCACTTTACCTGTTTACAGCAAACCTATGAGCCAAGGTTATTATTATCATCAGTTTACATAGTAAATAACCAGGACAAAGTTAAGATTCAAATTCCAGCTTTTGGAACCAGCATCTCATCATCTTCTGAGTACATTTTGCTGCCACTTCAAGTCAAGAATATAAAAAAAATTTACCAAGGACACCAAATAGTTTCACCTGCGGTACTTGAAGGATTCTAGTTCCTCAACATTCATGAGAAAAACTATCTTATGTGAAGGGACTGGTGGAGGGCCTTGAGCTTAGGTTTGGAACTGGGTTTTGGGGTAATATTTTGCATCCAGTGGGTACCTTTAAAATGAATGCTGACTGACTGGCTATTTATTTATTTATTATTGAGATGGGGGTCTCTGTTGCCCAGGCTGAAGTTGCAGTGGCATGATCTCAGCTCACTGCAACCTCTGCCTCCCGGGCTCAGGTGATCCTCCCGAGGAGCTAGTACCACAGGTGTGTGTCACCACGCCTGGCTAATTTTTTTGTGTATTTTTTTATAGAGATGGGGGTCTCCCTATGTTGCCTAGGCTGGTCTTGAACTCCTGGACTCAAGTGATCAGCACCCCCCCTTGGCCTCCCAAAGTGTTGGGATTACAGGAGTGAGCCACTGCGCCTGGTGCCCCCATATTTTTTGTACAATTTTTTTCTGTCAACCTAAAACTGCTCTCAAAAAGTAAAGGCTATTCATAATTTTTTAAATGGCAAAAAAAAAAAAAAAAATTCACATGAGAGGAAGTGTTCTAGAGAAACTGTGAACCTCCATCCCAAGCAAAGCTTCTGCCCTGCCCGTCGTCACGTTCAGGGTCCACTTCTGCGGCTGCGTCCACACAAAGATGATCTGTTTCTGCATTCCTGCCCACCTGCTTCCTTGTGGCTACACTGACATCACCAGCCCTTTGTCCTTAGGGCTTACCCCACCCTCACTCCCCACAGGCGGCAACATCTTTATTTCTCTACCACTTCTTCCTGATGATTCACCTTCAACTGGCTTCCCGGATCTCACCTGCTTCAACCTGGTAGCCTTCTCTGGGCTGTGCCCTAAATATCTTACTCTGCAATTGCACTAGCAGAATTCACAGTGCATCTTCTTTTCAAGTGTTCACTCCTTTGGCCTAACACACTCCCAGCAGTGAGAACAAATTTTCCTATGCTCAACTTAGCTTGTGTCACTCTTCTCCTCAGAATGAAATGGTCACTCCTGGTTGTCTCTTTAAAACAAGATGCATGTGCGAGCATACAATTTTTGTGGTTATTACAAAAGCAATTCATGCTTGGTGTTCCAGAATGTCAGAACGCAGGAAAACAAATGGAAAAATAAACAGATCACTTACTATTCAATGACTTTAAGATAATCACTATAAACGTTTCAGTTTTTTCCTGTGTGTCTGTATTTTGTCAAAATACTATCAAACAGTGCATACTGTTATTTAATACCTCACCTTTTTTTTTTTTTTTGAGATGGAGTCTTGCTCTGTTGCCCAGGCTGGAGTGCAGTGACGTGATCTTGGCTCACTGCAACCTCCACTTCCTGGGTTCAAGCAATTCTCCTGCCTCAGCCTCCTAAGTAGCTGGGATTACAGGCGTGCACCACCACGCCCGGCTAATTTTTGTATTTTTAGTAGAGACGGGGTTTCACTATGTTGGCCAGGCTGTTCGTGAACTCCTGATCTCAAGTGATCCACCCGCCTTGGCCTCCCAAAGTGCTGGGATTACAGGCGTGAGCCACCATGCCTGGCCATACCTCACTTTTAAAAGCCTTAGTCATATATTCTGAACACTTTCTCACATCAGTAAATAGGCTAATTCAATGACTCAGTGGCTTCATTGCAGTCCATTGAATAGATTTTACCATAATTGACTTATTTAATTCTCTGTTTTAAAGCATTAATAGATTTTATTATAAATAACACTATAATATGCTCCTACATATATCTTGTACTTACTTACATATATCTCGTATTTCATGAAATTTTGAGGGGTAATCTGTAGAGATGGAACTGCTTGGTGTAAGACTACCCATATCTCAAGACTTGTGAGATACACTGCTGATTGCCTTTCAAAAAGTGCGTACTAATTATTATGTTCTTAGCAGTGAACAAGAGTGTCAATTTCTAAACGCCTTCAATGAGTTATAGTCTTTGCCAACTTTAAGGAAAACATACCTCATCTTAAACTTTTAATTTGAATGGTTTTGATTAATAATAGAGTTGAACATTTGTTCATATAATTTACTGACTATATTTATTGTTTTGGGAATTGGTTCCATATAGTTTTCCCATTTTTATAAGGTAGGGCTATTCCTTTTCTCATTGCACTATAAAATCTTCTAAATATATTAAAGATATTAATTCCTTACCTATCATATATGTTTTAAGTTTTCTAGTTTGTCACTGTTTTTTCTCTTCAGTACAAATGCTCTTTATTTTCTGATAGTTCTGTGTATCAGTATTTCTCCTTAAGTTTTCTGACTTTGTTAAGGAGACCTTATGTGTGTGAGTGTCTGTGTGTGTGTGTATATATATATACATGTATAAATAAATATACTATTTATTATATTTACAATGTGTATATTCTAAAAATATATATTCTATTTATGATATCTGTGTATATATAG
The DNA here is from genome assembly GCF_000001405.40 of Homo sapiens. Taxonomy (NCBI): domain Eukaryota; kingdom Metazoa; phylum Chordata; class Mammalia; order Primates; family Hominidae; genus Homo; species Homo sapiens. Next base: position 108,690,089 of record NC_000009.12, on the reverse strand, counting down.
ATTACAAATGCTATATATATACACACAGACATACAGATAAATACATCAAAAATATGTATTCTATTTATGATTTCTTTAAAAACATTGACTCTTGAATCCAACTGTAGCTTATTTTGGTCTATGAAGTAAGCCAAACGTGTGACTTAATTCACTTTCACATAGCTAATCCATTAGTTCAACAAAATTTTCCATGGAACATAAATGTTATTTTTGTCATTTAATAAATTCTTAAGTAGTTCTACTTGGGGCCCTCTCTGAGCTTTCTTTTCTGCTACTTTGATCTATCTTTCTCTTCTGGCACCTTTACAGCAATATTTTATTGTAGCTTTATAGTACATGTTAAAATCTGGTAGAGCAAATTTATTCATGTATCTTTCTGTTTCAATATTTTCTTGACAGTTCTCACACATTCATTTTTCTATTATAGCTGAACTTAAGAATTATTTTCTCAAGTTCCAACAATATCATTGTAATTTTGATTCAAAAAGAAGTACGTCTGTAAATTAATGTGAAGGCTGACCGGCTTTACACAGCCTGACTCCTCATCCAGAAGCATGGAATTTCTCTCCATTTATTCAATCCTTCCTTTATGCTTCACTGTAAAATTCTTAAGTTCATTGAATATTACTTTCTAAGTTTGTTCGTAGATATTTCAGTGATTTTGTTTCCTTAGTTTAAATGGAGTCTTTTCAAAATACTGTTTTCTAACTAGTCATTACTGATCTTGCTGATCCCATTGAACTCTTTTCAGTACTTCTAAAATAAATTCCCTGGGATTTTTCTAGGAGAGAAATCTTAGCATCTGAAAATAATTATAATCTGATTTCCTCCTTTAAACTATTTCTGTCACTTATTTATTTTTCCTGTCTTATTGCATTGATTAAAACTTCTAAAACAAGGTGAAAAAAATACGAGTGAGGGTTGGCAGTTCTTCCTGGTGTTTCACAGTTAAGCAGATTACTGGGTGTTGCTTTCAGATAGTTTTTCTTTCTCATGTTAAAGAAGTAGATTTCAATTCCCAGTTTTTTTTTTTTTTTTATCTTGAATGATTGGATTTTATCAGATGTCTTTTTGGCATCTTTTGCAGTGATCATGTGGTTTTTCTCCTTTGACCTGTTGATGTGATGAATTATGTTAATATAGTTCCTCATATTAAACTATCCTACATTCCTGGAATAAACTCTACTTAGTCATTCTGTATTATTCTTCAAATACACGGCTGGGTTTGATTTGATAATATTTTATTTAGGATTTTTGCTTCTATGTTTTTGAGATTGGCCTATAGAGCTTTTTTGGGAGTAGTGTCTGTGCCAGGTTTTGATTTCAGGGTTTTTTCTGGGTTTCAAAAATAAAACGGGATGGTCTTCATCTTGAATCAATTAGGTGACATTCCTAATGTGGATATGAAGTCTCAGTATGATGGGATGGAAAGAACACAGGTCTGGAAATTAGAGGACAAAGGTTCAATTCCTGACTTTGCCCCATTAGCTCCATAAATTTGAGCAAATTTTTCACCTCCCTAAAATTCAGTTTTCTTATCTTTAAAATGGAGGTTATGCCCAGTTTCTGCCTCAACTACCTAGAAAGGTTGTGCGACAGTCCAATGAACTAATGAGGATGGAAACATTTTGCAAAGGAGGGAAACAACATTTATCAAGTACTTGTTCCATGCAAGGGGCTGTGTGTGGTGTTCTACATAAATTGTGTCATTACTGAGATTCCTTACTGTAATCTTTGTATGCCCCAATCACAGTGAAAACTCCTTAGAGCCTCACAGCTCGGTGGCCCCTGGATCAGCATCGTTAGCATCACCTGGGGGCATGTTACAAGTGCAGAATATCCAGCCTCACACACTGAATCAGAACCTGCATTTTCACAAGACCCGCAGAGCCATTTGTATTCAAAGTTTGAGAAACACTGATGGCTCCCAAATTGTAATGGTGCTGATTCCCCAGCATCCAAATAGAAATACAACTGTAACATTTAGAAATGTTTCCAATGATGACACTCTTGTTCAGTCTTCTGGTCTTCTGGATGAGACGGCTGCACCCTCAAGGCTGTAAATGTTAGTCATTTAGAGTAAATGTCGTGCATATGCACACTACTTTCCATTCCAAAGGTGACTGCCTTTGGAAACTGAGCAAAACTGACCCGTTATGAGTTATTTTTCTGTCAAGTCCAAAATTTAAGAGTAGTTTTAGTGCCTGCAGATGTACTCTTCTCTAGGGAGACTCAGTCATACTGCATTCCCATCAGTCAATCTGAAGGAATTTTTCAGCTGATCCTATGAGCAACCACAGACCTTTCACTGGGGCAAGGATTACTATATCATTTTCATCACAAAGATTACACTAGTCACTCCTCAAGCATGTTTTGGCTCCCATCAAGAGCAAAGGGCAGCATGCGCTAAGCTTCAGTGCACACATTAATATACATACATGCATGTACACACACGCTTAGAGAACGTCAAAGATCATGGCAGAAACAGATACCATGGAGACTAAGAGATCAACAAGGATTCCCTTTGTGGGAGTTTGTAGGGATGTGTAATGCAACCGAGGTAACTGTTTGCAGCCTGTGGCTGACAGTTGCCATGGAGACAGGCAGTTGGGTGAAGGAAACCCTCCTCAGTGACGTCGCCAACAGCTGTTTCATTTCTCTGTGTTTTGCACGCAAGCAATTCTTTCACACTCTATGTAGGAGGAGAGGTACAGGTGTGTCTTTTGCTAAGCTGGGGATGCAGAGTAAAAAGTCCAATATAAAAATATTCTTAATTATGACATTCTTTCATGATGAAGAAACTGTTTCTCTTAGAGTTTCAGTGGACATTAAAAACAAATATCCATTGTGTCAAGAATGCTATTATTTTAACCCACAGTGTAGTACTTCCTGTGAATGTGAAATGATTTCACTGTGTTAGAACTTCCTTCTCAGTTTAGATGTTGTGTCTGTAATGCCTTTCCTAACTCCCTAGGTAGAAATAATTGCTTCTGTGGCAACATGCCCTCAGAAATTTGTTTATAAGTCTATCACTTTGTAAATTATATTGTAGTTTAGGTATAACTATCATCTCTGTTTAACTAGTTCACCTCCCAATATCCCTACTTAGGACTGAGTTCTTAGCCAAACCAAGCTTAATATGACTGCTGTGCTTAGAACAGTGCCCAAAACAAAGCATATTTACATCTGTGTTAGTTATGTGTTGCTGTGTAACAAATTACCATAAAACTTAGTGGTTTAGAAAACATGCATGTATTATCTTACAGTTTATGTGGGTCAGCTGTCTGGCCCTGGTTCCTCTGTTCAGGGTCTCATAAAGGAGCAATCAAGCTGTCAGTTGGGCTGAATTCTCATCAGGAGGCTCAACTGGGGAAGAATTCGCTTCTAAGCTCATTGGATTGTTGGCAGAATTTGTTTCCTTCTGGCTTAGGGGAACCAAAAGCTTCACTTCTCTAGGCTGTCCAAGTTTCCTACCACATGACCCTCTCCGTAGGCAGTTCACAGTATAGCAGCTGGCTTTGTCAAGGGCAGCAGGAAGCATGCGTGACCCTGCTGGCCTTGACAAAGTAGACAGAGTCTTACACCATAATATAATCACGGGAGTGACATCTCATAGCTTTTGCCTTATTCTATTGGTGAGAAGAAAGTCACAGGGCCCCTTCACACTCAGGAAGGGTATCAAAGAGTGTGAACACCAAGGATTGGGGGTCACCCTAGGGTCTGTCTGCTATAATGATCCTTCACAATTTGTTTGATGAACTAGCCCTTCAGGCACATCAGAAACAGGAATACTCCATTTGAGCTGGTTAGGATGGGAAAGGAGACATCCACCCATCACAGAACTCTATTATCATCTACATTCTGTATTCTTATCAGAGTTGGGTTTTTTCATATACAGGATATCTTGAATTGTCTTCTGTGATGAATCCATGTCTCTTATAAGGGCTTTATTTTATTATATTGGCTATTTTTATATTTCCAAAAATGGCAAAATGTCTAACCAGATTTATGAATGAAACCACAAGTGTTTCGAAAGAGTTCTAAATATTTTACATGATTCTGTAGAAAATTATCATGGCAGCCATGAGAAGGAGCCTCTCTGACTATAGGAATGTGATCAACCAAGGGCCCAGCTTCTCTGAAGTTCATCACTGCATTCATGCTGAAGCCATACTTTACACAGGTTTCTCTTAGCCAGTGACTCAGCTTGGTATAGATACTAAACGGAGCCTGTTTCTGGGTGATGGGAAATGCCTTGATGTGCTGCTTTGGCCTGAGGACTCCCTGAAATGGCCTGGTCAAACTTTTCTTAGGCCTGAATGGCATCTGAGATACTTCTACCCAGTATTCCCTCTCTCCTTCCTTCCCTTTTCTCTTCAGTCAGGATCAGATCTGCATTGTGATCTGATATCTGATGTGCTTATGGCTCTTCCATGTTTCCCTGACTCTCTTGCCATTTTTTTTTCTTGCGGATGTTTCCTGTAACACATTTCTGGCACCTTTCATCTTGTCCTGGTATCTGCTGGTGAGATAACCCAGACTAATACAATGATCATTTGCATAAGTCTGCAAAATTATTCAGTGCCATGTATTTAAGTTTCCTCCCTCTCGGCTGACTCCAGAAATGGCATAGGGGGCATTAAAAAGAACATGGACATCACATCTGGAAGACTTGGGGTAGAATCTTGGTATTACCTGGACAACTTTAGACAAGTCACTTAATCTGTGTGACACTCATTGACCTCATCTGTAGAATGGAAATAAGAATAAAACATTTACCAAAGAATTTAAATTATACCTAAAAACATAATACCTGGAACAGAGTAAGTACTTAAAAAGTGCAATGTTGATATATTTTGCAAAACATAGTAAAACAATGATACTTTTTATAAATTGAGAGGATATATTTCCATGACAGGCATCTTTTCATAAATCTCATTGTCAGAGGAAGGGCTGTAGGAAGCACAGGATGCTTCCCAGGGCATTGCTGTGGGTGAGAACATTGGAAAAAAAACCAACTAAATTAACATCTCTTGACATATGCCCATGGATTACTGGGCAGGGAGTGGGGAGGAGCTCTCTGGGGTCAGGTGACTTTCCCCAAGCCACACAGTAAGTGGCAGATTGCAGATGGGACCCAGGTTTTCCAGTTCTATATCTGGTAACTAGAATCTAGTGGGGTTTAAAGTTAGGGCAGTGGGATGAGGCTAGGTTCATGCTTAGATGGGGAAGGTGGGCAGAGCCTGGAGGAATCTGGGTGGATAGAACCTGTGTCCACTGTGCCCCTTTCTAGCTGGGCAGCAGAACTTGCAATGGGGATGATGACTGCTTCTCAGAGGGGTTGGAGAGAAGCCATTCCTGGGGCTTCTCCTCACTCCATTCTCCTCCTGTTCAGTTTAACCTCTCCTTTACCTTCCAGGTGGGATTTGTGGCTAGATCTAGTGAGATTTCTGTGGTTTCCTTGACCTCTCCCATCCCTCCTGCCTAATTCTCAGTTTACATAAACCGCCTTTAGCAGGAAACAGAGTCCTTTCTTCTGCTCTTAGGTATAACCAGCTAGAAGTGGAGATGCCTTTGGGGGAAGCACGTGACTCAGGGTGCATAGCTGGTGCACATGCGCATATTGCAACTAAAAGCTTAGGTTTTGGATTCAATCAGGTCAGGCTTTAAACCCTGCACTCCTCTTCCTGTGGACCCCTGGGCAAGCTGGTCAGCCTCTCTGAGTCTCATTCTCCATATGGAGAAGGGGGTGATGGTCTCTTTCTCTTTTTTTTTTTTTTTTTTGAGTCGGAGTCTCACTCTTATCGCCCAAGCTGGAGTGCAGTGGCACAATCTCGGTTCACTGCAACCTCTGCCTCCCGGGTTCAAGCAGTTCTTCTGCCGCAGCCTCCTGAGTAGCTGGGATTACAGGCGCCTGCCACCATGCCCGGCTAATTTTTGTAGTTTTAGTAGAGATGGGGTTTCACCAAGTTGGCCAGGCTGGTCTTAAACTCCTGACCTCAAGTGATCTGCCCGCCTTGGCCTCCCAAAGTGCTGGGATTACAGGCGTGAGCCACCTTGCCCAGCCTGGTCTCTTTCTCTTATACTGTAAGGACTGATAGCCTCTTACAGGGGCTACACAGGGGGTGGACTCAAAAGAGTTAACGCCTTCCTTTCTTTGTATGCGGTATTGTTTAAAATGGTTTTTCCATCATCCTAATAGCAACTGGTTCCTGATAGCAATATGTAAAACAATGCAGGAGCTTTTACGTGTGTTTTTCCAAGGTGTGGTCATTGAGCTTTGGAAACTGAGAAATCCAGTTGAGTTGTGTGTCTGACAGTGAAGAGTAAACGGCCTTGGGCCTAGCTTCAGAATTTGCCTAAAGAGAAACATACCATCCTTAAAAAAAAGTAAGAAGCAAAAAGCTTTCATATGTATAAATGTTGGAGCCATTCTGGCAGTGTAGGCCAAAAAGCTGTGTTTAGTGGTCAGAAGAAAAAAAAAATGAGGGATAGGCAGAAACCTTCTGTCTAGAACTTTCCCACTTTCTTCTGTCTCTTGTTTTTCCCAGGAAGGGAAGCAAAATGCTAGCTGTGGGGATCCCCCACCCCAAATGAGGGTTGCCGGTCGGGGGGTGGTGGTGGTTGGCGGGGCAGTGGGAAGCAGAGCTAGGGCAGGGCAGGTTTCTTTACCACGTGACCCTCTCTGTCCCACGCTAGAGGCAGAATGGGGGTGGAAAGTTACCAGATCTAGAATCTGAAAACCTGGGTCCCATCTGCCATCTGCCACTTACTGTGTTGCTTGGGGCAAGTCACTTCACCTCTCTGAGCTTCAGTTTCATTATCTGTAAAATGGACATAAAATTAGTTACAACAGAGGGCTGTTAGGTGGCTGAAATAGTGAATGCCTTGTGAAAGCTTCTTGGAAATCACGGTGCAGATGTTAGCTATTTGTTGGAATACTATGTCCTATTACAATCCACCTGAGTTAGAGCCTCCTGTGGTTATCATCAAAAGATAATCTTTAAATCATGGAATCATGAGAATTCAGAATAATGGGGTCTATCATACAGTGAATGATGACGATGAAAATAATGACAACATTTGCATGATTCGACATGGCTGCTTCTATACAGGAGGGATTGAGGAAAGCAATTTGGCTGGAAGTGGCTGCTAAGAGACTCTTCTGGAAACTTCCCTTGCACAGCATGCACTGTTCTTACCTATAGTATGCATTTGTTCATTTAGGGAAGCTGGGGGAAATGTTGGAGATCATGGAGAGGGAGGTGGGGCCAAGGGGAGACTTGAGTCTAAATGTTTACACAACTTTTTAAAAAGAAATTTGAGATCCCTTGCCTCATTTGAGCCTCCCACTTGCTCTTCTGTTCTTATCCCCATTTTACAAGGAAATTGAAACGCAGAGAGGTCAGTTAACTTGCTTTTGGCCACACAGCTCACATGGCTGACAGGATGCCCCCAAGACAATGCATGTGTCAGGGCTTTGTAGCCAGTACAACTCTATGGAGATGGACATCATCACTGCTGTTGCATTTCAACAAAGGTGACAGCAGAAGCCCAGAGAAGTACAGTGGTTTGCCGAGGTTACACTGCTTAGAAGTAATAGAGTGGCTGGAAGCTGAATTTCCTCATTCCTAGAACAGAGCCTGCTTGACCCTGGCTTCAGCCTTAGGAATGCTCACTAACTCTGTCCTGTTTTCCTTTTTAAAAATTAATAAGAGGCAGCCAAACAATGGCTAATGGGCTCGTGAGAGGTTAGTCACAGGATTGCTTTCAGCGAAACACATGATCTTGGTAACAAAAAGAATATAGAAATAAATTTCTTTGAATGCTCTTCAACCTAATCAGCCCTGATGCTGTTAAACTGTTCCTTACATTCTCTGGTCTCCCTCCTTTAAAGCCCCAAATAAAGCGTAATGAAATAAGCTATAAGCATTTGGGGGTGATTCAACTCTCTGAAGTGCTTAAGGATGTAATTTGTAGGCAAGATGTTAAGGAATTAAAAAAAAAAAAGTGCTGGCTCGTGCCAAGCGGCGTTGTACCAATTTCTCCATGGCCCTGCTGCATGTTAGGTATGCATATGGTCCACACATTTTTCGAAAACATACCCCCAGGTGTCAGGGCCTGTTCTTTAGAGCGTATCAACTAAATGTGGAGAGACTGGTGTGCTGAGGAAATGAAAAATAAAATCCCAGCTGCTCCTTAGAACATTGCTGTAATTTGGAGGCTTGGCGTGGGCTGTGCGTTCTTGTCTGGAGCCCCACAGATGCAGCACCCTCAAAGGTGAGCTTCTCCAGGGCAGGGACCCAGGGCACTGACTCCATGGGATCTGGCACAGAGTAGGGGCTCAGGAAACTACAGGTAAACAAATGAATAAGTGAGTGACATGAGCAATGAAATGGGGACAAAGAGAGGAAAGGCCCTTTGGATAAAGCTAATGGAAACAAGCCACGATCCCAATACCACTCCCACTTAGTCAATTCCTGCCTAAAATTCCACTCCCATTTTAAAGAATCAGTTGCATGGTGAGGCGAAAAAAGGGACAAGGAATAATCTTAGAAGACTTGGGTGTGTGGCCAATGGGATTGTATTTGAGCCCCTTTATTTTCTAATAAGATACAGTAGTTATAGAGCAACTAGTACAATGTTTGGTGCACAAGCGGCATTCATTTCATTCATTCATTATGTCATTCAGAACTCACTTAGTAACCTACAGTGTGCCAGACCTGATGTCAAAAGCCAGTGGTGGAAAAGTCACCACCCTCAAGGAGCTCAAACTTGCATGGCTATGGGGAGCCTTATTTCATTATTTAATTCCTCAGATGACTCCATCGATGTTGAGATGATTCTCTTCCTTGAGTGATAAGGAAATCAAGCATCAGAGATGCTCCATGACCTGCCCCCGTCCCATAGCTGTAAGTGATGGTCCCTGAAGTGGAACGCAGCATCAGAGGTCACCAACAGACAGCTCACAGCTCAGTTCTGCCTCAACCCATGTTTAGCTTGGGCTGCCTGTTGTTAGCAGAGAAAGAGAGTATGGAATAGGGATGCCTTCAGACAGGTTCCTTACAGTTCTTCCACTGCTGAGGTCTAACTCGAGGCCCTAGTCACACTTTTCCTTTACTAGCCTGGCCCATGGGTTGCTGAGTGTGTAAATCCCGGCTTGGATTTGCTGTTTCCATACCCAGTTGTCTTTCCAGTGGGAAAATGGACATTACCTGCCTCTGAGAGGGCCTAAACCTACACTAAAGGTCTCTCTGGTCTTTCCTGACTCAGTGCTGACTGTCACCACTATCCGTGTTAGGTTTCTTCAACCCCATGAACCAACCATCAGGTTTGGGTTGAATAGACCCAAACCGTATGGGGCCAGCACATGTTCTGGTATAGTTCCTGAGTGTTTTGGGGGGCTGGGATGGTGGCGGTAGTGGTGATAGTGGTGGGGATATTGTACGACACATTTGGTCAGTGTTTCCCAAATAGAAGAAAAATATTTGAAGCTAGCCTCTTCCAGTAGCTCCAATTAAAGTTTCTCTTTGCTTCTTTTAAAAGTAAGGAATACTCCTAGAGCTATATGAAGTTCACTTTCCTCAGTTCTTTCACGGGAAGGGCGGTTAGCTGGTATTACATCTCCTGAAATGTTTCCATGCTGAAGTCATCTCTTCCATTTAATGTAGAATGTGGAACTTTGGGGGTCTCCATTAATCACTGGGAAGTGAATTGGAGAAAATGCAAATCTCCCTTCAGAAAAATCACACTGGCCTCTGGGTGCCCATGCCAGCCCTGCCTTGGGCTGCCTTGGGTGTGGGCCAGAGAAGAATGTGGTCTAGAAATGTCCTCAGAAGAGGTGCAGCCTCCCTAGTTACGGGAAGAAGGAGGGGCCATTGACTGGGCTTTATTCAGTGGCACAGACTGTCTGCCCCATACCTCCTTGGGTAACTTAAAAAGGAACTGAGTGAGTTCTAGCAGTTTTCTAGAGCTTGATAAACACATAAGATGCACAATGGACCATAATTGATCAAGTTGAGGTGGAATAGCCTGATGCTTAAGAGTAATGATTCTAAGTCAGACTGCCCGAGTTAGAACTTTGTCTCCATCACTTACACACTTTATAACTTTGGGCATATTAATTGTTTCTGTAGGCCAAGTGCAGTGGCTCATGCCTGTAATCCTAGCACTTTAGGAGGCTGAGGTGGGAGGATTGTTTGAGGCCAGGAGTTTGAGACCAGCCAGGGCAACACAGTGAGATACTATCTCTACAAAAATAAATAAATAAATGAATAAAAATTGAAAAAGCCTCTAAAAATTTTTAAAATTGCAAAAAGTGTAAAAATTTAAAAGATACTCTAAAAGTCTGTAAATTTTTGATGCCAGGAGTTGGAGACAAGACTGGCCAACATGGCAAGACCCTGTCTCTACTAAAAATACAAAAAAATTAGTTGGGCGTGGTGGGGCATGCCTGTAGTCCCAGCTACTCGGGAGGCTGAGGCAGGATAATCACTTGAACCTGGGAGGCGGAGGTTGCAAGGTCACAGTGAGCTGAGATCGTGCCACTGCAGTCCAGCCTGGATGACAGAGCAAGACTCCTATCTCAAGAAAAAAAAAAAATTAAAAAGTAAAATGGGAGTAATAGCACTCACCACATAGGGTGGCTTTGAGGATATAATTAGGTTATTACATAGAAATGTCTTAGAATAGCGCTTGGCACATAATAAGCGCTCTTCCATTTAATGTAGAATGTAGAACTTCTACATTACTTAGTAGAACAAATATTACTATTATCAGTCTTTTAAGATTCCCCCAATTTCACCCCTGAATTAGGTTTGATGCACAGAAAGCAACTGAATTTCATGGACCCAGGTTTGATGTGACCCCTTTGGTCAATAGCACTTGATGCAAGAATTGCATTTGTATTCTCTCATAAATGGCAGTTGGAGATGGCCTCATTGTCCATGCAAGGCAATCCCGGAAAGACACTGGACTCTGTCCATGTATATGTTTGTTGACCGAAAGAAAATGCAAGTGATGTTACTATGTTTTATTTTCTGTCTCACCTGTCAGGAGATTTAGAACATTACCCACTACTTATCGGGAGTGTCCAGGAGCATGTATTTATTCCATGCCACTTAAATGCAATATTTACCCTAAACCAGTGCTGCTTAATTTCCCCCCACCAAGGCACCACTAAAATTAGCAAAGTATAGTGACTGAAGGGAATTTATAGAATATAGTCCTAAGAATCCAGAAACCTGAAATTCCTCTCAAATCTTGTATTTTAACTTAAAAATCTCCACATATTTTGAACTTGAGCATGTTACGTATCTATGCTTGTTTTACTATTAAATCAGTGTTTTGAATGATCAACATTCAAGTAAAATTGATGCTCTAGGAAGGTACCCCTCCAAACTGATGCTGTGACTTCTTGTGTTGTTAATTAGTGCTGTTCATCCAATATTTCTGATTCTTCCTCCTTCCAGGCATATATAGTAGGACTGTGTGTCCTTGTCCCCTTGAAGTCAAGGGTGACTGTGACTGTGTAACTAGTTTTGGCCAAGGAAAGTATATAAATTCTGGCCAATGTGCAGTTTGCCACATTTCCTTGCTGTGGTGAGGCAGAGGCGTGGCTGAGAGGAAGCCTTCATCAGCTGGATCCCTGAGTGACTCTGAGGAGCTGAGTTCTTCTCTTAAACTGTGTTGGACAGGTTGAGTGAACAAGAGGCAAATGCTGTTTTTATTTATTATTATTATTTTTTTGAGACAGAGTCTCGCTCTGTCGCCCAGGCTGGAGTGCAATGGCGTGATCTCGGCTCACTGCAACCTCCACCTCCCGGGTTCATGCCATTCTCCTGCCTCAGCCTCCCGAGTAGCTGGGACTACAGGCACCTGCCACCATGCCTGGCTAATTTTTTTTTTTTTTTTGTATTTTTAGTAGAGATGGGATTTCACTGTGCTAGCCAGGATGGTCTCGATCTCCTGACCTCATGATCCACCCGCCTCGGCCTCCCAAAGTTCTGGGAATACAGGCATGAGCCACCATGCCCGGCCCGCAAGTGTTGTTTTTGACAGCCACTGAGGGTCAGGTTGTTCATTGTCACCATGTGACCTAGCCCATCCTGATGGGAACACTCCTCATACCCTTTGGCTACCCTCAAGTTCCTGAAGGGGAACCCGTCTCCCATTTTGAAAGCATGGCTTAAGGCATCTTGCCTAACTACACATTTGGGAAGATGAGGAGCACAGATGTGAAATTAACATTTTCACATGCTGAATTTCCCCTCTTTTATGAAAACATTTTTTCCCTTACTTCTTAATTTTAAAAAATACAGTGAATCATGTGATATTTATTAGTCCTTCTCAGAGGGCATTATACTAAGTGAAATAAGCCAGACACGAAAAGACCATATCGCCTAACCTCACTTACATGTGGAATCTTTAAAAGGTGAACTCATAGAGACCAAGAATAGAAGGGTGGTTACGAGGCTTTGCCAGGCGTGGCAGGTATTTCCCCCCGGAGATGTTGGTCAGGGGTTGCAAACTTTCAGTTATAGGATAAATAAGTTCTGGAGACCTAATGTAGAGTGTGGTGACTACAGTTAATCATAATGTATTATATAACGGAAATTTGCTAAGAGGGTAGATCTTAAGTATTTTCATACACACATACAGAGGTAATGGTGTGGGGTGATGGATATGCTAATTAGCTTGTACATCTTGAATATACACAATTTTGATTTGTCAATTATACCTCAATAAAGCTGAAAAGAAGTCTCAATATACAGACTAAAATAAACTTGTCTTTTTTTAATTCTTAGAATGCATCACTCAACATTTGTTTATGTGAGTGTTCAGGACTATGTGCTGTGTCTGAAAGAAGTATGATTTATAACTTTAAGTTGAGCTGCAAACCTGTGACCCTTGGATTTCTGTTGCGGTACAGTGCCTAGAATATAGCAGGTGCTTGACAAATGGTATGGATTGAATGAGTGTCCATCACGCAAACTCACAGACCCTTCACTTGCTTCCATTTCACTTTAGCATCAGTTTCATTTCGTCCTGTTTTATAGGCTTGCTGTTGAGATAGTAGTCTCTCTGACTAAAATATTAACTGTCTTATGCAGGAATTAAGACAATTTCATCTTTGAGTCTTCCAATGGAGATCAGCTTAATTTCTGAGCAGCAGGTGTTCAAGAAAGGCTTGCTGAATTGAATTGAGTTAGGTGACAAATTAGTGTCATTTTGGAAGCCAAGGACACCATGGTGTGGCCTGACAGTATACATGAGATTCCCCTTGTTCTGACTGGAATTCTTAGCCAAAGCTCACCCCTGTTTCTCTGGCCGAACCTTCTCACCACGAAAAGTGCAGTTCCTGAGGCCTGTTACATGGGCAAACTACAGTAGCAATCTGGCATTTACCATCTCTGTTTTCCCAGCAATGAAATGAAAATAGCCCCAGCTCCTCTTTTATAAAATGCTGCAAGATTCCTCCTTCCCCCACTGGTAGGACCAAGGAAACTATCAGGGAATTTGCATATGTCTAAAGCACCTAGGAAACCAGCTGACCGATTTGCATTAAAAAAAAACTTGCCATCCCAGACTTCAGGAGAGGAGGAAGAGAAATAAAACAATGAAAATGAGGCCGGGTGTGGTGGCTCATGCCTGTAATCCCTGCACTTTGGGAGGCCTGGGGTGGGTGGATGGCTTGAACCCAGGAGTTCGAGACCAGCCTGGGCAACATGTGAAACCCCATCTCTATTAAAAATACAAAAATTAGCAGGCATGGTGGTGTGTGTCTATAGTCCCAGCTACTTGGGGGGCTGAGGCAGGAGGATCACCTGAGCCTTGGGAGGTCGAGGCTGCAGTGAGCTGTGATCACACTGCTGCACTCCAGCCTGAGCAACAGAGTGAGACTCTGTTAAAACAAAGCAAAGCAAAACAAAACAAAATGAAAGAATAAAAATGTGACGTGTGGGAAAGGCAAGAACCCTAGAGACATCACAATCTGGGTGCTTTGGTTATCTATTGCTGTGTAACAAATCCCCCCAAAATGTAGTGGCCTAAAACCATTTGTTACTGCCTTTCACACTTCTGTGGGTTGACTTGAGAAGTTCTCTTTTGGGATCTCATATAGCTGTTGTCTGATGGTGGCTGGGGCTAGAGTCATTTGAATACTTAAGTGGTTGGCTTCTGAGTTGGCATCTGCTTCAAAGATGCAATAATTCAAGGCTGGCCAGGCCTCTGTCTCTCCATGCAACTGGCCTAGATTTCCTTCTTCTGAAGGGAGTAAGACTTATTCCATGGTATTTAGCTTCCCTTAGAACAGAATTTCTCGATCTCAGCACTGTTGACATTTTGGCCCATTGTGTTGTAGGGCACGAGACAGGGGTCTGTTGCATGCATTGTGGAATGTTTAGCAGCCTCTCTGACCTCTATCAACTAGACACTATAAAAAGGGCCTCTCACCTCCCTCCCTACAACCAGGTGTGATAACCAAAATTGTCTCCAGACATTGCCAGATATTCTTGGGAAGGAAAATTGCTTTGAGTCAGGAACCACTGCCCCAGAGTGAGTGTTGCAAGAAGCCCACGTGGAAGCTGCAAGGCTTCTTATAACCTGGCCTTGGAAGTCATGGACAAGTACTACCTCTGCATTCTCTTGGTCCAAAGGGAGTTCAAGGGCCAGCCAGATTGAAGCATAGGAGAGCTATGCAGGTAGACATGGTTCTTGGGGAGGGAGTCACCTTTGGAAACTAGGTGTTTGTTAACACAATAACTCATGGAAACAATCTTCCAGGACTCTCAGCATTGTCAGATCCCTTCAACAACTGTCTGCTGGATGCCCACTTTGCCCCTGGAGAAGATACCACCTAAGTCATGGTTTCTATTCTTAAGGGTCTTCGAGGCCATTTGGGGAGACAGATTTAAAGCTGGAGAGTTTCTGCATGATGCAGTATATGATGGGATGCACAGAGCAAAAGGTGAGGAAGGAGCAGAGGGAAGGGTTGCCATTCCAGTACAGGAGTTCTCTTCATGGAGAAGATGACACTTAGGCTGAGAGTTGAAAGATGAGTGAATCAGTCTAGCTGAAGGGATATGGAAAAGGCATTCCTGGGCAACAGCACAGCGCGATGAAACAGCACAACCCACTGGTCCATGCAGTGGCCACAAGCCATAGGTTTGTACGTATGGGACGGTCATGGAGTGAGAGCTGATTCTTTCAGGAAGGGCAGAGGTTGAATATGGGGGCCCCTGTGCACCAGGCTAAGGAACCAAGACTTGATTCTGTGTCTATTTCTTGATTATTGATTAGTCATACCCAGTTACCAGGAAATGATACATTACAATTTTTAAAGCAAACAGCAATGAGGTCTTCCTTCTAGGGCACATGCCACCTGAGGTTACAAGGGAGGCAACACTGAGCATGGTAAACCAGGCTCAACATTATTCTCTACCAGGACAGGTGAGGAGGCCAGAGGGGCAATCAGGTGTGTCAGGTGCCTACAAAGCAACGAGGCCCTTTGAGAGAGGCTAGAGACCTCTCAGTGCAGCCTTGTGGATACATTATCATTTGTGGATGACATAACAGAGTCAGAAACTTTAAGTGACTCGATTATTGTCTCTTCATTAGTGAGTTGGAGAGCTAGGATTGAACCCAGGTTTAGAATATTGACACACCTATTAACATGCTGAGTGTTGTCAAAAAAAGAACAAAATAAGGAAGAGACAGAAAATCCAGCAATGGAATGCTATTTGTTTCATGGCCAAAGCGCTAGAAAACGTTGACTTGCAGTTACTGCCTCGGAGTGCTGGGGCTCAGTGAGGTGCCTGGGAGTGTCCACACATCCCTGAGGTTCTGCTGCCTTCCCTTCTTGCTCTGTGCATTTGCTGTCCACCCTGAGATCCAGAGCAGCAGCAGCCAGTCTGTAGGGGCATTTCTAATACCCTTGAAGAACAAAGTGGAAGATCTGGGTTCTCAGCTGTAAAGGGGCCTCCAGGTAGGAGAGACCAGGTCTCTGGGCAGACACCTGGTTGGACTGTGAAATCCTTATGCATTCACTTAACTGCCTGGGCCCACGAGCTACCAAGATGAACACTTTCGCTATTAAAAAAAAGTTTCTGGAAGGCTGAGCCAGGAGGATCTCTTGAGCCCAGGACGTCAAGTAGTCCTGTAGTGAATTATGATCACATCACTGCACTCCAGCTTGGGTGACAGAGCAAGACTCTGCTGTGTCTCAAAAAAAATTAGAAAAAGTCTTCAACTTCAATTGAGAAAGTATGTCTACATGGATCCACCCATGGCAAGCCCCCACTAATAAATTTATCCTTTGTTCCCAGGACAGAATGTGAACTTCTTTGCATGGCATACTGAGCCAGCTTCCTTCTCCAGCCTCATCTCCTGCTGTTCACAGCGCCACACCCATACTGAAATACTTGTCCTTCCCCAGAGGCCCATGCTCTGGGCCTTTCTTCACGGTAACCTTTTCCTGTAATGCACCTCCTTTCTCCATTCTGTGTAGTGACTCCTACTCGTTCTTTGAGATCTTGATTACTTATTTGGCACGCATCTATGAGCACCTCCTATGAGCAAAACCCTGTGCTATGCGATGGGGGACGCAGTGATGAGTAAGACACAGTCCCTAACCTCGGAGAGAACCTCAAGTATTACTTTCTCTGTGAAAATGTCTTTAATCTCTTTGGTAATTCCCAAAGCATGCTCTTAGGGTCTTTATTGTACCACTGATTCCAATGTATTGCAGTTATTTGTGTATGTGTCCAACTAACTTTCTCATCAACCTAAGAGGGTAGACACCACGCCTAACTTGTTCATTGTTGCTCATATTCACAATACCTAGCTCATGTCTGGATCACAGTCAATACATATTTTAAAGTAAATGAATAAATGAATGAGTGAGTGAATGGATAAGTAAATGCAGCTTCTTGGCACTTAAGCATACAAATCTTCACCAGCATGCGCCTCACACTAGTGGACAGGCAGAACGATTTTCTATTCTATATGGAGGTTCTCTGTGAAGATTTCTATGCATGTACTTTGCCTCTGCAACCTCTTAGTGGAAGAACAGGTTTTTGATATGCAGCCAGCAACCCTGACAGAATCAAGTCACTTTCTTTAAGAAGATTAATGAACAGGGACTTAAGAGAAGGCACGGGTGAACTGGTTGCTAACAAGTAAGAACCAGCCATAAGCTCAACCCTATTTTGGGAACAAACCAAACCAGGATCTTTAAGGCTGAGCTTGGCTTGGTTCAACTAATCCTTCTCCTCCTCTTTGTGCCTTGGCTGCTCCCACACCCACCACAGCCTTTCTCACTCATCTCTGTTGAGTTATGAATCACATCCCTGTTGCACCTCCACGCTCTCCGTCCTCTGTTGGGTCTGGCATTTTCCTCACTTTGCTGTCCTATGAGGACAGAGAACACTGGAGGTGGAGGGAGAGTCTTAGGTAAATATATCATTTCAAGTCTTTCAGGGAGAAGGAAGCTCTGAGTGGGCCTTGTGATTCATGGTAAAGGGAAGATGTGGAGCAGGGAACTGGGCTGGGCTGGATGAGGATCAGAGGCGAAGAAAGGGAGGTTGGGCCATCTTACGGGGATGGGTGGGAAAGGTGAACCACCAGATCCAGACAAGGAGTGGAAGGTTTGAGGCAGGTGGGTGAAGGACTACAGGCAGAATGGAACACAGATAGGTACACTTGACCTCTTCTCCTTGGGCAATTTCCTAGTCAACTTTCAGGATCCAACTTGAACGCCCCTTACTTGGGAAACCTTCTCTGACTTTCTGGTTTTCTCTGCATTAGAAATATCCTGTGGTCACTCGCCCCACCATGTCACTTTTCATCCTAGTCCATCCTTTTTCCACTGCCTTCTCTTTGAGACTGAACACCTCAAAGGGCTGAGACCATGCCTCCTTCACTTGTGTATGCCTAAGCAGGGTCTGGCACACATTTACACTGACCATCTTTTCCTAATGCAAACTTGAGTCACATGGCCTGGCACAGTGTCCACCACATGGTCTGAGCGAGGCACAGAACTTCTGAAATGAGGACCATCTTGGAAAATCTGCACCATATGGTGAAAACGTGCTGAAGACGCCTTGCGTACTAAGAGTCAGTGGAATTTAATAGTATTTGTTTTATTGCCTTTCCCCCCCACATTCCTGGGTTTCTGTCTTCCCTAATATGAAGATGCATTTTGCTGAAATGATTCATTTTGCAAAATTCCTGCAGGCCAAACAAGAAGTGGCATGCACTTAGGTTTCAAACAGAGACACATGACATGGGAATCTGGGGCTTCAATTCTAGTTTAGTTTATAAAATGTTCAGCTGGTTGTTTCAAACCTCTGTTTCTACTCATGACCTCAGACAGAAAAGTGAGGTGTGCCAACAGACCCAGCCTGCAATGATTGAGCCCCTGCTGTATGCCAGACCCTTTTGCTTACATTATTCCATTTAGAATCATCCCAGGAGACAGGCAGGTACTCACCACATATTTTAAACAGAGAGGAGACTTCTCTGCTCCTTGAGGAGCAGAAGTGATTTATGTGCCTCATTTTGAGGCTAACCACCTACATCACAATCTAGACAGTAAAAACTGAAATGAGCGCTTGTCTTTTTGAGAATCTGGGGACAACAGCCGCTCTTGTTACCTTTGTAGATGGGCAAGAGTCCCTCCTCTGGGACACTGGAGGGCAGTGTCGTACAGTGAATTGAGTCTGGGATTTGGAATGAGGGAATTTGGGTGTGGGTTTGAAAGCTGTGTGGCCTTGAGCAAGTTAGGCAGCCTCTCTGAGTCTTAATTTCCTTGTCTCCAAATGAGAATAGTCATTGTAAGACCCACTTTACTGCGTCTTACAATGTTGTGAGGATCAGGTGGGCAGTGGACAGTGGGCGTGGGAAATGCTTTGTAAGCTGTGAAGAGCTAAACACCTAATATCATTATAAATGCACAATTTGGGGGCAAGGGCTCCTAGATCCTACCCGAGTAAAAATATTTCCTTCAAAACTCGTACCTTAATGCTGAACTTTGAGCCTGGAGTTCTATCTTTGAGTTCAAGGAGGCCACTGCTCAAGTAAGCTTGCATTCCCTGAGATGCAGGTGGGGAGGGGTAGCCCAGGATTAATGAGGGGTCCATTTATCAATTTCATCTTGTCTCAGAAAAGGGAAGCAGGTTGTTCAGTGTCCAGGACAGGTGCATTTGGCTGGGGAAGAGGAATGTGCCCAACCTGGGTGTTTCTGGAGGCCAGAAGAACACAAAGGCCCTGGGGACTCTCTAGGTTTGGAGCCTGTGCTTTCCTGGAGAAAGAAGAGCACAAGTCAAAAGTGATGTTGGGTTGGAGGGTGAGTACTGAAGATCCAAGAATCTTGGACTCTCAAGGCAAGGAGGGGCCTTCATCCCCATAGTTTCCTTGTCTTTGGTCGTTCCTGAATTTTGCCACATCTGCATTCTCCTTCTATTGTCTTTTTACTTGATGAATTTCTTTACCTCAATTTCCCCATGTAAGAAGCTTCAGCCTCATCTGAATCAAGCATATTTGTGAGATCTCCATACAACTATTAAAATAAAACATATTCATTTACCACCTAAAAATCACCCTACGACCACTAGTTGTCCGTGCATTAACTTTGTTGGGAACTTGTGTTCCTGATCAAACACCCATCTGGAGACGAAGTGTGCTCTGCTGCCCCTTCAACAAGTACTCACCCTGCCTCCGTTTGCACATCTGTAATGATGGGAAACTCAGTTCTTCTCTTGAGGTGACTCTGCCAGAAAGTTCTTCTGTAGGTTGTGCCTGAATTTTCTTACCTGTAATTCTACCCATTGGTTCTAACTCTTGGATCCCATAAAGGGTGTCTATTTTCACTTCCCAAGATGGGAAATCTGAAGCTGGCTCTTACGTACGCTACCTCCCAGCCAGGCTGGACACCTCCACTCCCATCTAGCATTCCTCTACTGACAGGCTTTCAAGTGTCCTTGATGTCTTTTGTCACTGTCCTCTAAAAGGCTCAGTTTTGGGGTCATCTCTTAAAAGATAACTTCCAGCATGGAACACAATCATCTAGGTGTGGTCTGGACAAGTAAGGGTGAATGGCACTGTCCCATCCCTCATTCTAGATACACTACTACCATTAATACAGCTTAAGTAACACTCTCTTCTTAATGCATCTGCCAGCAGTCAGTGGGTTTGGTGCAGAATAACTACTCCTGCATCAGTGTTGATACCTTGCCATGACCATTGGGGTGGTCATACTCTTACCTGACCACCCCAGTGCCAGTAGAAGGCACGTGTGGGGGAACTGAGTGTCATCTGGAGCAGCATTCTTTAAATCTTTTTCATTATACAAACATCTCAGTAAAAATACATTGAGCACGCATCTCTAATATGTATATATTTATTATAAATTGTATAATGGACTAATACATGTAGTGCATGCAAAAAATAGGAATTTAAAAGTATGAAATAAATCAGAAGTAAAAATCCTAATAATTTCACCCTCTCCTTGTTGGATTGTCTTACGTACCACCTGCGAATGTTTCCCCCCAGGGTCCAGAACACTCAGTGCCCTCCTGCTAAACAAAGCAAATCTCTGTATGAAAGGACAGAACCTCTAGTTGTGGTGACCCCAGCACCAGGGTCTAATTCACTGTTTTTCAAACTTCCCGAATAATGCCAGCAACACCCTTGGATATGCACCTGGAAGAATCAGAGTGAACGAAAAGGGAGTCAACCCCATTCAACCGTGTGTATTGTGCTTTGTCAACACACACCATTTTTCCTCTTCCTCGTGGCTGCCCCTGTCTTCTACTCTACAACGTTTGTGCATTTTATCCCCAAAGACCAGAGATGTCTTTGGAATGCACAGAGGTGTAGTGACACGCAGGGAGGGAATTTTGTTTTTGAAGTCTTTGGAATAAGATTCCTTCCAACATAAAAATCTCAAGAGATTAAGCAGGAAGTGATTCTGGCCTTGGCATGAGTTCAGAGGAACATGAACCGAGTGTGGGTAAATGTAAAATCACACTGTGGGGAGAGGCTGGGGTATTGGAGGGCTTCTACCAGGAGAAGAGTTCTCAGATGCCTGATGGGAGTTGAGCAGGGGTGGAATTAAACCTTTTTCCTGTGGCACTTGGAGGTAGAACAAGGAGGCATATTGGACTCTGTATAAGGAAGGCTTTTGAATGGTAAGAGCTGTCTAGTGATCACTGGGCTGCTGTGGAGGAGTTGCTCGCCCTTTCTGGGAGGGGTCTAGGGTGAGCTGGGTGAGCAGCTGATGGGAGGGTATCAAGGCCACTGGGTCCTATGCTGGCAGCCTGGACTAAAACAGGGCCAGGACAGATTGGGGTATAATTGTGAGGACTCTACGCCCTCCTGAACCCCCATGACCCCTTCATGGGCCTGTCTCCCTTGCCTGGAGTTTTGACATTCTACTTCTTTCTGCAGGCCCAAGGTTGCCCCCTTTTGGAGTGGTAGAGAGGCTTGGGTGACCACCACCTGCCATTGTGGGCAGCTTACCCAGCTGGGTGTACACAAGCTTTTAAAAGAAATGTTGCCCCATTACATCTTTGTCCTCAGGACATCCTCTTTAGTTTCCATCTACATTCATTAGGAAGCATGTGAGATCTTAGGATGGGGGTGGGGGTCGAGGGAAACTATTTTCTTTCCTCAAGGCAAGAAGAAGACATTGGGACCATCCCTTGTAGGTGAGTCATTTCCCTGGGGCTGCCTTACATCCTATGGAGACCGAGTTGACACAGTCTACTAATTTGACCTCAGAAATGTCTTGGGGATCCATCTGTCCCTTCTGCCACTTCTCTGGTTCAGACCCTTGTCATCCTTCACCAGGATGGTGACAAGAGCCTCTCGCTGCTTGGTATCCTGGCCCCTAGGCTCTCTCCTCTAGACCACCCTCTTCAGAATGATCATGACCAAATCACCCCATTGCCCATGTTACCTGTGCACACAGGACTATAACCTGTAACAAACTCAGTGCTTCACAGCTTTTCCTGCCTCCTCTCAATCCATGAGTCCCATGTCCCCTTAGGGTGCCCCTGCCAGGGCAACTCTAGACTTTCACATATGGGGTTTTGGTTTCTCAGAATGTCCTCATCCACCTTTTCTGCTTGGGAAACTCCTTATCGTCTCTTAAGACCCTCCCAAATGTTCCATTTTCTGTGAAATCTTTCCTGACTCTCCCAGAGTATGGGCTCCCACATGGCTGCTTGTAGAGTTTTCTGAGCTGCTACAGTGCCATATTTAGGATGCTCGCTATTGAGTCTGTGGCTTACGTGTGCGCTCACCAATGGCAGGGACGGAGACATGCTTATGGTGGCACTTTATGTGCATGCAGTAAAGATTAGTCCAAAAAATGAATCATCAAATCCCCTAGCCTGTAATTCATTTGACCTTCTGACCATCCTGTAAGTGGTCTAATATTAGGCTTTCCCATTAAAAGTCAACTGAGATGGTGTCCTCTTCAGAGCTGTTGGGTATGTAGCAGAGAGAGTGCTGTATTTGCATCCAGAGGCTGCTGTAACAAATTCCCACAAACTGGGCGGCTTAAATGAGAGACATTTATTGTCTCACATTGCTGGAGACTGGAAGTCTGAGATCAAAAGATTGGTGAGGTTGGTTCTTTCTAGAGTCTCTGAGAGAATCTGTTCCCTGCCTCTAGTCTAGGTTCTCGTGGGTGGCTGGCAACTTCGGATGGTCCTTGGCCCGTAGAAGCATCATCCGGATTTATCTCTTCCTTCATTTGCACATGGTGTTTTTTTTTTTTTTTTTTTTTTTTTTGATACGGAGTCTTGCTCTGTTGCCCAGGCTGGAGTGCAATGGCACGAGCTCAGCTCACCGCAACCTCTGGCTCCCGGGTTCAAATGATTCTCCTGCCTCAGCCTCCTGAGTAGCTGGCATTACAGGTGTGCACCACCATGCCCTGCTAATTTTGTTGTATTTTTGGTAGAGATGGGGTTTTACCATGTTGGTCAGGCTGGTCTTGAACTCCTGACCTCAGGTGATCCACCCGCCTCTGCCTCCCAAAGTGCTGGGATTACAGGTGTGTGCCACTGCCCCTGGCCCTGCACATGGTGTTCTACCCGTGCATCTGTCTCCAAATTTCCCCTTTTTATAAAGATACTTTTCATATTGGATTAGGGTCCACCCTAATGACCTCATTCTAACTTCATTACCTCTGTGAAGACTACCTCCAAATAACATCTCATCCTGGGATGCTGGGGATTGGGACTTCAATATATGAATTTTGGCAGGGCGCAATTCAACCCATAGCAAGTACCAAGTCTTTAGGAATATGACTTTGCCTCTCTGAGTGTCACTTTTCACACCTGCAGAATGAAAGGACTGGGCTAGCTAGATAAACCCTGAGCCTTTATCTTGTAGTTCTTTCTCATTCACTTTGGAAAGTCCAGTGGTAACTTTCTTTTCATCCATTTGTTTAACAAATATTTATTGAGTGTCTACTATGTCCCAGGCACTTGGAATTGGTGCTCTGTAAGCAGCGTTATCTTAAATGGTCCATGCCTTTCTGTTGAGTGAAACATAATGAAGTGTCCATGACATATCTATGGTCGGCATCTTCAGTGGAACCTTGTGTCATTTGATTGGGAATCCACCTCATCAGCTATTTGAATATTGGTTTCACAATCTGAAGAACAGGCCTGCAGTTGCCAGGCTTAAACCTTAGACATAATCTTGTTATGAAATCTGTTTGGAAACACTATGACTGAGCTGCTTTGCTTGGTCATTCTCCAATCCCACGTTTCTGGCTTTAGGAGGCTCAGGCACCATTTATTTGTAAAGGAAGTAGTAGCACACACCTCCTGAGGGCCTACTTTGTTCAAAATCAAGCCTCATTCTAAATGTGCACAATGTAGCCAGCATCCATGCAGCAGAGACCAGGGACTGGACACCTCCAGGGGTGGTAGATGAGCCAGGTCCCCGAGTGTTGTCATGTGAGCCAAGGGCCTCCCTTCTCATCACAGTGCACCAGAGCTGTGTTCGTCATTTAAAAAACATCCCTGAAGTCAGTGCTTGTCATATGCTGTGGGCTCTATTCTGAGCACCTTTAGTCTTTCTGTGGCATTGTGAGGTGGAAACTATTATAACCATTTCACAAGGAGAAACCGGGTGGAGGCTGGTGTTGGGTAGGCAAGAGGGTCTCATGCACCTGCTCTGGGCCCAGGAGGCCTGCAGGTCCCCCTTAGAGACCCAAGTCCCCAGAGCTGGAGGCCCCTTCTAGAGGAGCTGCCTGGGGCTTTCTGCATCTCCAGCTTGGCCCCATGATTCTCAGAGTTGCCCTGAGCAGCCCTGCTGTGGGCTCAGCGCAGGGGTTCCTGTACTGGTTAGATTAGCTCAGGGTTTCCTGTACTGGGGGATTGGGCTGATGGACCCTTCCTGCCTTTTCTCTCCCTTCCTTCTGCACATGGTGAGGGAGACCCTAAGCCTTTCACTTATGCTTCATTTTAGAAGCTTCTGTGCACTGAGGGTAAGAATGAACACTCAAGTTCTCTCATCACACCCAACCCATGAGTAAGGCTGGCATTAGTTTCTAGTCTACTCTGTAAGCCAGAGGAGAATCCTACCAGAGCACAAGACACAAAGCAGGGAGACCCCTTTGTCAGCAGCTGCACATTGGTGGCCTCAGCCAGGGAGGCCCTGTCAGCTCTTTCCAAGTTATCTTCTCTCAGAGTCCTCCTGCAGCCCTGAACTGTCTTTACTCTCATTATATCCCAAAGCTTCTACTTTCATATGTCACATTCTTATAAAAAGAAGGTACATGAACAAAGCCCCAACGGTAAATATATGTGTTTAGTGGGGTGCTTATTACTTGAGAGCTGAAAAGTAATATGAAATCCCTATTTTGACCTTGGTTTGGATAATGTAATTTCAGCATGAAGACTATGTTTTCATGTTTTAGTCTTCTCCTTCCCAAGTAAGAACACAGTCTGGCTTAAGTCCATCAAATGTCTAAATGAGGCAAAAACATGCCACTATCAGCTTGCTTAAGGCTTTCCAGTTGAGTGGAGTTGCAACTGGAGATCTCAGCTGCTCATTGTTAGTGTCAGCTGGTTAATGCTCCTGTTTTCCAGGCAGGTTGTGTTGGGGACAGCACTTTCCTGTCTCTCCTGTTCGTTCTTCTCAGCCCCTCCTGCTGTCCTCCAACATATAGGGAGGTGCTTCTAGAAAGATGTGACTTCCCTAAAAGAGGCTCTTCTAGACCTTTAGGGTCCTGCTGGCAGAATATTTGCTGACAAGCATGTTATTGAAGGGCAGGGGAGTCCTTTCCTAGCCCAGGGGTAGGCTGTGGACTGTCGAAGGGGTTCTTAGGACACTGAGGGCATTGGACAACCTCCTAGGCTAGCTGGGGTTTATCCCTTTCTTTACTCATTTGGCAAATATTGAGTGAATTCCAGGTACCATGCTGGGACCTGGCCCTGTCTCAAGGGACTCAGACTCCTGGTAGGAGAAATAGAAATGTAAAATAAGCAACTGAGTGCAGAGTGCAAGGGCAGGGTCAGCAAGGGGCCTATAAAAATGCAGAGCAGGGATTGTAGTTCTCATTTATTGTTTCTGTCATTTTTTTTCAGCCAGTGTCATTCCGGAGCCTGCCGTGTATTTGCTCTGCTCACATTTATGATGTGGTATGACTCAACTTGTGTATCTGTTAGAAATAGGAGTAACTCCCTCGTGGGTTTCTCATCAAATAATGGCCACCAACTCTCATTGTTCCCCAGGGGAGAATTTAAATTCTTAAAGAGAAAAAATCATGTCAGGTTTATTCTCTAGTATACACACAGCAACTAGTAGCAAGGTTAATGAAAAGGATAGCGAAGGAAGGATGACCTTTGGGGGTGGCTCTTAAACTTTAACCTAAGAATCATGTGCAGAGCTTGTTAAAACATGGATTCCTACCCCCTAAGACTGATGCAGTAGATCTGGGGTGGAGCCCAAGTATTTGCATTTTGAAGGGCCACAGTTTGAGCAGCATCAGCCTATGGGGTCTTCTTCCCTATCTGAGATTGATGAAAAGAGGTGGCAGTGCATGTTGTTCCCAAAGAACTGCCATGGGATTTGCCACTTGCCACCTTCTTAGCAGGGGCCTGGGCCTGTCATACAGGACAGGTCCAAACGATTGGGGTTCTGTACAGGTGCAGGATGACATAGCCATGATGCAGGTATTTAACACAACCAGTGGAAATATGAATGTGTGCCTTCAGCATTCAGCTTGTTAAGTGAAATATAGGGCTATTAAAATATCTCTGCTTGTGAAACCCTTTTGTTTCTCTTTTAGGATCATTGTCCCTTCTTATGCCATCGGGTTCTTTAAGGAAAAGGACCTGCTGTTGTGGCCACTTGGCTTTAGTTATTCATTATCACTGCCTATTCATGCTGAGTAAGGTTTAATTTGTCTTTGAAATTTAGCAAAGAGCCCAGTGCTGGTGATCTGGCTGTGCTAACTCTCTCACCACACTGCTGAAGAATGCATTGACTCCAGGCATGGGACAGCTACCCACCCACCCGTCAAGTGCTTTTGAATGAAGAGCTCTGACTCAGTCTCCATGAAACTCTGTGATTTCTTTCCTTTCCAGCAATACTTGGAGGCTGGTGTCCCTGTTTAGACTTACTGCAGATCTCATGTATTGGGGCAGTTTTGCAGTCATTGCTGAAAGCTGTCTGTCATTTGTCTGTTGAAATAAGCAGTGTGCTGAAGTGGAAAGAGCTTTGGAGTCTTTCAGGACCTCATTTGGGTGTCCTCTGCTCCAGGACCTGGACTAGGGCAGAGACCTCATCTCTGCACACACAGCACCTAGCTTCTCCCTATCATAGCTTGCAATAGGCATTACTGAAACCAGGCCACATGCCTGCCTCCTTCGCTGGATTTGGAGTTCCTTAAGCACAGGGATTGTCTCTTGTTTCCTCTTTAGCCACAGAGCTCAAAGCAGGGCCTGATGCATGACAACAGCTCACTCAATGGCTGCTGAACTCATTAGGAATTATACAGACCTATGGTCGCATCCTAGCTGGGGATCTCTTACTCACTTCTCTGAGTTGTCACTTTCCCTTTCGGAAAAATGAGGATGATAATATCTATCTGAACACGGACTCTCCATATGCCAGGCTTGATTCTGTGTGCTTCATGAGTATGTCTCATTTAATCCTCAAAACCACCCTATGAGTGGGTATTAACATTGACTATATTTTCAGTTAAGACCCCAAAGGAAGAGAGAAGTTAATGTAAGGTCACTTGATAAATGGGTAGTCAGGATTTGAACTCTGGCTGTTTGACTTCAGAGTCTGTACTTTTAGCCACTGCAGTAGTGGTTCTCAACTGAGGATGATTTTGCCTCCCAGGGGACATTTCACAATGCCTGGAGACAATTTTTATTGTAACTGTTGGGAGGAGGTGCTACTGGCATTTATAGAGCAGAGGCTAGGGTTGCTGCTAGCCATCTGACAATGCACAGGACAGGCTCCCACAACAAGCATTCATTCGGTCCAAAACGTCAGTAGTGTCTCCATTGAGAAACCTTGCACTACGTTGTGCTCCCTCCATAAACTCAAGTTTGCTAAGAGCCAGGCCCAGAGCAGGCCCACAATAAATGATGCTCCGTTCTCAAAGTTTGCAGGTTGTAGTTCAGAGAAGAAGAATCACCCAGTCTCCAGCTTTATTCAGCAGCTCAAGTTTTATTCTTAATGGTTCCCAGCTGCTTGGCTTCTCTATCTTGGGAGTTCCTGTTTTTGTGAGACATGCTGACAGTTATCAAGAGTTGGGGCAAAACTCTCCTTGGGAGAAGTCCAACTTCTCCAAGATCTGGCAAGTTCAGACGTTCCACAGAGAATGCATACCTTCCTGGCCTCTGACCTCATGGCATACATGATTCTGTGTGGTTGGGTTTTGTGCAGTTTCTCCTTTCATGGGAACTGACATTTCTCACCCTTTGCGTGGAAGACCTTGTGGGGTGCTTGCCACCATCAATGAGGCGTTGGTATGAATGCTGTCATGGTTTTGGCCCTTGAAAATGGATAAGCCAAGGAGAAACATGACAGATGGCCTGTCATCCGGAGTAGCAGCCATGCCTTGCATGCTGGGCACTTTGGTTGGAGAGCTGTGAGACCATGGTTTTACCATCGACTCACCAGGTGACCTTGGGAAGTGCCTGGAGCTAACTTCTTCTACTGCCAGCATGAAGTCCACCCACCTACCCTGTACAGTTCCATGGAAGACCTTTGGACAAGCTGGAATTAGGGATCTTTTTATGTATAAATTTTCTAGCCATGAGCATGAGGAAGTTTGACTTAAAATGTTGACCATGTATGCAGCATAAATTCACTCCGGAGTACCAATGGCAAACAATGAACTCTTATATCCAACCTCTTATATGAGTAGAAGCAACTGGCTTCTCTGAGGTCTAAGGAAAAATCTAGTTTTAGTCAGGTTGTTACTTGGAATTTATGTGCTGAAGAGAGTTTGTTCTAACTGATAGACGTAGGACTCCAGATGGAAGAGTCAGTTGCCTCTCTTGGGGGCCGGGTGGGCGGGTGAGGGGGGAAAACAGCCCACAAGAGGATTTTTCAGTGCCCATGCTTCAGATGGTACAAGGATATTTGAAGGACTCTCCAGAAATGAGAATGTACACTTCTCATCATCACTGACAGTGTTTGGAGCTTTGAGTTTCATGAATAGAATGGACAAATTGGCCTGGGTGTGCTGCTAGTATCTTAGGGTGTGACTGCTGCCTCCTGGCTGCAAATATGGAAAATTCTTGGCAAAAATGTAAGAGGGCAATAGAGCTAATGATAAAGTCTTTCCATGTGACCTCTTATCTGAACCAAGTTTGTCACCTAAACGAGACCTAGACAGCCATATCTGGTGAACTGGCCTCAGTCACACCACAGAAGTGAAAGGTGCAGTTCCTGACTAAAACATGGACTGCAGGCACAGTGCTTGCACCCTCAGGGGCACAGTGGTCTCAGACCCATCTTCTTCTTAGGTTGGGAGGTGTCCCTCACATTCTATTTGCAGAGAGGCAAACATCAAATTGAAAGGCTGTTCAAAAGCTTAATGAAATTTATGTCAGCTGATTGAGTTCATGTTTCATCAGATGAACTTGACTCTGTGTATTAGTCTTTCTCACATTGCTATAAAGAAATATCTGAGACTGGATGATTTATAAGGAAAAGAGGTTTAATTGTCTCACAGTTGTGCGGGCTGTACAGGAAGCATGCAGCTGGCCATCTGCTCAGCTTCTGGGGAGGCCTGAGGAAACTTACAATCATGGCTGAAGGTGAAGGGGAAGCAGGCTTACTTACGTGGCTATCACAGGAGCAAAAGGTTGCCAGGGGGTGCTACACACTTTTAAACAATTAGATCTCATGAGAACTTACTCACTATCATGAGGACAGTAGCAAAGGGGAAATCTGCCCCCATGAGCCAATCACCTTCTACCAGGCCCCACCTCCAATACTGAGAATTACAATTTGACGTGAGATTTGGGTGGGGACGCAGATCTAAACCCTATCATTCTGCCTCAGCCCCTCCAAAATCTCATGGCCTTCTCACATTGAAAAATACAATCATCCCTTCTCAACAGTCCCTGAAAGTCTTCACTCATTCCAGGATTAACTCAAAAGTCCACAGTCCAAAGTCTCCTCTGAGACAAGGCTGTTCTCTTCTGCCTATGAGCCTGTAAAATCAAAAGCAAGTTAGTTACTTTTGAGATATAATGGGGTTGTAGGCACTGGGTAAATACTACCATTACAAAAGGGAGAAGTTGGCCAAAAGAAAGGGGCTACCGGCCCCATGCAAGTTCAAAACCCAGCAGGGCAGTCATTAAATCATAAAGCTCCAAAATAATCTCCTTTGACTCCATGTCTCACATCCAGGGCACACTGATGCAATGGGTGGGCTCCCAAGGCCTTGGGCAGCTCCACCCCTGTGGCTTTTCAGGTTTCAGCCCCTTAGCTGCTCTCAAGGGCCAGTGTTGAGAGCCTGCAGCTTTTTCAGGTTCAGGGTGCAAGCTATCAGTGGATTTACCATTCTGGGGTCTGAGGGATGGTGGCCCTCTTCTCAAAGC
Source organism: Homo sapiens (assembly GCF_000001405.40). Lineage (NCBI taxonomy): Eukaryota > Metazoa > Chordata > Mammalia > Primates > Hominidae > Homo > Homo sapiens. The sequence continues at coordinate 108,659,994 of NC_000009.12, read as the reverse complement.
TCCACTAGGCAGTGCCTCAGTAGAGACTGCGTGTGAGCGTTCAAATTACACTTTTCCCCTCTGCACTGCCCTAGTAGAGGTTTTCCATGAGGGCTCCACCCCTGCAGCAGGCTTCTGCTTGGACATCCAGGCTTTTCCACACATCCTCTGAAATCTAGGTGGAGGATCGCAACCCTCAACTTTGCATTCTGTGCACCCGCAGGCTTAAAACCACATGAAAGCTGCCAAGGCTCATGGCTTGCACTCTCTGAAGCAGTAGCCCAAATTGTACCTGGGCCCCTTTTAGCCACAGCTGGTGCTGGAGTAGCTAGAATGCAGGCAGCAGTGTCCCAAGGCTGGACAGGGCAGCAGGGCCCTGGGCCTGGCCCAGGAAACCATTCAGTCCTGCTAAGCCTCCAGGCCTGTGAGGGGAGGGTCTGCAACAAAGGTTCCTGTAATGCTTTTGAGGCCTTTCCCCATCGTTTTGGATATTAGCAGCTGGCTCCTTATTTATGCAAATTTCTACAGCCTGCTTGAGTTCCTCCTCTGAAAATGGACTTTTCTTTTCTACCACATGGCCAGGCTGCAAATTTTCTAAACTTTTATGCTCTACTTCTCTTTTATATATAAGTTCCAATTTGGGGTCATTTCTTTGCTCACACATATAAGCATAGGTTGTTAGAAGCAGCCAGGCCACATCTTGAACACTTTGCTGCTTAGAAATTTCTCCTACCAGATACCCTAAATCATCACTCTCAAGTTCAAAGTTCCACAGATCCCTAGAGCAGGGGCACAATGCAGCCAACCTCTTTGCTAATGCATAACAAAAGCAACCTTTGCTCCAGTTCCCAATAAGTTCCTCATTTCCATCTGAGACCTCCTCAGCCTGGACTTCATTGTCCATATCACTCTCGGCATTTTGGTGACAATTTAAAAAGTCTATAGGAAGTTCCAAAGACAAGTTTCCCTTGTCTTCCTGTCTTCTTCTGAGCCTTCCATACTCTTTCACCCTCTGCCTGTTACCCAGTTCCAAAGCTGCTCGTACATTTTCAGATATTTTTATAGCAATGCCCACTCCTCATTACCAATTTTCTGTATTACTCTGTTCTCAAATTGCTATAAAGAAATACCTGAGACTGGGTAATTTATAAAGAAAAGAGGTTTAATTGGCTTATGATTTTGCAGGCAGCACAGGATGCATGATGCTGGCATCTACTTATCTTCTGTGGAGGCCTGAGGAAACTTAGAATCATGGCAGAAGGCAAAGGGGAAGCAGACTCATCTTACATGGCTGGAGCTACACACTTTTAAACAACCATATCTCATGAGAAGTCACTCACTATCATGAGGACAGTACCAAAGGAGAAATCCACCCGCATGATCTAATTATCTCCCACCAGGCCCCACCTCCATACAACATTGAGAATTACAATTTGACATAAGATTTGGGTGGGGACACAGATCCAAACCATATCACTGTTCATAGGCTATTGGAGCCTGAGAATTCTAACATAGTCAGAGGGTTCCAAGTTGGATGCCACAGGGCACTGTGCTATTTGCAGTAGTCTAGGAACGGTGGCTCACCCCTGTAATCCCAGCAGTTTAGGAGGCTGAGGCAGAAGGATCGCTTGAGGCCAGGAGTTTAAGATCAGCCTGGGCTACATAGTAAGACCCTCTCTCTAGGAAAAATTTAAAAATTAGCCCAGCATGGTGGCATGTGCCTGTAGTTCCAGCTACTTGGGAGCCTGAGGTGGGAGGATCACTTGAACCCAAGAGTTCCAGGCTGCAGTGAACCATGATCACACTACTGCACTCCAGCCTGGGTGACAGTGTGAGGCCCTGTCTCTTTTAAAAACAAGTAGCAATTTTAGCACTTTAGCACTTTTGTATACCAGCACTGTATGAGGTTCATTATTTATAATCCTTTTAACAGCCTTAAAATTTCTTATTATTTACCCATTTTTCATGTGAAAAAAAATGAGACCCAGAGTGGCTAGCTGACTGTAGATGATTAGTTAGTGGGAAAGCTGGTATTGGAACCTAGGTCTGTCTTCAAAAAACACCTACTTTCTGTCATTACCCTCAGATCAATCCTATATAGTTAGGGAAAAGCTAAGCTGCTATACAGTAACCCAAATACACAGTGGATTAAATAAAATTACCATATTTGAATTACTGTTAAATAACAGTCCCATGGTAGATAAATGGTACAAGAGAGGTGGGTAGCTTCTTGAAGTCATTCTGGGACACAGGTTCCTTCTCTATTGATGCTCCACCATCTTCCAGAATGTTCTCCTCATCTGCATAGTCACTGACTAGTCAATATCATATACATGTTCCAGCCCTTGGTTAAGGAAAAAAGAGAATGAATGGAAGGCAAGCAATTTGCTCTGAAGAAAGTAACCAGAGGTTGTCACTTATTACCTGCCTAAGATGGAGAAAACTTAGTTACCTAGGCATACCTAGCTGCCAGTGAATCTGTAAAATGTGTTTCTGGTGGAGTGGCTGTATGTTCTGCTAAAACTTGGGCTGAATGTGTATGTGTCTTGATGCTAAATAGAAGGAAAGAATGGGGTTTTCAGGACATTTCAGTTGTTAATATACAACTCTACATGAAATTAAAAACATACATGTTTATCTTTAGAAAAAAGTGAAGCGCTTGAAAATTTAATCTGACAAGGTTCTCTTGACCTAGCCATACCTGCCCACTGAGTTGACACCAGCACTAATGAGGAGTGAGATTTTGGTACAATGGCCTAGGCTAAGTGAACAAGGATCCTGTCAGCAGGCTCCTTGCTGATCTTGCCCGGGGCAAGAAGGTTTCCGTGAATCCTGACCTTAGCCAGACTTATCAAGAGGTGGTCACTGATTACTCTCAATAAACACTTGGCTCATCATCCAGTACTTAGGATTACAAGTGGAGCACTCCCTTTTTGGAATTCCTGCTGCTCCTGGAAAACTCCCCACTCTGTAGATTCTAGGGGGTAGGAGGATGGGATTGGCCCAGGAGGATGGTGCTGAAAGTTATCAGGATGTTCTGCTTACTTCATTCTGTCTACTTTTTCAGTGAAGACAAAGGAATTAAAGAATGCCAGTGTCACTCTCTGATGCCTGAGATGAGATATGGGAAATTGTTATAATTTGAAATGCCCTGGAATCTCTTCTGGGATTCTATGCCAGGCACAAACATGTGCCTGAGGTTGGGGCACTGTCGTTCCCATTCACACCCTGTCTTTTTGCATTCCTTTCTCCAACCGTATTGCATGAACAAAAGACCTTTGGTCGTAAGAAATCTGAGTTAGTTTCATGCCACTTTCTCGCTTCATATGTTTGTTGTTTCATCTCTTTGGGATTTCCTAAGCCCCAGGGCCCCTACTCTCAATTCCCACACACTGCCCTGCAATATCTAACCAGCTCTTCATCAATTCCATCTCGTGGCCACCTCTCTTCCTCCGTGGGGTCTTCCTTCACTCCCTGTCTGATCCAGAGCCTTCTTGTCTATGCTCTTGAGGATCTTTGCATTTCTTTCCTTCTTTGTAGTGTAGTGCAGTTCAGTTATCAAAAATGGCATCAGTTAGGGCTTTGCCACTTACTAGCTGTACAAACTTGTGCAAGTTTCTTCCTTTTGCCAAGTCTGTTTTTCAGTAAAGTTAGGTAGCAAAGCATCCATCTTTGAAGACTACTGTGAGGGTCAGATGAGACAGTGTAGGCAAGTTGTTTAGTGCAGTGTCTGGCACATGGGAGGCATTCAGTAAACCTTTGGCTGCCTGGCACCAGAAACCCATCCTGATATTTGGAGGCTGAGTCCTGGAAGGCAGTCACACTTTTTTCCACCATCAAAGCCGAAAGGCCAGATGTGGCTTTTTCTCTGCACTGAGAATGAGAGTGTGGGTTTTGCTCATCAGATTCCCCTGCCTCAGTGAGTTCGTTTCACATCTCGCTGCACCCTGGAGGGGTTTGTTCTGTTGAATTTGGCAGCAGCAAGGACAGCCTCTCTTCCGGAGCAGCCACAAAAGAAGGACCAGCCACAGTGTCCTCACCAGATCTTCCCTGTGGTGCAATTTCGGTTGTGGTCCAGCTGTGTGGACTCTTAGTTTCTGCTCATTTTCTCCGTCTGGTTCTCCAAGCTTCCCAGCAGTTCTGTGAACGTATTTTTCCCCAATAATTTTTTTTTTTTCTGCTGAAATTACCCAGAGTCAGTATCTGCTGTTAGAGCCAGGACCCTGGCCAACAGAGTTAACTCTTATCATTATCATTGTCATTGCTGTTATTGACCTAGTCACAGTGCACAATACTGCAATCACCGAGTTACTCGTGTGCCTCCCCTATTGAACTGTGAACCCAGCCCTTGAACTGTTCCTGATACAGTATTAGGCTCAGAGTAGACTTATTGAATGAGTGTATAAATATATAATAATGGATGGAAAAAAATGAATGAATGAATGAATGAGTAGATGAGTGAAATATTTGCTCAGTGCTTATGATGATTCACATAGCACCTAACTTAAAGTTGAGAGGCTCAACATAGCAGAGCTCAGAGACTGTGCTCTCTTTCCTGCTAGAAGGCCTAAATGACCTGCTTTTTCAGGTTGAAAAAAAGTTTACAGATACCTGTGGAGGCTTTCTGATTCCCACTTACCTTATCCTGTCTGCAGCAGGGCTCCCCTCTAGTAACCATAACCAGTTAGATGAAGTTTTGCTTTGTTTGTTTGTTTTGAGATGGAGTCTCGCTCTGTCGCCCAGGCTGGAGAGCAGTGGCACGAACTTAGCTCACTGCAACCTCCGCCTCCAAGGTTCAAGTGATTCTCCTGCTTCAGCCTCCTGAGTAGCATGGACTACAGGCGTGTGCTGTCACGCCAAGCTAATTTTGTATTTTTAGTAGAGATGGGGTTTCACCATGTTGGTCAGGTTGGTCTTGAACTCCTATCCTCAAGCAATCCACCCACCTCAGCCTCCCAAGGTGCTAGAATTACAGGATTGAGCCACTGTGCCAGGCCAGGGTTTTGTTTTTTATGATATATGTGAATGCCCATTCCTTTATTTAATCTTTACAAAAATGCTGCTTGATGGGCATTCTTATCCCCATTTTATAGATGAGGAAACAGAGTCTCAAAGAAGATAAGTAGCTTATAGAAGATGACTCACCCAGGAAATAGCAGAGATATGTCTCAACCTAGATTTCCTAAGCTCCAAAGACTCTGCTCTTGCTATTTTACTTCCCCACCCAGGGAGTAGTAAACTCTCAGGGAGGGTTATTTATTGAGAGTAATTTTTTTAAAGAAAAAACAAGTTGAATTATTCTCTTCAAAGACAGTAATCACATTATCTTAGGCATTCTGTTGGCAACATATCAGGAAGATTTGCGTATGTCATAGCCTAGGAGCTACACTTGATGTTTTGGAATTTATCTTGATCGTTAGAAAGCCACAGAAAATTGTAGTACATATTATGCTTCACAGCATAATCAACTAAACCAAACAAATTTTCAGTGGTAATAAACCAAGAAGACTTAGCCAAGAATTGGTATGAGTATGGACACTTCCCTAAGATGATCTTGCATGATATTTGTCTCCCTCTCATACTGGCTCGGAGTGCCCCAGTTGTATTTCTGACAGTAGTGCTACCTACATGGCTGTGTTCCTTACATGAAACATGCAGGTTATAGACCCCATCATACTCAGCGATGTGGGATTTAACTACACTGCAGCTATAGAACTTGGAGACAGGAACACTTTGCGAATTGTCTCCATTTTACTCCATAGCCTCAGGCTGGTGGTCCACCTGACAGGAGGTGCAAATGACTAAGAATGTCTTAAAGAGGATTGTTGGATGCAATTGTGCACTTCTGATGTGCATAATTCCTTTTCAGTAACATGTCACTCTATCTCAGTAACAGGAAGCATTTACCTTGGCCCTTGGATCATTTGTCTTTAGCAGAAGAACTGAGATGAATGGCATCATATACACTCCATTTTAAGTTTTGTTGAGGGAAATATAAACTTTTTAGTAAGGGAAATGACAACTTCATTCTCTTAGTCATGATTCAAGTATTCATTTAAATTTTCTTCATCGCACCTGTCACTGCCTGATAGTATCATGTTGATGTATTTGTTTCCTCATTTATTATCTGTCTTCTCCATCTAGAATGTGAGCTCTGAAAGAGCAAAGACCTTCTCTTTTCTGCATAACATGATACCTGCTGCACCTAGCACCATCCCTAGCACCTGATTAAGCACTTGGTAAATATTGGTTGAACCAATGAAGTACTGAAATAAAGTAAATTATTGAATTGGACTGGCATCTTGATACCCAAAGTCAACGTTCTCATAGAGGTATATAAAAAATGCAAAAAACAGACTAATTATGAAAAGATGATGAAATGAGCAAAATGAGTTATGAATCTATTATCTTCATCAGAGCCATGTTTTCTTATCTGTATATTGAGAATTATGGTGGTTACCTGGCAGTTTTTTGGGAGGATTAAAGTTAATGCATGTACATGTGGGTGGCAGGTAGTGGGCAGCTACTCAATGAATATTAATAAAGAATTAACAATGGAGCTAAGGGAAGGTGTGAGGATTATCAATCCACAGAGTAAAGAGGACATGTTCATGGGAATTCTACTTCCAATCCTCAAGTCTTATTTTGGCTTATATTCACATATTTCCTCATAATTTACAGAGCCCTTTTTCTATACTTATTTCACCTAATGCTCATGCACCACAGTCTTGCCTGGTGATTATAATTAGTCTTATTTCACTGATGGGAATCAGAGCTAGGGCTCCAATTTAAGTTTGGGGATTCCCAAACTTTCCTTCCCAGGTGACCTCCTCTGGTCATCGCCTTGTCTCCCTGGCCAGGCTTGCCTCCATAGCCCAATTTTGCATTTTTTTTGTGTGGAATTCAGACCAGGAGTCCCTTGAGGGCAGGGACTGTCTCTATTTTATTTTGCAAAATTCCAGATGCAATCTAGTTGCTCATGTGTTTATTAGTAAGAGGGTTATGCAAAGACATTGCATACCTGGTTAGTTTAATATGGGTTTAAGCAAACACACAGGCATTTCGTTTCCCTCTGTCCCCACCTCATCCATCGGCCTCCTCTTCCCCTGCAATCTGAATGCACCCTGTGTCAGCCAGTGGATTTGGTGGGGAAGGAAAGCAGGTAGGAGGGGGATGTCTCCTCCTGGACAGCACATCTCCTGTCTCTGCCTGGGCTTTTCCGTTTCTATCCTGCATCTCAATTCCAAAACACCAGATTTAAACCTTGCCTACTGGATGTAGAATTACCAAAAAGACAATCCTATTAAATTATAGATTGGAAATACAAGAAGCAAGGACTAGAGAAGCTTCAGGTTGGAAGGGACCAAAGAGGTCCAAAGAGCCAGAACTCCCACCCTCTTCAGTTGAATCACTTTTTATTGACTCCTGTGAGGTACAAGGTATTTGTCCTGCTATTCCCTCTCCAGCTGCAGGACTGATGGTTATTTCTATCATTCCTGGATTTTCTGATGAGTGGCAGTTCACCCACGAAGACAGTTTAGAACAGTGGTTAACAGTGTGGGTTTTAAAGCCAGAAAGACTTGGGTTCAGGCCTAGCGTGGTGGCTCATGCCTGTAATCCCAGCACTCTGGGAGGCTGAAGTGGGAGGATCACTTGAGCCTAGGAGTTGGAGATCAGCCTGGTCAGTATAGCAAGAAGTCATCTCTACAAAAATTTAAAAAATTAGCCAGGTGTGTGGTGCACACCTGGAGTCCTATCTTCTTGGGAGGCTGAGGTGGAAGAATCACTTGAGACCAGGAGTTCAAGTCTGCAGTGAGCTATCATCATGCCACTGCACTCCAGCCTGGGTGACAGAGTGAGACCCTGTCTCTTAAAAACAAAAAAACAAAAAAACGAAAAACAAACAAACAAACAAACAAAAACCTGAGTTCAAATCCTCAACCCTAAATTGATGATATTGTCTCTCAATGTTTCTAGCTTAGTGACCTCATACAAATTATGTCATTTCTGTAAACCTGTTTCCTCTTCTCTCCCACATGGGTAAAGCAACATTTTCCTCTTAGTTTTCACTGAATGTTAAATTGAACTGTTCTCTTAATTCCCTCAGGACAGAGTCTATGTGTGGTAGAACCCCAGTAAATGATAGAGATTCTGACCTTACAGGGCTAACAGGTCCATTTAAAAACTAATTTTCATTTTCAGAATATTTTTGAGCCATAACAATGCTTATCCTTTTTGATTAGTAATCAGTAAAATGAGGACAGTGGTACTTTGTTTCAAGAAAATTATTCTTGAGAATAACAAAGCTATAAGCATTAGGAAGTTTGTAGCACTGCTGTTTATGATAAGAACATTTTGGAAATGACTTTAAAAGCCTTATAACAGATAATGAAGTAAATTATTATCTATCTTTTCTGAGAGACGTTATGCTTCCATTATGATATGTAAAGACCATGAAACAAGATGGATAAAACGTATAATGTTAGATTTAACATGCTGAATCCAAAATTATATTTATATTATGATTATAAAATGTAAATATATTTATGCACGTGGGCAGTAATTGGTGGGAAAAATAGAAAAATGAAAAAAGTATTTTGGCTGATGAAATTCAGGGTGTTTTTTCATTTTAATTTTTATACACATCACTTGTATAATACATAAATACAATATTTATGTATTATAATAAATAGATATGCAAAATGATTTTTAGAGAAAAATACTCTTCTCTTCTCTTTAATAAGGTGGTGGCCTCTGACCAGAGCTTCCTTCTTCCCTGGCTGAAGAGCCACTTTATATTTTATGTTCTCCAGGACATGGTCTAAATCAGTGTAACCTTACACAAGATCACTTTGGTTGCTAGAAAATGATTTGCAAGTTGGCTTGGCTGGGAAGATCTAGAGCAGAGATTCTCGGACGTCTGATGTCCAGTTTTATAGGAGATGTGCCTTTAACCACTAAAGTTTCCCTCCTGATGGGCAAGTTATGACAAGGCTGGTGGCTAGGGTGGTGAGTAGATCTGAGACTAAAGCACCCTAGGAAGAGTTGAAAGAAATGGGTCAGTCAACTGCCTTCATATTTTTGTAGATAGCTCAGGTGGAAGAAAGACTAGACATGTTCTGTTTGTTTTTGGGACAATGAGTAGAAGATGTAAAGCAACAGAGTTTAGCTTGACATAAAGAAGACTTAAAGAAAATTAGTTACAGATGTCCAAAAGTAGGATGATCCAACTCAAGAGGTGGTAAGCTCACTGTTCTCAGAGGTGTTGCTGATGGAGGCTGAAGGCTCTGGTGGGGACATGATATTGGATGCGCTTGGAGGTGCTTTTCACACCTGAGATTCCTGACTCCTCCCTGAGCTCCATTCCTAGTTGGTGACAGCAAGTCTTAGGGATCCGCCCTCACCTCCTTTCTTGTCACCCACCCTGAGGCACTCAAGGGCATGACTCCCCATCACCATGTTTCAATATTGCCATTTTCAAAATAGGCAAGTTAATGATCTATTAACTAATCTCAGTTTACTGTGGGGATTAATGAAGATTAGTAAAGAAGATTGTCAAGAGATTAAATTTCCCTGAAGACTAATATTATAATTGGGCTGCAATTTAGGTGAGTCATATTAGAAGAAAGAGTTACAGATGACAAAATATTCTGACTCCGTGTAAATAATATTTATTTTATAAATTCATTCATTTATGAGATATTACTTGAGACCATATAAACACTAGGAATTTTCTCTAACATATGTGATATTGGATATATGATACCATATAATATGCAAACATAATTAAAGCAAAACTATTTTTTCCCCACAAAATCCTCCTGATTACTCTACATCAGTCTAAATCCCTTTTTATTCCTACTTTTTCCATCTTAGCTTGAATTTGTGGTCCATTTAATATTTTATGTTAAGCTGTATTTTCAGACGGATTCAGGGGTACTGTTCAGTCGTTAGCAAAGTACATGAATGATGATTTTGTTTTACATTATATAAAAAGTGAATATAATGATTTTGCTACTTTTCCAGATCATTCTAGTTTATGCTTGTATCTCACAGGTAAGAAGGCGTGAAACAACTAGGCAGCAGAACAGACAATTTTTCACTCTAGCTGCTACAATGAGGCAGCTTTTTTTGTGGTGGATCTTCAAGATGGCTGAGGCCAGCAATTATTCTTTTTTTCTAATAGCAAGAAGGTCTTTATAGGGCTTAATTTGGAGAGAAATTAGTTTTCCTTCCATTTTGAGATTTGCACATGTTTAAGGACTCATAAAAAGGAGCTCAAGGCATAGATAGTGAAAGCAAACAGGACAGGGAGACCAAGAACATCCCTTGGCAGTGATTTACCAAGGGCAGGGGTGATGCTGATGGAGGGGTCAACCTGAGGTGCCGGTGAGGATGAGGTGCGTGGTCTGTAGAGGATTTAAAAGCAATAATAAAACAGACTAAAAGTCAGTCTGCTTTTTATTATCACCATGCACTCAAAAATCTCAATGCCAATGATAAAACACTCCATGAGAAAATCTTTTCTTGTTCTAAGTTTTAAACAACTACTACGATGACTGTTAATAATATACAAGCTTCATATTAGCACAGTTTTATATCTTAGGCTTTTATGTCCATTGTTTTCTACATGAAGGTTAATTTGGAGAACTCCTAGTTATACAGTTGGTGTTCAGGACACAAGGACTCAGCTACATGCATTGGTTTTGAGGGTAAGTTCATAACGTTTTGGAATCTTTCGTGGTTGTTTCAGATGTGCTTTATGTCTCTAACGCCTGTAGCACTACCTATTCTGTTGTTTAAACAGAAGGTTGGAAATAAATAATGACAGCACAGTTATTATAAGGATAAAGAAGCAAAATCTAAGCTACATCAATTGTTTTAGTCTACACGACCATTTGGAGGTTGTATTTGTGCTGGAAATTTGCAACAGTGAGACAGAGTGTTCACTGTGAGGTGTAATATTTTTGTGTATTACGTACAAGTTTTGGTCCATATCTGAAATATTCTACTGTTTTGCCTAATATGCTTAAAATGGAAATTTATCCTTCTTTTGAATTGTTAATTGTTTTAAAGCTAAAGAATAAAGAAAATAATTATTCAGTGGTAATTATTAAAAGTAATTTTATTGTATAGAGGGAACGTTTCATAAAATGATCTGTTTCAGATGTCAAATTTACTAGGTCCACCACTGGTTTTTGGAATTAGGCAATTTTGGGCCAACTTCTATGAAACATTTGGTCAACTTACTGAATCATTCAAAACCTGAGCTTTCTCATGAATAAAATAAGTATCTCCTTTGTAGGGTTATTGTGATACTAAATGAGATAATGCATGTAAGTACGTAGAACAATACTAGGAACATAGTACATGCTCAATATAGGACAGTTTATCAGGAATAACAATAATAATAAAAAGGACACTTGTGGATTTCTGTGAAACACATTGCAGAAAGGCTTTGTATATTAAAGAGATCCAAGCTGAGATCTAAAAAATTATAGGTAGAGTCACTGAAAATTCTCTGAAAATAGCATAGCCTCCTTGTTATAAAGAAGTAACCATGCTCATTCATTCCTTCATTCGTTAGAAAACAAACCGTTTGGAGAGCGCATGCTCTATTTTAGGTTCTATCTTATAGTCGCAAATAAAACAGACCCAATCTTTATTCCTGTGAAAGCTAAATTCTAGCAAAGCCCTCATAGAATTAAAGTCCCTTCAGGTACCACTACCTGAACTAGGTAGACCCATGCACCATTTATAGTCAGAACTGTGGTGCCCACAGTAAGTGGGGAGTAAGCAGAATCAAAGCTCAGCAGTGGGGTGTATTTGAAAGAGCATGCGTTGTGCAGTCAGATTGAGTTCAATCTCAGTTTCTCCATGAACTGCATGACCTTGGGCAGGTCATTTCCTTTTTGCTATGATTTAGGTTCCTTATTTCTAGTACAGTGATCATAATCCCTGCCTCCCATGGTTCTTATGAGAAGTAAATATGAAAACCAGGATAATAGAGTAGAAGGTTGCTTTGTGGAAAAACTTAAAAAAAAAAAAACCCAAAAAATCAAAAACAACCCCTTTCCAAACCCCAAAACAAAACAAAGATAAATGACATAGTATCGTTCTGACGCATAGGGATACTCAATAGGTATTATTTCTCCTTTCTGTCTCCCCTTATCAAATTGTGCCTGACTAGAACCTAGCTCTGTTGGGTGCATCATTCCTTACACCTACATACACATGCATATGCACACACATGTATACATATGAAGACATCCCGTTTGGGATGACCACGGTTGGAAGGAGACTGATTGACATTTAAGGAAAATTACTCAGGGTTGCTGTCGGCTGTTCATTCTAGTTCTTGAAAGCATGCCTACTGATAGTATGTAGTCCACTCCATATTTACTATGGACTCTCTACTTTTCTCACCTACTTTTCCCAAACTATACATTTGGATGTTTGCCAACCTGATGTCTAGAATAAGTATCTGTTTGCTTCTGACAAAGTGCACATATGGATTTCTTAGACCAAATCTATTACATGAGGAGTATGCCAGCTTTAAGCACTGTTGGCCATTAGATTCTTTGCCACCTTGTAGAGAGAATTAGAGCAAACCAAGAGTCATAGCTTTTATTGACTTTTTCATAAATTTTCAGTCCACAGACATAAATTTCTTTGGGAAGAAAATCTATATCCCATGTAGACTAATGCTCACATAGAATCTAAACCTTAATATTACCATGGAAGTCAGCAGAGATAGTAGCAGTCCCTTGAGGGAAGAGATGATTTTCCATGGCGTAAGTGAGGTATCCTGATGCACCATTTTTATAAACGTGCATGATAATAATGCAAAATCCCATTTGGATAAGATGAACGTATACTCTCTACCCTACTTGACAGAGTAACACTGTGGTGACCTCATGTTTTTTGTTTCAAAATAAGAATGCCTCAGTAGACAAACTGATGCTGTCATCTAATGGCATCCAGAAAGAAGGGCCTAAGATCAACTATTCCAAGGTAAATTTCCTGGGTTTTGGTAAAAGCCCTTCAGCATTTACACAGCCTAGAGTTAAGAATCCTATTCATCTGTTACTTGATTAATTTACCTTCATACATTTTGCAACAATCTGGAGTGTTCACAGGGAATTGGCATTTCTTAATATTTGGTATTATATGGGGGTACTATTCTTTAACAGTCACTGTTGGCACTTGAAAACAGCTGTAAAATTTTTCCCCCCTAAAATGAGCATAACCACGCATATGACATAGAACTTGGGGGTCTTGATCCTTCATTGTCTGGTACTGGCGATAACAAGTGAATGTAGCAAACTTGAACCTGGAATAGGTGTCTGCCTTTACTTCACTTGGCTAGGGGTGGGTTGGCCTTTTCTCCAGGTAGAATTTTCTTTAAGTAGGTATCAATTCCCTATGACAGATTCTTATGGTCTCCCTTATCTACTCTATCATTCTTCCTGGTAGTAATATAACACCCTTAAATTATAGGTGGGTATGAGGCTACCAAGGTAAGAGATTTCATTTCTCAGTCTTCCTTGCAGCTAGGTCTGGTCGTGTCACTAAATTTTGATCAATGGGATGCAAACAGAATTGATGTGTGCAACTTTAAGATCACATTTTTATAAGGAAGCTATTGGCCTTTCATGCTCTGTATTTAATTCTATTGGCTCTAAAATGGTGACAGCCAGAGATGCTTCCTTGGATTCAGAGGAAGCTGCATGTTGAGGATGGCAGAGGCACACTGTCAACCTGGACCCTTACATGACCTTGTGGAGTAGAGCTGCCCACTTGCCTTTGATGACCCTCCTACACTTGACCTATTAACATGAGAAATAAACTTCAGTTATATCTAGGCCATTGTATTTTGGGGTCTCTTTGTTATAGCAGCCCAACCAGCACACTAGCTAATATAGCCTTTTTCAGGTCATCTGACAGATACATCATATGGAGCTCTCCATAGTCCCTCAACATCGACTGTGTTCCGGATGCTTGTCCTTTTCAATTCACCATTACTTAATGCTTATTAGAGGTTTTAGTGTGAGAAATAAAATTCATAGAGCCCAGCGTGAAGAGTGTGCTGTTAAATGATTCCTCCAGAATCTCCAGATGTTCTTTTTGGATTAAGACAGATCATCAGAGAACTGCACACCTGGGCTGTCTTGATTTGGCTCCTTGGAGAATTGCTCCACGGATCTGAGCCTTGGCCTTGCGCCATCAGCCCACACTGCGGAATGCTAGCAAACAACCCTGCGAGCCCCGCTGCTGCACGTCCAGGAGGATGATTGAGGATGTGGTTTGCTACCATTTGTGAGGACCCAGGGGAGAAGTTTCTTTCAGACCTTGTACCAGGAATAGTCATGCTTCTCCTGAGCAACTGGCTTGTTTTGTTTTTGTGGACATTCTAAATTGTGTAACTGTCTGTGTCTTTCAAAGCCACCTCAAATCCTCTGGGAATGAGACAGGGTATAAAATACATTTATTCAGAGTCAAGACCAAGATCCCTATTTAGCTCATTATATTGCTTTTGGAAAAGTCACTTCACTTGGCTTAACTTTCTTTGCTTACAAGTCAGAGATAATGAGTTCTTCCTGTGAATAGAGCTCAAATTAATTTATAACACACTCAGAGTTCCTTCAACATAGGTCATTATGGAAACTAACAGTAATATTTAATTTCTACAAATATCTGTCATTCTATGACTCCCTGTCTTTGAACGTCTTGCCTCAACTTTGCTTCTTCATTCATTTATTCAGCAAATTTGAGGACACACTAGATCACCAGGCCCCCCAGAGGGGTACAATTTAATAATCCTGAATCCTTGCTCTCAAGGAGCACAAGGACTTAAGAATATGCTTCCTACCAAATTAAAGATTTAAATAACAAACAAATACATCAATTATAAAATTCCAAAACCACAATGAAGAAAGGGACTAGGAGCTGGGTGCGGGGCAGAGTGGTGGGGTGTGGGGCAGAGTGGTGTGGTATGGTTGGTGTTTTAAGCAGATGATTCTGTCATCCCAGCTACTTGGGAAGCTGAGAAGGGAGGATTGCTTGAGCTGAGAAGTTTGAGCCCTGGACAACATAGTGAGACCCAGTCTTGAAAATAAAATAAAAAGAAAAATAAAATAAAATAATAGAATTAGGGAACAGTGAGAGGGAATAATGATAGTTCTAGTGGTGGTACTAGAGGGCATCTCTAAGAAGACAGCATTCAAGCAAAGACTGGAGATTTAAAAGGAACAACTCTGCTAAGAGCTGAGGAGATAAATACGTCTTTGGGTGTGAAGGGGTTTGGCATGTGAATGAATCCGAACGTGGACAGTGGTATGACAGTAAGCAAGGGCAAAAGTGACAGTTTGGAGAGAAGGGCAAGGACCAGGCCATTTAGGACCTTGAATACCACATCACAGAGCCTGGCTCTTCTCTTACCTGCAGAAGATGCTTCTTGAAACCTCCTGTGGGGCAGAGTGATGTGCTATGGTTGGTGTTTTAAGGAGATGATTCTGTTTGTCTCTAGTGTGAGATTAACTCAACACAGTAAGGTAAATGTTGAGATGCTCTAGACATTGGGATTGTGGGGAGCAAGAAGAGGAGGGGTGTCTTCTGGGTGTTTTCAGCTTGGGTGCTGAGCAAGACTTCCTGAAGTATATGGTGGCTGAGTTGAGTTCTTGAGAAATGAGGAAGAGTTAGCCAGAGGAATGGGAGGAGGTTGAACCAGATAGTAAACTGCACGGCCAAAGCATGGCAGCACAGTATGGATGCTGTTGGTTTGAAGCAGAAAGAGAAACAGAGCATTAGGGGACAGGAAGCTGTGAAGGTGGCCAAGAAATGGATCAGGGAGAACCTTAGGTGACAAATGCTTTCTTCCCCATTGTATGGCTGGTAGGTGGTAGGGAGCTGAGTTTTGTCTCCTAATCATTTTAAAAGAATTATTTGGAAAAGTATTTGTGGAAATCTCTTAAAGAAAAACTTGCTTTTCACGCTTTCTTTAAAATAAGATCCCTTGGAGTACACATGGCCACAAGCGACCTTTCTGCAACCTGAGTTAAAGCAGTTGGGAGGAGATGAGTCATCCTCATCCTTGCCTATGCCATGTCAGTTCCTATCAGCCTTGTTCCTTTCCCTAGCTCTAGTTTATTCCAAAGAAGAGTGTGTGTGGGGTGGGGGTCACTGGTGAGCACCCATCCCACTTCCTAATGGATGCAGAAGTGTGTAGTAAAATGCTCTGCGTATTTGAGTTATTATTTTGAGATGGAGTCTCGCTCTGTTGCCTATGCTGGAGTACAGTGGCGTGATCTCAGCTCACTGCAACCTCTGCCTCCTAGGTTCAAGTGATTCTCCTGCCTCAGCCTACCAAGTAGCTGGGACTGCAGGCACCTGCCACCAGGCCTGGCTAATTTTTTTATTATTATTTTTTAGTAGAGACAGGGGTTTCACCATGTTGGTCAGGCTGGTCTCGAAATCCTGACCTCAGGTGATCCTCCTGCCTCGGCCTCCCAAAGTACTGGGATTACAGGCATGAACCACTGCGCCCGGCTGTGACATAATTATTTTTAATGTCAATTGCACTAGATTAGGAGTCATGGTGCTGGTCCTAGCTCCTTTAGTTAGTAGGCGAGTGACCTTGGGCCCATTACTTCATAAAGCTGCTTCCTTACGTGTAAAAAAGGGATATCACCTCCTTCTCTGAGTTATTGTGAGGGTTAAATTAAAAATTGATTATATGCAAAGCACTTACACAGCACCTGCTTAATAAATTGTGTTATTGTTGTTCATAACAGATACATAATAATAAAAAGAGAAAGCAAATTGTAAGTTTTTTTTTTTTTTTCCTTTTCCCCTGAAGACTGAGCATGGAAGACTATGAAATGGAGAAGTTACTAAAATACCAAAGTAATTAATCTTGGCTAAGTTACTTAACTGATTTCCTCATCCAAACAGTTGGGACTAGGGTTTCCCTTTTGTGTAATTTATTGTATATTCGTAACGGTTAGATGTAATTGTACATGCAAAAGTTCTTCAAAAAGTGGATGTTTTCTTTTTTGCTTTGTTTACGGGGTTATCTGGATAACCTGTAAGAGATGCCAAGGATTTTATTAGGGGGAATACTTAGGAGAGAAAAAGGGATGGGTGCTGGGGAAGGCTATCAGCCCTTGGTGAAGGTATAACCTAAATGGAGAGGTAGGAACAACAGGTAGGAAAGTTGGGCGCAAGAGTCTTCAATCTGGGACGGTTTGGCAAGAGGTCACAACCCTGAACCAAAGTCAACCAGTAGAGGAGTCCTGCATCTTGGATCTTTCAGGAATGGGGAGGCCTAGGGATCCTCGTGGAGCTCAGTCATTGGCCGGGATGACCCTGAGGCTGGGATGAGCCTCAGGCCTCAGCATGAAGAGGTGATGGATTTCAGAGCCCAGCCTTTGCGCCAGGGACCCTTGGTCAGTTGTGCTCCCTGTAGTAGTGTGTTCTTATGGCCACTACATTTACCATGAAGAAGAACCTCTTTTATTAACAGAAGAGTCTACTGTTTGCAACTAACAGTCTTCATTCTGATTCCCCTTGATTTGTGAGAGAACTCTTTTCAGGAAATCAGATGCAACCACTTTCCAGTGAAGGTCAGCAAATAGCATGCAGTGTCTTGACAATGAACTGAAGGAGACTGTGAGCATGGGCACTGCTTTTATCATAGGTGGAACCTGGAAAGAGCTAATGGGGATGAGTTAGTGTTCTCACAGTTGCTACCTTTTCTTTTTTTGTACAAAATAGAGTCAATAATGACCTTTGCATCTATTGGCTTTTTAAAGAGCAATGAAAAGCACTCTCCTTTTAAATAATGACTTATGCTCAGAAAGCACTTTACATTTTACTCACCTTCATGTATGTTTTCTCACATGATAGCTGCAAAAATCTTGAGGAGTAACAAGTCCCATTTTAGAGGGATCAAAGTGAGGATCAAAAAGGCTAAACAACTTGTTCCAAGTACGCAGCTCATAAGTGGCTAAGTGGGGAGTTGCCCCTAGTTGGGAATATTTTCACCTCTTGTCACTGCAGCAGAGCTCACAAGCACCTCTAATTTAAAAAGAAAGAAATGTTCTGAATCCTTCTTATCCTTGCTCCCAGTTTGAATTTCTTTATTTTATAAATAATGGAAACAATCTGGACAGGTCTCCACAGGAAAAAAAGAGAAAGCTGAGGATTGACTTCATTACTTACATTACATTCATAAAGAATTATCAAGAGGTAGAAATTGAAAAATTGATCTCCATCTCCAGAAACATCAGGATGTCAGGAAATAGGGCTCAATGTGGAGGCAGAACTTTCTGAGTTGTCAGGCAATTAAATAAACCACTAAGACCATGGGGAAAGGCTTGAATAGTTTACAAATAAGAGTGAACACAATTGTAGGGCTGGCTTCCTATCCGCTAATGGGGTGGGGGAAGAACTGGGGCCTCTTGCCTTCTATACCACTTGGAGCTGTCATTCTATGACATCAGAGTAAAGACTGAGTCTACTAATTAGAATCATAATATTATGATTTGTATCATGTGAGAAGCATGATATAGCTCAGTTGGCCTTTATGTTGGTGTTACAAAAAGCTCACTGTGCTTTCATCAATTCCTTCATGCAACAAATATTTATTGGATGTCTACCATTTTCAAGGCTATTCTAGGTGCTAAGGATCTATATTATGGTGAATAGACCAGGTCTGTGCCTTTGCAATTTTTATGTGTTAGTGGGTGGAGGCAGGAAATCAGTAAACAAACAAATAACAAGTATATATAGTGATAAATGCTGTAATAAGAAAGAATAAAACAGTGTGATTTGACAGAGAAAGACTCGGTGGTCTCTGGGAAGGGGTGTCATTTGATCTGAGACCTTGGAAATGAGAAGGACCCAGTCCTGCAAAGATTTAGGGGAAAAGCATCCCAGATAGAAGAGATAGTGGTTTGAGGTAGCATTTGGGTTGAGCTTTGACCATAGGGATGTAGTGGGAACATCCCGGGGAGAGGAAAGAACAAGAGAAAAGTATCTTGGCTAATGATTTTGAAGCATTTTCTTGGAATAGTGACTGGTGTAGTTTGACTGGAGGTGAGTTGAGGTAGAGCCTTGGTTCCCAAACTTGAGTGTGCCTCAGGATCACTGAAAGGCTTGTTAAATCCCAGATTGCTTGTTAACTCTGGACCCCATGTCCAGAGTTTCTGATTCAGTTGGTCTGCTGGGGAACCTCAACATTTGTATTTTTAATAGGTTCCCAGGTAACACTGATGTTTACTGATGGTGGGGAGTATGCTTTCAGAACCACTGGAAAGGTCAATCACTTTTTAAAGTTCAATTAACTTACTAATATTAATAAGAGAAGCTAACATTTACTAAGCCATTACTATATGACAGGTACTTCATGGACTGTCTTTTGGAATTACTATAACAGCCCCATGAAATAGGGATTATGACTATCCCATTTTACAGCTGTAGGGATAAGCACAGAAAGATCAAATAATGTCCTGAAGCTCATAAAGCTTCTTTGCAGAGGAAGAAAAAGGCAGAACTGTGGGGGTGAAGCATGGCCTTGGAATTTTGGAACTCTTCACCACCATACTATAATTCAATGACAAAACACAGAGAGGCGGAGAGGTAGCAACTAGTTGGGTAATTTAATCAATATGGAATGAAGGGATTGTAGGAGGGAATTGCAGCATGGGTATACTGGACTTGTGGGTTATCTACTCAGCAGGCCTTTCCTTCTCCTTTCCTAAGAGAACCCTTATTTTATTCAGAAGCCTCATTTCCAGCTGTAGGGGGTGAAGTTTAGTTACTCTGAGTCTAGGCCCATCAGCACATGGAATTTTCCTGGCAACTGTTTTTGGTTCTGGGTGGAAGGTGTATCTTAAATTGGTCAAATAAGACTAGATGGAAGGCTTATATTTTATGGTTGGGAGAGCAGCTTCCTTTCTGTCTTTGCTTGGGCGTGAATAAGGAAATGTGTTTTCTTGGTTGCTGTTGGCAGCCACTTTCCAACCATGCAAACAGCTGTCTGAACACGAAGCTTGTACATGGAGGCTGAAGAGTGGGAAGACAGAAAAATCTGAGTTCCTGATGGCTCTGCTGTTTCATAGAATCGAGGAACTCTGAGAAGCTTGCTTGATCTCTGGACTTTCTTAAGTGAAGTAATTGGTTTCCATATCTCTTAAGCTATTTCCTGAGTCTGTTTGAGTCAGGGTAACTGGCAGCTGAAAGCTTCATAACTGGTAGAACAGACACTGCAGTATGAAGGAGGATATTTAGAATATAGAAACTTTAACATAATGAAGTGAGGAGAAGGTGTTCTAAGTTTTCAGGCTGTCGGGACATAATGGTGGCTGTTTATTCTGGGCTGTTGTCTGGAAAGGGAGAGGAGAGGGAGGGAGGAGGAGAATGAGGTTGTGGAGACTTTTCTGTAATGGTAGTAGTCCTTCATACCTCCGAATGTTCTCAGGAAACACAGACAGCTTTAAAGTGACAGGCGTCTCAACATTGCTCCGTATTCTTTGCTTCTTCTAGCTCTTTTATCCTGGTCTCTATGATCCTCCCCAAAGTGAACGTGAAACTCGAACGTCAGGATTCTGGGTGATAGGGCTGAAAACATTTTGGCCAAAGCCATTTGATGAAGAGAGTCAGCCACACAGTGATGTGGCTGGAATGATGATTTGGTAAAAAAATGAAAAGTTTACAATCATCATTTTTTTTTTCCCCAGATAAGTCCAGTATTGGTACATTACAAGGGTGATTTTGTAGTTCTTGGGCTTCCTTCTTTTTGTGACAAGGAGAGAATGAAATAGCTATATATCTGATAATAGGCCATTCATTAGAAATGTTAAGTAACCAGTAATAGAGGATTTGTTGGAAGAACTTAATTGGCAAACATAGGGGATTCGTTGAAATAAATTAAATATCTTCTACATGCTCCACAAAAATAAAGTCATAGCCAAGTAAAAGGGTAAGCATAATTGCACGAAAAGGAATTATAAAAATTGTAATAGGGAAAATTGAATTTCTAACCTCACAAAATTCTGAATTCCAGGTCCTTTTCTTTTTTATTGACCTTTGTTTTTATTCATACTTATAAGCTTAGAAATGCAAACAACTAAAAAAGAGCATAGTCTGCCATCCCACTTGTCGGAAAATAAACTCTGCCAACATTTCTTTCTTTCTAGTTTGTGGACGTAGAAATAATCATTAATGTGTCTGTACCTGAATATAATATGTATGTTTATATGTTGGTATTTTTCTAACGAATATGTATGCATGTTGGTATTTTTCTACACAATGGATTTATGACATTTTTGGTATAAAACAAAGTGCTTGTAACCCAGACAATATTTTTTAGGTATTCCATCGCATTGGCCAATAAAGTGGCTCCAAAATTTGTGTCTTAAAATAGGAGTAATGCTTGAAAATATAATAGTAATAGTAATAAAGCAGGAAAATACTTTTCACACTGTGAAATATTTTGAAAAACAAGTAAAAGTGTTTAAAGACATCTAGAATGTTTCCCAAACTGCCCTACTATGCAGTCCGGTTTTCAGTACTTAGAGAAATCAGTGATTGGGAATCTTTACCTTTGAACGTGATTGTGGTTAATTTTTTGCATTGATTATCCTTCTTCTGTAGCTGGAAATCATTGTTAAGGTGAACCAGAAATGCCATAATATTCAACCAGGAAGCTCTAGGGTGGGTGATCAGCTCATCCTAGTTTGCACAGGACTGACTGGTTTTATTTATTCCTTCATTTTTTCAACTCACATAATCAAAGGTTTAATGCACAGATTAATAACATTAACAAATCAATAAACAGAAGACAATTCATAAAAAATATGAGTAAATAGGATATGGATAGCAGTTTATAGAAGAGGAAACCCATTCTGATAAACCTATGAAAATGTGCCCAACCTCACTAGTAGTGAGGAGATTCACATTTAAATCATACATGATACACTATTTTCTATCTATAGTGTAAAGTGGCAGCAAGGATGTGGCAAATTAGTATCTTACACATGCTGTTAAGCATGTGTAATACCCACAGACATACTGGTGGACACAAAATTTGTAAAATTCAAGATATGTACATTTCTTCATTACCAGAAATTTTACTTCTAATAATAGATCCTAGAGAGATCTTTGCTCTTGTGTATAAGGAAGACTTGTTTTAAAACTAAAAATCCCAATTCCTGGGAATCCATTCAGTCCCTGGCAAACCAGGACTGTTGGCCAACCCTTTAAATCTCTTTCCTCTGAAAGTTGGGGAGTAGTGTAACACCTTTTACCGAAAGAGTGAAGGCATGTCGAAGAGCTGTCTGTGGGTCTAGCAGGCAGCTAAGTGAAACGTATCTGTTTTGTCTCTTGCATTTGCAAGGGTCGCTGCAGCAGCAAACAGAGAAGGAAATAATTAGGACAGATTTAAATGCTGACATTTGGTGATTCAAAGGAAAGCAGCAAAGGCCTACCCAGGGATCCCTGCTGCCTTTTGGTCTAGTCATACCATGCTGTGCACCTTTCACGACTCCCTTTGAGCCCATCTAATGAGGGTTACTTCCTGGAGAAGAACTTTCTAAGGCAGCAAGACATGGGAAAAGGAGAGCCGAGACAATAGGATCCACAGAACATAAGATGTTCCTACTTGCTGATGTAAATTAGAGATTTCATGATTAACAACATGTTATGTGGCTCAAAAAGAACCAGAACACAAGCAAAAGGAGGACAGTAAGAAATGTTTGCCCAAGAAAAAACTGGAAAGGGAAACAAAACAGAAACAAAACCAAGAAGCACAAAACACGTCCTTAAAAACAATCTCAGAGGGGTTATTCTCTGCTAAGGAAGGGGAATATCCAGGAGAAGCATGGGAAACAACTGAAAGAGAAGGAGGAGAATGAATAGCCCAGACAATCCCTCACAGTGGATGTTGGCACATTTTGGACTTGGATGTCCAAGGATGGATGTGCATGACTTTCTTTGCTTGGAAAAATGTTTGGGTATCTGCCTTTAACTAGAAAAGACTTAAGGATGATTTACTTCGTTAAACAGGTGTTGCTTTGTTGTATTTAAAGAGAAATTCGGTGTCAAGCAAAAAAAGTGACCTAGTAATTATTTCCCCAAATTAATACCAAAATCTGTTCTACAGATATCTGAGTGAGTTTATCTCATGTCAGATCTATCTATGTATCCATCGATCTATTTATCGATTGATCCATCCAACATCTAGTTTGTCTTGTTTTATCTATTTGCAATTTGGTTTTAAAAGTGAACCCAGGCCTTCTGCTTTAATCCAAGAGAGAGTAAAGGGACTGGATTTATGCACCTGCTTAAAAGAACCTCCCGAACCAGACAAAATATATGAAACAGCAGTTTCATGACACTGGACATCAGGCATTGAAGTCTCTTTGATCCCTAAGAGATAGGAAACAAATGAGATGAGCCCTGTGAATGTTCCGGTTTACTGCCTGGAGTAATTTCCAGGTTGTGATGCAGGGAGAGATAATATCAAAGAGCCCAGAAAATGCTATAGCTGAAGAGCTGAGTTATTTTTTAAGAGTCTGAACTACAAAGAAATCTGCTGACAGGAGATGGATAATTTTCTCCTATCCAAGTACTAACCAGGCCAGACCCTGCTTAGCTCCCAAGATCGGATGAGATTCAGGGTGGTATGGCCATGGACAGATGAAGAATTTTCTGTAGGACTTCTGCCAACTCTCCTGTAAGGAGGCAAAGTCTCTGGAAGTAAACCTGCAGGGGGCAAAGTGGAGGGGCAGCAGATAAGAAGCAGAACTCCACAGAAGGAGGAGGAGCAAAACCAGGGCTGTCTAAGGGCTTCATACCAGGGATTGGTAGTTAATACCAGAGCCACAGTGTGGCTTGGCTGGTAAATTATTTGTAGCTTGTTTGTGGTATTTATGTTTAAGGACATAATGAACTGTATACAATTCATTCTACAGGATGGGGTTCTTTTCTCTCGAGTTCCTCTTTTGTTTTTAAAAGTCCTTCAGGAATAAAAGCCTCCTTCATCAGCTTGCAAGGAGGAAGGCTGAACTGCGTGTGACCCAACAAGCTCCCTTATCCTGATGCCTTGAGTATGTGCTGCCCTTCCCAGGAAAGGGGTCTAAGGAGGGCTCACTCTTGTTTTTATCTGACTGTAGCTTACGAATAACCTTCACTTGGCTGGTGATAAGAATTATGGAAGCACAAGGGAGGTGAAAAAGGAAAATGTAAGTGGAAGAAAAAAATGTAAAAGGAAGAAAAAGACTAAATGAAATCCATGGATGCGTTTCCTTGTGTGTGCAGGAGAGTGAGTACATGTATATAGTATTCTTCCCAAACTGAGGTGGGATTTTTCTGGAAGCTTACACCTCAGAGATTTCCTAGTACTTTAGATTAATTTTATATTCATATACATATAATATATATCTTATAATTAGGTTAATCTCTTAGTAATATTCTTAAGTAAAAAACTTGAATTAAATAAAGGTGAGTCGAATTCCTACTATGCACACATCATAGAGTCAGAAAAAGGTGCGTCTCTTCTCTGAAGGCTTTTATGGTCTGGATGTGAGGGGCTGGCAGAATTGTCGATGGGGACAGAGTTGAGGGAGGCCACCAGGCAGGCACACACATAACCAGATGGAATGTGGGAACTAGAGCCAGAATTGTTCTTCAGTGGTTTCATGAGAGCGACAGAGTTTTCTGATTTTTAGGAAGCAAAGATGACCTTATATGGATTTCTACCCAAGTGAGAAATCATACCTATGAATCACGTGGGGATCCAGAGGCTCGAGCAGTGCCCCACACGTGAAATGTCTTTTGTGGCTTCAATGTAAAAACAAAGTTAAGCACCGGGATATAGGACAGGCATTTTCTGAAATGTCATGATTATACCATAGATAGCTGGGAACATAATGAAATTATTTTGGCATCTTATGTGTGATGTTAGTGATGAGGCTTGAGTAAAGAGTCACGTTCCTGGGGTTGGTATGTCAGGCCAACACCCCAAATTCCCATCAAGTTTAATCCTGTGGTGGTGGAAGTTCGCTTTCAAGTTTGGGTTGAGTCACTGTCATGATGACTCTCCATTCAAGAACTGTGGCATTTTTGGGCCCTAGAATCAGAAGCAAGTGTGAACTGGTATTTGTGAAATTTTCCAACTAGAAGCACTGGCTGAGGTGGGTAAATAGGGGAGAGGCGTCACTGGGCAGAATGGCAGACATGACGCTGAGCATTGTTCTAAAAGGGGCACAGCAGCTGTTGGTCAGAGGAGGGTTAACGGGCAGGCTTTGTTAGAGAAAAATATTTTATAAAGTAATAAAAGTCAAAGGGCAGTCTTGCAGAAAACATCGGCTTTGTGATTAATGTATTCAGCTACTAATTATTCAGGGGAGGTTGTCTGTCTGTCCAGACTTACGTGTTAGGGGCAGCACTGTGAGTCACTGGGATTTGGTTGTTACAACCAGAAAAACCAAAGTGGGTTTTAGGATTAGGGTCCCTTGGGATTAGCAGAGTCCCTACTAAAACAGCTTAAACATCCAAGGGTTTATTTTCTTACATAAATGCAGTCTGGGAGTAGGTTGTCCTGTGCTTGCAACAGCAGCTTCACAGAGTCATCAGGGACTTGGACTCCATCCAGGTTATAACATTTCCATCCCGAGGGCGTGGCCTTGTTCTCACAGCCTGAGATGGTGGCTGGAGCTCCACCTGTTACAATCCGGGCAGTGAGAAGAAGGGAAGACCGGAGGACCCTTCCCTTCCTCTTAAGGACACTTCCTGAAGTACCACATAGTACTTAAATCTCATAGGTCAGCCTTAGTAAAAAGGCCACATCCACCTTTTAAGGAGGCTGGGAAATACAGTCCTTTAACTGTGTACATGGTTGCTCTGAATAAATTCAGGAGTTTGGGATTTTCTTACTAAGGAGGGGGAAAACAACAGATTTTGGGAGGTGACTGTCATCTTTGTCAAGGATGCTTGCAATCAAATGATGAAAATAGACAGAAACACCATGCACCAAATATGTATTCCAAGTGATAGAAACCAGTTATCATTCATTTAGTCATTTGCTTCATTCATTTATTCACTATTTAATAAGCACCAAATGATGCATTGGTCTGGGGAAATGAAGAGGCCACTCCGGACTCTAGAATGACTCCTGGGAATCATGACTTAAAAGGAAAGCCATGACCTTTAATTAGAATAATCCTATGTGGGCTGGGTATGGTGGCTCACACCTAATTCCCAGCAATTTGGGAGGCTGAGGCAGGCAGATCACTGGAGGTCAGTTTGAGACCAGCCTGGCCAACATGGTGAAACCCCATTTCTACTGAAAATACAAAAATTAGCCAGGCGTGGTGGCATGCACCCGTAATTCCAGCAACTTGGGAGACTGAAGCAGGAGAACTGCTTGAACCCAGGAGGTGGAGGTTGCAGTGAGCCGAGATTGTGTCACCACATTCTGGCCTGGGTGACAGAGTAAGAATCCGTCTCAAAAAAAAAATTAATCCTATGTGGGGGGATTTGGAACAGAGATTATCTGCAGGCTTATACTGTAACTCTGGGTAGATTCTTAGTGTCTGTTACGCTTGCAGAAGAGTTTTAAGTTGCCCTTTTGAAATGATCAAGTTGGTTTTTGTTGTTGTTTTGAGACTGAGTCTCATTCTATCAGGTAGTGGTGCAATCTTGGCTCACTGCAACCTCTGCCTTCCTGCTTCAGCCTCTCAAGTAGCTGGGACTATAGGCACCTGCCACCATACCTGGCTAACTTTTGTGTTTTTAGTAGAGACAGGGTTTTGCTGAGTTGGCCAGGCTGATCCCAAACTTCTGACCTCAGGTAATCTGCCTGCCTTGGCCTCCAAAAGTGCTGGGATTACAGGTGTGAGCCACCGTGGCTGAAATGATCAAGCTTTTTGTCAATTCCAATGAACAGAATCATTCATAAGATCATAACTTGTAGATGAAAATTGGTTTCCTCAGAAAACTTTCACAGCAGCCAAATACTAGAATGTTCTCTGTTATGGTGAACTAAATTTTACGTCACCTCCATCCTTCTCATCCCCTAACTCAGAACTTATGTGCATCCAATTTTATTCTTGTCTTTGAGGACTACCTAGAACAATTCTTGAGACTATCTTCTCCTCTGCTCACCATCTTTCTGCTGTTTTCTGAGACTTCATTTTTTCCAAACTAAAAGCCCAAATACTCCTTCAACTGTTCCCCAAATAACATGATTTGGGAAAAGAAATGAAGAGGGAAATAATATTTTTGTGGAGGCTTACTATGTCCTGGACACAATGCTAGAGGTTTTATATACATTATCTCAATCTTCACAGAGTCCCAGTGAATAAAGGGTGATATTCTTCACATTTTGCAAGTAAGGACCCAAGTTCATGGAAATAACGTTCACCAGTTATCTTTCTAAGCTCTTACGGTCACTCAATGAGCAGGCAGGATCTGACTCTGACCTGTTGGGAGACGTGGACTGTGCTTTCCCACCATATGTTGCTGGTCCATCTTCCTGGTTACTCGATTTTGAAGATGCTAGTTTCCTTAGCTGGAAGATAGAACTCATTCCCTGCCTACCTTATGAAGAGAATTCAGGTAAGACCAATGCACCTGGAAGTGGACATTTCCCTTCCTCAAGCATAGACAATGTAGGCTGGTTGTGACATGGTTGTGATAATTCTGTGCACTTGGTGGGTAGGAAGATATGGGAACAGAATCCTTAGAACAGTAGAGGGGGACAAAATAGGTCTGGACCCCGGTACAGACATGAGGACTTCTTGAAGGGTGTCTTAGTTGAGTAATATTGTCAGCAGCAGGTGGCTTTATGGGGATTGAAGGCTGGGCAGCTCTTCCTTCCCTTAATGGGGATGATGAAGCTGTGCCCACTGCGTCACTCAGCTGCTTTCATACAGCTAAATCATTCCACCCTTTATCTACATTAGAGGAACTTATGTCCTCTGCCTGTGCCTATGGTATTTTTCTGCCAGTCATCATTGTACTTGTCAAAGTGCCCTCTATCTTCACCAAATAGTTTATAAGAATGAGTAGTGACAACAGGGCAGTGTATTGGAAACTGCCTCATTAAAATAATGAAGCTCTGATGGAAATACTGGTTTGTGTGATTTCATCTTCAAAGACCACTATATCACAATTTCTCTCTAATTTTATAGGGAAGGGAACTGAGGCCTAGAGCAGAGCCATTTAGCTAGCTGGCTCTTAAGATAAGTTTGTTTAGAGTCTCCCAATTTAAACATGTCACTGTAGGCATCGTTTAATTTTTAGTGACATTTCTGTGGTCAGTGAAACATGGTGTGTAAGATTGCCTGCCATCTGTGTGACTTTGGGTGAATGATTAGCTTCTTTGAGCTTCTGTTTCCCCATCTTAAAATGAGGATAATAAAACTACCTATCCTCAAACAATTGTTATGAAGATGAGGATGATTATTATGAAGCACTTAGGATGGTGACTGGCACATATTAAGTAGTGTATTAGTCTATTCTCTTGCTGCTAATGAAAACATACCTGATCCTGGGTAATTTATAAAAGAAAGAGGTTTAATGGACTCATAGTTCCATATGGCTGGGGAGGCCTCACAATCATGATGGAAGGTGAAGGAAGAGCAAAGCCATGTCTTACATGATGGCAGGTAAGAGAGCGTGTTCAGGGGATCTCCCCTTTATAAAACCATCAGATCTCATGAGATGTATTCACTATCATGAGAACAGCACTGAAAAAACCCACCCCTATGATTCAATTACCTCCCACTGGGTCCCTCCCATGACCTGTGGGGATTATTACAATTCAAGGTGAGATTTGGGTGGGCATATAGAGCCAAACCATATCATTTTGTCACTGGCCCCTCCCAAATCTCATGTCCTCACATTTCAAAACCAATCATGCCTTCCCAAAAGTCCCCCAAAGTCCTAACTAATTTCGGTATTAACTCAAAAGCCCACAGTCCAAAGTGTCATGTGAGACAAGGCAGGTCCCTTCCACCTATGAGCCTGTAAAATCAAAAGCAAGTTAGTTTCTTTCTAGATACAATGGGGGTACAGGCATTGGTGAAATACACCTGTTCCAAATTGGAGAAATTGGCCAAAACAAAGGGGCTACAGGCCCCATGCAAGTCTGAAATCCAGTGGGGCAGTCAAATCTCCAAAATAATCTCCTTTGATTCCATGTCTCACATCCAGGTCACGCTGATGCAAAGGTGGGTTCTCATGGTCTTGAGTAGCTGCACCCCTGTGGCTTTGCAGGGTACAGCCTCCCTCCTGGCTGCTTTCACAGGCTGGTGTTGAGTGTCTGCAGCTTTTCCAGGTGCATGATGCAAGTTGTTGGTGAATTTATCATTCCGGGGTCTGGAGGATGGTGGCCTTCTTCTCACAACTCCACTAGGCAGTGCCCCAGTGGGGACTGTGTGTGGGGGCTCTGACCCCACATTTTCCTTCCACACTGCCTTTGCAGAGGTTCTCCATGAGGGCCCTGCCCCTGCAGCAAACTTCTGCCGAGACATCTAGGCATTTCTATACATCCTCTGAAATCTAGGCAGAGGTCCCCAAACCTCAATTATTGACTTCTGTGCACCTACAGGCTCAACACCACGTGGAAGGCTTGGGGCTTGCATCCTCTGCAGCCACAGCCCAAGCTGTGCCTTGGCCCATTTTAGCCATGGCTGGAACAGCTGGGATGCAGGGCACCAAGTCCTTAGGCTGCACAGACCAGGGGGCCTCTGGGCCTGGCTCATGACACCATTTTTACCTCCAGTGATGGGAGAGGCTCCCTCAAAGGTCTCTGACATGCCTTGGAGACATTTTCCCCATTGTTTTGGTGATTAATATTTGGCTCCTTGTTACTTATGCAAATTTCTGCAGCAGGCTTCAATTTCTCCACAGAAAATGGGTTTTTCGTTTCTATTCCATTGTCAGGCTGCAAATTTTCTGAACTAAATTTTATGCTCTGCTTCTCTTTTAAATATAAGTTCCAATTCCAAACCAAATCTTTGTTAGTACATAAAATTGAATGTTTTTAACAGCACCCAGTCACCTCTTGAATGCTTTGCTGCTTAGAAATTTCTTCCTCCAGATGCCCAAATTCATCTCTCTCAAGTTCAAAGTTCCACAGATCTCTAGGGCAGGGGCAAAATGCCTCCAGTGTCTTTGCTAAAGCATAACAAGAGTAACCTTTGCTCCAGTTCCCAACAAGTCCCTCTTCTCCATCTGAGACCACCTCAACCTGGACTTCGTTGTCCATATCAGTATCAGCATTTGGGTTAAAACTATTCAAGAAGTCTCTGGGAAGTTCCAAACTTTACCACATTTTCCTGTCTTCTTCTGAGCCCTCCAAACTGTTTCAACCTCTGCCTGTTACCCAGTTCTAAAGTCACTTCTACATTTCTGGGTATGTTTACAGCAGCACCCTACTCTACTGGTACCAGTTTACTGTGTTAGTTCATTCTCATGCTGCTAGTAAAGACATACCTGAGACTGGGTAATTTATAAAGGAAAGAGGTTTAATGGACTTACAGTTCCACATGGCTGGGGAGGCCTCACAATCATGCGAGAAAGCGAAGGAAAATCAAAGGCACATCTTACATGGTGGCAAGTAAGAAAGTATGTGCAGGGGAACTTCCTTTCATAAACCCATCAGTTCTCATGAGACTTATTCACT
Source organism: Homo sapiens (assembly GCF_000001405.40). Classification (NCBI taxonomy): domain Eukaryota; kingdom Metazoa; phylum Chordata; class Mammalia; order Primates; family Hominidae; genus Homo; species Homo sapiens. The sequence goes on along the minus strand of NC_000009.12, from coordinate 108,629,321 downwards.
GTCATGAGAACAGCATGGGAAAGACCCACCCCCATGATTCAATTACCTCCCACCGGGTCCCTCCCATGATGCATAGGGATTATTACAGTTCAAGGTGAGAGTTGGTGGGGACACTGAGCCAAACCATATCAAGTGGCATATAAATGCTTGTTTAAAAGTGAACATAAACCTTTGTTTAGAAGAGAAAATGATCCAAGGGTCTGTGAAATTGTAATTATTTTATTCCAACCCTCTTTGTCTCTAATAATAGTATATTGTAGGGCCTCAGTATTTTATATCTTAGGGGATAATTTTATGGGCATTATATAATTTGATTTGTATAGTATCCTATGAGCTAGATCCTACTAGCTCATTTTTAAGCTAAAGATACAGTGAATCAGAGAGGCAACATGACTTAATCTCAAAATCTCACACATCTAGCATGTGACAAGAGCCTAGTGCATGTTCCTATCGGCATTATTGTTATCATTTTTTATAGCTCTTATTGTGTGACAAGAAGTGTGCTAGAACTTTTTTTAAAAAAAATTTAAACTCTAGCCCTCTTAATAATCCTATAAGTTCTCAATCTCGCAGGTGGCAAAAGTGAGGCTCAGAGGGATGAAATAACTTGCCTCAGGTCCCATAACTAATGAAGTGAGTTATCAGAACTCAAAACTAGGTCAGCTTGGGACCAAAACCCTTGTCTCTTCTGTTCCAACACACTAACTCTTGCTAACTTCTTCCAGAAGGAAAGATGGATTGTCAGCCTTCTGGCTACAAGGGCTTTGATAACAAGGATTGTATCTTTTCATGTTTATATTCCCTGGATCACAGAACTTGGCACCAAGTCCAAGGTCTGGCATGACAGACTGAAGCTTATCTCAATGGAACTGGTTTCTTGTTGTCCATTTCTCTTCTTTCCAGCTAGGTAAGGAGATGAGTGGCCAGCACCTTGACCTTGGCCCAGCTGCAGCTTGGTGCCTGTTCTCTATTGAATGTAGTTTCTAAAGTTGTTTGCTTTCTTCATTATTGGGTGTCATCAACTCTCACTTCCTTTGCATTTTGTTCTCTTTTGACAAACTGCTCCTCGTCCACAGCAGAACAAGGACTCAGTAATACATTGGTAATTGAACTGTTAATGAAAACAGGTTTTTATAAGATGGAAACCTCAGTTCTTGGGAATATTCAGAAGTGGGGTTGTAGAGAGCATGATGAATGGATTCAGCTGTGCTATCAATGATGAAAAAGAATTGTAGGGAGAAGTGAGAGGGACAATGTCTGGAGGAAAATGAGATTAAAATTTAAGGTAAACAATGCTTGTCCACTCAATAGACAAGTGGTACCTGGTACACAAGTGACTTAGGTGGATCATACCCAAATGTAGGGTCTAGTTCCACTACTCTTAATTATCCATCCAGATGAGGGTTCTGAGACTTAGATGTGGCATTGGCTAATCTACAGTCATAAAGCAAGTTGGTAGCAAGGCCAAGCTTAGGACCTGAGGTCTTAATTTTACTTCTAGGGCTTTTTTCATAGAAGATTTAGTAATTGATCGGCAGTAGGGGGATGAGGAGAAGAAAGCCCTGAGGATGACCTCCATGTTTTTGGCTTGATGCTTGGGGGAAGGAGGGAAAGAAGTAGGCCAGTGTGTTGTTTGACAAGTTTACTCATGATCACTAGTAAGGTATTAGTTTTCATTATCAGCTACTGGTGACCCCAGTGTGATGTTTAAATGGAGGCTTAGGGGATTTGTATTGTGATGGGCTGAGGGCTAAAGGGAATTGAGGCAGTCAAGACAACAGGTGCAGATTACTTTTTCAATACGTTTCAATGTAATTTCGATACATTTTGCAAGGGAAAAACTGGAAGGGGAACATAAGGTTTTTATTTATTTTCTTTTTTTTTTTTAAAGGATTTCCAATACTTGAGCTTGTTTGCAGGCTGAGGAGAAGAAGCCAGAGTGGAAGTAATTGATGACAGGAATGAGAGGGCATGGCTGATGGAACACAGTCCTGGAAAAAGACAGATGGGAAAGGATCAGGTCCATAGGGTGACAAGCTAGCTCTGGAAGTGAGGAAGGACATGTGAGGGAAGGAGATCAAAAGGAATGGGTGCTGTTTTATATATATATAATTTTTTTTTCTTTCTGTCAAGCTATTCTTTATTTCAGGGAGAGGGCAGGGGAAGGGGGCTCAGTCTTTCTTGGCAGCAGCTTTCCTCATGGCGGCCAGTACGTTGCTCAGCTCCTCCTGCTTCCTCTTGGCGCGGATGTGCATCCCCACCCTTTTCTTGATAAATTTGAGGGCCTGTTTGTCCTTGGAGACCTTCAGTAGCTCCATGGCACGCCGCTTGTACGGGGCAAAGCCACACACCTCCCGAATCATGTCCCACACGAACTTGGTGTGTTTGGTCAGACGCCTGCGGCGGCTGCTGTGCCTGGGTTTGCTCACGTTCTTGGTCACCTTGTGGCCCTTGAAGAGGCCCATGGCCATAGGGTAGCCTAGAGCCATGGTTGCTGCTCTCCAGAGGCGGCCGTGGCGGAAGGGCTGGTGCCGCGCTGAACTCTGGGATATCTACCGCTGTTATATTTAAGTTCAGAGGAGGAGGCACTAATGTTCAAAGTGTTTCATATTCTCTGTGAAGTAGGAAATGTTCATTGATAACATGGTTTGAACTTTAGTCAGCTTTGCATTGCTCATAGGGAAGTCCAGATCAACTAATACTTTCACATAAAAACAAAGGTAAATGAATAATGTGTGAACCAGACAAATGACCACTGATATTCGGAACTGAAGCATGAACAGAAGGAATAGTGCCTGCCTTTGCTAATTGTTTTGTCTCATTTGGTAACAGAAGCAGGCTGTTGACGTTCAGCCAGGCTGCTTATGGATATGTACACATAACTGGTGTTTGTACATGCTTGTTAAACCTACCAGAAAACTGCCCCCAGATCATTACCACTCCCTGATTGATCTTGGGCTCCTAATTAATCTAAATTACTATGGTGAATTCTGCTTGTCTTCCCATCCTCTGCTGAAATGTACCCACCACTCTGAGGTGGAGTGTGAGACCATGATAGATCCAAGAAACTCTCCTCCTGGGAAAAGTGAGGCTGATGGAGCTGGCGTGTCTAGGCTAGAATCTTTGCCTTCTCTGGTACTGAGAAGAGTGTGTACTGCCATGTGTACTCCCAGTTTCCCTCATCTGAGCTCTCTGCTCTGCTGTGCCATGATTTAAGCACATGATTTAAGATGTCCAGCCAGACTTAAAGTCCCTTCTGTAGAAGCTCATAAAGCCTGGGTGTTGCATTAGAAAGTGGTTCAGTTTGGAGACAGATGTGCCTGGGTTTAAGTCCTAGCTCCATCAGATTTTATCTGTGGAGCCTTATTGAACCTCTCTGGGTGTTAGTGTGCTTCTTAGTAAAAGGAGATGATAATTTCCCCATTGGTTACCTTTTTTTTTTTTTTTTTTTTTTAGCTAGAGTCTCACTCTGTCACCCAGGCTGGAGTGCAGTGGCACAATCTTGGCTCTCTGCAACCTCTGCCTCCCAGGTTCAAGTGATTCTCGTGCCTCAGCCTCCTGAGTAGCTGGGATTCCAGTCGTGCACCACCACATCTGGCTATTTTTTCTATTTTTTAGTAGAGACAGGGTTTTACCATGTTGGCCAGGCTGGTCTCGAACTCCTGGCCTTAAGTGATCCACCAACCTTGGCTTCCCAAAGTGCTGAAATTGCAGGCGTGAACCACTGTGCCTGGCCCCAGCCCCAGGGTACTTTGGTTACTTTGAAGATTCATTGAAAGGATTACCTAGGCCAATGAATATAAGAAGTGATATGTAAGATAAGGTGCTTTACTAAGAACCTTATCTTAGTAAAGGGAGGGAGCTATCAGTTATTAAATACCATTTGTTTGCAAGCACTGGATGCTTCACTTTCATGGTCATATTTCATCCTATGGAAAATCTCTGGGGTTAGTTATCACTATCCCCATGTTACAGATGATAAAACATATCCATGGGCTGGGCTTGTCCTATCATAGACAGAGTAACCAAGTATAGCTCATTTCAGATCACATATCATCCTTTTAGCCCATGACAGTCCTAGGTCACACCTATTGTCCCAGAGTAATCATTAATAAACTCTAATTTCACTCTCAAAAGTTTGGAATACAAATTATATGCTCACTTTTTGTAAGTGTGAGGGCCTGAGGCCAATTTAAAATCCTACATCTTTTCTTTTTCACCAGATCGGATCCTAAGTCTTTCTTAATCCGCAGGTGGAAGTGGAAGGAATTTCCTTGGTGCTTTTTTTTTGTGATGTTATATTTCTGCCCTGCAACAAAGGCTGCACTTTTCTGCCTCAAAAGCAAGCAAAAGACTCCCTGCTAACCTGGTAAGCCCTGACTGGGGTACTCTTAGCAAGGCCAGTTCATCTAGGAGAAGGGTCCAGAAATGAAGCTATAGGAGGAGAGAACCATGTGGTTATGTGTATGTCAGATCCATTCATTTATTCATTCACATATACGTTCATTTTTTCATTTATTAACTACTTCTTGCAAGGCCCAGTGAAGGGTACAAGAGCAGGAAAATAGGAAGATGAAAACCACACAGACCAGCCACCAAGAAGCTTACAGTCCAGAAGACAAATGCAATGAACAAGATGCAAGGTTGAAAATGCAGAGTTTAAGGGAGTAGTCAGGGAATGCCTAAGTGGGGTTCCGGGATGGGGAGACCACTTCCTCCTTAGGGTAAGTTGGGAAAGTTCTGTTTTTTTTTTTTTTTTTTTTTTTTTTAAATAGAAAGTAGCTTTTGCACTTGGAAGATGTGGTAGGATGTGAACTCACACAGAGCCTGGGAAAAGGCTGTCAGGCAGGTAGATCACCGTAAGTGAGGCAAGACATCTTAGAATCGGGTGCCAGGAACAGTTCAACTTTATTGAGATGAAGGTTATAAGAAAGAGGGTGGGGAGAAAATAGAAAACTTGGTTGGGTTAACCACTATGGAGGGCATGCATACTGGACTAAAGATGTTTAAATTTTAATCTATTTGCAATGGGTAGACATAGAAGAAAGGTTACTCGATTCATTAGTTATCTCCTTTTCTACTTTTTAATTCATAGTAGTAATGTGAAATGATCACATCTGGTAGTTGAGTGGACATGGACTGGATGGAGGGAGCCCAGAGGCATGGAAAGTGTTTTTGAGTTTTTGTCTAAATAAGAATATCCGTCTCCAGAAAGAAGGAAAAATTAATCCTAATTCGAATATTTTGCAAGGCAGTGCAATTTTTGTTGATGCATGCATGGATCATGCCATATTGGGCATGATGTGATTAAGTGCAATAGCCCCTGGGAAGATTTTAGTGGTGAGACCCAGGAAATATCACAAAGATGTAAATGGGAATTTGTTTCAATGTAGATTCTGAGTAGGAAGTGACTATTTCAGCCCAAAGGGGATTTAGTTCCAACATACCATCTGAAGCAGAGAGCACACTGATCAGGGCAGAGAGACGAAAGCTGATAAAGGGTTTGTGAATAATGTAACATTCTCAGGACAGTAAGACAGAGCTGTTGCTTCACCCAACCATTCTGATTAACAAGCAGAGCAGTGGTTCTCAAAAGTGTTGGATACCAACAGTAAAAACCTTTTGATAATAGTCCTAATGGCAACAATGTAGTCGGTTTCTCAAGAATCAATCAGCAGAAATAGAGCCTAACAGTACTTCTATGGGTCTGTTAATTAAAACAAGAGCATAGGCAACTAAGACCATAGTCAACCTAAGATCCCAATGACGAAGCTCTGCGAGCAATGCATTTTTTTCCCTAAAATTTGCTAGAATGCCAATCATCTGCGATTATATACACATAGTAAGAGCTTTGTGTCTTGTAGAAATAGCCAGATTTTTTGGGTAACCACTGAATTGATGAATTCAGTACATTTTAACAATGTGCTATTTTAAAAAATATTAATACCAAATTTAGCAATCTTTCATTGCTCAGTAGGTAACCAGTAACTAGTCTTTCATTGTACATGGACATGAAAAGCTATGAAATAGTTTAATATTTGCCAGTTAGAAACAGGTCATTGCTCATTAGGGATCACTAGAGCAAGACTTGCTGCCAGGATTCTTCACATCAAGTTGGAGGGAAGTGACATCTCCATAGAAATCAATTGATGAAGAATCAATCATTTGCTCAAAAGTATAAGCCAAGAGGAGACCTAGAAATGAAAGTCCTAACAATAAAAAGCACACATCCCAACTCAGATTGAATCACATGAGAGGCACAGTCAGATTAAGACACTAAAGAGCATCTGGACCTGCTGTGCATAGAGACTGTCCCTGCAGCCAGTGTGGGTGAAGGCTCCCTTAGTGGGAGTGCTTGGCTTGTCCCATCAAAGAGTAACCAAATGTAGCTCATTCCAGAGCGTGGGCTTGGCCATGCTCAACAAGTATCTTACCATCTCCCTAAAATTATAATGTAAAAAAATACAGAATAACTCTGCTCTTATAATGCAGTGGAAGGAAGCCCTCTTATCAGGTCAGATTGGGACCAATAGTTGGTTGGATTGTTGGAAAGTTGGTTAAAGTGGGGAAAAAGGGATACACACATACCATCAACATTTATCTTAATGTAGAGCACATACTTATCTATGACTTTGCCAATCTTTTGATGTTAGGCCAAAGCTTTTCTTTGGGTATGATTCACTGACTGTAGTCATTCTTCTTTCATAAACCGCAGCCATGATGTGCAATCTACAGTTCCAAGTTCTGCTTTCTTTAAAGTGGAATAAGAACTTCAAAACATCTATGAAGAAACTTGGGCACAGTATCTTAGTAGACTTTCATATTTTTTCAGACTTTCAATTATTTACAGTCATCTCATACCTATTTCCAAAGCATCTACATTGTGATTCATCCTTACTGAGTTTTTTCTAAGTATTCAAATTAATTTTGTAGCAGCAACGGTTTTTGCATTCATTTCACTGGATTCCATAATATTTAAATCATGTCATTGTAGCATAAGTACAATGGGCATGAACATATTTGGGTACCATTGCAGATGAATCTTATAAGCTGGTAACAGACTGACTGCTAGCTGCTGGTGGTTCTGCTGGCCACTCCTTCTGTTTGCTTTGGGTGTCCTCTTCCATATGTTTTACAGGAGTGAAGAGTGTGGTTAACTTAACAAGGAAGTTAAGTGGAGAGTTCTCAAGACAGGTTTTTGTACTTGATATGCTCCTCTGCGTAAAACCCTAAAGATTGTAATGCTGGGGTGGGAAACCCAGATGAGTTACTCCCTCTCTCCCTTACAGAATTCCTTGTAAATGGAAATTATTTCTGTCTGGGTGAGGGGCATGTTGTAAACATTTTGACTTTTAATTGCTAAATGGCATGTTTCTTGAGATCTTAAGATTTCTTTTGTATCCTTAGCTCCTAGCTGAGGGCTCTATAAAATTGTAGGTGCTCAATACGTGTTCATTTGATAACTGAATAAGCTCCTGCTTAAGGTAAAATTTCAAAGCTTTTTCTGTACATTTCAGAGATTGTAGCGAAGGTCTAACTACCTCCATGTTATAGGTGAAGTAACAGAGACTGAAGTGTCATGGGATTTGTTGGCATCATCAGGCAGGGACAGAGGAAATGGGAAGGCCTTCTGACTTGATTGCTGCACCAGTGTCCCTTGGCAGTGCTCTCTCAGTAGCGTAACTCTCAGGTGGCTTCCTCTAGGTTTGAGCTTGGCACCGTCAGTTACTAGCTATTGACTCTGGGAAGCAACATGCTATACAGCATCTCTGAGCTCACTTTATCTACATGTGAACTAGGGATAAAATACCTACCTTACAGAGTGTTGCAAGGATGAAATGGAATAGCACAGGCAAAGTGCTAAGCACACTGTCTTGGCTTAGAACAGACGCTCAGTGAAGGGTGATTTTTGTGGTCATTGTGACAGTGCTGGCCCACAAGGAAGGGACTTTAACAGTGATTATCAAGTGCCTTCCAAGAGACAGCAGCACTTCCGTGCATCACGGAACATTGACTGTTCCTCTCCATCCTTTTCCCAGGTCATTCCAGAGTAGCGCAGTTTTTGACTGAACCATGTAGAAATTTGCTTCAGTTCTACACAAAGATCTGGAACAGTACTTTATTTTTGAGCAGATGGAGCCTTTTTGGTACCTCCTGGCAAGTTGGTGTTGGTGTCTACCAGAAAAATAAGGTCACTCCTAACCTGGATGACTGGGTTGAAGTAGCTGTTTGGACTGAGTAAAGGGAGACTTCAACTGAATTAAACTTAACTTTCATATGATGTTTTTCTGAGGCTGTGTGAAAATAGAAACCAGGAATGTTTTGCAATGAGCAATACATGCATGGAGCTGAAGCAGGAAGTTAGTTTAAGACAATGGAAACACCAGCTTTCATTCCCATCCCTGGGAAAACAAACAAGCGACAGGCATATCAACCACCACTTAAAACTCTTAGAATGTACCCGAGAGAAATGTTTTGCCTATGGACAAAAGTCCAAATCCCTCAGAGCTATACATTGGGCCCTTTATGATTTGGCCCCAGCCTCACTCCTGTTCCTTTATTAAGCCTCTCTCCTCTTTCTGCCTCCTTCCCAAGCATCTGGTGCTTCAATCAAGCCAAACCACCAGGCTAAAAACCTACTGTGTACTTTTCAGGTGCTGTGGGGTTGTACAACTTGTGGCTCCTCCCCAAAAATCTCCTCCCCATTCTTCAACTGGTGAGCTCCTCTCACCCTTCAAATAAAGTCTTCACTCTGAAGTTTTTTTCTAAACACCTCCACCCTGCCCCTCAAACATTTCAATGAAAAGTTAGTAATCACACGATTGATAATTGATGGCTCATTGTGTATGCACTTACTATCATACTCACCATACTCTATTCTTTCTCTTCTTCTTCTTCCTCTCTTTCCTCTTTCTGCTTCTCTTTCTCTTCCTCCTCTTCTCCTCCTCCCCCTATCCTCTTTCCTTCTTATCTCCTCCTCCTTCTCCTCCTTTCCTCCTTCTCCATTTCCTTCCCCTCCTCCTCCTTTTCCTTCTTCCTTTTATTGTAGAACTGTGCTGCATGGTAGCCATCAGCCATATGTAGCTATTGGTGGCTCACGCCTGTAATCCCAACACTTTGGGAGGCTGAGGTGGGCAGATCACCAGGTTGACCAACATGGAGAAACCTGTCTCTACTAAAAATACAAAATTAGCCAGGTGTGGTGGTGTATGCCTGTAATCCCAGCTACTAGGGAGGCTGAGGCAGGAGAATTACTTGAACCCAGGAGGCGGAGGTTGTGGTGAGCCGAGATTGCACCACTGCACTCCAGCCTGGGCATTAAGAGCGGAACTCCATCTAAAAAAATATAGTAAATAAATAAATATATAAATATTAACTAACATTAAAGATTCAGTTTCTCAGCCACATTCCCAATGTTCAATAGCCAGCCATGGCCGGTGACTATCATGTTGGAAAAAGCAGACACAAGATATTTCTGTTATTCCACAGAGTTCCAGTGAATGAAGCCATGCTAGAGTATAAACCTCTTGAAGGCAAGGACCATGTGGAATTTACTTCTCCATCTGCAGAACTAGCAAAGTGTCTGGAGGTTAGTGAAAGCTCTAGAGAATGAATGAACACTAGGCCAGACTGTGAGTTTGCATTCCTAGTGTCTAGGCTTTTCAAGAAAAATGCTAACTTCCAATTCCCTTCTAACACCCAAAATATATCGCATCTATAAATTTCCAGGATGGAAGCAGAAAACAATAATAGTAATGCTTCTTAAATGCATTTTCCAAAAGTGGTAGAATCTTGAACAGAATAAGAGTGAAAGGAGGGGAAAATAGGGGCAGGTTTTTACCTTAGATGGATATCATTCATAATCCCACAACTGTTCTAAGAGGCTCATTTGTGCGGAGAAGCTTTTGAAATCCCAAAACCTTGTTTTGACAGTTGGTCACTGAGGTGGCTGAGTTTATCATTGCCAAAATTCTCATCATTTTTGAGGGAAGCGAAATATGCCTCCATTCCCTGAAGGAGGCCAAACATTAAATAGATTCATTGTAGGTTTTTGAGACAAGACCTTTAGAATCCTTTGCAGAGGTAGTGAGGTTAGGATCAATGCAGCATATGCTACCATTAAGCATCAGCTTCCATGTAACCCTACATCAGGCCATTTAAAAGTAGTGTTTCTCTTTTCTGAGATAATGCCAGAGTTATGAGGCTTAGAAAAGTCACATGACTTGTTGGCATCCTGTGGTGACTTACTCATTGACTCCAGTTGGAACTCAGGTCTTCTAACTCCAAGTCCAAGGCTCTTTGCTTCATACAAAAGCTTTCTGGCCGGGCGTGGTGGCTCACACCTGTAATCCCAGCACTTTGAGAGGCTGAGGCAGGCAGATCACGAGGTCGGGAGATCGAGAACATCCGGGCTAACATGGTGAAACCCCATCTCTACTAAAAATACAAAAAACTAGCCAGGGCATGGTAGTGCGTGCCTGTAGTCCCAGCTACTTGGAAGGCTGAGGCAGGAGAATCGCTTGAACTCGGGAGGCGGAGGTTGCAGTGAGCCTAGATCGTGCCATTGCACTCCAGCCTGGGTGACAGAGCAAGACTCCATCTCAAATAAATAAATAAATAAATAAATAAAGTTTTCTAAATTCATTGGAATCACCTGAAATCTCTTGTTAAAAGTAACCAGAATTACTGATCAGAATTACCAGATTTGGAGCCTAGGAATCTGTATTTTTACTAAGTGCCCAAGGTAGCTCAATATATATTAAATGTAATGTGTCAATGTCCTTTAGGATTAAAATCTCAGTATATATGCATTTTATGCATTTGAGCACAAATTGTCTTAGTATTTAATGACCTGGTTGGAATTTATAGTTGGATTTTGTTATTTTACACAGGTACAGAATCACAGACTTGAAGAATTGGGAGGGGTGTTGAGATCATTTATTGTCATTCACCTGACATGGGAATTATTATTACAGTACTCCTGGCAGAGGATTGAGTCACTGTTGCTTGATCAGTTCTGTTACCCTCTAGAGAGACTGCTTCCATTGCAAGGCAAAGCACTGCCTTCTCCTAAACTACAGTTTATCTGCTTATTGGTATGGCTAGGTCTTCTGGGATAACAGAAAATGTGATTTAGTGTATTAAGGAGATGGCTGTTAAGGCTAAGGGCTAGAGGAAACTCAGAGATCACATGGTCAGGTCCCCTCATCGTTCAGATAAAGAAGTGGATGTATAGTCTTCCAACATTGATTTAACAAATATTTATTATGCATTTACTCTTTGCCAAGCCCCATATCATGTGCTGGGGACAAAGAGGGATAAAAGTGGACATGGACTCTGCTGTCATGGAGGTTATAGCCTAGGAGGAAGTCAGACAGATACTGATTAACTAATCACAGAAATATGTCATTATCAACACACTGATAAGTGCTATGGTGAAAAACAAGACTGGAATGATGAGTAAGTCTAATATAGCCTATCTGATCTGGGGCTTAGGGAAGGTGTCCTCAAGGAAGCCATGCCTGAGATGGCTGAAAGGGTAAAGAATTGCTGAAGAGTTGACAAAGGGAGTTGTCTTAGTCCATTTGGTATTGCTATAAAGGAATACCTGAGGCTGGGTAATTTATAAAGAAAGGTGGTTTATTTAGCTCATGGTTCTGCTGGCTGGAAGGGTCAAGACTAGGCATCTGATGAGGGCCTCAGGCTGCTTCCCCTCATGGTGGAAGGCAAAGGGGAGCTGGTGTGTGTACAGATCACATGGAGAGAGAGAAAGCAAGAGAGAGGGGGGAGATGCCACGCTCCTTTTAACAACCAGTTCTCCTGGGGACTATTGTAGTGATAACTCATTCACCACCCTGCCCCATCCACAGGGAGAACATTATTTATGAGATCTGGCCCTGTGACCCAAACACCTCCCATTATGCCACACCCCCAACATTGGGGATCAACATGAGATTTGGAGGGGACAAACAACCAAACCACAGCAGAAGGCAAGAACCTTTCAGGCTGAGGAAGAACATGTGCAGAGGGTATAAGGAGAGAGGGAATTTGGAAACTGAAAGGCTGAAGATCAGGGAACCGTGAGGAGAGAGGTAGAATGAAACTGGAGTGGGGCAAAGGCCTTGTGTGCTGTCTTAAGGATTCGATCTTTATCCTGAGAATAAATAGGAAGCAATGATAAGCTTGTGTTTTAAAATTTCAATCTGGCTGTAGTGCAAATCTTGGGTGGGAGGCCAGTTAGAGTGGGTATAAGGACACCAGGGGTGAGTTAAGAATTAACTGCACAAGTTTAAGTGAGAGAAGAAGGTGGCTTGTTAGGGTTTTGATGATAGAAATGGAGAGGAATGGTCGAATTTGAAACGTACGCAGGAGGAAGAAGAAGTAACACTTGTGATGGGTAGGATATAGGCTGAGAGGATTTTAAGAAAGGAAGGGTCAAGAGATGCAGATGAAGAGGACAATGACTAGCCTAGGATCACAGAGCTGGCTAATTACAAGGCAGGACAAGCAGGCTGAGGCCAGTGATGCTAAGGCTGCTTTTTTTCTGTGGTTTAGGATGCTACAGTGTGAAGGAACTAGACTTTCAAAGCAGGAAGACTGGCATTGAACACTGGCTTTGCCACTGATAAGCTTTGTGATCTTGGGTAGTTTCCTTTACTTCTCTGAGGTGGGTATGAGGACGATAAACATCTCTTTCACAGGGGTCTCATGAGGAATTAAATAATGATGTTTTAAAGTAGTTAGCACCACGCCTAACACATACCAGACACCCAAATAGTAATTAGCTAAGGTTATTTTTTTTATTTTTTTTTTTTTGAGACGGAGTCTCGCTCTGTCGCCCAGGCCGGACTGCGGACTGCAGTGGCGCAATCTCGGCTCACTGCAAGCTCCGCTTCCCGGGTTCACGCCATTCTCCTGCCTCAGCCTCCCGAGTAGCTGGGACTACAGGCGCCCGCCACCGCGCCCGGCTAATTTTTTGTATTTTTAGTAGAGACGGGGTTTCACCTTGTTAGCCAGGATGGTCTCGATCTCCTGACCTCATGATCCACCCGCCTCGGCCTCCCAAAGTGCTGGGATTACAGGCGTGAGCCACCGCGCCCAGCCGGTTATTTTTAATATGACTAAGAGCTACTATGTCTTCCTTGAGTCTTCTTCAAGCCCACTTCCTTCACTTCTTTTTTTATGTTATGATTTTTAGAATCTTTCCACTTCTCCGGGTACTAATATAACATAGTCAGTGTATCCGATACTCTGTTAAGGTCTTGTTACACAATACTAAAAACCTTGTGGTGCTTACAACAAGTGGAGCAAATCCAGTGCCAAGGTGTATAACAGTTGGATGTCCGGTAGCCACTGTCCCTGCCTCCAGTGATTAGGAAAGGCTTCCTGAGCCGATGTTTAGCTCAGCCTGAAAGGATGAGTAGATATTTGTCAGGCGGAAAAGAGGCAAGAGATGGCAGTGATGGTGGTGGAGCATTTTATTAAGAAGGAACACAAAGTAGAAAAACATAAAGGTATGAGGAAGCTTCTTCTTTTCTGAGGATCTATGAGAAGTTTGGCATGACTGAAGTGGTGATTTCTCATGACTAAAGTGGCAGACTTTATCACTGGAAAGATAAGCTAGGGCTATAAAAAGATCTGTGGCTAAGCTGAAGATCTTGAACCATATTCTGTAGACAGTGAGGTGACATTGAAGATTTTTAAGCTGAGTGACATAATCATAATTCTTTGTAGAGTAGGTTTTTCGGGAGATTAGGTTTGTATTTTTTGCTCTACCAAGTCATTGCAAGTAATCACTCTTGAAGAGTTGTTGTTACAATTACTAGGAAAATATTGTTCAGAAGTAGCCTTTCTCACAAGGGTGTCTACAAAAGGAGATATAATCTGATCCTGTTTTTGAGTGTCTCAATGAAAAGATTGCCCAATCCCTTGGGGCTGATCTCTGGGGTAAAAAGGGGATGTGGTGGTTGGGGGCTCTGTGGTCGTTGGGTGCTGGGACTAGTACTGGACAGTGCACATGGATCTCAAGCAGTCAGTGGGGAGCATAGAGATGTGACCACACTTATGTGCATGTTTGTGGACAAGTACACACAGGTTACAACTACTTTACTAAGATCAGGATCACCTGCTTGTATTTCCCAGGAATCTAGGAAGAATAGAAGAGAGAATGTGGTCTTCAAACTGCCCATAGCATCTGAAACATGGGATATTTATTCCCATTTGATTTTCTCTCTTGAAACAATCTATTAGGCTAATATATAAAGAAGCATCTTGTTAATACAATGTTCTATGAGTGTTCCTTAGGTAGTTTTGTTTTCTGAGCAGCAGAATCTTGATCATAACCAGATTCAATATCTGTGTCCATTCAAGTATCTATATATAGTGATATTCAGAGGGGTGCTTTGTGAAGATGACTAAAAGATTTGTTGATGATAACCCTTAGCTCAATATAAGGACAATTCCTAAATATACAGTACAACCAATATATTTCAAAGAACCTAGAGGTTCCAAAACGCATTTAATTCTGCTTTGAAGTTCCTTAGAAGATCACTCTGGCTTCTTCTGGGTTTTCCTCCTTTATGTCCCAAGTTGGTTCGCGTCGCCTATTTTGGTCTGGATAATTTAGATTCTTAATCATTTTATCTTGTTAGCCTTGCATGTTCTCATGATGTTTGCTTGTGTCTTCTTGCTGTCAATTATTTTTTTCTTCGGTGGCTGGATTATCTCTGTGTTATGATCCCATGGAGGCTCAAAATGTCTTTGGTTGGAAATTACTCTTGCTGGCGTTGGAACTAAATATGAATTCCCCCATTTTTACCATACCTTGGCATTTCTTCCATAATATTTTAAGCATCTCCTAGACAATATGATCTTGGGATTGTTATTTTTGTATTATGTCACCCCAAATCTAGGGTGGAATACACTTTTGTTCATGTTTAGTATGATCTAGAGGTCTCATTGTGTTAGGTAAATTATTTTCTTGAATTGGGCATGATGGCACTTTCCACCCAACTCCCAGATGCAGCATTGCTGGAACTAGTTCTACTTCACCTGCCTCACCTGTGTGGGAACTTTGGGTCCTGCCATCTTCATCTTGGTCAATGAAATGTGATGTTCAAGCGTGTAAAGGAAGCCAAAGGGCAAACCATCTTGTTATTAGTCATCATTTCCTTTAATATATAAGACTTGAAGACTAAATAATGAGATTACTTAAGAAAATAAGAAAAAACAAAAGATCTAGGCCCTAAGTTGCCTTCAGGTGCATAAATACATGCATGTGACACACAAACCGGAGATACTTCTTTTATGGATAGTTGAACATTTGTATTTAAACAGAAATGATGATACTGACCTTTTTCTTTTAAAGAATAAAGTATATTCCATGGTAAAATGTAGTGCTTAAAATTTGTGAGAAACGGAATATTTCTCAGTACATCCAGAAAGAGTGTGAAGTTTTGTTTTGTTTTATTTATTTATTTATTTTTTGACAGAAAAGTTTTGAGAAATATCTGCTAAGGATGGTCAAACACCCATCATTGTTGTGAGTGATAGTCTGGAATCTTCTTTGCTCATTTCCAGCCTACTTTCTCTATGATCCAGTGTTCTTTAGCCTTAAACTCTTGCTATTTTTGAAAAAATGATCCTACTCTTGTATGTTTAGATTCGATGCTTATATATGGCCCATGATGATCAGGTTCACTTTATGAATTTGGGCATATATTTTCTCTCTAGGGTTTTTCCTCCTCTGCATTTCTGGTATAGCTTACCTTCCTCAATCAGTCCACCTGGAGCCTACTTTCTGAGCATCCAGTCCCAAGTGTAGGAGCAGGATAAGGGATTAAAAATAAGATTTAAGAAAGGGGAAAATCTGCAGACTGGGAGATTAGCAGATGAAACAAATTGAAGGGCCATTTGAAATAAGATGAAATGCAAAAATCTGAAAATATTGGTTAGCAATAACCCTCAGTTAACTGAAAGATCAATTAACCAGACTCTCCATTCCTCAAACATTTCCATTAACTTTGAAAAAAATTCTAAATGAAGTCATTAAAAAAAACAGAACAGATGGATGAGATCTGGAACTTCAAAAGAGGCAAAGTTTAATACAAGATTTTAATGGGACCCACCTGACAAAACAAAGACAGGACTCGAGCTTGTACTGTTGGAAATAAAGAGACAAAGAAATAGAGGCACACAGAACACTGTCTCTTGGACTGCAAGAACTCAAATTAACCTTTAATACAATTTATAAAGCACCAAAGCATGCAAAGGACCTAGAGGACCTGGTTGGAATTAAATTCTGATGTTGCTGACTTCAAAGGCACTCAGGCTGGAGACCCCAGCAAGACGAACTTCCCACAATAATACAGGAGGCATATTTCATGGCCAAGGATGCAACAAAAGAGTTCATTTCTATAGATCAGACAAGAAAAATGAAATATTTCTCTACATTAGAGAAGATAATTTTCTGAATTGTTTGCCTGGTCCTAAGCAGAACATCGAAACCCAGTGTTGGACTTGAGGGTCAGAGACCATAGGAAAAAGGTGATGTCATTACCAAAAGGCAGCAGCCAACCTACCTGGAATTTTATTGCCTTTTCTCACAGTTAGTAAAGCTTAGGGCTTAACCAGTTATTGCACAATCGACTACAAGCCATAATGGAAACTCAGTGGAGAGACAATTCAGGCTGTATTATGGTTAGAATCATAACCAGACTGTAGGGCTGACCCAAAACATGGTGCCTTAAAAATGTTTTAGACTTGCTTCCATCTGGGCCAGACTTGACAGCCCAGGGTATTCAACCTGGTGGCAGAACATGACAGCAACCATTTTTAAAATTTAAATTTAATGGAATCTAATTTTATTTTTGCTAAGTCTATTTAGCAAGAGATAGCAAGTACTTTTAGCAAGTAGTGATTCTATTCAGGAATGAGCACAGCTATAGTTATAGGTGGTCTGTTGGCTTTAGGGCAGGTCTCTTGCTAAGTGTTTGGGAAGGAAGCAGGGACCAGCCTCTGGGAAGATGATGCTGGTCCAAATTGGGCAGGGTGTCAAGGCTCACACCACTAGCTGGTGTTCAGAGCAGGGCTTCTCTCTGTAACAATGAATAAAGACCAAAAACTGGGAACCAGGGAAGAAGCTCAGTCATCTAGGTTGAATAATTGTGTAATGATTGTGATAGGGATTGCCTTGTAGATGCATTGTATAACTGGCCTAGGCAGCAAGCCTAATTCCAGAACTTTGTGAGTATACTAATAGTCTGGCTGCCCAGGTCGGCACTGGCTCAGGGACCAAGTAGTAGAAGGCTCCTCAGTGGCTGCGGCAGAATAAGACTTGGAGGAGGGGATGACCCAGTTCTGAATTTGGCACAGACTTAGGCAAGCTGGGCTGCTTTGCACCTATCTGGAACTCAGACGGTGAAATTTCAGTGATATTGGCTACACAGTGTATGTTCTAAATCTTCACAGTCTTTATGTCTCTAACTTAGAAAGGGGACCAGCAAAGGTGTTGAGCTGGATATTCTCCATCTGAATCTCCAGTCCTCCCTGCTCTGTACTTGAAAGGCTGAACTCAATGGACACATCCATCCAGCCCTTGTGCTCTCTCTCTGCTGGTTTCCTTTAACCCTCCAATTCCTTAGTAAATACTCTTTTCATGAAACCCCTTTTGTGTATACCATCCTGTCTAGGTCTGACAAATTCAGGGGCACACCAGATTTAAGTAGGAAGAATTTTTTGTTTTGTTACTTGTACTAAAAAAAAAAAAAAAAAAACACTAGAGACAAACCGAATGTCCATGGATGCAGAATTGGTTAAATTATGGAATACTCAGCCAGTATAAAATTATGTTATTAAAATATTTAATGTCATGGGATAATGCTCAATATATAATTCTAAGGAGAAAAAAAGGATAAAATGGCAAATACATTAATTTATAATGGGTAGAAACAGTGATAAAATACAGACACTTACTAAAAATGGTTACCTCTGATACAGTTGAAGGTAATTTTTGTTTTCTTCTTTTTTTGTGTGTTTTCCATGTATACTGTAATTGACAATGTTACTTTATGATCAGAAAAAATAAACATTATAGAAAACAAAATAGAAGAACCAGCCATGATCTGGAAGTTTTGTGTCACTTGTGGGAGATCCTGTTATATTTTAAGGAGTATCATTGTCATATGTACCTGGCATACATTCAGATGGGTCATCACAGTAGGTCAAGGTCATCAGTCCTTCATATAAGGTGATTGGATGGATGTCTTTCTTCCCATCAAATCCCATGGAGACATGCCCTCTTCCTGTAACATTTCCCTTGCTCAGCCCTTTGAAGAAAAAGTGAGTCTCAATGTGTCACATGCCATAACTTTTCCAGGGAGAATGCTTGCCCCAACTCAAAAACCTTTGTGCTGCAGTACAGAGAAGTATACTTACTATATGTGAAGACAAATGACATTAATAACAATAAGGAAGGAAAAATCAAGTACCACATTTCACATATGAAAGCAAAGTAAATATCTTCTCTAATTGTTGAGCATGTTCTTTTTGTTTCTGTTGGTAATAAATTGACTACAGAATACCTGCTGCTTGGAAATGTCTCATAGGTGCTTCCAGCCCATCAGATCTAATATAAAATTCAGCATTTTTGTTTCCCTCTCTCCATGCTACTCTTTCTCCTAAATTACTTATCTTAGTGAATGTTACTATTATCAGCCAAGTCACAGTGTCTTCAGGATATGTAGAGATAAAATCCAAATATGATTATTTCAAATTCCAGGGTCAGCTCATACATGATCAACTGAGGTACTGGACTAGACCTTCTAAGACCTAAAATTCATATTTGTGTTTTTCTTAGGTGACTCAACAGCCTCAAAATATCATGAGAATGACTATGATTGAAAGATGGCACCTCAAAGCTTATGGGTTAAAGACATCAGTGTGGTTGTTTGTCATGCCATTAAATCCTACATGAATCACACCTTGATGAGATTAAGTTGATATTGTTATCCATCCCACAGGTTCTTTATTTTTAACAGGTACTGACTTTGGTTCAAGAAGAAAGGGTCCTAAGTGGTTGAACTATAAGTGAGATTGGAAAAGCATTTTCCCTCATTGTTGTAGACATATGGCCATTATTTATATTCATGGGCATGTGTGATACTGGTGTGCATATTGGGTGATACCTCGTTGTCTTTGGCTCATCTCACTATGACCATTGTTTGCCTCCTAGAAGTTTGCTGGGCTGCCTTGAAACTCTCTGCTAGGACTTCCTGGGGTGTCTTTGAGTCTTCTCTGGGTCCTGCACTGGAATTCACACTTTGCTGATTTCCAAGTGAGGCTCATCTATAACGTTTTAATGAGTGGGGCAATTACTCATGTGCATGAGAAAATCTCTTATAATGCTCACTTGAGTCCTGTCCAAGTTTGAGGTAAGAGATAATTGTGCCTCTGGTTAAGAACTCCATACTCTGTTTATGGTATTTGGGCTTTGTTTGTCTTTCAGTAACTTTGCGATTTCCCTCCCTCCCTGCAGACTTTTATGGAAATGATCTTCCTGCTGCCTGAAGTGTGTCATTCTACATCTTGCCAAGAAAAAAACTCTCTGTAGGGAAAATGACCCATCTCTTCCCTTCTACAGCCATCTGACTTAATTATGCACTGTGCTTGGCCCCTGGAGAGCCCAGTGAGGAACATGAGGAAGTCCTGGCTTGATCACCAAGCCCTAGGGTCTTTGTCAATTATTATCTGGCACCCACGAGTCTGGCCAAATTTACAGGCATGTCTGTCTCTTAAAACATGTCAGGCCTGAAGAGTGAATCATTTTTTTTTTTGAGCAGCTATAAGTAGAACAGTCTTTTCCATTAAAACCCACTTTACTGTCTTCCCAACACCCTAGAGCCTCCCAAACACACCTTCCACTCCACGTGGGATGCCTGGGAGACTACTTGTTGAATAACACTGATTGTTTCCCAGGACTCATGACACGCATAGAGGCATTGTAGTCTAGAGGGAAGAACACTGTTTTGCAAGCAGACAGAGGTAGATGTGAGAGACCCATTCTTCCTTCTGCTAGCTGTGAGCCCTTGAGAGAGCCACTTACCTCTCTGAGCTTTGATTTTCTCACCATTAAAATGGAGATGATAGTACCTACTTCATGGGGTCATTGGAAAGCAAAAATGAGACAATGTGTGCAAAAGTAATTTCTAAATAAAATCACAATAAAATATTAATAGATTTAGTGAAGAATAAGAAAAGCAGCACTTATTAATCAGGCTCCTTATCTCTACTCATCCTTCTTGCTAAGGAAAAAAGAAACTAGCTTTGTTCTCATCTCTTTTTCTTAAGATTTCACACCATTTAGAATTCAAAGATCCCATGAAAGGCATGCTATCCTAACAAGTTTTGAGACCCCGAATTTGCAGTGTTGTACACAAATGTCATACCTTCTGAGATGTCTCTTTGACCCTGACCTCCCATGTTTCAAACAGATTAATGATTTCCCCATATCACTTTGAGTGTTTCCATCTTTTTGAGGGGAGAAATGGCACAATACCATTCTAGTGCTGGTCACACTCTCATGGGATTGTTTATTTGCCAGTATCCCCCACTAGAGTCTAAGAAGAGACAGTGTTTGGGATTCATTCATGTCAGTATCCCCAGGTCCCAGCATAGGGGTTGGTGCAGAGGAGGAGGTCAGGATGTGATAGTTGGAGGAGGGAAGAAGGAAGGAAGGGAAGGCAAGAGAAGAAGGGAAGGAAAGAAGAAATCCAGACTTGGTATTCTTAGAAGTGTAATTAGGGCACAGGCGTAATTCTCCATGAAAGCAACCATGTTGGGAAAACCTATTATTACACTCTGGCTTCAAGTGTTGTTTTCATATCTGGGAGGAAATACATTATTTGTGTTTTGGAGTAGCCCCATCAATCTGGTCTCTCCATCCTTGTCCCAGACTTCCTCAGGAGTTGTGTGGGCAGAATAAAGAGGCCGTCAGTTTGTATTGGTAACTAAAGGCTAATGAGTGTTTTCTTGCTCAGAGCCAGCTTGAAGTTACTGCTGTGGAGATGGGGAGGACAGCCCTCCAAGCAGAATTCCTGGGCTTCTGCCTTTTCCTCAGCACTGCATGTAGCTGCCTCCGTTATGGGAAGATTCTGGGAATTTGAAAATGATAGCCAAACACTGCTCTTAATGGATTCATATATTTTTTTAAATGTCACATCAATCAGGAGTATTATTGGTTTGATGTCAAGTATCTGTTTTGATGCACTTACCCAATGAAATGAAAAACTGAGCTGTTTGCCTTGATTTTCATACACATCACAGAGGCCATTTCTTTTTTATCTTGAATAGTCCTAGCTAAAATTTGCAATCGAACAAACACACAACAGGAACAGGAAAAGATCAGTGGCCTTAGTGTCAGAAGAGCTGGGCTTTAATTCCAGGTCTGTCGTTTACTGACTGTGTGATACTAAGTGACTAATTAAACCTCTGGGATACTCAGTTCTTTTCTCTTTAAAGTGGGGACAGTAATACCTGTTTTTCTAGTTTGTTGTAAGCTTTAAATGATTTGATATACATACAGTACAGTGTCTGGCCCACAGTGAATCCTCAGAATATGTTTGATGGGAGTGAGCAAGCGGGGAGGCAATGAAGACTTATTTGCCGTATTTTAAGGACCACAGGTAACCTTGAGAATTGGCATAGGCTGCAGGTCCCAGTCCTTTACAAGAGACTGACAATAATGCCAGCTATACTGGAAACACGGCTGGCTAATGATCACAGGCAGCTTCAGGTGGACTCAAGGTTAGTGGGCTAATGGATATAGTCACATAATGTGTTGTAAGCACGTGCACTCTAGTAGTGTTGCGTTGTTTTCTCCCCAAATGATGAAAACAACAAAAAAACCAAACTTAAAATCGCCCCATCCTGATCACATGACCACATGTTTTTCTGTTCTCTCCCAACCCTGATCCACATGTAGACATTTATTTTATACTTTGGTACAATTAGAAGGTGGAAACTTTAAAACATTCTTCATTTTCTTTCTTTTTTTAAAAAATAGAGATGGTGGTGGGCAGGGGGTCTCACTATGTTGCCCAGGCTGGGCTTGAACTCCTGGCCTCAAGCAATCCTCCTGCCTCAGCCTCTGGAGTAGCTGGGACTATAGGCGTGCATCACCATGCCAGGCGACATTCTTCATTTTGAAGCTAATTCATCTGCTGAGCTGACCAATAGCCTCAATCCTAGAGGGAGGTCACCTGGTTACTCTTAGGGCTGGACCCTTCATGCGACACTCATGGAGGAAGAATGGAAGTGGCCAATGGCTCTCTGGAGCACTGGTTCTTAACTGGGGCAGGTTTTCCCTATCCGCCTCATCCCCCACCCCAGGGATATTTGGCAATGTCTAGAGATGTTTTTGGTTGTCATAGCTTGGTGATGGGTGGGCTACTGTCATCTAGTGTGTAGAGGCCAGGATGCTGCTAAACATCTTACAGCGCAGGGCACAGACCTCCACAACAAAGAATTATTCATCCCAAAATGTCAGTGGTGCTGTGGTTGAAAAATGATGCTCTAGAGAAAGAACTGGAGGCAACTATATCAAAGGACTTTCTGAAAGTGTAAATGCATTTCAGCAAGAGTCTAAAGCTTTTACGAGATTTTCAAAGGGCAAGAATGATTCAGAAGCCCTGCCTCGGTGTGAGTGAATGGTTCCCAGGCTTGTTGGCCTTGGCTGTGACCAAATGGATGGCATTACATGCATGTGCCCATCAGCAAAGGGGTGGTCAGTGTAGGACATAGAAAAAGTGAGTCAGTGAGACATATTTGAGCGTTTTCCAGGGGAGGCTGCGCCCTGACAAGAAAACAACCACTTACAATCTTCCTGCCAAGTCTTTATCTATAGTAAAGACCAGCATCTGAATCTGTCAGTGTTTGATGGTATTAAACATTCAAATCACTTTAACTTGCCTGTCTGTGGATTCATACTCAATAAGGATTATCATTTCTTTTCAGTCTAGATCTGCCTACTGTGTTACTATAAATTCATTACTGGCCTCTAGAGGGGCTGGGTATTATTCATCTGTATCCACATTAGGAGTACCCACAAAGGAGTTAGCATTCAATAATTGTGTGGTATCGTGAGCAAGAGAATTGAACTGTTTTTATTAACATGAGCATGTTACTCCATGCTACAGGAATATTTCTTTTTATTAATAGGCATACTGGTTTTAGGGCTTATGTCTCAAGTTTCTATAAATTTGGTTAGTGTGACTTGGCCTACCCAAGACTGACTGCCTTTAGGACAATATCAAGATTGAGTTTCAGAGACTGCAGGGCTGGGAGGCAGATACAAGTATGTTTTGCGTACACTGGGATGATGCTGCTCTGTGGAAAATCTTGGAAGAAGGAGAGCAAGTTCACCTTTCCCTGCAGACAGCCTCATATCTTTGTGTGCTTTCAGTCCTAGCACTGGGCACCAAAGGGAGATTCAGTGAGGCTGATATGCCAGTCCTTGGTTTGTTTGTTCTTAGATCTACCCCTCGCCCCTCCCTGCTTTACTTCATAGCACAGGGAGGATGACCTGCAGTCTGTGTTTCCTAGGCCCCCATGCTAGTTGGCTTCTGTCTGGATTTGTTTGGCCAATGGGAAGTACTGGCAAGAAATTGGAAGGTGGACAGAAAGGAAAAGCCAGGGGATTTCTCTCTGCCTCTCGCAGCCTTGGACAACATCTCCAGGAGTGGTAACATTTCCTCTATGGTTCATGGTGGATCCAGGTTTTATGACTCATAGCTTATATAAGTTTGGGGACCGCTTTAAATAAAAATGATACAAAATTGTGAGTATGAAATTAGATCCAGGGTCTTAGAAGGGACCCTGGATGGCAAGCTCAAGCCTCATTAGCTTCATGGTAAATCTGCCACTGCCAGACTTCCAGCTTCCACTGAGTGACTGGCCTAGGCTCTCCCTTGTCTGTCTAGCCTGTCTTCTCTGTCTATCTAGCAGCTTCCTGCTTCTTAGGTTACCTCACCATTATCTGCCTAAACATCTCAGCTTCTCCATTATCTGTGTAATCAATTATTTTTACCAAATTCCCTTTGTATTAAATAGAGTAATTTCTTGTTTTTCTGGTTGGACCCCAACAGGTGACACAAACTAAATCAAAGTTTAAAAAATGATAAAATTATTTTTGTTAGCCATAACCCATAACAAGGAGACTTTTTGTTTGATGTGGATAAATAGACAGTTAGAAACAACTAAATACGATGGAAAGTTAAGATGGGGCATTCATTAGTCTTAGAAATGTTGGGATGCTCAGGTGTATTTTACAATTGCTTTATGGCCTTTAAATTATAAAATAACCAGAGAAAGGCATTTTTATGTCAGAGAGCAAGGCTGGATAAACTGGGGACTGTTGACTGCCTGAAGGTTTGTTCATTTCTTCAAGTGTGTATTGAGCTCCTACTATGGGTTGGGGTGGCTGACACTCAGCCACTGAGACATGGTTGTAGCTGTTAAGAAATTGACAATTCAGTAGGAGAGACAGACCCCAAATGTATGTTCTCACTACCTGTGGGGGAGTGTTGGGTGCCACCCCAAGGAGTGGCATTTGGGGTGGTGAGTATTTTTGATCCCTGATAGGTAATATTCTCTGTACAGCAGTGATGAGGAACCTGAAATGGCAGGGGAAGCAAGCAGCGAGACTGGTTATGAAGTGATGGCAAAATGCCAAGCAAGAGGTTGAGAGGTTTTGGTGGAGGATGGAGCAGTAAGGATAAGGGTGAAATAGAAGGAGGATTCAAGACTTCCTGAGCTTTCTCCCTTGGGTGGAGAAGGTGATGAGGCCACCAACAAGGCAGCAAACACAGGCAGATGAGCAGGTTTGGATGGGGAAGATGAGAGTTTGGACTGGGACAACTGTGTGTGAGGCCATTGTGGGATGAGCAGGGATGGGTTCCACCAGGGGGCTGGCTTTGTAGTTCTGGACTCAAGGGAGAGAGAAAGAGAAAGAGAGAGAGAGAGAGTTTCTTGTGGGAATAAGAGGTATCTGGAACAGGAGCAACTGTGTCATCTTCTAGGAAGAGGAATATGGAATGAAAAAAGAGAAGAGGCCCTGGAAAGAAAGCTCCAGAAAGCCCATGCCCAGAGGTAGACAGAGGAAGAGGAGTCAGCCAGTGCGAACTGGGGGGAGCCAGGAGAGTGGGAGGAGTGTTAGGAACCACGGAGGGGCAGCTTTCTGGAAGTAGAGGGTGGTCAAAGTGTAAAATAGTGAAGGGGGCCAAGTAGGGTGAGGCCTTGTTGGGTTTCAAAAGGCTACTGGTGACCTGCAGAGAAAATTTCAGTGTCATAGAGAAGGCAGAAAGGGCTTTTCAGAGTCTCAGAGGTGACCACCAGGTGAGAAGCAACAATGGGTGTTGGGTACTCGGTGCAACAAATAGTGGTAGAAGGGAAGAGGTGTTGTTGGAAAGGGAGCATGAGAAGTTTCCAGAACATTTGCCAGTGAGAGGATGAGAGTGAGCAGATAGGAGAGGAAGAGCTGATAACTGGGACTGAGCAATGTCTTCATCAGTGCCTTCACTTTCCAAGCAAGTGGTTTGCAGCAGGAAACTCAATCCTGTCAGAGCTGGGAGTATCAGAAAATCTGCTGCCTTGAATCCTAATTCTGGAGCCAGAACTGTTCCCAGATAGTGAATTAGCTGTATTGATGGCAAAAGCTGTTGCCGTCTAGAAGAAGTGATTTACCTTCTACGTGAGACAGGAATGAAAGGGTAATACACATGTGCTTAACACATATGTTGATGCTTCCATTCTGCACCATAGCTGTTCTCCTAGACAGAGACAGAAATTGTCAAATAATCTCTGGGCCTCATAGATTCTGATTGGAAGCTGGGCACTGGGCCAGTGCAGCTTGTCAAACCAGGTTACGTGGGAATGTGCCCAGGGCTGCTGAGAACACGCAGCTCTGGTGGTGTGTATGGGCTTGTTTGATTCAGGCTGGTTTGTGCTTTCCATCAAAGGGACACCTGAGCCTCCCAGATAGGTAACAACTTTGGGTTCGTCCCCACTGCTCTTGTTTGCTTTGGTTACTGGTGCTTAGCAGAGAAAGCTTCTGTCTTGGTGAATGAATCCTTTCTGACTTCTGAGAGCATTCTTGGCAGAAGACTTTTCCACTGTAATAATGGTGGCTACCACTCACGGAGGGCCTGTTCTGTGCCTGAGGCTCTGCCAGGGACCTTGTGTGCATTTCTTATTCACAGCAAACTGACCAGACTGGCACCATGACTGCCATGTTACACATGAGGAAACTGAGGCTCTGCCCAATAATCCCTCTTGGCTGAGTTTCCCAGTGTCATTCAACTGTTGCACTGAAAAGCTGGGATATCTGTTGGGTCTTTAGCCCTCTAAGAACACCAATCTGTGCTACCTGCCTCTCACTCAGCACTGTGTTCTGATCCTCACTCACCTTGTGCTAATCATCCCCTGCAGTAGCACACATGGAAAGTTACACGGCCACATGACTTAACTCCTTTATTTTTCCTTTTAGAACAGATGCTTCATACAAAAACAGCAATAAAACTCCTCGTAACCTTCCTCCTCGCCTTCAGTCTTTCCCCTGCCAATCTGCCTTCATGGTGCCCCAGAGGGAGTGCCCTTAAAGATGAATCTGACCATGTCACTTCTGTGGAAGCTCAATGGCTCCCCTGGCAACTGGATGGAGGCCAGGCTCCTTGCCTTGGCACACATGGCAGCAATAAGACTTGGTTCTTGTCCACATCTCTAGCCTTATCCCCTGCCCTCCCTGCCTCCAGACTGGCTGTTTTTTCAAGCAGGAAACTGAGCAGGTTCCCATGCTCCTTTACCCTTCTGAGCCTTTGCTAAAGATATTCCTTCTGCCTGACATATCCTTACCCCCTTCTCTGCTTGGTGAATCCAAATAGCATCTCTTCTGTAACACCATCTCCGACTGCCTTGGATGGAATTGGTTCTAGGACATTCCATATTGAATTTTCCTTGATTACATCTGACTTCCCTAAAGTTGGTGAGCAGACAAGCCAAGTTCTGCACACCTTGCTCTACCAGAGGTCAATTCTGGGCCTGGCATGCATTTGGTACTCAATAAACATAGTTCCACTGACTCAGTGTATTTGCAGACACCACTGAGTTTGATGATCTTGGAGACTGGTGAGTCTCGACAGTGGTCCTAGATCACTGCAATCTGTAAAACTGAAACTGGCTGCAGATGGCTGGGAGGAGAGGAGTCTATCTAAGCTTCAAGCTGGACTAGGCTCCATCTACTTATGGAGAACTATAGTACCTTTGCTATTTCTCTTCTCCTCCAAAGATGCCTTAGGAATCATAGTGAGACAGTTTTGTACAAGGAGCATTTTATGGTCCCCTGAAAAAAGATGATAGGTACTTAATTATGTAACCTAATTAAGCCTCTATAATTTCAGAGGTGATCATTGTTCTCATGGAGGTGGGACCCCAATTTCACTTTCCCCCTTCCTCATTGAATCTTATTATGGTGTTCATACATGTATCACATCAGATAGCTTACTCTAGATTTCTAGTAGGTGCTTCCTTTCCTAAACCTTCATTGAATTAAAAAGCTATATGAGCCAGGGAATACTATTTCTCAGTTTAGGAATAAGATAACTGAAGTTCAATTCAGTTTTCAAAGATCTTATTGTTTGTGGACAAATCGTCCTTCATTTTTCTGCTTGTAACAGTGGACTTTCCTATGGCCAGAGGTCCATAAAGTGAACATTTTCAGGCTGGATGGATGTCACCCTCACTACAGTGTCAGTTCTAAGGGCAGATGTCCTTCTCATTCTTTACCATCGTCTAATCTTTACTTTAGGGCCTGGGTATTTATCTGTCTAATTTCCTAGATATTAGCTGTGTGAGGTCAGGGGTGGTATTGACCCCTCTTGGTTTCCATTTATTTGTGTTAGTGTTTGGCATATACAAAGGGCTCAATGCTGTGTCTCTCTCTTCCAGAGGTGTCCTCCTGTCCTCTTTTCAAGGTTTTTGATTAAAAATTTAGAAAAGTTAGATTTTTCAAAATCTAGGATTTTATGTCTGCTCCTGACTGGACATAGAAAAAAAATTCTTTAATTCAAGCATTCTGATTAGCATTTTGAACAAGGAGAAGAAAGCACATTCCGTGGTGAATGAAACATTCTAAAGTGGCAATGCTTTGAGTGGCTGTAGTCCTTTCTGATTATTATGCAAATTGGGCAGGCATACTGTTACTTCTTGGCCCCTCCGCTATTCCGGATGATCTCTACATGGACGGACAGACTTATTAGTGTGGCCTGGCTCCCAGATTCCTGCTGTGGGAACCTTGTTTCACCCACAGACTATCAGACCTGGGAGGGGTCCTAGGGACCATCCTGTCTAGTGCTCCCTTATTTTCCAGAGAGATCCCAGCAAGGTCCAGGTGGGGAAGAGACTCCTGCAATGTGCCTGGAGTTAGAAGCAGAGCCATCGGTGGGCACTTCCTTCCACTCCCTAACTCTCTACCAGATGCTGTTAGTATTCTTTTTACTTTTCTTGAATTTAGGTTTATTAATATTCCCTTGTTGATGTCAACCCCTGATGGGGGTTGATTGAGCCCTTCATAGGTGCCAAACACTAACAGGAATAAATGGAAACCAGGAGGAGTCAACACAACTCCTGAGCCCACAGACTGTATCTAGGAATATTCAAGACAATATTAATATACCTAAATTCAAGAAAAGTAGAAATATTCCACAGCATGAGCGAGCATCGCTGTTCAGAGTTTTGTCAGTTTACCTCCTGGAGCTCACACACTCTGGAATTCTTGTGCATGTCAATCTCCCTCAACATCTCAGCATTGTCTTTGATTCAAAGACAACATCTCAGTGTTGTCTTTGATTCTGCAGAAAATAAAAAGTGATATTCTTTAGGGGTGGGGATTAGGGGAGAGAAGGATGTCAGGAGATGTTAGTCCACTCTGCAATATTGAAAGGGGACTAAACTGCAGATACTCAGTTTGATTGGGAGACATTGCAGAATCTTGATGCTAATTGCCATGTGGATTCGTGGATTTGGATCCATGCACACTTCTTGCACACTGCTGTGTTGGTACCAATATCAAAGCATGTGACACTGACAAACAAAAATGCTTTGTTTTCTCTCAGCTCCAGCAAGACCTATGTGCATGTAATATATCTTTCCAAAAAACATGACTTGTGAATTAGTCACAAGAGTCACTGGTCTTAATAAGACATTACCTGGAAAAAGGAGGTCTTGGGTTTCTAAAATGTGACCAGCATGGGGTAAGTGGAAGCCTATTGAATTAGAGCATGGGAAAAGGTTTCAGAACTAAAACTTGATATCCCAGGCTTTGACTTAAAGTCAAACAGATTTGCTTTTTTTGTTGTTTTTTATTCCACTGAAGGAAAAAAAAGTGAAAATAAAATAGTTGATTGACTTTTGTTTTTCATTATTTTTCAATTTCACTCATTTTTGTACTTCTGGCTTCCAACTGTGACTAGGGAAAGTGCCAAAATATCAGGCGAGGTAGTCCCCCTGGAATTTAAGTCTGACCAAAGGCTGAAAATATGAAAAGTCCACCAAATGAAAAAGTCCAAATTCCAGGCATGTTGTGCACACTATGAGTTTAGGGGCATTTTCCTCAGATGTTTTAAGGTTATTACATTTTTATGTTTCACCAGTCTAAGTGTCTGAACATTTTTTAGTTCAATGACTGGCCCTAAAATAGGGAAATTGGCCATCCAAACAGGAAGGAGGTATGGGGAGGAATAAGGAATGACCACTTGTTAAGCCCTTATTGTATTCTACATATTTTATTATATAGAATTCTCATAAAAATTCTATGATTCATTTTGCAAGTGGGGAAATGGAGGCCCATGACCTGTGAGTTTTCTATGGTCATGTACATCATAGGAGGCAGAACTGGTATTC
This sequence comes from Homo sapiens, assembly GCF_000001405.40. Taxonomy (NCBI): domain Eukaryota; kingdom Metazoa; phylum Chordata; class Mammalia; order Primates; family Hominidae; genus Homo; species Homo sapiens. The sequence continues at coordinate 108,599,372 of NC_000009.12, read as the reverse complement.
AAAAGTAAATTTGATTCTAAGGTTTCCTAGTTCACGGTTACTTACTTGGAGAAAACATAAAATGGCAATCCTCTTTTTTTCTTTGTTGGTTGTAATAATTCCTGATCTCTGGTTAATTTTGTTTCGTTCCTTAAAGTAACAGTAATTAACTTACTAAGCCAAAAACATTGGCCAAGATCCGATGTGTCTGTAATTAAATGATGCTAGATGGCACCACGGCTTTTCTTTAAGGTTATGATCTCAAACATTCTGGAACTGCCATAATCTAGGCAGGCTTGTATAAATAGATAAGCACTGAATTTATTATGGTCAGGAGACTGGGGCTTAAACCTCATCTTTATTACTAACTTGGGAAAATTTTTCTGCTTTGTGCATCTGAATTTCTCTAAACAATGAAAGGGTTGAGCTGTAGAATCTATAACTTCTGACTCTAACATTCTGGGATATTATCATGCCTTCATGAAGTTTCCATTTAAATGCCATTTCATTCAAATGGAAGCTTCATGAAGGCTGGGACTTCGTTTATTCACTGCTGCATCTCCAGCTTCCAGAGCATGTGCTAGCACATAGTAGGCCTTTAGTATATGTTTACTGAGCACATGGATGAATTTGCTTCTTTTATGAACTCAGTATAGATTAGTCAACTATTATTTGTACAGTACCTGTTAGGTGCCAGGCACTGTGCAGGGTGCCAGACATCCTTGAATTTGTTGTTAACGTGGCCTACATCACATACCAGTGAGCATGACTTTTTTTTGCATTCTCTGTCAAGTACCACTTTCCTTTTAGGTCATAAAATAGTCTCTTAAAACTGCCAATATTCAGATTCAGTATTACTTTAGAATCTCTTAAGGACAGCTAGGATTCCTAGTTAGTCAATTATGCTCCCTGTGTTCACTTCCCAAGAATTCTACAATACTGTCCTGATCTCTACATGCAAGTACTATATAAGAAACTCAAGTGGTAGGTGTCTATATTATCCACCTCCTCTAAGGTTCAAAGCCAGGTGGAGGTGAAGGTTAGTCAAAGCGGTAGCAAAAGTAAACTCCATAGTGCTAAGAGAATTGTCATATAATCACTGCTTTTCTGTCTTCTTTCGAGAAGACTGAGAAGCAAAGACTAAGCAGTGGCTTACCCGAGACTCCACTGAGAAGGGCCACACAAGGGGCTCTCACCTACCTCTTCCTCTAGAATTACATTTCAAAAACATAAGTATAAGCATGTTCCTCTCCTGCTTGCATTATTCATGATTTCTCCATTGTCCTCAGGTTAAAATTCAAGTTCCTTAATACCTCATTTGCAGAAAAAGAAAAAGAGAAGGTATATGTTCTTACGCATTGCCTGTGAGTTATAACAAGGTCTGGTGTCACTGGCTAGAAGGGAGCCATTGTTTCTTTAATCACAGCACAACTGGGAGTGAACCTCCTCTCATTCATTTACATACTTACTCATTCTTGCCTTGTTTTTCATTCATTCTTTTACTCTTTCGCTTCTTCATCTACTCGATTCTTTTATCATCCATCCATCCATCTATTCATCCATCCATCCATCCATCCATCCATCCATCCATCCACTTGTCCATTCATTGGTCTTCTCACCTACTCATGCAATTTTTATTGTTTATTTACTTTTTCTCTTTCCCTGTTTGAATTCTCACTGGGTTGTCTCCCTGTCCCAGTTACTTCCTTGGATTTTCTCCTAACTTGCTCACTGGCATACTGGATTGGGGTTTGGAGCTGGGGTAGGTCCCCAGTGAAATCACACAACCCAAAACTATCCTATTCACATACCAAGGGGTCACTAAGGAATGGTAGTGGCAAGGAGTGGGAGGCAGAGGAGCTGGCTGTTCTGATTAGCTGTATGGCTTTCCCAAGTCTGTACCCAGAAAGTCAGGTTCTTCTCTAAACGTGAGGGCATGGACTAGATCGGCCATTACCAAACGGGTCTTCCACTGAGTAGTCTCTGTCTGAGATTTGTAGATATGCAGCAAAAAAGAAATTCTCTAGTTCTAGTCAATAAAATTTGGAAAACAGACTAATTAAAAATAAACATTTGATTAATAAAATGTTGTAAATGATGTTTGCACTGCAGAGCTTCTCAGAGTCTCTAGTATGGCAATATGTATCATGTTTCTGTAAGAGAGAGATACAACATGAAGCTCTGACATCTTGAGAATTTGAGTATTCAGAGCAGTTGAGTACCCCTCAATTTGTATAGCCCTTAAAGTTTTCAAGGAGTGAGTTGGGCAACTGACTTGGTCCTTCCAGATGTGAAACTGTTGAATTTAATAAAATACAGTAGTTCTACCAGAGAATAAATGACATCATTAAATCATTACATTTCTTTGGTATGTAATTTGACATAAAACCAGCAGTGGCGATGAGATTTGTGGCGGGGTAGGACTTGGTGACAGAGTGGAGAGGATCACTAAGTCTTTGGCTTTCTTCTTTGCCCTTAGTATGTGCTAAGTACATGTGAATTGTCTCTTAAAAGTTACAAAAAATTATTGGCATAAAGCCATCTATTTATAGAGCACAAGTCACTTAACTACTCAATACACCCATCTGCAAAGTGGATAAGAGGGGCCCAAAATTATTTTCCAGCTCAAATATTTAGTGATTCTGTGATTTGGTTTTTGGTGAATCAAGAGCAGGCCTGACCTGGAATGCATATGGGAATTAATCATGTCATGTGGAACTGAAATAATATTTGTTTTGATTATGCCACTGTTAATTAGGTAAAGTTTACCCCAACACAGGTTGAATGGTACGGGCAGGGGCTTGTAACATTAGAAATGGATCCAAATGAAAATGCATTACTGGAGCAGAGAGCAGAAAGCACCTAAATTCAGGCTTTTAAAATTGGGATATGACTAGAATAGTTTTTGGAAGGGCGAAACCAATCCTGGTGAAGAACAGGCCTGCTGAGCTGGTGCTTGTATATTCTTATTTATAGCATGGTTTCCACCATCCACTTTTGGTTAATGCAATGCAAATAATAAAACTAACGTAATAGCTTATTGACTTATTGACTTGTAAGTGCCATATGTTCTCCTAAGAACTTTACAAATAGTATGCCATTAAATCTTCACAACAATTCATTAGGGAGCTATTTTTCCTGTTATAGGCATGAGGAAAATAAAGCTCAGTGAAGTTAAGTAACTTCTTTGCCATCTCACTTGACTGCCTACGGATTCAAACTCATGCCTGTCTGATTTCAAAGCACTAGTGTGCTGATAAATGTTTAACAACCACGTCTCTGGGGGGAAAAGCACCTTGATTTGTAGTGTTTGCTTATTTCTGTGGTGTATTCTTATCATGATCAATTTCAAGCTACCAGCTTCATGTTATTAAACAGAGAGTTAAAAAGAAATCTGCTCTGTTGGCTGTATGGAGCTGATATGAGCAGACTCCAACATACCTCTGCAAAAACTATACTCTCCCCCTCTACCCTGATCCATTTGTTCATAGTGACGGTCACTGAGGAGTTCTGCCCAGTTCCTGGGTTTAAAACTGAACAGGTAGGGACATACTGTTGGTTTCAGCCCTGTCAGTTGCAAAAGTCTGGAATTTTCTCCTATCGACAAGAAAATAGTGTGGATTATGTCAGAAGAGAGCTCAGCACCCTTAAGTGTTACTGGGTCTAAGCCATCTCTAGACATTTTATGATGATGAAGATGATGATGATGAGCTATAGTACTAGCAGTCATTAAAATAGCAGCTATTTTTCAGAATGTAATATTTGTCGTGGAAGCAAAAGAATAGAGTGGTTAAGATATTCTGCTCTGTAGTTAGACTGAGTGTAGGGGTGGGTTGCCCCTCCACACCTGTGGGTGTTTCTCATAAGGTGGGACGAGAGATTTGGAAAAGAAAAAGACACAGAGACAAAGTATAGAGAAAGAAATAAGGGGACCCGGGGAACCAGCGTTCAGCATATGGAGGATCCCGCCAGCCTCTGAGTTCCCTTAGTATTTATTGATCATTTTTGGGTGTTTCTCGAAGAGAGGGATGTGTCAGGGTCACAAGACAATTGTGGGGAGAGGGTCAGCAGACAAACACGTGAACAAAGGTCTTTGCATCATAGACAATGTAAAGGATTAAGTGCTGTGCTTTTAGATATGCATACACCTAAACATCTCAATGCTTTACAAAGCAGTATTGCTGCCCGCAGGTCCCACCTCCAGCCCTAAGGCGGTTTTTCCCTATCTCAGTAGATGGAGCATACAATCGGGTTTTATACCGAGACATTCCATTGCCCAGGGACAGGCAGGAGACAGATGCCTTCCTCTTGTCTCAACTGCAAGAGACATTCCTTCCTCTTTTACTAATCCTCCTCAGCACAGACCCTTTACAGGTGTCGGGCTGGGGGACGGTCAGGTCTTTCCCTTCCCACGAGGCCATATTTCAGACTATCACATGGGGAGAAACCTTGGACAATACCTGGCTTTCCTAGGCAGAGGTCCCTGCGGCCTTCCGCAGTTTTTGTGTCCCTGGGTACTTGAGATTAGGGAGTGGTGATGACTCTTAAGGAGCATGCTGCCTTCAAGCATCTGTTTAACAAAGCACATCTTGCACCGCCCTTAATCCATTCAACTCTGAGTTGACACAGCACATGTTTCAGAGAGCACGGGGTTGGGGGTAAGGTCACAGAATCTCAAGGCAGAAGAATTTTTCTTAGTACATAACAAAATGGAGTCTCCTATGTCTACTTCTTTCTACACAGACACAGTAACAATCTGATCTCTCTTGCTTTTTCCCACACTGAGTTTAAATCCTACTCTATTTGTGCTTGTTAGCTATGAAATTTGGGACACGGGACCATAATAGTGTCTATCTAATAGAGTTGTTGTGACCCTCTGCTTAGAACAGAGGATTGTATGAGATCAGGAATGTAACAAAATAGTAACTACATGCTCAATAAATGCTATTTTCTATTATGTTACATTCCTGATCTCATATAATCATCACACAAACCTTCTAAAAAGGTATTATTATTCCCATTTAACAATGAGAAAACTGAGGGATGAGGGATCATGGAAAAGACCCAAGGCCGGCAATTTGGAAATGGTGGGGCAAGGACTGTAACTCTGGTCAGTGTAATTGTAAAACCTGTATGTTTATCTTCTAGGCCATATTGAATATACGAAAACTAAAGTAGGAATTTTGTTTTGTAGGCAAATGTTCATCCAGAGAAGAAGTCAAAATGGAGAATTAATACTAGTATAAATGTCTTTACTCCTTCTGAAAGCCCTTCAATATGGGCTTTAGCAAAGATGCCTCTTCTAAGTCCCATCCAGGATGGATGGGAAGGTTGTTGACATGGTCCAAGACGGTCAGTTCTGCCCAGCCCAGGGTGAATTCTGCACCAAGGAGCTAATGTCAAAACACCAAATCCTACCTAAAGTCTCTATTGGAGATGGCTCATTTCCCATATACAAGGCATTTGCCAGCTCCTTTCTTCTCTCTGCAAAACCGGTGCTGGGTCTCATAGCAGATGATATGGTTTGGATTTGTGTCCTTGCCCAAATCTCATGTCAAAATTGTAAACCCCAGTGTTGGAGGAGGGACCTGGTGGGAGGTGATTGCCTCATGGGGCGGACTTCTCCCTTGCTGTTCTTATGATAGTGAGTGAGTTCTTAAGAGATCTGGTTGTTTAAAAGTGTGTAGCACCTCCATGTTCGCTATCTTTTTTCCTTCTCTGGCCATGGAAGATGTGCCTCCTTCCTCTTCACCTTCCTCCATGATTGTAAGTTTCTTAAGGCCTCCCTGGCCTTGCTTCCTGTAAAGCCTACTGAACCATGAGCCAATTAAACCTCTTTTCTTTATAAATTACCCTGTCTCAGGTAGTTCTTTATAGCAATGTGAGAATGGACTAATACAACACAGTACAGAAGCAGCATTATGCTTGGGTACTGGACCAACTGAATCCACTCTCTTCTCATTGATCAGTGGATCAATGTGTGAGTGAGCCAGAGAGCGGGCTTTGAGGCTCTGCTAATGGGGCTTGCTGGGAACACACATATTTTTGTGTTTTTGCCATTGTGGGGAGTTTTCTTTTCTTTGCTCTATACGATACATTTTAGCATTATTTCAATATAGATTGGGCATGGAAGAATTCAGGTTTCAGTTTTTTCTCTTCACATAAAAGCTTGGATTCTCTTTGGATAACATATAGAATGACAGCTTTCAATTAGCTAAAGTCCACTGTGAGGACCACTTAGTGGAAACAGTGTGTCAGTAAAGTGCCATGATGTAAAATCTGCTAATAGCTGCTGAGCAAATATACATTATCTTAGCCACATACATTCTTAGTCACATACATTCTTTGGCTTAGAAAGTTCAGCCCCAAGGTCTGTGACCAATGAGACCTCCACAAGTTATGCTCCACAATATTTCCGTAGCCTGGTATTACAATCCTTTACTAAATAGATCTTAATAAATTAGTTCTCTCATAACTTCCACATGATATATAATCATTAAAAAAATCAAGCTTGTTGATACACATCAGGCACCTTGGTAGAGATTGGGACCTAGAGCCAGGTATGATGCATCTCCAACTTTTGTTCTCATGGCCTTAGTGGGGGAGACTCGTAATTGTAATATAGAAGTGATGAGTGAACAATAGAGTTATATACCTATGTGCTATAGGGGCATTAGTGAAATAGTAACTAATCCACCCTGGAGTTGAATAAGGGAGAGTTGGAACTTCAAGATGGACATTTACAAAGTGTCTCCATTTGTATCCTCAGCCAGCACTCTACTTCCTTGAGGGTGGAAATGTGATTCTCTTTTAGTTTTGGAGTCCTAAGTCCTAGCACAGGTACTTAGTATGTGCTCGATAAATGCAAATGGAAATAAAATAGAAGCGTAGAGAGTTTGACAAGGGCTTCTGGATCGTCAACTGTGCTGTAAAGAAAAGAGTTTAGCTTGAGAGGCAGCAAACTGTAGCCTGTGGATTAAATCTGTCCGTTTTTGTAAATTAGAATTTATTGGAACACAACTACATCTATTTGTTTATATATTGTTGATGGCTGCTTTCATAATACAGTGGCAGAATGGAGTAGTTGTGACAGAGATGGTATGGCCCACAAAGCCTAGCACTTACTGTCTGGCTCTACAGAAAAAGTTTGCTGACCCTTGGTTTAGCAAGTCAAACTCAGAAATCAGAGCCAAGGTGCTTAAATTCTCTGAGACCCAGTTTTTAAAATTCTAAGTGGGGTAATTCAATATCAAGTTGAAGATCAAATGATCTGCTATCACATATTTGGATGTATCTTTTTAGTTATAAATTCCCCTAAAACATGCAACATAATTGAATAGGAACTATCAAGTTTTGTGATTTCTCTCCTTTTTTTGTTGGTGGATTTACCTTCTCTGTTGTGGATTAATACCTATTGGGGCATAGTAAGGTGAAATCTGTGTTTTTTTTTCTTGCACAATTAACATTCACTCAAAGGGCATCATTGGCACCTCCTATAACACTCCTGTAACACCTCCTATAACACTGTGAGCTCCTCCCAGAGCTCACAGTGTGGTGGAGGAGGTCAACATGGTCTTGTTTAAAGTGTGGAATGCAGGAGAATGATATTTTGGTGTCGGTCTGGCTTCTTCTGCAGCCCGCATAAGAAAAAGGTTTCTTTTGCTTACCCCTGTGGCATGAAGAAACTGTAAGGCAAACTCTTTTCCCTTTCCGGGAGAAACCATTAGAAATTTGAGATTCCTCTTGGTGGGTCGGGTCTCACAGGACATGACTTTATTGACTGTGAGTGGTTTTGAATTGTGATCCATGGAACATGGTTCATTGCAGACCCTTCATTTTGAGGTTTCTACAAAGGAGGAAATTCTTCAGGCTGATTCTCTGAATGTGCTAAATGTTACCTGAAGGCCTATAATAGAATGTAAATATGCCACACTCTTAGCACCATTCTTCTCTCTTGTATTTAGAGCAGACACTGTTAATCAATCCCTGTAACTCTTCAGCTCAGCCTAGAGGTAATTACCTTAGAATCTTCCGCAACACAGTATTTCAAGCATCATTTACTATCAATTGACTGTAAAAAGAGAGATTAAATTCATTTGTCCTTTGCCATCCAGGGCCTATGGCATAATGATGATCAGTAGCCTGGGATAGAACAGAGATAGCCTTATCCACAATGTACTGTTTACATTAGATAATCAGTGTTGGTGATTTACCTGAGTTAAAGACTTCAGTCTTAGAGAATCAGGGGTCAACTGAAGACTGAAGAATTTGGAATAAACTTCCCTTGAAGAATTATTTCAGATGTATGTTTCCTATTGTGTAGTAATATAATGACCAGCTAATCAGGCTTTATAACCTACAAAAAAGAATCTTCTGAACTGTAAAGCAGAGATATCCAAACTATAACATGCATTCAGATCTCCTGGGATCCTGTTAAAATGAGATTCTCATTCAGTAGGTCTAGGATGAGCCTCCCGGGGGGTGCGGATTCTGCTGGTCCATGCTTAGAGAGGTAGCCTGTAAAGAATCCTGAGGCAGAGTTGAATGAAGGAAAAAAATCAAGAGACGCTTTAGGAAAACTGAAAAAACTACAGGGCTTCTGAGGGAGACCCTCAGTTATAATATTCAGCCAAAATAACAGGCCAAAGACATTTTAAGGAGTCTAAATATGTACACCACATTTATATTGACCCACAGTGAGATCCTTAACCCAGTATAAACCACGTTTATGTTAACCTACAGCCGGATCCATGTTTCTTTCTACCCTGCTTCATGCTGATGCGGGAGCTCTACCATAATAATTTTTTATGATCACTGCCTATGTGACATAGAGATCTTGGCAAAATTATTCACATCATATCAAGGCGTGTAAGTTACTGTGTGTGCTGGGCTCTTTGGAAAGAGGCCGTATCCCTTCTGGGATTATAATCAGCTTGTTCTCCATATATTACCTATTGGATATTCCAGTTCCTGGAGAACAAAGAGTGCCTGACATTGAGCAACAGCATGAAGAAGGCTCAGTGCTGGTTGGAAGGGTGCCATTGGAGGTGTTATTTACAGCAAAAGCTCCTTGTCATCTTGTCGATATTTCCAATGATAAACCATTGACCCATGTGCTAACTTACAACCTGCTAGAAGGTTCTGTTTTCATTATTTGTGGAAAATGTGATTAAAGGAAGAGAATAGAATTACTTATGGCTATCCTATCTGAATAGCAAAACCTATGTCCATTTTTGGAAGTAAACAACAGTACATAATTCTCAAGGACACAGATAGTGTTCCATGTATTTTCTTACGGAGAATGGTCTACCTAAAGAAGAGCATCTTTCCAGATATTTTCATCAGTCATCAGAGCACAGTGACACTTCAAGCAGAATCCCATGTTTTCTTGAAGAATGTCTGTTCATTAAATTGCTGCCTGAGGATTTACACGGCATACAGATCCATCTCTTTAGCCCCTGTTATATGATGGCTATTGGGGTTAAGGCAAATTCTTGCAATGACTTAGACAACTTTGGAAATGAAGTACCAAAATTTCAGGGAGATTTCCAGCCTAATTTTCTACTTTGCTCCTTCTTCACTCTTGTTCTCCATTTGGCTGTCTCTCTCTCTGGTAACTACCTTGACCTGCTGCCAGTATCCACTAGGAATCTATATTTGTCATATTGAATATGCAATAAACATGAATTTGATCTGTGTATTACATACCCATATAGCAGCTCAAATTTATACAAAGTGACATTTTCACCACAGCTCTACTGAGGCAATAAGCAGAAATTTATAATAGCCTCAAAAGCAGAGCCTTAAAAAAAAAAAAGGGGAAATTTGGGTCAGGATTTCACAGAAGAAATAGCCCTTCCTTGTGTTATTGCCTTGTGTCCCCCTTCTCCATCTTTACATTTTCTTCCTTTTTTCTACCCTTTCTTCTCCATACAAGTGCAGTGCAGAGGATAATGCTTGGGCTCTGGAGTCTCATTCATTTATTCAACCAGTGCATATTAAATACCTATGATATGTCAGATGCTGTTCTGGGCAATGGAAAAAGACCCGCAAATGAAAAGTGGCAATGTCATTGTTCCTGCAAATTTTTCATTTTGTTAGTAGGGGATAAATGTTAAACAAGACCAACAAATGTTAGAGGGTGATAAATACTTAGAAGAAAAATAAAACTTGGTAAGAGACAGAGTGATGGGGTATTATTTTCAGTAAACTTAGCAGGGAGGCTCTCTCTGATGTTCGAGCAGAGCCCTGAATGAATCTAAGTGAATGTCAGGGTGAAGATCATGCCCTGGAGAGGGAAAGAAGCTACAAAGACCTGGAAGTTGCAATGCGTCTGGTATGTTAGAGGAACAGTGCATGGATAAGTAGATTTAATATATGTGCATATATATATTCACTTAGAATGATTTTTAACACATGATGGTGCTCAAAAAATGTCCACCAGAGTCCATCATGTCCCCTTTATAAGATGCCTGAAGGATATTAGGTTGAACCACAGAAAGTTTCCTATTTTGGACCATTTTTAACTTATGAAATAGCAATTTCATATGGTTCAGCTTAGTAACTAAATTAGAACTCTACAAAAAGGGCAGGTCTTTACTAGTCCATTCTTTCATATTAAGATTTCTAATTGCACATTTCCCATCTAATAAAATTCTCCAGGAGGAAACAAGCCCAGTAATAGTTTCTAAACTGCTCTCTAATTCTGCCTTTGTTGTGTATTCACTTTCATATTGGTGCCACATCGAGTACAAGGGCCTAGGGTCATCCCTACAGATCACTTAGTGTTCAGAGCACAGATGTATAACTCACAAATCAAAAGCTTCCAGTGGAACTCTTCTGATTACTTCCTGAATGATTGCAGTGATGCTTATCCCTTTTTGGAAGGTTTGATTTTAGAAGGTTGTTTTCTATTACGTACTTTGCCTCCAATTTGGGGAAGCTTCTGCCAAGTGAACTGTGGTGTCAAGTCTGGGGTAACCACATCCACCCTGCATTTTTTCTGCAGGAGCTCTTCTCTCTGTTACAAGGTTGGTGAAATCCATGGGCTTCACTATTTATTAACACTCATGGATCTGATTAACTAGCGGTCCAGTTTCTTCTCATATCTTAGCTCGGGAGAAACATAGCAAAACAAAATATAACAAAATTATTTTCTGCCCTTCAAAACTTGGCATAAATTAGGAGAGAAAGTGATTAAAGTTCATCAACAGCATAATTTCCCAATGATGTACTTTTTCCAGAGGCATTTTTTTAACTACCTGGCTACCTCTCTTTATCTTAGCTCTTTGCTCTGGAAACTTGGGTTTACTAATTAGCTTACATACTTAAGCTAACTCATTAAAGCCTCAGTTGGCCACTGGCCTTACCTCTCACTCTGAAGGGCCTCCTTTAAACGGGCTATACTGCCTTTCCACAAAAGAGCATGTGAATGCATTTTAAAGACAAGATCAAGTGTTCCAATGAAAAACTAGTTTTGTTATTTCTTTCTCCACCATTCCAACAATAGGAAAAACATCTTTAAGATTTCAGCAAGAGAGAGTAAAAGATTTATGTAAAATTGTCTTATTTGGTGTATAGGGTCACCTGGAATTTCAGGAAAAAAATACATATTAAGAAAGAAGACCCTGCAAACATATTCTGAGATTTCTAACCTTAAGCATCTGCAACCATATTCAAAGGAAGTGGAAAGAGTGAAGTCATAGTGGGAAAGGAGGGAAAGGCAGCTAATAATTACTACACTACACTACACTACACTACACTACACTACACTACACTTTCTATGTGCCAGCCTGTGACCTTATTTATGTCTCAGCCATCCTGAGGGCAGGTAATATCTACATTTTTTTTTTTTTTCTGAGGAGTTTTGCTCTTGTCACAGAGGCTGGAAGTGCAATGGCATGATCTTGGCTCACTGCAACTTCTGCCTCCCAGGTTCAAGCAGTTCTCCTGCCTCAGTCTCCCCAGTAGCTGGGATTACTGGTACCCGCCGCCACGTCCAGCTAATTTTTGTATTTTTAGTAGAGTTGGGGTTTCATCATGTTGGCCAGGCTGGTCTTGAACTCCTGACCTCAGGACATCCACCCGCATCAGCCTCCCAAAGTGCTGGGATTACAGGCGTGAGCCACTGTGCCCCGCCAATATCTACATTTTGCAGATAAAAACTTGAGGCTCACTGGGGTTAATTGGCTTGTTAAAGGTTAAACTGCAGGCAGTAGCAGAACCAGGATTCAAATACAGATCTGTGGGACTTCGGCACTCTGTCACTTTCTGGAAGATATTAAAATAGTCAGTGATTCTGAAGGTGGGCTCCAGGGGTACTTGGAGTTTCCCCCCCCCCTTTTTTTTTGTTTCTTTTCTACAAGGGATGCATTGTAATGGGAGAAGGCTTTTGATTTTTGAGCCTACCTACAAACAGCAGAAGTCTCCAAGAGAGCCAAACAGATGCAAAATTTGCTATTGTCCACCTGACAGAGTGGCACAATGTTTAAGAGCACAGAGTCTGAAATGGAGCTGAATTCCTATCCTGAGTGAGCTTGGGTAAATCATTTAATTTCTCTGATCTTTAGTTTCCTCATGTGTGAAATGGGGATGGTAATCAGTTCTTATTTCAGAGTTTGTCTGGAGCATGAAATGAGTATAAAACATTTTGTCCTAGTGCTGGGCAATAGTTAGCTCATTAGTTAGTAGTGCAACCTGTGGTCAAAATGTCACCATCACCTAGTTCTGGTGATGCATAGGGACACCAGGAATGCATTGTCTCTTGCACAATTGCTGTACAAGTTTTAATGTTGACACATGTCTCCTGGTCTTCTTTCACTTTAGGGACTCAGAATAACTCAGTGCTATAGGAAACAAATCTTTTAAGTAACTTTTAGCATACTCAGCTTACGATTTTACATTGTAGGAGGAAAATTCATTTCCATATACAGACTCTTCAATCCATCGCCAGTGCTACAAGATAAATCAGTGCATCTGTGTTTACTGTCTACTTAACTTCTTTTAAAAGTCTTCCTTACCATTGTGCCTTCATGGGAGAAATACTAGACTGGTATAGCTGGCCTTTGTTGGTTTGACTCTCTAGCATTCAGTCTCCTTCCTTCTTCTCAAGGACTCCTGATTTCCTTTGGGATTTCCCAGAGTTCCACATTAGTTGTCTGCACTCCAGGCTGCAGGAAAGGAGTGCATGACCCAGGCTAAGTCAATGAGTCCATCCCCTGCCTTGACCTCCGTGATTCATTGGCGGGGGTAGGAGGTATGTGACCCAAGACATTCCTGTGAGGGTGAATCTCAGGATTTTGCCAGGAATATTGAGGCAAAGACCCATACACTTTCCTACTGGATGCAGAGGGAAAAACACGTGGGCCTGGAAACTGCAGACAGCCATCTTGCAATCATGGTGGTGGCTGGTCTTGGGGCAAAGTTGACCCTGGAGAAGGCAGAGTGGAAAATGGGAGAAGCCCAGTTCCTGGTCATATCATTGACCTGATCAAGCTTTCCTGAATCAGGTATCATCTCTCTACTTTTCTTTAATGAAAGTAGAAACACATTTTTGATGTTAAAGCCTTTCAACGGAAAAATTCCCACTGGACATAGCTAGAGGCAGTCAGCCAGTGTTGCTGGGTGAGTTCTACAAGATCTGTAACCCTTGGCACTATTCTCTCTCAGTCTCGATCTCCAAATCTGTAAATTGGAATTGCATGAGGTGAATATTAAAGTGAAAATACTTTTAAAGCAATAGAGTAACAATTATAAATGTAAGACATTATTATGGTAACTAGTATTATATGTTGACATCATAATGAATGATTCTCTTTCTTTGATACCAAAGCCTCGGGTTGACAGCTTGGGTTTGAACCCCAGGCTACAGGCAGCATCCCAGACTGCATTTGTTGTATTTTATCCTTACAGGTTTTGGTAGGTGATGGAGATCTGTGGATTTCACAGAGAACCTACCTGATGGTTTGTCAAATCACCACGAATAGGTTTACTCTTGAAAATAGCAAATACTATAATCTTCAAGCCAATGATTTCTTTTTCTTTAATTTTCCTTGACCTGGATTTTAAGATTTTAAGTCCAAGTTCTCTTTATCAGGGTGTTAAAGCAATGTAATGATAACAGTGATGAGGTTACAGTGCATCCAGATAACTCCGTGAAAGGAAGTCAAATATCTTTGATCCAGAAACCAAGAACAAGGATGAGTGATCATGTAGCACTATCTAACAAGTAGATTTTCTTGGTATGGAAAGGTAAAAGAAGAGAAAATTATGTTGATTGAGTAACTGTCATATACTCAACACTGTGTCAGGTGCTTTTCTGTGACGTCTAAATTAATCTGGTAATGAATCTGTTATCCCATAGGAAGGAACTCTCTGTAAACCCCAGACAACATTGAAAAGAGAACTGCCAGATCAAGATTTCCCTGGTAGCTTATTTGTAATACCCTTCACTATCCAACATGATACAAAATGGAAACATCACCACAGTTGGACTCAGAAGCCCTGGGTTTTATTCACTCAACTTCCCATGACCTCAAACTTTAACTTGTTAAATTGGCATAATTAAACTGCTACTGCCCGTTTCATAGACTTTAATATAGGATTAGGATTAAAGGAGGCTGCATATGTTAAACAGTGCAATATGCTACATATTATTATTTTTATTAATGTCAGATAATAGTAAACTTAGTGACTTCTTATGCTAATTTTGATTTCAATTGCTGTGTCTGATTTGGAGATTCTTCATTTAAAATACTTTTTTACTTTTTTGTTTGCAAAACCTAAAGAGAAAAAATTATTACAGCAAAACAGAAAAATATCACATGTAGGATTTCTTTATTCTCTAAAAGCTTCAGCCATCCCTACTAAGGATGATTCACAATTTAAACACACATGGTTTTATCCAAGTGTAGTCAGTTATGTGAAATATGACATACTGTAGCACCTTAAAGGAAAAGATGCGTGTACTCATGGATACAAGAGATATAAATTTATCTCTTTTGTTCATAAACTACACCTCATATACAAAGCCCTGGGAAGACTGAAAAACAAAATAAAACACAAGACAACAACAGAATACAGAGAGGTAAAGCTCTGATTGCATCACTGTTCACAATATCCCATCCAATGCCAGACTACTTAAACAGCTACTCCTTAAGTGCTCTTATATCAAGATAGCAGTTTCCAAAGAGTTGAGACTTTTTATTCTTGTGTTCTAGATGAGAGCTGTCTAAAGGAAATAAAATGCAAACCACATAAATAGTTTAAAAATTTCCAGCAGCTACATTAAAGAAAAAGTAAAAAGCAGTGAAAGTAATTTTAAGGATATATTTTATATATATCCATAAAGTTATTTTAGCACATAATCAACACAAAAATTATCAGTGAGATATTTTGCATTCTTTTTTCAACGAAGTCTTCAAAATCTGGTGTATATTTATATCACACCTCGATTCAGACAGCCACATATCCCAGGTGCAATAGCCAGATGTGGTGAATGGTTACTGTATTGAACAGGGCAGCTCTAGATTTTTCTGTGTGGGATTTTGGTACTCAGCAAGACCTGGGTTTGAATACCGATTCCATCCCTTATTTTGTGCATGACTTTGAACAAGTTACTGTCCTGCAGAGTTGTCATGAGACTTAAATGATATGAGTCGCATGAAAGTGCACCTCTCCTAGCATCTGCCTATAGTAAGTGACTGCTGGTTGTTATTCTCGTTCCAACTATTTAAAATAAAGGTGAAAGGTGGGGTGGGAGGAAAGGCAGAGGTATTAGCAGCAGTAACACCTGGATGGATCACCCCACTCCAGGAACTGGGCACAAAAAGCAAGGACTGAATGGTTAGAGAGAGGGCGAAGGCACTGAGCTGGGTGAACAGATGGAGGCCAGGGGGCATTTTCAGATTAGGGCTACGTGGTTACTACCTGGACACTTGAAAAGCTGAATCATCTGTCTTTTTCATGCCAATCTTAAAGGTTAAACAATGTCACTCTGTTCAGAGATCTATCAGGGATGATGAAATGACTCAAAATCATGCCTCATGATTGAAGGTTGAATGAATGGTTGAAGGAGTTGATTATATTTCTATTCTTTTAAACTATTTTTTTTTTTGAGACAGGGTATTACTTTGTCACCCAGGCTGGAGTGCAGTGGTGCAAAGATGGCTCACTGCAACCTCGACCTCCCGGGCTCAAGTGATCCTCCCACCTCAGCTCCCCAAGTAGCTGGGACTATAGGTGCGCGCCACCACGTCTGGCTAATTTTTATATTTTTATAGAGATGGGGTTTCACCGTGTTGCTCAGGCTGGTCTCAAACTCCTGAGCTCAAGTGATCTGCCCACATCGGCCTCCCAAAGTGCTAAGATTACAGGCGAGAGCCACTGTGCCCCGCCTATGTTTCTATTTGAAAAAAGAGAGATTGGGGAGAACACAGTCTTTATCTTCAAATAAATCAGCTTTGTCTGGCATTAAGAAGCAGAACTAATGTGGAAACTACAGGAAGGAAGAGCCCAGCTCAACCCAGAAATAACTTTTTTTTTTAAAGCAGAGATATTCTGAAAATGTGATGAGTTGCCCTGTGAGGTTATAAGCATTTTGTCGGAAGATGAGCTACCACTTTACCACTTGGTAGGAACACTGTGAGGAAGGATCAAATGAAGCAGCAAAGCACTGTGATAATCTTTATATTATCATTATTGCTCATATTAGGTAATGGTAAATGCAGTGACCACTTAACGTGAGTATAACTGGACAAGATGAGCAGTGAAATTCTTTGAATCCTCATAGTCTCTCAACTACTACTCCTTCCTTGGGAATATTGCCTAATTATTCAACATTGGACTCTCTTTTTTAAGGATATGACATATGGAAAGTTAAGCTCTGGCTGTAAGAAGAGTGACTTCCCAAGAAGCAAAGTGAGTGTCTTTCTTGCTCCAGTAAACATTTCAGTCCTAGCCACGCTGGCAACACCTTGTCTCCTAGCTTGATGGACCCTGTGTGAGTTGGGATACTGTCCCACATTGCAGGTTCATGGGACACATTCTGTATCCTCAAGATACTCTCTCCTCTTGGTTTCTGGGGTCTTTATCCCCATTTTCTTATTTCTGTCCCTCTCTTCCCAGATTCCTACTCCTCACCTCCAGGGGTTTTTGAGGGTCTATCTCAGGCCCCCTTCTCTGCTCTCTGTCCCCACTCTTCCATGGTGATCTTACCGATTCTCTTGGTCCTGCTCTTAACTGCCACATCTTTTCTTTCTAGTTAAGATTATCCCCCTTAGTTGCCCACTGGAAGTTCTCACCTGATGTGTCAGAACTCATCTCACCCAACATCATGAGAGACGCCCTCGTCCTCTCCCTTGTCCCAGTTAGACCCTGAATTCGTTCCTAGGTTCCTCCTTTTTGCCTCCTGTAGTCAGTCCATCACCAGGAACTGTGGATTGGGTCCTGTCTACATTTCTGCTCCTCTTCCTCTCTCCTCTCTCCCCGGGGCCTCTCCTGTTGTCTTCTTAACACAGTGACACACATCATTTTCTTCAGGGCCCTAGGACTTTATAGAGGGGGCTCAGGCATGATCGTGCTGTTGAAAGGAGGCCCAGTAGCCCCCTTCCTGGCCCTAGATCCTACCTTCCACCAAGCGGCTGTGCTTTCATCTGTGTCACACCATGAGGGCCCACTTAAGATTTGGCTTGGAACAAAGGGTGCTGATATATTTAAAAAACAAGCAGGAAAATCACCCTTTTGCTGGCTTTCCAGCCTGTAGGCACCTTTCTCTTCCAAGGCATATTCCAAGCACACCAGAGAGATTTTTTTAAAGTGAAAGTTTAATCATGTCATAGTCACCTTTAGAACATTTCCTTGGATCCCTATTACCTACAGGGTAAAGGTCAGCTTGCCTATTAAGACTGCAGTGATCTGATCCTTGTCTCTCCCTTCACCTTTCTCTAAGAGTGCCCCTTCCCTCCCATGGTCAGATAATTTTTGATTCCCTGAATAGTAGGATTGTATCAGGCATTTGATCTCTTAGCTTCATGGGAATTCCTCCGAGCTACCATCTGCCTGGTAAAAGTCAGCCTATCTTTTAAGACTTGGTTCAAGAGTCATCTCCTCTCTGAAGCTGTTTTTAAAAAAATGTTTATTTTTAAAAAATTTTATGGGCACATAGTAGGTATATGTATTTTGAAGCTTCCTTGTTTGCACAAGCAGAAATAGCTGTTCCTGACTTTTGTTCCCATTCTCTGTACCTTATATACAGGTACCTGCAACATGTAGCACTCTGAATGGTTTGTCTCCTTCCCCCATCCCATAGTGAGCAGGAAACATGGCTGTCTTGATTGTATTTGTTTACATAGTGGCCAGCACAGGGCCTGGCCTGTAGTAAGTGCTTAGAAAATGTTGACTGAGAGGAAGTTTGAACCCAAGGCTTAGATCTCAAAGAATGAAGCTGTGCAGATGGACTGGTACTAAGCCCCTTTACAGGAGGCAAGAGGTAATACTTTCTTTAAGTTTTCCATTGTGGCAGTAGACTATATAGCAACGAGCAGACCTTCTGACACCTGACATTAGTTTGTAAATGCATTTGTTTCTATGAACCTAATACAATCAAATCAGATTCTGTCCAGTTTTCCTGGATTTGATTTTTGGACAATGTCTTATCTTAAATAAATTTAAAAAAAACCAGAAATATGATTTGTGCTGAGTTTTGTACCTATAAACTCATTTTACTTTCTTTATCTTGCTTGATATTTACAACAATCTCATGAGTTGGGTGGGGTTGACGATACTGGAATTTTGCAGACATATGGAACCAAATGCTCAGATATCACACGACTTGCCCAGAGTCACACAGCTGGTAGCTAATAGGGTCGGATATTTAAGTCTTTTTATTTCAAGGCCAGTTAATTATTCATGTGCATCTGAGGTTCCCACTGCCACTAAAGCAGCACCCTTCTGTTTTGTTGAACATGACAGAGAAATAGGTCACTGGGGTCAGAAAAAATATTCTTATTGACACACCTGTCTGACACTTGCTCATTGGGAGACAGGGGTTTTCCATCATTTTGTTGACTTGCTCCCCCATTCCTTGCCTCTAGGCTTCCCTGTGTGGGGCTGCCAAGACCTTGCAATGGTCATTGCAATTTGTTGACAAATAACAATGATGCTCCTTGTCTTACTGTCAATTTTACATCCTCTGGGTTTGCCAAGAGAGCCCGACATGCCAGGAAGGGCTTTGTTGTGGTCTGTGACTCACTGTGTCACTCCCCTGCCGCTCCCTGGGTGCAGGCTATTACAGTTTGCCAATTGCACAATTTCAGAACATCTTTGGGTAAATTGGCAGAGGATGAAAAAAAAAATCCCAACTCAACAGACCAAGGATTCAGCCACTGCTACATGAAGCAAAAGGCATATCACCATAGGAGAGTTACTCTAATCTCATCTGCAAATTGCTTCTGTCATCATCCAGAGATTTATGGAGGCCTTCATTACTGGAGGGAAACCATTTTTCCTAAGTGGTCCCATCAACAAGGTCTTGAATGTCCTGTGGAATGACAGATGTGAGAAGGAGAAAGGACCCTTCTTCCTTATTCGGAAGTAGCTCAGTTCAAGTCCTGTTGGTGAGAGGCGCTGCTCGCACGGCCTGCTCAGAAGTTACCTTAGGTGTTTAAGATTTGGTTCTTCTGCTCAACAGTACCCGAGAGTGTCATTTTTGGAGGGTGTGTGTGTGACTTTATTAAGACAGCAAAAAGGTCATTTGTAAATTGGAATTTCAGTAGGAAATAAAGCACTTCTGTTTCTTCATAGGTAATGTATATGTGATAAATCATAAATTGTCCATAGGTGTGACTAGAGTTTATCTCAATTACAATGTTAATTGCCACTCAGTCTTCAAAAGGTCACTGGTAAAACTCTTAACCTGGAGAGGTAAAGGGAGTTAGTGTCTGGATATGATCAGTATCCTCTCCTTCCACCACCATCTGCTTCATGAATGCATTCACTGGTTATTGGATAAGTGCCTGCCCTGTGCCATCCCTCTGAACAGGATGCCTGAGGGTCCATAGTGAGGAATGAGATACAGTTCATGTTCTTAAGAAGCTCCAAAGAGAGAGAGACAGATCTAGGAACAGATCATTGTAATACACCGGGCTAAGTGAAGAATCTGAAATACCCACAAGATGCTTTGAATGTAGAGAGGAACATTTCCTAGCATGAGGAATCAGGGAAGTTTCTTGAAGGAGGCGATGATGCTTAACATGTCTTAAGCAGAACTTCCCTTGGATTTGTACAAGAAGGATCCCTGCCCTGGGCCCCAAGACTTAGAGGGCCCCCCTCTGGCCCTCCTCCAGCTGTACCTGTCCCCATGGATGGAGGAGACCATTTGTCTAAGAGGAAGACCCATCCACACCCAGGACTTGTGCCCCTCCACCTCTTCTAGACCACACTCCAGATAGTTTGAACCCTGAATTTTATGCCCCAACAACTCAGAGCCTACTTCTGGGTCCTGTGTGAGCCTCTTTCCCAGGTCCTTGGGCTGACTGCATCACTTGGTGAACCCCTGGGCCTGAAAAGTGGTCATATAGAGTGTTTGGGGAAGACACAGATGACGTTTGGACATTAGGGCTAGAGCAACCAGTTATATGCATGGAAGGTGGACAGAGCACTGCAAGACAGAGATATGCATGGAAAAGAAGAAAGCAGCTCAGGGTGAAGGCAAGGCTCTCTCTCCTGTGTCTCCTGGTTCTAGTGCAGAGCCCTGAGGTGTCCCAGAAGTCTAAACTTGAGCCTAGCCTTCTAGATTGATAATGCATATTTTTCATGGTAGGAGAATAGAGCATATTTCAGTCAACAGGAAGCTAGCTTGACTTATAACTTTTCAATAGTTGAGCCATTTGCTACTTGCGCCTCTGTTTCAACTTCTGTCCCGGGCCTTACAAATCTTAGGGATCTGCCTGATCTTAGGACTGAGTGTGGTATATCCAGGCTGTACACTGATTTAGGTTTTTAGGTATGAATGAGACCTTTAGCCCTCAAGGGGCTCCATTTTATTGGGGATACAGGCAAGTGACCAATCACAGTAATAGGTACTGACAGAGCAGTATGAGTGTGCTTAAGATCACAGTAACATGTTGAAAGGGTAGTCTATACATGAGGGATGGAGGAGAGAGAGAGAGCTGTTCTACTGGAGAAATGAGAAGCTGGTTAGAAAAGCTTTGTAGAGGAGCTTTTCAATTTGAGCCTTGAAAGATAAGTATGTGAGTCTGGTGTGAGAGTGCAGAAAGAAATTTTAGGAGAGACCTAAAAAAAAAAAAAAAAACCTTGATATTTCAACACAGTGGGAGCACAGCGTGTGAGCAGAGAGAGAAGGGCAGGAGCTGAATCATGAGAGGTCTTATAGGTCCTGCTAAGGAGGGTCTTACCCTGTAGGCCATGGGGACTTCTTAATGGTTCTAAGTAGGGGAGTGGGGGTGGTTAGCTCCCCCTCTTAGAAAGATCCTTCTGGCGACTGAGTGGAGAGCAGATTGGAGGGTCCAAGCTTGGGTTTCAGCCTCTCTGCTCAAAGTCTGTTCTCATGTGTGCGTAGATGTGCCCGTCAGACTTCTGTTGGGCAAGTTCAGCAGTTTGCATCCCAGATACTAGAATCGCTTGGGGGATCATTTAAAAAACATCAATGCCTGGCCCTGGCACAGACTGATTAAATTAGAAGCTTTGGGGCTTAGTTGTCTATAATCTTTAGAAGTGTCCCAAGTGACTCCTGTGCACACCGAGGACTGATAACCACTGTGAACAGTTTCTATTTGGCACCATATAGATTGGTGTGAACTGATTATATTTAGGAGGTCCGCGCTAACCCCCATCCGCTCTGATATGCAAATATTTCCTTCCCTGTTTCTTGTGCTTTGGTGATTGGAGGGATATTTATAAACATTTCTGGCTTTACTTGGGAAAAATGACTTCTGGTTTTGAGTGCCACATGGAATAGCCTCTCTTACGACCCAGAAGTTCTTGCCTTAATGGTGGATTCCCATTTCCCACCTGCAAAGGTCTCCATGGGCTGCAGAAGCTGGGAGTGAAAATCGCCTACTTGGTACTCCTTTTGGATTTTGCAACTTAACTGTTTCATATCCACCCACAGGTAGGTTCCCTTCAAAATTGGTTGCCTCATTTCTCAAAGGAGTATTTGCCTGTTGGGCTTAAAAGAATGCCCTTACATGTCAAAGCCCATGGAAACACCATGGTGGCAAACTCCCTTCCACCTACCTGTGCAGAAGGTGAGTAATGCATGAGCTTGGCGGTACGGAGTGTCCCAATCCCATCTGAACTGAGCTGGAACTCAAGGGAAAGTCTATCTCCTTCTCGGTTGCCCCCACAGCTAGGGCATCATGGAGATGACTGCCCTGTCAGATCCTCTTACAGGCACTGTGGTCCTCTGTAGAGTACACTTGGATCATCATTGCCCTTGAGTCCTAGGTAGTGGGAGAAGGCTTTCTCAGAGAAACTTCCTACTCTGTCCCATGTCCTAGAGTGGACAAGTGCTGCAGAGGGAAGGTGGAGGACCTTGAATTTGGGAGAGCATGAAGGTGGGGCCTGAATCCACCATATCTAACACTTTGCATATATTAGGGAGGTGCTAATTTGTGAAACGAATGATTGGAAGACATATCCATGAAACTGGGCCACCACAGGGAGCAGGCTGGCCCCTTCAGTGCAAAATGTGGATATCTTTTTTCCCTTCCTGTCCCTAAGTGAAAGATTAGGTCACATCCCCCCATGTAGCTGGAGGAACAGAGGTCTCTGCAAGATCTGGGTTCAACTAAAGGGCTTAATTAGATAACTGGAAAGTCTCCTCTAACTTCAAGATTCTAGAACTCTGACTATATGCCAAGGGAACTTTAGCCTCTGTATCTCTCAGCTTTACTTGATACCAGCTGTGCCCAATGGAGGCTCTGACATTTGTTTTTGCTACTAATGCCAAGTGTCCTCACATCATTGTGCCTTTCTTCTGCCCTGTGGAATCTACTTCTTCCCATGTGGGTTATTTATAACCTTATAAATAAGAGTAATTCCTTATTTTATAGCAGTGAATATTGAATATGGAAAACTTAGTGGCAAACAGAGAGAGTATAAAGAAATAAAAATTGTCTAGTAATCCCATCAATAGATAATTCCATTATTCACATTCCCTTCCTGTCATTTTTCTATGCATATATAAATATATCCTAAAACAAAATCAAGATTTATATAACATTTTATGTTCTTCCTTTTAAATGTATTATATAATTTTTGTATAATGCATAATTTATTATATAATGTATTATATATTATATATAAATATAATGTTTTATGTTTAAATGTATTATATATTTTTCCATGTTTTAATTTTTGAAATGACTAAAATATATTCACAAGTAATGGTTGTTGACTATGGAAAAATTGGGGAATAAAGATAAGATAAAAATCAGAATCTCAACAGCTGGTGATAATTGCCGTTAGGTTTTTGTGGTCTATCTAGGTATATATATATTTTTTTCTATGATAAATTAGGTCTGTATGTGCTCATAGCAATAAACGCATGTCAGAAAAATTCAGGCAGTACAGAAAGGAATAGAATGATGAATCTCCCCTTCCATTCCCTTACCTGGGTTCTCAACTCTGTAACTTACCACTGTTTACAGTTTCTTTGGTATCCTTTAAAGAGATATATGTATATGAAATCACATTCTATCTGTAGCTATATATCTTTATTTTCCACAATGAAATAATATTCTTTGTTCTGTACTTTTCCCTGTTTTTTTTGCACTAAATATCTAAGAAATCTTTTCATACCAGCACAAACAGATATTCCTAATTCTTTCAAAAGCCTATATGATACAGCTATGCTATAATTAGGTCACTTAACCAGTCTGCATTGATTAAAATCTAGGTTGTTTCAAGTTTGTTTAGTTTATGCTGTCATCACATTGCAGTAATAAACATCCTGTGTCTATATTTTTATATATTTCTCTCTCTCTCTCATTTTCTCTCTCATACACTTCCCACACCCCTGGATTTTGCTTTGAAAATTATATTTCTAATATTTTCCCCCACTCAGTAATATATGACCCTCGTTTGTAAATAAACCTACTTCTGTACTATTTTTAAATGACTATATTGTATCGCATGAGACAGACATACCATAATTTATTAAATAGTTTCCTATTGCTGGGCATTTGGATGTACCACCTTTGCTTTCTCTCTCTCTCCTTCCTTTGCTTTCTTTACTCTGCCCCCCGCCGTTATTCTCAATATTGACATACATCCTCATAGCTAAAATCTTCATGCTAGTCTTTAATTATTTTCACGAGTTAAATTTTTGGTGGCAGAGTTACCAGGTCAAAATATTTTTAGGTTTTAAAATACATATCACCAAATTGCAGTTGAAAAAAGTCTACCAATTTAAACTTCTACCATTAGTACATAAATGAGAATGAGCCCATGTCTCTACCTCTCACATCTTCAAATTTAATACTTTTTAACACTTTCTAATTTTATATTTGATAATCATTGTGCTTTACTTTGCATTTCCTTAATGGTGATAAACTTTTAAATGTATTTATCGGACATTTATATTTCATGCTTTGGTCTTGTTTTCCCATCTTGACTCTGCCCATCTTAAAACTTAGAGAGTTTGTTTTCTTAATTTGTAAAATCTGTATTTTATGGATAATTAATCTGATGTCATGTATATTGCACATATATTATCCCAGGTGCCAATGTTTAAAATTTTTGAGGATCAGTTTCATCCTTCGTGATTGCACCTTTGAGCGCAGTGCTTAGGAATGCCCTCCCCTCCTGTCTAAGATTATATCCATATTAACATGTGTTTTATTCACATTTGTATCTTTAATCGCTCCAATACTTGTTTGTATGCTTTCCCCCAAAGTAGTCCCCAAACAATGCCATTTATTAATTTTTTTCCCTTTTCAGTTTTAAGGGCTACTTGCTCTAAAATAAACTTGAATTTGTTTTTGAACTATCTATTGCTTTCTATTGATCTACCTACTTATTTCAGCTTCATTGCCATCTATTTATTGTCCTAGTAGGGAACATTTTAACATCTCATTGGGCAAGCTTCTCTCTCAGTTCTTTTCTGGATGTGGATCCAATAGATAAAATTATAACGGGTGTGAAAGTTATAGGAAGATAGCTTTGGTTCATTGAAACAACTCAATAACCAAGCTGTTGAGAGGGTTCTAGCTTTAAAGGGGGAAATAGGAGGGGCAAGTATCAGTAATGTAAAGAAGCATGAAGGACACACTAGAACCAAACTGTGATTTTCTTTGTGAATAATTAAAAGCATTGAAAATGAAAAGGAAGTAATGGTCTCATTCTCTAAGAACATACGCAATTCAGATGTTTTGCCTAGAATCATTTCCCTCACTACTGGTGGTACCTGTCCTTCAGCTTGGGAAATTCCGTACCTCATTGGGTTATTGTGAGGACTAATGAAGAATAATTATCTAGGTGACCTTCTGGCACATACTGGTGCTCAGTACATGATAATTATTAAAGATGAACTGGTGAATTCTTAAGGAAGAAATCTCCCCTTCTCCAGGGCTTTTCCAGCACAGGCTCAGTGGGTGATGTGACAAAAGCAGTCTTTCTCAGACCTGAATGTGCACAGGACTCACCTGCCAATCTTATTAAAGCACAATTTCTGATTCATTGGGTTTAGGCTGGGGCCCGAGATTCTGAGTTCCTAACAAACTCCAGGTGATGCTGACACTACCGGTCTGCAGACCACATTTTTAGTAGCATGTTTGTAGGAGAACTGAAGAGTTAGATTCAAGACCATACTAGATGATGTAAGATCCATTTCAGTTTCCAGATCCTTTCAGTCTGTATTGAGATACACCATTTGCAATTCTAGAAACAGGAACACCAGGGAGGGGTGCAGATGGTGTATATTGAAAGAATTATATTAATTTTTTATAGATAATGCTTATGCTACAAAATTTAAAAGGCACAGAAGCATACTCAGTGAAAAACGAATTTCCCCCCTTGTTCCCTAGCCACTCTGTTTCTTTATTCAGAAGATTGATCATAACCAATTCTTTTGTGTATTTTTTCCAGAGGTAATCCATGCATGTACAAACATATTTTCTTTTCTCTATTATTTTTTATACCTGGCTTTTTTCACCTGAAAGTATATTACAGAAATTATCTTAGTACAGATGGGGCTGCTGCAACTTTTTAAATAACATATGGATACGTTATAATTTAATAACATATGGATATATTATTTTTAAATAACATATGGATACATTATAATTTAATTAAGCAGTCCCCATAGACTGCTTTATGTAAGTACTGTTTCCAAAAAGTTGTACAAAGGCTGTTGCAGTGAAAATATTTGAACACTTCTCATTTCAGACAAGTAGAATAAAGTCTTAGAAGCAGAATTGCTGGATCAAAGGACACGTGTTTTTAACATTTTGATGGATAGTGCCACATTGCTCTTCATGGGTGTTTTGGCGATCCCCAGTCCCAGCAGACATGTCAGGGATGCTTCTTTTCCCACATCCTGGCCTATGCAATATGTTACCAAATATTTTGAACTTTGCCAAAATGGTAGGTGATAAATGATATCTCATTTTGATTTTAATTTGCATTTCCCTAAGTATCAGTGATACTGAGACACCCTTATCAATGGCTTGGGAAGCATTTGCATTTTATTTCAAGAACTATCTGTTTACATTCTTTCTTAATGATTTGTAGGTGCTCTTTTGTAAATTCAAAAAAGTTAGTCATTTACCTATGATATGTATTGCAAGGATTTTCCCCAGATTGCTTTTATTTTGACTTAAAAAAGGCAGATGTAGCAATTTTTATGTAGTCTCACATATTAGTTTTTTGTTGTTTTTGTTTGTGTTTTCTGTCATAGTTAGAATGACTGCCTTCCCTACTTTGAAAATGTAAAAAATGATTCTTCTTTGTTCTAACATTTTTAAATGTTATTCTTTCATGTTTAAATCTTTGACACACCTAGAATTTATCTTCATGGAAGATGTGAGGTATGGATCCAACTTTATTTTTCTTTCCAGATGCCTTCCTAGTTGGGAAAACATCATTTATCAAAAAATTCTTCTCCAACCCACTGATTTAAAATGTTACCTGTCTTCACATGTATCCCAATATACATTTGTATTTATTTTGAACTTTCTTCTCCATTTTTTTTTTTCTTGGGACAGAGTTCCACTTACTCTGCTGCCCAGGCTGGAGTGCAGTGGCAGAATCTCTGCTCACTGCAACCTCCGCCTCCCGAGTTTAAGCGATTCTTCTGCCTCAGCCTCCTGAGTAGCTGGGATTACAGGTACACACCACCATGCCAGGCTCATTTTTGTATTTTTAATAGAGAAGAGGTTTCACCATGTTGGCCAGGCTGATCTCGAACTCCTGACCTCAAGTGATCCACCCTCCTCAGCCTCCCAAAGTGTTGGGATTACAGGCGTGAGCCACCGCTCCTGGCCTCCTCTCCATTCTATTGATCAACCTGTTCTTGAGACTATCTCACATTATTTTAATTTTTAATAGATTTTAAAACATTAAATACCTGGTAAGGCTGGTCCTACTCATTACTCTTTTCTCCCCTGCCCCCAGACATTTTTTGTATTACTCTTATTTATTTCCTATGTAAATTTTAGAATATTCTTGTCTGGTTAAAAAAAAAAAATCCCATTGTTATTTTTTATTGAAAATGTATCAAATTTGTAGGTTGATTTAAGATAACTGATTTTTAAAAAGTGATATCAAGTGTTCTTATTGAACAGCATAGCATGCCTTCTGCTTGCTTTCTCTTTTTCTGAGTAGCATTTAAACATTTTTTGTATGTAGATCATGTAGGTCTGTTTTCCTCATGTTGACCTTGTCTATTGCTAGGTCTTTTATCTTGTTTTTGTATCATACATGGGGTTTTCCTTTTATTAGATTTTCTAATTGGCTCTTGTTTGCATATATGAAAGTCATTGGTTTCAGTATATTAATTTTGTATTCATCCACCTGAAGAATTTTCACATCGTTTCTAAACATTTGTCAATTGCTTTTCTTGAATTTTCTTTTCTTTTTGTGGGGAGGGGTATTTCTTTGGTGCTTACATGAAACGTCATGGTGGTGTTGAGACTGAAATTTCTGTTTCAATGCTATTCGCTTTGGCATGATTAGTGCATTTAATATCAACAGGGAGAGTTCACGATGTTTTCCAGGGGAAATATTTTTGATTATTTTCATTTCTCTGATGCCACCGCCAAAAACTCAAGAATTTATAAATCCTGAGGTTTAAGCTTATTGTTTACCTTGGATTGTCTAAGCAAATAGTGATATTATCTGCAAGTGTTAATGAATTTATTGCCTCTTTTTTATTTCTTAACATCTATTATTTCTATATCTTAGCTATTGTGCTGGCAAATAGCTCCAAAATAAGTGTAAATACTAATGATGGTAAAGAACTACCTTGTCCTATTTCTGACATTGATGGAAATGCTTCTTCTGTTTTCCTGAAAAGTATGATGCTGCATTTTAGGTTGGGATATAGCCTTTGTACCATTGAATAAGTATGCATTTTTATTTATTTATTTTTTGTTGTTT
This sequence comes from Homo sapiens, assembly GCF_000001405.40. Lineage (NCBI taxonomy): Eukaryota > Metazoa > Chordata > Mammalia > Primates > Hominidae > Homo > Homo sapiens. The sequence goes on along the minus strand of NC_000009.12, from coordinate 108,570,776 downwards.
TTTTGAGACTAAGTCTCGCTCTATTACCCAGGCTGGAGTGTGGTGGTGTGATCACAGCTCACTGCGGCCTCCATTCCTGGACTCAAGTGATCCTCTCACCTCAGCCACCTGAGTAGCTGGGACTACAGATACGTACTACCACACCTGGCTAATTTTTGTATTTTTTGTAGACGTTGGGTTTTACCATGTTGTTGAGGCTGGTCTTGAACTCCTGAGCTCAAGTGATCTGCGTGTTTCCGCCTCCCAAAGTGATTACAGGCATGTACCACCACACCTGGCATATTCTTATTTTAAAAATAGTTTTCTTGGGTTTTGGATTTTCCAAACACCTCTCCAGTGTTTATAGGGATGAGCACATGATTTTTCTTTTTTGATCTATTAATATGATGAATTATATTAAACTGTATGTGAAATCATATTCCTGGTGTCTAGTATGTGAAGGATTTCCTCTGCAAAACCTTACTCTTGTTTTTACTACACTACCGGCTAGCTTTCTGTGAACCTTGGAGGTGGATTATCTAGGGTTATGCATATGTGGTTATATTGTTTGTTTGCTTGCTTTCTCTTTTTACTCTCAGGTTTCCTTTTGTCCCCGAATGGTACTCTTAGATCAAGCTGTTGGGGTGGTTTTTAGTTCAAGCCTGATGTCTCCTACTAGAGCAGCTCATTTTCTGTGGCCCTTGGCAAACTCTGCTCTTCAGTGCTCAGCTAGAAAGACAAGGAGGGTGAGGATGTGGACATCTGATTTTCTGCTTCTGACAGCACAGAGCTGCTGGGGGCTCCTTCTGACTTCCCTGGCAGGAGGCACCCAACATCAGTCTTTACACATGTGCCAGACCAGTTGCCTCACAATAGAGCCCTAGTCAGCAGCTGGCCTCCCAATACTGCCCAGGGCAAGACCATCATCCACTGATTCAGTGAGTCACAGCCCGGGATGAGGACTTGGCCAGGCTGGTCTAACACACATCCTCAGCAGTTTCTCCAGGTGCCGAGTCAGCCCAGCTGCTGGCCTTCTGTGTGGCCGGTGCTCCTATAGTGTGGAGTCATGCCTCCTCAAGTCCTTTTATCTCCCCATCTCAGGCACAGACCTGGGGCCATGGTGGTTTTACAGAGGCAGCAAAGATCTCACCCTGGGAAGTCTCATTCTTGCAAATGTGACAAAGTGTCATTTCAATATGATCCAACCAATAGTCGTTAGCTTCTATTTATCAGCTCAATGCTGGGTGCAGAAGGGGAGAGTAGTAAGATGAACATGACCACCATTACTTTGATGGAGTGCTCAATTAAAAGAAAGCCCTGATTATAGAAATGGAACAAACCTGGGTTCAATAAATTCTGAAATGCTGTGGACTAACCTTTCTGCTGGCAGTCTCTCTAATCCTTCCTTCGCCCAGTTTCCAGAGAGATCTCTAACATCATAATGCCAATCCTCTTCTTAAATATCTCTTCTTTGCTTTCAGGAGAAACTTCAGATTTAGTCTGGAACACGTGGCCCTGCTGTGCAGAGACTGGTTCTAGTCCCATTGACCCAGTTCATCTTCCTCTAGCCTCCTTTTATAGACACCAAAGCCCCATTATCTGAAGACAGCACACTTTCACCTCTGTGTCTTGGACAAGCTGGTTCCCCTGTTTAGAATGCCCTTCCACACGCCTTTTTTTTTTTTTTTTTGCCTGATCATCGCCTGCTCATCTCCAAAGACTCAGGTCAAATGCCCCTCCTTTGAAACTTCCTCTCACAGCCCTTCCCACATTTGATTCCTCTCTTCTCTCTAAGTCTCAGAGGTGCCATGTTCACCTTTCTCCTTAGCACCTTCCACCACATCCTATAAATCCTCTAGTCTAGTGGTTTCCAAAATTGGATGTTGGAAGAATAGGATAGAACTCTCATCTCAATTACATGAATATTTTTTAATGTGCCTAATATGTTGTTACAATAGTAAACATGTATATTTGGTGACTAATAAATATGCCTATACTGTGGTTGTGTGCTCAAAAGTTGTTTTACTGATCGGGGTTAATAATCTGAAAAGTTTGAAGGTCATTGCTCCAGTAGTTAGATCCTGGAGGGTATGAGCCCTATCTTATTTGTAGGAGCTCAGTAAAAATTGGTTGAATAAGTAAATGGCGTCTATATGAGCACAGTGATGACAAATGCTTTAAATGACTTACAAGCAAGATGCCAATGGTAGAAAGAGGGAAAACATGATTGTGCATTAGTTCAGAAGTCAGAGAGTCCTGGATTCAAATTATTCATTTAGGAGAGATTCAGAATGCCCACTGGATTATCTTAGATATGTCATCCATCTTCCTAAACTATAGTCAGCAAACTTTTCATGTAAAGAGCCAGATCGTAAATATTCAGCTTTGGAAGCTGTATAGTTTCTGTAACTACTTAACCCTGCCAAGGCCAAAGACAGTATGTAAACAAATGTGCATGGCTGTATTCCAAAAAGACTTTATTTACAGAAACAGGTGATCATCCGGTTGGCCTGGGGGACATAGTGTACTGATCCCTGTTCTAGATATTAATTCCTAGCTGTGCAATCTTTGTGTCACGTGAGATACCTTTGCAACATGCCTAGCTCATGTCTGGGGATGAGTTATTGTTAAATAAGTGCTTCAAAATCTCAATAATAATTTGTTCTGATTTTGGGTCTTGCAAGAAAAGAGATGTTTGAGTTCAGTCTTTAGCCATGAGTCCCCCAGACAGGGGAGAAAGATGGGGGAAGAGACTAGAGAGGGCATAGTTAAGGAAAGAGCATGTGTAAAGGCCCCGATGTCCTGCTGAGGGGGCCCTGGAAACTACCACAGCATTCTTTAGGTGATGGTATGATAGATACAGTGAGGGGTAAACAATAGACTTCCTCTGCCCTAGTGATAAAATAGAGACAATAGAAACCTCCCTTCCTGCAGTGAGAATCAGAGAAATTGTGACATCTAACACCCCATGCTTGTCATGCCTACCTTGGCCATGCCCTCTGACCTGCTGCGTTATGTCTTTTGATCCTGACCTCCACCTACTGTCTGATGCCAAGACTGTTGGCTTCTCTGCTTTGCTGAACTGGATTTCCTCCCAGACCATGTGTTTAGGGGAATTTGCTCCCCATTCTGAGCTTTAACCTATCTCAGTAGACATCTTGTCCCACTCCACTGGATAAAAATTGGTGGCTTTATAGCATCTAAAGCCTAGGAGAAATCAGATTTCTTAACAAGGATTCTTAATGTGCCATCTGTGGAGCACCTGGAATGAAATCACCTGGAAGTGTCTATTAAAAATTAAAAATCCTGGGCTCCATCCAAAGCACTGCAGTCAGGATCTTTGCTTGGGGCCCATTTGAAAGTAGCTTCCCAGGTGATTCTTACACATACCAGAGTAGGAGACTTGCTGCTGTTCTGACTAAAGCATTAAAATAAATTTTAAAGTCCTATCTTTTAGTTTCTGTAAGCTGACCCTTAGCTCTTTAAAAAGTGCAATTGGCAAAAGATGGAAAATTACACCCCCCACCAATGAATAGATTTGAGTCTGTGTGGGCTTCAAATTGCAAGACTCTTCTGAGATGCCCCTTATTAAGACACCCTCTCCCCAGGTAGAACCTGCATACAGCACTTCCCCAGGTAGAAAGCTCCTAGGAGGCTTCTCTCTTTGCAACTTCCTGACTTGCTTCCCGCCACCTCCCCTGGTCTTCCCGGGATGGAGACTGCACCAGGAGGTTTCCTGGTTGGAATCTCCACAAGGAGTTAGAATCCACCAACAGGTCTTCTTCTCCTAACAGCCTCTTTAAATTGAGGATTGGGCATGGTGGCTCACGCCTGTAATCCCAGCACTTTGGGTGGCCGAGGCAGGTGGATCACAAGTTCAGGAGTTCAAGACCAGTCTGGCCAATATAGTAAAACCCCATCTGTACTAAAAATACAAAAATTAGCCTGGCCTGGCGATGTGCGCCTATAGTCCTAGCTACTCGGGAGGCTGAGGCAGAAGAATCGCTTGAACCCGGGAGGTGGAGGTTGCAGTGAGCAGAGATCGCGCCACTACACTCCAGCCTGGGTGACAGAGCGAGACTCTGTCTAAAAAAAAAAAAAACACAAAATGATGACTGGGTTAGGGAGACACTAATGACCCATCTCAGGAATTCTCTGCTTTAGTGACCTTTCAGTTAATCCAGTGGACCTAGAACTCTTTTCAGTGGGATGTGAATTCTATCCATTCCGTTAGAAAGTCGAAGCCACACATTTGAAAGGTAGTTTTGTCATCTTCATGATCATAGGACTCAAAATCACAAAATTAGCTTCCATGTATTTAATCAGTGAATTATTTTTCATTGTCCATGTACCACGTGTGTCATGACCCGCATAACAAGGAATATGTGTGTGTGTGTTTGTTTATTTTCATGATCGTGGATGTTTGTGACAAATGTGCTAATTCACACATTAGTGATCTCATTGATATAAAAACTTTCTGGTAATGTAGAGGGCTGGGTTATTCTCCTCATCTTTCAAATGAGTAAACTGAAGCACAGGAAATTAAATGACATGTCCAGGGTCTGATGACTGGCACATTGCTGAGCTCACACACAGGGCCCACATACAGGTTGCTGATTCTCAGTTTGGGCCTGGTTCCACTTCCACCCTGGACTGTCTATCCAAATAAAATCAAAGACTTGTAGATACCCTAAGAGATGAAATCATGGGACATTCTGCAAGGAAAGAACATCCAAATAATAAAATGGCTTGGGGTTCTGGCACACAAGGAAATCTCTCAGCTACAGCTGGGCACAACTATGTCTTTATGACACTCCCCCGGAAGAGCCACAGCAACCACTAGATGGCAGTGTATGAACAGTAACAGGGAATAGGTTCCTGCCCTTGGTTTTTGAAGAATATTCTGGGATTACCATGGGGAAAGCCTTGGCAAGGACATCCCAATGGAATTAACCTTCAAAGAACAATGCATTTGGAGATCTGTTGTGACTTTGGGCTTCAGCCCGAGGCAAGATGGCCATGCTTTGGTACTTTAAGAGCTAGATCAGCAGTTCTGATTCACTTGGTTCAGGGTGGGGCCCACATATCCATGTTTTGTTAACATTTCCCAGGTGCTCCAGTGTGCTTCCAGCATTGATAGTCTGTGCTAGATAGAGTCCATCCACCCCTGGGTTGTAAGAACCGAATGCAAACAGCACAGTGTGACCTCCTAATGTTGTTCCAGGCATAGGATAGGCCACTGAGGCTGCAGAAATGAACGAGACATGAAGACATGGTCTCTATACTCAGGAAGCCACAGTCCCAACAGAGCTGAGATTTAAAATCCCAAATAGGGTCTAGGCATGTTGTGGAGTGTTTCTGCAGTCGAGTTCCTACTCTGCCTTGTATGGCCTTGAGTAAGTCACTCGTCTGCTTCATGACTCACTTTTGTTTAATGGGTTTTGATGGGATGCTTTCTTGGGACAATGAGGACAATAAAATTGGTGCCTTCAAAGATCTGTAGAGCAGATCCTTTGAAGGGCAGTATATTTTCTTAGTCAACTTCTGTGTACCCAGGAGCAATCTGGCTGTTCTGGGGAGAAATGGGTTACCTTGGCCTGGCATTAGCACAGCCCTCTAGACAGGACAGAGGGGGCCTTCAGCTTCTTTCAGGTCAGATGATTCTCATTTGCCAATGGTGGCATTTTAAAGCATTGCAAAGCAGATTTTTTGTTGATGATAAAGACTTTAAAAAACATCCGCAAATTCCATGTGCTGTGTTCTAGATACACATTCTAGAGCTGCAATGGGTGGAGACGGGACATTGTGTCTCCTAACCACAGAGAACACCCCATTCCTGCCCTCATCTCCCCATCTCTGTATGCCCAGCTTCAACACACTGCTGGAATTTTCCCTAAGCTAGGAAGATTTCTAGAAGGTTGCCTCATAACATCATGGTGGGTTGATGGGGCATCTTCAGGAATGGGGAGGAATTGACAGTGACGGTCTACGAGTCCTGATCTGCAGTTTTTGAACATGAAAAACTTGAAGAGCACAGACTAGATTTTACTCATCTCACTCATTATAATACCTGGCACAAGAGTAGATGTGAGTGAATGTTTGCTGAATTAAGGTTTCTGTAGCTTGATGTATTTATGACAAACTGACATTAAATATTCGATCTCAGTATCAGAAATAGCTTAGATGTTATTTGTATCTTTTAGACCCAGAAAATTATGAAATAGATAGTGTCTCCCTCTTTGCATTGGCTGCTAGCAAGCTCAGAGACAATTAGTCTCCTCTAGCAAATAACTAGTGGCCTATCTCTAGCAAATAACTAAGAAGGACCTTATGTTACACATATGTGGTTATATGATGCCTGATTTCAGTTTATTTTTCTCAAAATTGGTATTTATTGTACTGAACTATTATTTCAAGCTGCCTCAAGTTCTCTTTGGAGCAAAGAATGAGGAAACTCATTAAATCTGAAACAATGTCTGGGACAATTATTGATACATAATAGGAGTTCAATATATTTATTGAGTAAATGAATGAATGAAATTTTTATCTGAATCTTAAGATTGAATCTATCAACCAGCCTGGAAGTCATAGTCTCTCAAAAAAAAAAAGTGTGGTAAATGAGAAGATCATCTTGGGAAATGGACCCAGAGAGGCAGAGTGACCTGCTCAGGATGAAAATTTAGAGGCTGTAAGGTAAACCCAGCTTTTTAAAACAAACAAACAAACAAACAACCCTTTGACCTACTTACTGCACTTTCTGTTACTCCAAAACCACCTCTTTTGATCTGAGAGAGATAACTATCCTCAAATAGCTTTCAAAAATGAAATATGAAGAAAAGCATGTTGTTCTATTTGCCTCCTCCACCTCCAGTAAAATGGGATAAAATAATAGAGCAATGTTACCTGCGTTTGCTGGAATTATCATTTGTTTATGGTTTTGTCTTTGTTTTTGAGACAGAGTTTCACTCTTGTTGCCCAGGCTGGAGTGCAATGGTGTAATCTCGTCTCACCACTACCTCTGCCTGCCGGGTTCAAGCAATTCTCCTGCCTCAGCCTCCCGAATAGCTGGGATTACAGGCATGCGCCACCATGCCCAGCCAATTTTGTATATTTAGTAGAGATGGGGTTTCTCCATGTTGGTCAGGCTGGTCTCAAACTCCTGACCTCAGTTGATCTGCCCCTGTTGGCTTCCCAAAGTGCTGGGATTACAGGTGTGAGCCATTGTGCCCGGCCCATGGATTTTTCTTTGACCAAGTCAATGACAGCTCATTTGGTGACCCGTGATGTGATTTTCTTTCTAAAATTTATAAGGAGAAAAATCTAGGTCATGCAGGTAGCTCCATTCAGTAGGCATCCCACAGTCTCCTGGGAGGTCAGGAAAGGATGGTTTTGCTGAAGGTGTTTATCCTGGACAAAAGCCTGCAGATCTGTCACTAGAAGCATGATCCACTATGTCTTGTCAAACATCTTCATCTAAATTGGTCATTGGTCAGGGCTGAGGCAGCTGAATTCTGATGGAAATTCACCTCTCATGTATTTACTCAGTGTTCCTATAGAGAGTGAAAGAAGTTATGTCCATGTTTAACGACCTGACCTATTCACATTTCCAGCATTTTCCCAGTCACTGCCCTTCAGTGCCGTCATTTTTACTGCTCTGCCCCCATAGTGGAAGTCTGTGCTTGGCAGACACTTTTTTAAATTGAATACTCTGTAACCAAAAGAAGCCTTCTTTTTCCTTCCTTATTTACTATTCCTTGTGTATGTTTATTGACATGATAGATATATGTAATTTGCTCTGGAGTCTATTTCTGGGATAGACTTTACATTCTGGGATAGAAATTTACATCTGTTTCTGGGATACCAATCAGTGTTCACTGGTGTCCCATCAGTGGAAGGCATTGATTCTACCTACCAAAACACTTTTAGTATTGGGGCCATCATCTACAGAAGTTTCATTTGTATTTAATTCTATAATAAATGAAACTCAAACTATTACCGCAAATAGCTGAAGCAAATGTCTTGCCTTTGTGCATTTTCTCATGTTTTTTTTTTTTTTTTTTTTTTCCTCTCCTTACTACACGTTTTCTTGCTCGGATGATATAATGCCCAGGAGAGCTACCCAGGGATAATCCATCACTCCCTTATCTGTGCTCCCTCAAAGGTCTCACCTCTATGAGGGTGTCCCCCCGTTATGTTACCAGGATGAGATCATGTGACTGTTTTCCCAATGGACTGTGAGCTCCTTAAGGGCAGGGGCCATCTCTCCTTTTTCTGTGAATCTCCTGAGCCTCCCCAGGACAAGGCAGTCATAGGTCCTCATGTGCATATTCACTCATCCTATTGTTGACTCATTGCGGTTGCTGCTGTTGCCTTACTCAGATTTCCTGCCTTACCTGTGAGGAGCGGACTCTGCAGAAAGCCTGGACAGAAAGAAATCTGATGTGCTAGTCACAGCAGCTCACCTGTTGGCACACTGGTGTGAGTGTCATGTGATGATCATGCAGCCCAAAGGCCTGGGCTTTGTTCACAGGCACAGATATGTCTTCTGAGTCACGCTCAGCCAGCTATTGCCTGAGTCTTAGTTCAGGGATGGAGAAGACCCAGCTCCTGTCTGCAATCTCTTCTGGGGATTTCAGCTGCTGGTGTTGACTCCTGGCCTTAGCCTCCTCTGGGGATTCTCTGAGTTTGGTTCAGTCTTACTCTCCATTTGAGATGAAATTGCTGAGGCAGACACCCTTGGGAGAAGAGAATTTGTCTTCTGGGAGTCTGTATTTAATCCACGGCAACATTGCAAATTGTCAGCTGTAGCCTGGGCTGACCAGGCAAACCCCAGGTCTTTCTCAGGCCAGAATACAGTGAGACAGTGAAAGTATAACTTGTCATCAGAGAGGAGATAGAACTATGTCTAGGGCGATATTCCAAGGCAGGAGAATTGGACAGGCAAGTTAGAGGATAGTTAGTGTTTGCTTATTTTTCTTTTGAGAGAACAGAAGGGAACTTCTTTTGTTTAGCAAAAGAGAATGTCTTTTTTGATGAATCTAATAGGAAAAATGTCCTTGGCATCCGAAGATTGGTCTTGGGGCCTCTATTGGCCTTAAAACTTTGGGCTTTTAAAATTCAGTTACTTTTTTCCTTTTCTCTCATCACCCCCATCTTTGTATCTGTTAGGAAAATCATTAAACCAAGCCTCATTCCCCAGCTCCCTCTTGCTTGAACTGTCCCATTGAAGAGATTCTACAAACCGAATTTGGGTATTTTCTTTGACAGGTAATCTCCAATCCCTGTCTCCAGCCTAGGAAGCTCAATCTGCTTCACACAGCACTCTCAGTTAAAAAAAATTGTTTCCTAATATCGAGCAGATTTCTGTCCCTGCCACAGTTTCTACCAGTTGTCCCAATTCTCCCTCTTAGGGTAGAACAAATACATTCCTTCAGCCCCTGCTCACAAGTCTTGTCCTTTTGTCAGCTAAGTAGCCCATTTCTTCAAGGTTTTGTTCATGCAACACCATTTCAGGGCTTCACACTTGAGCCACTGTGCTTTGAACACCCTCCAGTTTATCCCTCTTGAAGTATGTGTGACCCAGTTAAGGCGGGGAGGGCTCATGTCACACTCCAAGTCTTTGTCCACAACCAAAAGTGATTGAGAACACATTTAGATATTTAATAAAATTATTTGAAAACCTCAAGGCCAGGCACAGTGGCTCACGCCTGTAATCCCAGCACTTTGGGAGGCCGAGGCCGGTGGATCACCTGAGGTCAGGAGTTCGAGATGAGCATGGCCAACATGGTGAAACCCCATCTCTACTAAAAATAAAAAATTAGCCAGGTGTGGTGGCACCTGCCTGTAGTCCCAGCTACACTGGAGGCTGAGGCAGAAGAATCGCTTGAATCTGGGAAGCGGAGGTTGCAGTGAGCCGAGATTGTACCACTGCACTCCAGTCTGGGCGACAGAGTGAGACTCTGTCTCAAAAAACAAAAACAAAACAAAACAAAACCTCAAAGGGATCATTTCCTAACAGCAAAATGTAAGAAATTTATATTTACTGTCTTTTTCTTTTTTCTCTGCTTTAACTTTAGTCTCTTATCTTTCTTCGTCAAAATTCTGAAAAACTGTTTAACTCAGCCCATTCAGACTTCCTTAATTTCTCCTCTTCTCTCCTGTCTTAGGCTCAGGTTTTTACTACTGAGGCAGAAGGAAGGGTGAGGTGGGGGAGAGATTCCAGACATATGATGTTTTAAACAGCCTTTATTATGCATGGATTTAGAATTGGTTAGAGGAATTACCACAAGTAAAGTTTAATCCGTGCAAAGCAGATCACACCTGTCTACCTCCCTTCTTCTTAACACTCTAGTCCTAGCAATAGAGCTTCAAATACTATTGACTTTTTGGGCAGAGCCATTCTTCTAGTGTCTCATATTAAGCTTCCCATGAGCTCAAAATCCTCAGAGAACTCATTCAGGATCTGAAGTTGAGGTGGCCATACATTCTATAGATTCCTGGTTGGAGTTTCCTGATGACGATATAAGGGGCAAAAAGAAGAAAAATTTAGATTCTTGTAGTTTTATTTTGTTAAATTGGAGGGCCAGTTGTTTGTAAGTGAAAGATCACTTCTTTATTTAATGTTTTTATTCTCTTTCTGTGGGGCTGGCGGTTGGAAATGACTGTGATGTCTCCCTACCCCTCCAGTGCCCCTCCCCGACCCCAATTTGATTGCCTGGACTAAGGTAGTTTCCAGAAGTCATTTGTGGGTTTGAGGTTGGCCCTTTCTTTTTGTCCTCATCCCAGTGTAATGGGGCCTCCTGCCCCTGTTGCTCAGGGTGTGGGGGCTGAGTTGGGGATGCTGTTACTGGCCCTGTGGTTGTCTCCTTTATTTTTCTTGGGTGGTGGGCTTGTCGATCAATTCAGTGATTTCTTTAATGGTCCTGGTATGTCCTACATCTGGCAAAAATTCCTCATGTATTTTGATTGGTTAATAACACCATTCCTGTGATATTTTATTACATAAAAATGGCTTTGGTCATTTTAACAGGATTTTGGGAAGGAGGAGGATTAAATTCACGGGCACAAGTGAACATCTTCAACTCAACTCAATTAAATTTCAACCACGCTGGGTATGCAGGATGGGAAGGAATGGTGCAGTGTGTCATAGCTGAGTTGTTTAGATCTTAATATTGTAACTCTCTATCCATTTCCAAAGCATTTCCATGCACATAATTTAATCTGATTTTCACAAAAAATTTAAATAGGAAAAGTTGCAACTACTAGTCATACTCTGCCAATTCAAAAAAAAAAAAAAAAAGCTCAAAGAAATTTAGTAACTTACCCAAGAGCAAAAGACTTATGATTCCCCTCAGGCCTTTTGCCTTCTAAGCCTAGAGCTCTATCCACTCTAGCAGGGCACTTGGGTGCCATCCTCACTATTTCTGCAATATTTGAAACTACCTCTAATATTATTTCTTTCTTCTGTTTCTTTAAACTGACTAATGTTTAGCTTAAATACATTTAACAAGAAAACTTTATATTACTACAGTAAATAAAAACACTAATATTGCTTTCTCTAATTGGAAAGTAACCATGAAAATAAAAACAATGAGAATGAAGCACTGTTATTATATCTTAGCTAAGTATTAATTTCTGTTGAAGTCTCTGAGCCTAAGATCTACCCTCTCTTTGTTCAAAAAATTTAGCATGGTTTTAGAGAGGTGTTAAAATCACAGGGCATCAGACTGAGATTTTCTCCTTTACATCACTGGAAGGTCTGAAACAGAATTGGAAAAGAAATAACTTTTCCAACATGCCCAACATTATTTAACATTGTGTCCGTGTAGAATTCTGTCACCATAATTTAAAAATTCTTAAGTTGTTTCTCGTCCTGTGAGAAACACTGCACAATATCATAGTTTTATAATTAACAAGTAAACATTAGCTGTAAGTTTGGTAGTTGTGGTCATTTATGTGAATAGCAGTAGCAGTTGTGCTAGTTCAGTTACATATATAGATAAGTTGGTATTCATCTATCCATTCACTCAGTGACATCTAATGACACCTCCTATGATCTGAGCATGCAAAGTTAAACATATTAGTCTGTTTTTACACTGCTATAGAGAACTACCTGAGACTGGGTAAGTTATCAAGAAAAGAGGTTTAACTGACTCACAGTTCTTTAGGCTGTACAGGAGCATGGCTGGGGAGGCCTCGGGAAACTTACAATCATGGTGGAAGGCAAAGGGGAAGCGATGCATGTCTTACATGGTGGCAGGAGAGACAGAGAGAATGGGGATCTGCTACACACTTTTAAACCATCAGTTCTCCTGAAAACTCACTCACTCTCAGGAGAACAGCATGGGGGAAACCGCTCCCATGATCCGATCACCTCCCACCAGATTCCTCTCCCAACACGTGGGGATCACAATTCGAGATGAGATTTGGGTGGGAACATGGAGCCAAACCATATCAGTAAATAAGATGTGACCCTATCCCTGAGAAAGTTTGTGTTCTCATTAACATTAAAGTTTGTGTTCTCATTAACATTGTTCTGTTTCTATGGGGCTGGAGGTTGGAAATGGCTGTGATGTTTCCCTACCCCTCCATGAATGATGGCATTGGAGTGATGCCCTGAATGTCTGTGTTAGCAATGGCATGAATATCTATGTTCTCTAATATAAAGTATAAGTGGGTGAGGGAAGGCTGCAAATGTGTGTTGACATTTGAGCTGGGTATTGAGGGACAGGGGTTTGTTGGCTTCACATGTCCGAGAAGGAGTACTGCTTCTGTAAAGAAATAGTGGCAGGAAAAGGCATGGATGGTCTTGAGAAGCAACTAGTTCTTTAGTTTGGCTGAAGTGTAGCACCAAAAGGGAAAGAGGTGGGATGGGGTGAGGAGGTGTCATTAAAGGAGGCTGGAGTGGTAGATCCAAGCCAATCTGAGAAGCACTTTGTTTGCCCACCCTGCCAGGGAGTCTGAATGGATACTGGAGATAGCAGGGAACCACCCAAAATATGTAAACAGAGGATGACATGATCAGATGTGCATTTTAGAGAGGTCCCTCTGGTACAGTGAGGAGAGGTGTGAAAGGAGAGAGTAAGATATCAGCACAGATGGCTGGCCGGGATGCCAAAATCAGCTTCAGTGATTCCATGCAAATTCTACTCATTAGCTCTCCTTGCCCATGTACAGAGTATTGTCAGCCACCACCTTGGCCAGAATAGATAAGGCTCTGAACAGCCTTAGCAGAGGTGCCCTGGAAATTCTGTTATTATATAATTTCTTTTTAAAAGTGGTTCAGTCCATGTGGGCTGTTTCAATTTAGGAAAAAAAAAAAAACCCTTAAGATCCATTTTACAATCTAACAATTAATGTGATTTTGCCTCCTTTTGACTTGGGATAACTTCAGTGATTAGGGACTGATTGTGTGTGTGTGGGTGTGTTTTGCAGTTTCCTCAGCTTATCGATAGACACATGAGATGGGGATCCATGTGTCATGACAGAAAAAGAGGATCTTCAGAATAATCTTGGTCACTTTCTTGGGGAACCTGAGACATGACACTTGTTCTTGATCACAGTAGATGCTCAGTAAAGGAACATAGGTATTCTGTATTAATGCTCCATTTCCCCTACACCATTTACATTGTGAACTAACAACTGAATATTTCTGTAATATTTTTATTATTCCTTTCTGCCTGCTTTATAAATGTAATTTTAACTAAGTGGATTGTAAAGTGGGCTCTCTTTTGGTAATAACATGATATATCGCAATATGAACTGGGCACTTAATTAAAAGTCAGAATTTAAGACTTGGCTTGGCCATTTCTTGCCTATGTTGCCTGGGACAACTCGCTTCACCGGTCTGAGCCTCACTTTTCCTGTCAGTTAAAATGGGAGGCTTGGGTGATCTGGGATGGCAAGTAAGTTTCCTTTTATGTGCCAGCTGTAGAGGGTTGGTAGCTATTGCCTAGATTGGTGGTTCTCAACTCCTAAGGAGTCTTTTCAGACCTTTTTTTTCCCTAGTCATTCTCCTTTCTCAAGTAATTCTAATGTGACAGATATACTGCCTATGTGTTTATGTACTATGACTCTTTGGAAGGCCACAAACCATTATAATATCTAGTATTTTTTTCATCTTCCAAAAACCAAATTTGGGCCCCTTGGGTGCTGTAATGCCTGGTTTAGAATTCCTGGCTCAGAAGGCTCAGCTGATAGGGATTGTGAAGCCATGGTCATGTTCAGCAAGAAGGAGGGCTGCTAGTGTCTGCTACATGCATGGGAAAAGGGAGCAGCAGGATGTGAACCTCGTGTTGGGCTAGATGATCTGTGTGTCCTTTATCACTCAGACATTTTGGGATTCCACGTTCGATAGAATAAATTAGTTATAGTTATTGTGGTTAATCTACTGGGTGTTGACTAGGTGCTAATATAACTCTCAAGTGTGAAAAATATCTCAAATAATCAATTTAGTAGCCACAAGCAGACAGGCTGTATTTGTGGAATATTTTATTTGCAATCTTTAATACTTTCTGGGTAATTAAGATGTTCTCCTAAGATATGTCTACATGCCATTGCAATGTATCTGAAATTATCCACTTTTGTTCTTGCAGATTTCTCAAGGTAAGTTTTGGAGGCAGAAGTATCTGTTCCTCAATGGAATAGTTATCAGATGATTTGTCCAAAGAACAAATGAATGTCTTAAAGTGAGCCCCTGAGCTTGATCCAGTGCGATCTCTTTAACGTGAAAATGCACGTGAATAACCCCTGCACTCTTCTCTTCCAAGCATTTACTGCACTCAAATCCCAAGAATTTATGCTAGTTGGTAGAGGTGGAAAGATTACAAAGGCATGGTGCTCACTGTAAAGGAACTTAAGATCTTATGGAGACTGTCAGCAGTATGGTCAGTCCTCGTCAACCTTTGAATATAAAATGAGGTCACGTTCCTTAAACACCTATCACTATTGACTTGAGCCTTTCTCAGCTTTGATGGCCAATGTTTATCCTCCTTGGAGAACTCTCAGTTAGTTCTCAGAGTTCTTATGGATGCTGGCTTATGTGTATAAATGAATAGGCCCTGATAATAGATACATTTTTTACCTCTTTGCCATGCTGTGGAGCTTCCATTATTGTCAGCCACGGCTCAGTGCGGCGTGGCCATCCTCAGTTGGTTATCATGGCTGTGTCCTGGGTTCGAGAGAGGGCCTGCTCCCCCTTTCCTATTTCACTCAAATATAGAGCAGGCTCTTCTTTTATTTGATCACAGCACACTCAAGCCTAGGCTGTAAGTTTTGAACACAACTTTATGGAATTTTGGAGATTATAGGAGGCAAATACAAGCAGAGAATATTAAAAAACTGCTATTTCATATGTCCGTTTCAGGGACCATAGGTCCAGACCCATCCTCTGTAGGCCCCTGAATGGTCATTGTCCAGCCTACCTATCTCATAGAGGCCATTTTCCTTTCCCTATGGGAGTCTTTCTGACCTTTAGCCTGTCTCCTTCGCTGGAGTCTAGACCTCAACTTATGACAGCCCAATGAGAATAGAATTTTATTCCCATCTCCCTCCCACTCCCACCAGCCAGGTCTCGCCTCCTTAGTCCTCATATGTTGGCATAGGCACTTGGCTTCTCTTGAGAATAATGTGCAGCAGGGACATTCATTCTTTCCAGGGGAAGCTCTGCCCATGAGCTCTTGATCCCCCAAAGACCATCACATCAGAGTGCACTATTTCACCATTATTTCACAAAGCACTGGTTATTATTCATCGTGCATAACATCATAGTCTATTTCAAGATGACTTAAACATAGCCAAGCTCATCTTAACCACAGCTTAAATATAGAATCTTCCAGATTTTTTAGGTCTTTACTACCAATCTCCTGTGAAAAAATTCTGTAAAACATACACACACACACACACCCCTTTTCCCAAGAATAAGCAGTAGTATACAATCACAGGCAAGAGCGAAACCATATATGGAAAAGAAATGTTTTCTTCAAAGAAGCTACAAAGTCTGCAAACACATAGCTATGCTTAAACAAATATCTAACTTATATACCAAAGAGAATTCTCTACTTTTTAGTATAAACATCTACATTCAGATTAATGGGGACTTTATTTTACCTCAAATATAATGGCAGGGTATAATGCTTTACATCGGGTTAATTAAAAGGCCCATTAGATTTATTTTTCAAAAACTTTTGGGACAGTGTGACCTAAAGGTAAATTCAACCCTTTAGTTCCTAGAAGATAAAAACTACCAGCAACTTTCATATGATTTCATTTTTCAGCTTTAGGACTCATTAAAAAAAATCTTAGCATCTAGTTCAGCAAGAGCATTCTATTACATTAGAGCAGATGTTGGCAAACATTTTCTGCAAAAGGTGAGATAGTAAATATTTTAGGCTTTGCAGGTCGTATGGTATCTGTTACCACTATTCAACCCTGTCACCGTGGTGTGAAAGTGGCCACAGATAATATGTAAATGAATGAGAATGGCTGTATTCTAATAAAACTTTATGAACACAAATATGAATTTCATGTAATTTCCACATGTTACAAAATATATGACTATTCTTTAAATTTTCCCAATCATTTAAAATGTATAAATTAGCCAGGTGTGGTGGCATGTGCCTGAGGCTGAGGCGGGAGGATGACTTGTGCTCAGGAGTTTGAGACCAGCCTGGGCAACATAGCAAGATCTCATCTTTTAAAACAAATTTTGTTTTAAAGTAAAAATGTAAAAGCAAGTCTTAACACATGGGTCATGCATAAATAGATGGCAGGTCAGGTTTGGCCCTCAGGCTTTAGTTGCCGGCCCCTGCCCTGGGGCCCTGAATTACCTTATAAACTATATATTCACATTAAATTTTATGGGAAGTATTAAATAGAGGAAAATGCAGAACTAATAAACCCACTTTGGAAGAATCTCTCCCTTTTTAGACGTTGTGTGTGAATCCAAACACATCCTCTGCTAAGAGCATCCTGGAATCTTTTGAGAATTCAGTGTGTTTCACTTCGATAAAAGTGACTTCCTACACGGTAAAATTAAAAAAAAAAAAGATCTTGGAAGGCTCCTGGCTATCCAAACTAAAATGTGAAAGATAATTTTGATGAACTAGGCAGAAATAAACCAGAAGCATATGGTTTAAATTGTACTTAACAGAGACATGTGTTTCCATCTGGCCATTCTGGGGAATGTGACCAGTTGTCCTAATGGTTAGTGAGCACTCCTGGGGCTGGCTGACAGAAACCTCAATGAATGGGTGCAGGTGCGTGCAAAGGGACATTCTGAATATGGATACCCATGTGTGTGCACGTGTGTACACATCATGCTGAGACAACTAACACTTGCTAATCATTTGCCTGGGGGTAAATAGTCTTCTTTTACTTCCACCTGTCAAAGCCTATTTCTTCATCAAGGTTTCAATCAAATGTGTCCACTGAGAAAGCAGCCCCAACCTCCACCCTCTCTTCCTCCTTTCCCATTTCCCTGTTAGAATTAGCACTTCCTTTTTTTCACTCCTAAAAGTCCAACTTGGCTTATAGTTGTCTCTCACAAGATTGTGTGCTCTTGAGGTAAGAATTGTTTGTTTGTTTTTCTCTTTATATTCTTTTTGCCTTGTTTAGTACTTAGTACCAGGTAGGTGCTAAAAGCAATGTACTGAATGTGGCAAAACAACCAAATTGTTCTGGTAACAGTGACTAAGTGATAAGGGTTTAATTTTAAACACCTCACCTGTGTCCAAGAAGGCTCTTTTTTAAACATTTGCATGTCTCCCTGATTGAGATGAGGGTCCCTTATATTTAGAAAGGCTCTTCCTTTCCATTCCTGGGCTTGAAGAGAACGCTGGTTTCTGGTTGTGCTAACTGTTCTTCCCTTTAGTAGACAGTCAACAGCCTTGCGTTTTTAGCAGTAACTCATAGACACGCCTACGTACCTGCTTAGCTTGACATATGACTCACTGGGGCTTGGGCCAACATGTTGTCAGGCTAAGGGCCTGTTTTTGTGAACGTGGACTTGGATGTGGGGTGGGAGATGAGGAGGCAGACTTTTGACGTTGCCTGGCTGGGTGAACTTGGGGCAAGACCCTGAATCAGGTACCATCAGAGGTCATCTAGTCCAGCTGCTTCACTGTTCAAATGGGAAGGCCAAGGCCCATAGGGGAAGTACCTGGCTCAAATCCATGTGGCTTATTACTGTCAGAGCTGGCTTCCAACTAACCCTTTTGTTCCCAGTCTAAGGTTCTTTAAAATTACCTAATTAATTAATTAACTAACCAAACATTACTGAGGTCTGCCATTCATCAGGACTTCTCCCAGGTGCTGGGGGACGTAGTATGACTCAGGCATCCTCCCTGTCCTCTCGATCCTGCAGTGCAGTGGAGGCAGAGTGTAGCAAGAAGGGTGCAAACTTGGGCTTCATGTAGATTTGGGTGGGAGTCTCTCTTCTGCCTTTTTCTCACTGTGGGAATGAGAAAAATGAAATGCACATGTTGGCCCTTAAAGCTGTTGCGAAGCTTTAATGAGATAATTCACATAGAACCCTTCACATATTCCTTGGCATATAGTAAATGCTCAATAATAGGTAGCTATTAGTATTATAATGGAGACACTCAGCCCTCGGACCAATCAACTGCCTCAGTTACCTTATTTGAAAAGCGTAGGAAGGCATGTAAAATATTTGCAGAAAATTTGACCTCAAAAAAAGAATACAAGGTTAGCTCGCTTGCCTCAGATAGGGTAGACTGTAATCTGTATACAAAAAAGAAAGGTAATCTGCTTTTTTTTTTCCTCAAAACTGGGAGAGGAAAAGAGAGAATGTGATGATCAGATGAAAAAGAATTTCATTTGTGAGGTGAGAGCTGCATGCATGTTAGGCTATATGCAACTCCTGCCACATTCGCTTCAGACTTTTCAGAGAGAGCCATCATTTCTTTCATAAATAGAAGCCACCTTCCCATTACCCAGTTGACTATGGACCCAGCCCTGCCCTGATTTGGCCACCTCTGGGGCTCCCCCGGAGCCAGGCACAGGCTCTAGGCTGCGTCTCTGACTGGCTGGCATAAGCGGGTCACTGCCTTCAAGGCACTTTTCCGTTTTCATTTATGGACAGAGTCCCATGGGGTGCAAGTCACCCTGGTTTCATGCAGTGTTGCAATCGAAACTATTGAATCTCAAAATGGAATATAATTAAGGCTGGGTTAATAAAGCGTGTTCCACTTGTAGCCAGCAAAGGGTGTCATGTTTCTCCTTGCAGCTTTAGGCAAGGAAACTTAATCTCCAGCTTTGTCAGGGCAGACTGAATCAGAGATGTGTCATCGAGCGGAAAGCTTCTTTTACTTCTTGCAGTCACTACATGGCCAGCCTCATCTCTGTGGATTTATACTGAGCACACAGAATCCAGCCCGTGGCAAGGGCCCCAAGGAAAGGCCAACGCTGCAATATCTTTGAAGACTAATCTGCCTCTGTGTAGGAGGAATTAGGGGACGTTTGCTCTATGCTGGGTCCTGAAACTGATCCTGGAGATAGTACCCCTCAAGTATAGGAGTTGTCAAGGGCACAGGGATGGATGGCTGTGAGCAAAAATGGGATATGGTGTTTTAGACAGTAGGGCTTGAGAGCAGCATGAAGGCTTCGCAGCCTTTGTCTTGCCTTCCTTGCTGCTTTGTGTCCTTTTTCTTTCTTCTTTTCTTCTAGCAACATTGTACTACTCATCCTTCAGCACTCAACATGGCAAGCTTCCCTGACACTCCCAAGCAGAGACTACTGATGCTCATTAAGACCCTCTTAGCACTGAAGCCCACTGTATTATCAATATTGAACATGAATAGCCATTTATTTTGCTTATGATAATCTTTGCTGGGCTCTTTGCCGGGCATTTATATGTTATCTAATCCCATCACCTTGGCGTCCCCTTTAGTATGGACAAGCAAACTGAAGCTCAAAGAGGATGAGTACATTTCCTAGGGACACATAGTGAATTTACTCATCCAACGGATATTTATTCAACTCCTGCTACATGCCAGGTACTGTTTTAGACCCTGGAGATACATCCCTGAACAGACAAAGATGTCTGTCCTCATATAATTTTTATTCTTGTGTGTGTGTGTGTGTGTGTGTGCACGTGCGTGCGTGCATGCATGTATATGTGTATAAACAATAAAGAGGTAAAATATGTAGAATGTTAGAAGGAGATAAGTACTATGAAAAAAATGCAAATGTAAGGCTGAGCTGGAATTTGAACCCAGGTCTGCTTTACACCTAGCGTGCTCCTCACCACTCAGTTATATTGCCTGTGGTTCTCAGATCTTCTTGTAATTATCTATTGACTTGCCAGCCTCTGCCTCCTAAATTGTAAATTTATCTGGGGCAGGGCCTTTCCTATTAATCAGTTGTCCATCCTGGCATGAAGCTCAGTGGCTGGCACAGAGTCAGCATCCAGTGAATGCTTGTCCAGCATGTGAACAAATGAGTGGCCGTATGATGACACAAGAACTTGCTGAAAAGCAGTAATTTCCCAGGAGGCTGGCCAGTCCTGGAGGCCTGACTCTGCCGCAAATGTGTCCTGTTACCTCAGGCAAGTGTTGGAGCCCATAAAATTTGCAGAATGGGAAAAAATAATGACTGTTTTTGACTTCGTTGTAGCTTGGTCATGAAGATTAATGAGACAGTGCTCAGAGACATCCGCTTCTTTAAGGACAGGGACTTGTGTTATTCCCAGGGGTGTGCTCACTGTTCAGAAGGCCAGCAAGGATCTGCCATGGTGTTTTCAGGAGGGATTGGTCCTATAGAAATGAGTTTTGTTTTACTAAAAAGTTTCAAAGAAGATTTTATGAGCTGCCTCTTCTAGGCTGTGGGCCTGTGCAGAGGTTTGCTACCATTTGGAGCAAACGTGAAAACACATTTTTCCCCCCTTTGCCAAAGTGGGCTCTAATTCAGCTCAAAATTAAGTTTTCGTGAATGTTTCTTTCCCATTGTAGAAGTAACAAATGCTGCATGTGGGTTTTTTTTTTTGTTTTTTTTTTTGTTTTTGTTGTGTTTTTTTGAGTGAAATCTCATGCTTGGCTCTACAAGGGCAGCTCCTGGATTGCTTGTCGGCCAGTTGGCAAATATAAGTCATTAAGAAAAGTGGTGCTGGATCTGTGGTCCCTAGGAGAAAAGGGCTCTTCCACTGGACACTGGGAACAGGAAATGGGAAACCCCAGGGATGTCCGAAAAGCATGCAAACTAAACTGGATGCGTAAAGTTTTGTTTAGTTCTCTTTTGTTGCTGACGACTCAGCACCAAACCTGTTCAGTCACTCCTACACTCAGAATGCAGGAGGGAGGCCCTCTCGGGATTTTCCTGTTCACCTGATACTTTGTCTTTAAGGATAATGAACTTGGTTAACTAACAGCCCTGCCAAGATTTTACTTGACATTGGCAAATAGGTCAGCACTGTAGCATTTGCATGATATGGACAGTGAGCATTCTCAAGAGTAGAGAGCTGTTTCCTGGTTGGGAAAATCCCCTATTATTACTCAGCAAAGGTAATAATAGTGTGGATTTCTCTAGTGTCTTTTTTCCTGAGAGTTCAGAGGTCTTTCCTGCTTTATCTTGGTCATCTTCATAGCTCTCTTGTGAAGGTGGAAGCAATTGTTGTCATCTCTACTTTGCGGAAAGGAAAGCTGAGGCATAGTTTGTTGAATTGTCCCACTTCATGTTGATCTTGCTTGGCTGAAGTTCAAGTCTCCTGCCTGCAACAACAGTCAATCGATTTAGGTCTAGATACTAAAGCTCTATTATCTACCAGGCAGGTTCATGCTGGGAGATATATATTTGATAGCTTATTTATTTCACCAAATAAATAATCTGATAAGATAAGCATTCTTATTGCCATTTGCTAGTTTAAATAGGTTGTCCAAGTTGGCGAGTAACTTGC
Source organism: Homo sapiens (assembly GCF_000001405.40). NCBI lineage: Eukaryota > Metazoa > Chordata > Mammalia > Primates > Hominidae > Homo > Homo sapiens. The sequence goes on along the minus strand of NC_000009.12, from coordinate 108,548,890 downwards.
CTCGCCAGTACTTATATGCTGTTGGATGCAAATCCAATGTCTTTGTCTGCATCAAGATGCCTCCCTTGTGCCTACAGAAAGATAGAGTTGCCTCTGGCTCCATTAGACCTATATTGTGCCCAGGCCTGGGGTGAGATGTGGGATGCCTCAGATGGCTAATTTGGCATCTGTTCTTATCAATGTTTTAAAGATATTTGCTCAATATTTATTTTAGTGAAGGAGGAGAGAAGCCGATTCTCTATTATACTGAATTTATTTCACTCTATGTTAACATTGTAAACACAGAATTTGCCAGGGTGCAGGGATGCATGTCTGTAGTCTCAGCTACTCAAGAGGCTGAGGTGGGAGGATCTCATAAGCCCAGGAGACAGAGGTTGCCGTGAGCCAAGATTGTGCCACTGCACTCCAGTCTGGGTGATAGACCCTGTATCAGTAATAATCATTAAAAAATAATAAAACAAGGAATTCATTATATGCATTGCCTCTAATATAATATTTCAGTGTATTTGAAATAGCCATCTAGGTCCTAGTTTTTCCATCACTATATATGGATAGCATAAGTCACTAAAACTCAGAAGGATGAAGGTAACTTCCAATAATATAGTTGCACAATCTCATTCAGAAGAGCTTTAAAATTTGCTATTCCTGGTTTACCTTTTACCAAAAATGTCTCACTTTTCTGTTTTTCACTCTCTTAAGCTTTTTTGGTTTGATTTTCTGATCCAGACAACTTCTTGGGAAGCCTGTTAATGGAATTAAATTTTAAGTAGTACACAAAATCACCCATTGCCAATAAACAGCATGACCCTAGGTATGATTTGGTTTCAGATTTTCTGCTAGCTTCCAGGGAAAATCAGTTGACTGGTCTTTGGATAGGTGGGTAGGCCACGATTGTACTGAGCAATGTCCATAATGAAACTAACCTCATTATTAACAGGGTGATCCCAGTGAGTCGCGATTGTAAAATTTCCACTTGAGGGTGCTCTCTGTTTTACCAGTTCTATACATGGAAATCTGAGTTTACTACCGACCTTATTACTGATTCCCATGATGTTTCAAAATTTGTGGTAGAGACTTCAGTTATGCATATTCTCATATTCTCTCCTTTGGAGCATCTAGAAGGGCCTCACATGCCAGTCTTCTTGCAGTTCAAGAAGTAGGTCCTGCTTCTTGAGTAGGTCCATCCAATGGGCTGTGGGTGGAAGTGATGTTTGTCATTTTGGGCCAAGATATTTAGAAGTGAGGGTGAGTTTCCTCTTCTTTCTCTTCCTTTGTCATGGTGAGCATTGAAGCCATGTGTTAGGATGGTGGTGTCACAACATCATGGCTCTTCCCCCTGCTAGGCTGGGTCCTTGCATAACCAGATGGAGCCCTCTCCTGACCTGCATGAGATATGTGTTATGATCAAGAAAGAAATTTTTGTAGTATTAAGTCCTTGAGATTTGGGGGACCTATTTGGCATCCTAATACAGCTAGTGTCCTGGGCAGCTACTTGGGTTTCTCTAACTTTATCTTATATTCCTTTAGTGTCTTAATCTCTTATTCCTCTGTTCTTTATTTATTAACCCGTGGTGCTTCATGGACAGTCTAGGTTTGACTGAGTTCTTACTGAGCTCTCCACAGGGGGATGCCTCTTGAACTCAGGGTGGATGAATGCTGATGATAGTCCATACAGTACTCATTTTCCTCATTGATCTTTCCACTTTGGGCTTTCCACATAAGAGGCAGAAGTGGGATGTGAAGATTAAAAAGAGCAATGGGAAGAAGAGGAGAGGATGGGACACTGTGGGAATAATGCATGTTCTGAAATAATTAGAACTAAGAAAACAAGTTACAAAAGGAACTAATGTTTTCTTCCATTTTGGTCTCATCGAACACTGTCATTCATGGACCTAAATAATAATATCTTCATCAAGTCACTTGTGACTTCCTGCTAAAGTCATTTGTCCATTCCATACACAGTAAGACTTGTTCTGGGCCAGGTGCTGAGCTCTAGAGACAGGGAAAACAGTGCCTTGGCCTCCACATGCTAATATTCTGGTAGGGGGCCATTCACATGAAAGAGCGTTTGAAGTTCATTGAAACAGAGAAAGCAACCTAGAGCTTTTCAAAAGCAAGGGTGATCGGCCAATGGGGTGGGAATGAGGGGCCACAGAGTGGAGCAGAAGTTGATGCCAGGACAGTAATGTCACAGGGGACTGACCCAAGGTTTTGAGGTCCAAGAACACTAGCTAGTCATTATTCCTAAACCTTATCAAGCTCACTGTCATGCTGAGTGAATTCTTAGCTCTCACTCTAGCTGGTAGAAGCTGAATGTCAGTGCCTGAATTTATAAGATAGAAAATCTAGATATGTTCTAGACACTGTATCAAGGAAGTAACAGTAAAAATATACTACTAATAATAACTGCCCTTTACTGAGGGGTTACTGTCTGCCAAGCACTGTGTACTTGCTGTGCCTTACGTTATCTAATCCCACAACTGACTTAAAACGTTGGTATTTCTCTCTGTTACAATTTCAGAGATAAGGAAAGTAGGCCTCCAAGAGATTGTTAGTTGTCTAAGGTTCCTAAGAAAATGGTGGTGCTGGGTTTTGAATACTGCCAAGTTTGATACCATAGCCCATGCTCCTAGTAATTATGTTATACTGGCAGGCTAGCAAGGCAAGGAAATTAATCTTCAGTAGTATGTTGGTGAACATGAAAGCAAAGCAGATGGCATTAAAGGGTTTGGAGAGACAGTGAATCCTGCTCCACAGTGGAATCTTCTCTCTAGTAACCAGAAGGCTGTTGTCACGTAGGATCAGTGTTGGCTACTGGGGCAGGGATATACAGGCTCTGACAAATTCTTTTAGGACTTTTAAAAAAAAATTTTTTTTATCTTTGAGACAGAGTTTCATTCTTGTCACCCAGGCTGGAGTGCAGTGGCGTGATCTTGGCTCATTCCAATCTCCGCCTCTGGGGTTCGAGTGATTCTACTACCCCAGCCTTTCAAGCAGCTGGTATTACAGGTGCCCGCCACCACACCCGGCTAATCTTTGTATTTTTAGTAGTGACGGGGTTTCACCGTGTTGGCCAGGCTGGTCTTGAACTCCTGACCTCAGGTGATCTTCCCGCCTTGGCCTCCCAAAATGCTGGGATTACAGGCATGAGCCACCGTGTCCAGCCCTTTTTGAGTCTTTTTAAAATTTTTTCCAGACCAGCACATATCCTCCAGATCCAAGCATTACTAAAGGGAACAGAATGTTGGAATGTTAACTTCCAACTCTGACATATGGAGCTGTGACGATGATACATTATTGACAGAATTGAGGCAGTAAATACTGTCTGGGGTGCTTTTGATTTACAAAGGCATACAGAGCCCCTCCCTCCTCTTCACTATTTTCTCTTCCATAAGGATTACTGATCAGTATACACCTTTCCCATCATTGCACAGCTGTGCTCTGCTCCCTTGCTTTGAGTTGGAACATAAGTGAAGATGACTTGGGAAGATGGTGCTCTTCATGCTGTGGGAGCTTCCCTCGTTTAGTCCACTCCTTCAGGGCCAACTCTCTCTGAATGAGAACTCCTCTACACGGACCACAGTGCACAGAGCTGTGGCAGAAGCCAGGGCAGCCTAAGAAGGGACTCAGGGGCTCCATAGCCACATTGTCCATGGGGGATCTGGGACAGGCTGCATCAGAGATGGGCCATGTGTAGCTGGGCTTGGAAAATTGAGCAAGATTTTTCTAGAAAGCGAAGATGGGAAAGACTTTCTCCAGGAAAGGAATGGAATGTGCAAAGCATGGCAGCCTGCAAGAGTCCTGGGTGTTCAGGGAAATTGTTAGAAGGGTTCTGTGGTCACAAGTCCGTGTTATCTGGGGAGAGTGGAATCTTTTAGAGGCTAAAAGCTGTGTCCTCTCTCTGGTATCCAGCAAGGACTGAAACAGAGCAGATGCTCAATCAGAATTTGTTACATGAATGCTAGGTTGTTGAACAAAGGAAGGAAAGACAGAAGCCTGTAAAGACCTAGGCCCTTTCCTGAATGCCTCACTTTACTCAGTCCCCTGCTAGGTCCCAATGGAGTTGAGGCCACTAGTGCCACTCTTTGCCCTTTGTCTGCTGTCTTAGACCTATCTTTAACAGAAGAGGCCCTTTTTCCTTCACTTCCTCTCCTTTTTGCAGTTCTTTCTGCTTATATTCAGCACAATCCACCTGTCTTTCTTCTCTTAGTTTCTTTGTTTCTCTACCTATCTGGTTTTAATGGAAAAAGACCTAGCTTGGAGTTGGAAGCCTTGGCTTCCAATCCCAGATTCTGCTGCTTCCTAGCTGGGTAAACTTTTACAACTTACTTGATCACCTGATGCCTCAATCTCATCATCTATAAAATGGGAATAATTATGTTTATCTCCTAGAAATGTTACGTGTCTCAAATAGATGATAGCATTTCTCAAACGTGTTTTCTAAAGAATTTTAATAGGTGTTATAAAAAATTGAAAGAGGCCGGGCGCGGTGGCTCACGCCTGTAATCCCAGCACTTTGGGAGGCCAAGGCAGACAGATCACCTGAGGTCAGGAGTTTGAGACCAGCCTCAACATGGAGAAACCCCGTCTCTACTAAAAATACAAAATTAGCCGGGTGTGGTGGTGCATTCCTGTAATCCCAGCTACTCGGGAGGCTGAGGCAGGAGAATTGCTTGAACCTGGGAGGCGGAGGTTGCAGTGAGCGGAGATCATGCCATTGCACTCCAGCCTGGGCAACAAAAGCGAAACTCCATCTCAAAAAAAAAAAAAAAAAAAGTGAAAGAAACATCCATCCTGTGGCCATATGAGTGAGGGAAAGTTTGGGTAGAACAAGATATATAGAGTTTTCAAAACTTTAATATGTTAATATATCTTATGGTCACCAAAAGGAGAAAATGATGGGTGGGGAGTACAAAATGCACTATTTTGATGGCAGGCGCTATTTATTTCCTACCTAATACTCCTTTGCATTTTCTTCTTTGCTATAAGAACCCTTACTTCTTCATGGCATCGAATATGCCCAGCCCGTTTGCAGCTGACCTATGGCAGTTCAGGGCTTGGTGCTGTAATTCAGTTAGTTCTACTGATTAGTCCAGATTACAGGCAGGAGGTGACAGTTGAATGGGGCCTTATGGGATGTGTAGGAGCTTCCCTGAGGCACAGAAGTGGAGGTAGGGAACTCCATGCAGAAGGCACATGGCCTGAAACAGCTCATCATGTCATGGCTTGTGTGTGGGAGGGACCCCAGCTTACTCAGACCTTTGTCCCAGGTCTGAGTAATGGGGCTTCGTGAAAGTGAGGAGTTAGAGGGAAATGACATAAATCATTAGTTTCTCCGTCTCTAGTGACAGCATTATTTGCTTACAAGATCAGGCCCTGTGACCTCCCTCTGTTGTAATTGCATTCTGTGTTTGGGGAAATGGGGCATCCCCCCAGGCCAACCTCAAAACACGCCCTAATCCTCCTGGCCTAAATGACACAAAGAGCAGCGGGGAGGAGCAGCTCCTTAACAATGGTCTAGGCATTCTTCGGGCTTGACTCTTCCTCCTGGACACTCCCAGGTGCCACCCCTGGGAGGTGGGTGTGAGTATCTCCTAGTGGAATTAGCTCTGAGAGCTCACACTTGATGTTAGCAGCAGCAGCCACCACTTCCATCACCTTCAGCCCCTGTGCCGAGAAGCTGATGGCCTCGCAGAAGAATATAAACACAGCAGCAGGTGGGAATGACAAGTACACCCGAGAGACAAGGGCAAAGACAAGAGCACAGCTAACTGTTTCCCTGGGCTGCCGATCCCTGGGGCAAGAATGAAAGGTGAACTTGGGCACTTTGCAGCAAATTGGAGGGGGTTCATTCTGCTTCTGGGCGGTGCGCCCTTGGATTCCAATCATTAAAGCTTTTTTGAGGTACTTGTCCCAGATCACCTGATTTTGGCTCAGGTGTTCTCTGAGCTTACCTCACACCTCAGGACACATGGTTTTAACATCTGCCCTGTTTTCTGGTCTCTTCACAAGATGGTGGTTTCCCTTCAACTGAGGGCCTGTGCCTCAGTTTCCCCACTGCCACCTAGAAGAGGTGCCTGATCAATGATGGAGTGCATTTATTTAAAACATTTCAATAGCATCCAGGCCTGATTTCCTGTGTTTAATGACATCATTGCTGCTCCCCACTTTTCCTTAATATTCAGCGGGACTACAATTTTATTTTATTTGTGTCTGGGACTAGCAGTCATGTTGGAAAGACCATTCCTTCATTACAGATAATAAGCCAGGGGCCACCATGCTGATCAATATCTGTCATGTTCCACATTGAAGAAGGTGTAGCATGGTTGACAAAGGCATCTCATATACAGGGTTCCAAGTTGGTGCTCACAGAATCCTTAGGCCGGGAAGAAGCAGTCATTCCCAGCTTGAAGACAAGACACCTGAGGCTTAGGGAGGCTGCCGCTCACTGGAGAGCTGGGATACAGCCTGGTTCAGTGGGATTTCTGTTTCCATTTGCTGCCTCACCCAAGTCAAGAGTTGTTAGTGCATATTTATCAATCTAATAATGTGACTAATTCCTAATTTTCTGTCTTGGTGGTTAATATGTTTTAACGGGCAAAGAAGCTGCTTTATAGAAATACACCAACAGAAAAAGTATGGCCATCCTTGAAACTAAAAAGGAAATGATTATCATAAAAATGGTGGTGACATGGTCAGGCTGTCTTTCAGTTCCTCAGTAACACTGGATTCCTAACTGGGTATGTTATGCCTTTCTCCCAAAGTCTTCCCCACTTAGGTAGTACTACTGACAGCCTTGGAATCTCAGCCTGAAGGGGGGATACAGTATAAAAACAAAATTCACAAGTATTTCCCTCTTGAAATTCATGCAGTTGGGAGCAGGAAAAGATCAAACACTTGAGTAAACATGGCAGAAGGCAAACAGCTATAACATATAATTCTGGGACTTTTTAGTATTCGTCAGATTCATCATTTCATGTTCGTGCTTGTTACCGAACATTAATGCCGCTGAAGGTCCTGATCACGTGATGAAACCAATCTGACCACCCAGCATGAATTTTTTTTTTTTTTTGTTACCTTGGATTCTTTTTTTTTTTTTTTTTTTTTTTTTTTTTTTTTTTTACCTTGGATTCAAGAAATGAAACTCTGTCTCTGAGCTCTTTGCCAATTTCTACAATGGTTTTGGGGTGACAGATCTACAAGCAGCAGTTAGCAAACGGTTTTCCATTTTCATGCTCCTCAAGGACGAGCATTTGCCTTGATCCTAAGGGTCCTAATGAGAAGCTTTAGAGATGTCCTCTGATGCTATTTTCTGGGTGAAACAAGGGTGAGCACTTTCTAAGAAAATCCATGGAAGTTGCTTTGAGTCCTCCCATTTCCTCTTCACGCCACAGTCCCGGCAGCTGCTCAGAAAGAGCTGAAAAGAGTGATTCAAGTTGAGCTTGTTTCTGCTCTTAAGACTGGCTCCGCTTTAAGGAGAGGAGACAGAAGCCTTCTTGGGTTTCTCTCCCCTCAGGCAGCCTCCTGTGGGTGGATGGCCCCAGCCCCACCACGAAGATACTCCCCAGACCTCCCCAGCAGCTCAAGGGATCAGCAGCGGGTCAGCACAGAGTGCTTCAGGACGCCTCCCAGCAGCTTTGATCCCAAACCGTGTGATTTCTTGGATTGGTTTGCAGTGGAAGGAGCAGGAGAATAGCCCTGAGGCCCAAAGCAACCTGGGAGAGAATCCTTTATCTCTTGGAACCAAGGCGAGGGACCTAAGGGTTGAGAGAAGCTTTGGTGACTAGCCAGACCAGCCACCACATGGCACCAGGCTTGCACACCTCTACAGATGGGGTGTTGTGCTAGCTCCCTTTATTCCCACCCACCCCATCACAGGGCAGCCTGACTCTCTGGAAGTTCACTAGGGAGAACTTAGCCTATGAGGCTGTGGGCCTGAGTCAGTTCTTGCAATAACTTTGCTATCAGGCCAGCTTGGTGCACTGTAGCAAGCATCAAGTGTTCACAGCCAGCTGGATCAAGGTGTTCTAATTCCCACCATGCCACTTACCAGCTCTATGTCCTTGGGCAAGTGGCTTAGCAGTGAGAATCTCAGTTTCCTCAACTGTAAAATGGGGGCTAGTAATACCACCTTCACAGGGTTGCTGTGAGGATTGTCTGAGCCAATGTAAGTAAAGTTCCTGGCACACAACTGGTGCCCAATACATGTTCCTTATTTCCCCTTCCCTCCTGAGGAAGAAGGGCTCTCCTCTAACACTAGGCATTGGCCAGAAGAATAGAGGGTGCCCAGAGAATTCTGAGAGAAAATACTAGCTTCTCCAGGCTCAACATCAGTTGCTTTTCACGTGTTCCTTTGTTCATTCATTCATTCATTCATTCAACAAAGGTTGACTGAGCGCCTTCTGTGTGCTGTGTATTGTCTTAAATGCTCAAGAAAAATCAGACATGAACCTTTGCTGCCACCACCACCCTACCCCCAGCACCCTCCCATCCCCTGTCAGACCACCTGAGGAGGAAAGAAGGATCATAAGGAACCCTCTCCCTCTCCAGAGGCAGAAGGCCACAGAGCAGAGCCATCAGTCCATAGAGTCCCCAATGCACCTGCAACCAGAAAGGGCAGGAGTCTCCAGGTGTTCAGGTATTGCACTACATGGAGACAGGGCTGGAGCAAAAGCTCTTAACTGCTCCACTTCTCCAAGCATGCACCTAGGAGGTGATTTGAGGAAGACAGATCAGACCTGGGGCAAAGCAAATGGGAAAACATTGTGGATTGGGGAAATTGAGGCCTAAATCTAAGACATTTATAACAAAGTGATCTTGGTCTATGGAGCGGATCCCAGTAGGAACTCAGTACATGGGCAAAAAGTCCCCTAGAGATGCTCACTGACTTTCCTATTAATTCAGTTATAAAATGTCTTTTTAGAGACAAGGAGAATGACAAAGTATCAGACTGGTGGGAGGTGATAGAGGTTTCTTTCTGGTATTTTTCATAGGTACCCCAAACTCGGTTCCATTTGTAATCAGTAATGTGATCTGCATTTTTACCTATGCTAGGCTAGGTCACTGTCTGGCTGTAGGGCTGCATTATAAAATATAGTAACACCACTTCCATCCTAGGCCACCATGCGTGTTCCCTCCTGGATGCAATTTCAGGAGGATCTGGACAAAGAGGAAAATGATCAGAGCAGAGGACACAGGATGTTCAGTCTGCAGCAAAGAAGACTTGGGCCTGGGAGCATGACTCCTGTTTTCAAATAACATAGCTACAGATGACAGGAGGAAGTAGGATGGTGAATTAGTTCATTTTCACTCTGCTAATAAAGACATACCGAAGACTAGGCAATTTACAGAAGAAAGAGGTTTAATGGACTTACAGATCCATATGCCTGGGGAGGCCTCACAATCATGGCAGAAGGCAAGGAGCAGCATGTCACATCTTACATGGATAGCAGTAGGCAAAGAGAAAAAGCTTGTGCAGGGAAACTCCTTTTTTAAAAAAAAAAAAACAAACAAACCATCAGGTCTTGTGAGACTTACTCACTATCACGAGAACAGCGTGGGAAAGACCCACCCCCATAATTCAATTACCTCCCACTGGGTTCCTCCCACAGCATACGGGAATTTTGAGAGTTACAGTTGAAGATGAGATTTGGTGGGGGACATAGCCAAACCATATCAGATGGCTATGTTTGGGACATCAAGGGGTGGATATCTTGGGAGTTCACTGCCATGTTCCCAGTGCTTAGCACAGTTGTGGGTCCAAAACAGATTCTCAGTCCAGGTTTGTTGGTCATTTCTTTTCATTGAAACAATTTCAGGAATTAGCTGGGTTAATACTTGTAAAGCATTTGGAATAAACACAGAGTGAGTGCTCAATGAAGCCTCGTGTGGAAGGGACTGGCACCAAAGCCACTGCTGCTCTGTATGCCTCTCAATCTCTGCTGCCTTGGACCATCCTTCACCCAAATGCTACCTTCCTGATCAAAGACCTTGGCACATCCCAGCCACAGAGGGCCCCAGTTGTCCACACTCCCTTACTCTCTACCCTCTGCTTTATTATTATTATTATTTATTTTTTCTGAGACAGGGTTTCACTCTATCGTCCAGGCTGCAGTGCAGTGGTGTGATCATAACTAATTGCAGCCTTGAGCTCCTGGGCTCAAGTGATCTTCCCACCTCAGCCTCCCAAGTTGCTGGAACCACAGGCCCACCAACTAATCTTTAAATTTTTTGTAGTGATGGGATTTTCCTGTGTTGCCCAGGCTGGTCTCAAACTCCTGAGCTCAAGTGGTCCTCCTGCTTCAGCCTCCCAAAATGCTGGGATTACAGATGTGAGCCACCACGCCTGGTCTGGTATCAATTTTTAATTGATGAGGAAACCCAGAAAGGTGAAGTAACTAAGACTTAAACTAGTTTGTGGCAAACTAGAATTACTGTGTAGGACTCCTGACTCTCAATCTGTTATTCTTTTAGTGAACCCAACATCAAAAAGTTAAGAAAGGAATGGAATACACCCAAACACAGAGCAAAAGAGTGTAACTTGAATTTCATTCCTACCACCCACTAACACTCAGAACTCTTGTGATCAGTAATTCGTTCCAACAGCTCTGATTTGTCCAAGAGCAGTTCAACATATATTAACAGTGGCAAGCAGACAGTGTCTGGAGTCTCCATGGGAGAAACACTTCTTTAGAAGTTCTGCCTGACTGAACGGCAGCCCACGTTCTTCCTGGATGGTGTCGGAATTACGAATTACATTCACTCAGTTCCACATCCCTGTCTCTGCCTCCCAAAGGGTAGAACAAGTGCAGGCTAGGGTTGTGAGATCCACGTGTCAGATAGAGGGAAGACGGTCAGTGGCTCCCTGGAGGATGTGCTGAGGAGGGCTGGCTCGCCTGCTGGAATTCCCAAATAAAAACAAACAAAAATTCTATCATCACGTTGGTGCAGAGTTGGTACTTCTCCAGAGCTGGATTTCCTGGCGCCTGTTTCCTCCTGCTATAGTACACAGCATTCCCACAAGTGAGAAATGCAAATGCCAAGAGAAGGTATATGGATAAGCTTGGGAAATGATTTTGACATTCAAAGTGGCCCCCTAGTAGCTAACCTTAACCTGCCTTTGCAGTCTCACTTTTCACGACTCCCCTTCATGCACCCTGTGTTCCAGCCAAAGTGAACTGCCCATCCCATCTGTGACTCTGAGGCTTCCCTGCTCAGGTGCTCAAGCAGGCCTCTCTCCCTGGAATACCTCCCTGAATAACTGAACTCTTCATCTCCGTGTAGCATGATCCTAGCTTGGCCTTCAAGATGCAGCTCAGATGTTGCCTCCTGACACCCTCCCTGATCTCTGAGAGTGATGCTTCTTCATTGGGCCCCTCTAAGTCCTGTCTCATTATCCATTCAACACATACTTATTGAGTTCCTCCCATGAACCAGGTACTATTCTAGGTATTTAGGGTGACTCAGTGAACAAACAAAGATCCCTGACTTTGGAGAGTTTGCATTCTGGTATCTCCCTTAATTTATTGCTACTGCTGGACATGTCTTGTCCTCTTGTCAGACATTATGCCACCCAGGGTCAGATTGTTGTCATGTCTGACACTTCTCTGTATGTCTTCCGTGGCTTCTTATTGCTCTTGGTACATCAGTGCTGAGCGTTTCCTACTCATCTGCCATGAATCCAAACTCACCTCACATCATTTCCTCCTTGCATTCTCTATTCCAGCTGTCTTTTGGTCTCTTCTACTCACAATGCCTTTGCCCATGTCTTCCTTCTGTGTGAAATAGCCTCTTCTCTCCAGTCAGTCACCTTCAAATCTCAGCTTAAGCATAAATTCCTGCAGGAGAGCTCATTTGACCTCCTTGGCTAAGTTGAATGCCTTGACATTTTTATGACATTATGGCTGTTATATCACTTATCTCAGTGGCCAGTTGACATGTTTCTGTGGTTATTTCACTAACATGTCTCTCCCTATCCAGATGGTAAGTAAGTTGAGGGCAGAGATGGTAACTATTTTTGTTTATTACTGGCAGTCACAGCATGTAGTGGGAAGTCAGTAAGTGGTGAATGAATGAATGAGTGAATAAATGAATGAATACCCATTTGCTATCATAGATGGCCATATTATCCATGATAGGCTCAGCTTCAACATTCTGTTTCTGCCTGTACAATTTTGGTTGTTAGGCCTTCTGTCCTAATTTGAATTTCAGAAAGTATAGCTACCCTGACCCTAGCACATAAAAGATGCTTAATATATTTCTGTGACTGCTAATTAAATAAATGAATCCAAAGCTTGGTAGAAGGGTGATGCTGGGTTGAGTAACACACATTAGAGGAATTTTTTTTTCCAGCCAAAGCTGACAGTGGTGTCTCCTCAGGTACAGGTGTACACATTTCAAAAGGGCTGAGGTACAGGAGTACACATTTCAAAAGGGCTAGTCAAAGGTGGCCGAGACCTGCTAGAGGTCTGTATATACTATATCAGCAAGCAGTAAGAAAGATCTTCCCAAACCTGTCACTCAAAGCTACAAAATTTTATCTAAAGACGTTGCCATCAGTGTGGAAGCCTATTGAAATGGAACATAAAGTTTTCTTTTAAGAGGTAGAAAAAAATAACTGAAGAGTAATTATTTCCTCTCGTCATATTTGTCCTCTTTAAAAAGATATTGGTCATACCTCCAGTTTACTGAATAAAGAAAAACAGCTGTCATTTACAAAGCACATCCACATATAGCAGGTTATTTTATTGTTAAAATTACATACGAGAATGGTATTATTCCCTTTTTATACAGAAGAGGAAATTGAGACTGGTACTCTGAAGGATATTATGGCTATGGTATTAGCCAGGATTGGCTAGGTTATGCTGTATTAACAAGAACTCCAAAATCTCTGTGTACAACAAAGATGGATTCCTTCTTGCCCATGGGATTTGTCCACTGTCAGTTTGCTAGGGGACTCTGCACCATGCCTGCTTACTTGGGGACCCAGGTTGACGAAGAAGCTACCATATCAAATGTTGCTGGTCATCGCAGCTGAGTGAGAGTGTGAACTCTGGAGGGTCTCACACTGGCAATTTAATGCCCTTGCCTGGAAGTGATACAGACCACGCCTGCTTGTACCTCTTTGGTCAGAACTAGTCCCATGACCCTACCCAGCCACAAGGGGGCCAGGAAATGAAATGCTACCAAGTGAATTTAAGTATAAAATCCAATGTGTAATTTTGTCCAGCTAGATAAAAGCTTCAGTGTTCACTCAAAATCAGGATGTTTATCTTCAAGGAGGGCTTTTGGTTGTTCTCATGGTGATGTTTGATGGAGACCCCAAGCCCTACATTGACTCTTGGCATCCCTATGCCTAGGACCATGAACATTGCTGTTCTGCCTTTTAGCTAAATCAATCACAACAGTATTCTGGCTTCTTACAGTCACCCTCCTAAAACTCAGCCTCCATATGTAGCCAGAGTGATCTTTATAAAACACCAAGATGGCTATAGTTAAAACTGTTTAACCATTTTCTGTTTTCCGAAGAATAAAATACAAAAAGGATGCTTCATGATCTTGTTCTCCCTGTGTCTTCTGTCTTCTGTCTTAACTTTGACTTTGCTGGTTATTCGCTTGTTTACTGTCAGATGCTCTCTTTGCCCTTTTTTGCCCTGCTCTCTATTATAAGGAACTACATTTTCCAGGCTTCTTTGCTCTCTGGCTTCTCAGTTGGTTTGGTCGATAGGAGGACAAGAAACTGGCAGAAGACTGGAGGGCAGGACGAGGTGATAGTCCAGGGTATTTCTTCCCTCATCTCTGCTTTGGGTAGCAGCTCCAGCATTAGCTTTGTCCCTCCAAGACTCCAGCCCCTGTTGGACAGGGCTATCATGGTTCCAGTGTCTTTCTTCTGATCCTGGCCCCTGTGCTCCCTTCAGCATTGGGTGTGTTAGAAGTTTCCTGCTGTTACTAATCTATGAGTAACTCACCACCGTTGTGTGGTTTCTCAGCTATGTGTATAAATGATTTCCTGTATTAAATTCCCTCTGTTTGAATACCTAGAGTGGTTTCTGTTTTCTGACTCTAATTAAACAGTCCTGGACTCTAATCAGTTTTTATTATACATTTGGTAGGTTTATCTACAAGGACACAGATTAAACTACCATTAGTTTGAACATTCTTGCTCTGGTATTTTAACTAGAACGGACTCATATATTGCTGCAAAAAGCATGTAAAAGACCCTCCTGAACAGTGACTCCCCCACCCCCTGCCTCTCCAACATAATATTACCACTTATAACCTCCTGGCTCTTAGATTCCCCTGGCCCCACATTTTGCCTTCTGATACCATTCTCAGATTCTACTTAATTTGGTGGATAGTTTGGATCTCTCAGTCTGCCTTCTGGAACCTCAGTTTGCATGCTTTATTGATTTTAGTAAACCCACAGCTCTGAGACTTTAGATCTATGATTTAAGGTGATGCTTCCACCACTTGGACCTCTCAGGACCCATCCAGCCTCCCATTAGAAGAGAAGAACCAGACATTCAAACATATAAGACTCTTTCATACTCGCATACCTTCCCACATGCTGTTCGTTTCACCTGGGGTCCTCTTCTTCCTTCTCTACCCAGTATGCTTCCCTTGTTCTTCAAGACTTAGATCAAGCTTCACATTTTCTTGGAAATCTTCCCTGAGTTTGGCTGAAGATGGTTCAGATTGATGTTTCAAGGTTCTCTGGACTTAGGCTATAAGATTATCTTGCAGTTGATGGTTTACTTGCCTATATTCCCCAGTAGGCTTTGTGCTTCTTAGAGGAACTGTATCTTTGTTATTACCTCATTCTCTATGCCATTCATGGAGCCTGATGCCAAATAAGTTCTAAGAATGGAGAGTGATCAAAGCATGGTTGAGAGGTTAGCCTGGGAAAAAGCTGAAGTAAAGAATGACCATCTTTCCATTCCGCTTACTCAAATATAGCACTGTGCCATGTCTAATTGGAGAAATTGGACCCTGTGAGGCATGTCATGTTGATTTACCTGCAAATTGTATTCCAGATAGTTGAGCCATATTAAGCTATTGATCAAGGTGTTTAAGATTCTGATGAAAACCTACTAAATACAGCAGCTTTTTTTTTTTTTTTTCAGACGAATTCATACAAAGTTTCATGCTCCTGGCAACAGCAGTTCAACACAGCTAACCACATCTCAAGACCATTTGGTCTAAATAAATTTGAGTAAAATCTAGCCTGTCAGTTTTTCCAAGAATTAGTTGTATCTTTTTTGTTGCTTTTGGATAGCTGTATAAATTGTGGTTTTTCTTTTCTGTCGTAGCTTTTGATTTTGACAGGTCATTGTTTATGATTTGGAAGGTCTCATTGGTAATGTACCTGTGGGATGCTTAATTATGAATATTTAAAATATGAGCTTTCAGTTCATGGGGATCAGTGATTGTTTTGTGATTTTTTTCTCATTACATCCCATTAGCATCACATCCAAGATGGGGCAGCTCTTAGAAAAACAATGGACACCTGTCCAATGTGGCTCTCTCCACAACTGGTAGAGGCGTTTCAAGTTGAGAGGACTATGTGTGATTTAAGTACTCCCTATAGATATAGTGGACCTAGACATACCTGTATATATATATAGGCACATCCAGAATGTGAATGTGTTCAGAGAACCAGGCCTTCTCTGAACCTCAGACTGAACATAGAAGCAGCGATGCTAGAACATCCAAGTCTTGGTGTCAGAACACCAGAGTCCATATCTCTTTCCTGGTTTGTGCTTGTTCAAAGATTGATCATGGAAGAGGTATTTTTTGTTGTTGTTGTTGTTTTTTTGCTTTTCTGCTGGCCAATAGCCTTTGACTAAGGGTCTAGCAGGCTGTGGATGTCTACAGGAAGAAATGGTTTTCAATGGAAGTGAACTTTACCATGCTGATGTTTCTGGTGTGTGGTCCTATGTGATCCTGGGCAAGTTGTTCAAGTTCTCTGAGACTTGGTCTCTTCATTTATTAAAAGGAAGAGGATAACATTTATCCTACAGGGAGTGGCAGGATTAAAGGAGATAGTGTTTGTGAAGTGTCTGGCCATAATGGCTGTCATTAATGATCAGGTCCTTTTGCCATCCTTCTCCAGTGTTTGGGGTGGAAGAAACTGTTTTAGTAATTCTTCTCTTCCTTGCAACTCCCACACACATGAAGCCATTCATGAAAGGGACAGGAGAGCTCATCTATGTCAACACCAATATCTACTCTGTCAGTCTAAATGGGGTGCTATGTTTTGTCTCTTCAAAGGCTGACATGTTTTAGTTAAGATTCCTTACACTGACATTTAGATAATTAAAATGTTGGCTGGAACTGGGAAACTTTTAAAAAATAATTTTATTTTGTTTCCATTTATTGTTGGCATTGTGATTCTGATTTCCACTAACTTCCAAAATTAGAGATTTTATAGTATTAGTGTAAAGACTCCTTCGAAGATACTTCTGGTTAGCCAAACCAAAGAGTACAGGAAATATCCCAAGGAATTTTTTTTCCCTCATGGGATTGTAAGGTAGATTTATATAAGTGACATCCATCCAAATGTCTGTTTGGTTCTTTTCAGTTGTTCCAACCTATCATGGCTTTGGTCATTCCTAAAAAATATATTTTTTTTTCTGGAATTTGTTTCTATCAATATAAATTGAAAACTTAAACTGCATTGAAAAGAAAAAAAATAAATTCTAGAAACATCTAAAAATGTCTGAATATTTTTGCTTCAAATAGCAGGGAAAAAATAAGGTTATTTCTTTTCCTGCTCAGCTTCAATCTAAACATATCGCTTTCATGTCAGAAGGATTTAGACATTTGTGCCTGAAACACTTATGACAATATTTTTCCAAAAAAATGGTCATGCCCTTTTCTCTAAAGGAGTAAAAATCCAAATAGCGAAGTATATATCAAAACCAAAATGCAGTAATTTAAATAAGCATCTTAACAATGAACATGTACCATATCTGATTTAACCACAGAATGTTTGCCATCAATGTACATCAAAACTGTTAGATGAACAAGCCATAAGTAACGTTAGCTTTCCTCTAGTCTTTCAACATAATGCTGTATTTATTCAGATACTGTTAGTATGCAACCCTAATTGCCTTGATTTTGACAGAACTATAAACACTGTTGGATAAAATATCTAAGCAAATAACATACGTTGGGTGAATCCAAATTCTAGGCATGAAGAATGAGGAATAAAACTGGCAACCCGGTTTTTTCTTTATTCCCTCCCTCCTTCTCTCACTTCCTTCTTTCCTTCCTCTCTTTTCTTTTTTGATGTCTTTCTTCCTTTTTTCTTTCTTTTCTCTCTCTTTTTTTTTTTTGGTGTTTGATCCCAGAAGGCTGCACCGCATTTTTGATAAAAGATTTCTCACTCATTCACTCACTCATTGATGGCACTGGTTTCTTAGCTGTGATATTGTCATTAACTTCAGCTTGTCATGAAAATGATGCAAAACTTGTAAATAGGCAAATGAGGATGGTGCATATTCCACCATGCAGTGCTGGGCTTGGCCTTCTACTGACGGAGCTTTCTACAGCTCAGTAGGGACTGGTCATAATGTGTCCGGAATTGGTGGGTTCTTGGTCTCACTGACTTCAAGAATGAAGCCGCGGACCCTCGCGGTGAGTGTTACAGCTTTTAAAGGCTACGTGTCCAGAGTTTGTTCCTTCTGATGTTCGAATGTGTTCGGAGTTTGTTCCTTCTGGTGGGTTCGTGGTCTCGCTGGTTCAGGAGTGAAGCTGCAGACCTTTACGCTGAGTGTTACAGCTCTTAAGGCGGCACGTCTGGAGTTGTTTGTTCCTCCCCGTGGGCTTGTGGTCTCGCCGGCTTCTGGAGTGAAGCTGCAGACCTTCGCAGTGAGTGTTACAGCTCATAAAAGCAGTGTGGACCCAAAGAGTGAGCAGTAGCAAGATGTATTGCAAAGAGCGAAAGAACAAAGCTTCCACACTGTGGAAGGGGGCCCGAGCGGGTTGCCACTGCTGGTTTGGGCAGCCTGCTTTTGTTCTCTTATCTGGCCCCACCCAGATCCTGCTGATTGGTAGAGTGGACTGGTCTGTTTTGACAGGGTGCTGATTGGTGTGTTTACAATCCCTGAGCTAGACATGAAGGTTCTCCAAGGCCCCACCAGAGTAGCTAGATACAGAGTGTCGATTGGTGCATTCACAAACCCTGAGCTAGACACAGGGTGCTGATTGGTGTGTTTACAAACCTTGAGCTAGATACAGAGTGCTGATTGGTGCATTTACAATCCCTGAGCTAGACATAAAGGTTCTGCAAGTCCCCACCAGACTCAGGAGCCCCACTGGCTTCACCCAGTGGATCTGCCTACCAGTCCTGTGCGGTGTGTCTGCAGTCCTCAGCCCTTGGGTGGTCGATGGGACTGGGCGCCGTGGAGTAGGGGGCAGCGCTCGTCGGGGAGGCTCGGGCGGCACAGGAGCCCATGGAGCGGGGGAGGCTCAGGCATGGTGGGCTGCAGGTCCCGAGCCCTGTCCCGCCGGGAGGCAGCTAGGGCCTGATGAGAAATCAAGCGCAGCGTCGGTGGGCCGGCACTGCTGGGGGACCCAGTACACCCTCCACAGCTGCTGGCCTGGGTGCTAAGTCCCTCATTGCCCGGGCCGGCAGCGCTGGCCGGCTGCTCTGAGCGCGGAGTCCGCCAAGCCCACGGCCACCCAGAACTCCAGGTGACCCGCAAGTGCAGTGCGCAGCCCCGATTCCTGCTGGCGCCTCTCTCTCCACACCTCCCTGCAAGCTGAGGGAGCCAGCTCCTGCCTTGGCCAGCCCAGAAAGGGGCTCCCACAGTGCAGCGGTGGGCTGAAGGGCTCCTCAAGTGCCGTCAAAGTGGGAGCCCAGGCAGAAGAGGCGCCGAGAGCGAGCGAGGGCTGCAAGGGCGGCCAGCATGCTGTCACCTCTCAGTAACATCTTACTAGTTCCATAATTGATTAATTAGTTGAATAAGATCTTTGACACATGATCATTTTATATTAGAGTCTGAAAATTATACCTAAACAGTATGTGATGTTTTGTTTATCTTTTAAAGGAAACTATGTTTTGTTTTGTGTTTATTAGTATTGGTGGAATTAATAAATTCAGTCACATCTAATGAATTACAAGGCAGCATTGGCTAATATTAGAGAGCCAAGGTGATCTCTATAAAAGTCCTCCATACACTCTCCGAATCCTGGTACGTGCTGAATCAAAGAGTTATTGTTGTTGTTATAATTGCAAATGAAAAGATGAGCGGAAAGGCAGGGCAGCTCATGGGCCACTTACTATCTTGGGCCAGAGGTTAGAGGTAGGAAGGAAGTGCCAGGGGAGTGTAGATAAGGAGGCCTAAATACATTCCCTGTATATTCAACTGTGTGTCAACATACCTTTAAGGGAAGAAAAAAACCAAGGAACAAATAGTTTTGATTACAAAACCACAGGATTATGAAAATACATAGATAGATGCATTTGAGAATCCATTGAAAGAAACTGATATTGGAATATGTTTGAGGACAAAATAATCATGTAACATTAAAAAATTAAGTACCACTCGTCTTAAAAATGTTCTCAAAACTTTCCCCATCAAATTTAAAAAGAGAGCACTTTAGCTGCCTAATATTAGCCATATTTTAAAGAAAACATATTTTCCTTTAAAAGATAAACAAAACGTGATACACTGTTCAGGTATAATTTTTAGACTCTAACAAATATAAAATGAACACATGTTAAAGAACCGATTCAACTAATTAATTAATTAGGGAGTTAGTAAGATGCTATGACCAGTCTGGAGAGTAATTGAGAAGCCAGGCACATAACACCACTTTAATAGATTTCTATGTTAGATACAAAATGGGTCAATGTCCAACACATCATCAGCCTCAATCCTTGGAGCCATCTTTTCCACCAAACAGGAGTTTTTTGCCTCTCTATTAGACGAAAATGTGCAAGTGATCCTGTGTCCCTACCGAGCTGTAGAAAAGCTCTTGTCAATAGAGGGCCAAACCCAGCACTGCATGATGGAATATACAGCATCCTCATTTGCCTATTTCCAAGTTTTCGATCATTTTTATGACAAGCTGAAGTTAGTGAAAATATCACAGCTGAGGAACTAGTGCCGTCAATAAGTGAGTGAGTGAGAAATCTTTTCAGAAGCCTGCTCTGCTAAGAGGCTCTTCGGTACCACAGTTACCAAGGAGAGTGTTGAAAATGGGAATTCCTAGCCCCAGTCTAAGACTGAGTCTGGACCTTTACAGGGTGGGTCTAGTAATGCAGAAATGTATGCGGCTGTGTGTATGTATGTGTATGAATGTGTGTGTTTGTGTGTGTGTGTGCACGCTTTGTGAACTTTAACATGTTCTTAAGGCATGTGTCATTGAGTCTGGGAACCATTGCTAGAGAGATCATTGTATAGATGGGGAAGCTGAGATCTGCACCAGGCCAGGACGTTTGCTGATTTTGCAATTGTCACATGCTGAAGGACGGCACTGTGAGCTTTCAGAGCCATATGATCCTTGCAAATCTCTGTGGAGAGGGAGTGAGCTGTAGTCTTATCCTAGGGGACCATGTTAGCCTGGTCTAAACTTAAACCTTCTCACTTTTTTCAAGCTACTTTATGTGTTTGTCTGCCCTCCGAAGAACTCTTCCTCTCTGGGAGTGAAAACACCAGTAGGTATAAACTTCCTGGAAGACAAATTGGCTTCCAAGAAGCCAATTTGCAGATCAAAAATCTTAAAACTAAAATATCCCTTTAAGCTCGATTTAACAAAAACCAGTAGTTAGAATTGTGCACGCTGATGTTTTTACAAAGTTATTCTTGGCAGTGCTTTTATAATTTTTAAAAAGAAGCAATTTAAATGTCCAATAATAGGGGAATAATTCAATCTTAGCTCTTTAGCATCAGTAGGATGCAGTCATTATAATATTTAAAAACAACTTTTAATGATGTGGACAGATAACTAACTGTTGGGTGCTCACTTTGTTCCAGGGATTTCTTGCCTATATTTTTCAAATTTTCTATGATGAACATTTATTAGCTTTATGATCATAAAAGTGCCATAAGTTTTATCTTTTCCTCCTCTTTCTACAAAGAAATTTGTTAACTAAATATTGAGAGTTAACAAGGTGATAGTGAATGATATTTTAATAAGAGATTGATTCTGTTAAGAAATTAAGCATCCTCGGCCATGCATGGTAGCTCATGCCTGTAATCCCAGCACTTAGGGAGGCTAAGGTGGGTGGATCACTTGAGTCCAGGAGCTCAAGACCAGCCTGGCCAACATGGCAAAACCCTGTCTCTACTAAAAATACAAAAATTAGCCGGGTGTGTAACTGTAATCCCAGTTACTTGGGAGGCTGAGGCACAAGAATTGCTTGAACCCAGGAGGTGGAGGTTGTAGTGAGCCGAGATTGCGACACTGCACTCCAACCTGGGTGACAGAGCAAGAGTCTGTCTTAAAAAAAATTAAGCATCTTCTGTTTATAAGATCATCAGGCAATGTATTGAATGCAAGTTGTCTGGCCTCTCCCTGGCGCTGCTTTAGCAGATCCAATTACTATATTCGTTTTAGAGCCAGAAACTTATTTTTCATAAGTTTCCTATCTCCTTTCCCTAATCTGTCTAAGTCAACAATGCTTTATTTTTTTTTTTACTTGCATATAAGAACACATGTACAAAAAGCCAGTCAACTCATTGGCTGGAAAGAATTGTTGCCACACTCAGAATTTGTCTAGGCTTTTAATTCTAATTCTAATTGGGGAGCTACATCGTCTCACACATATGGAGAATTTGTGCTTATGGCCCCTACTCAATTCTGCAGACTAGGGTTGGAGTTTTTCCAGGGGAGTTTGATGGAGAGAGTCAAGGGATTTGAAGGAGCAAGGGAGTGATTATGAAACAAATCATGGAAACCCACCTGGTAAGAGGAAAGTGAGGATATGATGGAGGTGATGAAAAGGAACAAATGTGTAGACCCAGTGAATTGGAGTTCATAATTGGGCCAAAGAATTATTGGCATGGGTCTGGTAGAGGATGTAAGCTGGTAAGAGAGGAGGTGAGCATCCTAGGGTGGGATGGTCAAAAAAGAAATTTCAGAGGTGAGCAGGACAGGTTAGTAAGGTCCAAGGTGAAACTAAGGATGTAAGTGAGAGGCCAGAGCCATGAGTGGGTAATCTACATGGATGATGACATCACCAAGAGAGATGATAAGACAAGCGACAAGAAGACAAGTCATAAAATTCCAAACTCTTCAGTAAATGAGGAAAACATTGGGATGGGTCTGATGGCATGCCTTCTAATGGAGCTGAGGGTATTATTATTATTATTATTATTGGAGAAAGTAGGGAGTAGGAGGAGAACTGAAGTGGAAACAGCAAGATCAAAGAGAACATTATCACATGAGATAGACAGGTTATAATCCCTAACTCTAGAGACCAAAGTTGGAGACTTAAGGCTAGCAAGCTTTCTCCTTAGCTCTCGTTCATGCTTTGAACAAAAGTCTTCCCACCCAACTTAGTTTACAGCTTGACATTGTGTACATGTCTCTGTGTCTGTGTCTCCCTCTGGATTCTAGATAATTCTCTGGGGAGAGCATGCCAGTGCCCGGCCGGCACAAATGCTTAGTGCATTTCAGACAAAAAACTTGTTTGATTGACATGCGATTAGAGAGCTTTCAGGATTTTGGTTTTTCTCAAGGAACTGAACAAAATCTCTATGGAGAGGTTGCCCTCAGAACCTCAGATGGACTCATCAAATACCTCTGAGCTTAGAATTCTTTATGTGGGCCTCTTCATTTCATCAACAGTGTATTTTCCTAAAACAACTTCTCTCATACATCTTCCTCCATCAGCTGGTCTCTGGTATCCTTCAGTGTGAGGGCAGGCTCCCCACTCTGCACCAGCACACCCTCGGTGTGTGCAACTTCATGGGTCTTCTGAAATGTACATCTGTGTTAATGTGCAGCAGGCCTCCCTTGGATGGAATCTGAATTACAGTCCTGGCTCTGTGAGGACCTAGCTGTGAGATGTATAAAAACTTGTCAGCACCCCAAGAAATTAAGGTTAAAAAAGGTTGAATAACTGGCCCAACATCTTATAACCTAGCAAGTATTAAAGCCCAGATTTATGGGATTATAGAACCTGGGCTTTCTCCATTGCCCCCAAAATACTTCTCAAATGTTTTCTATCAGTTTGGGAAGAACATTTTTCTCTTAATTCTGACAAAGCATCTAAGTGTAGACTACACTCATTATTTCCATTTTCAACTCAGATGGAACCTGAATAAGAATGACAGCAGCAAATAAACTCCTATGCATCAGGAACCTGCACATCTTCCTGTTAATAGAACATGATTTTAAATTACGTGACCAGCTGTTTTATCCCGGGTCAGCCACCAACGTTATTTCCGTCATAAACAATGGTCCAAATGCTTGGGGTTTGGGAGGAAACACCTTTCCTGCATGGCTTGATCTTGTGATGATGGCAATTAGGATAACTGTGACTTCACTGTAATCATGAGTTAGGCAACCAGCAGGTCACAAGTAGGGCAGAAGATGACCTGCCTAGCACAAACCATTTTTCATAAGCCACTTCTCTGTAGAAATGAGGGATTTTCCAGTAGTAAACCCATACTGTGTATCATGGGGCTGCCCAGTGGAGCAGAAGACAGGTAGCTCATTTAAAGTAGAAAGGGCATGAGTCTTGAAATCAAAAGATGTGGATTAGAATCCTGGCCCTGAAAGTTTCTGCTTGTGGATCCTTGGGGGGATCACCTTATTACTCTTAGCTTCTGAGTTTTCGTACATAAAACGTGGTTGTGATATCCCTTTCACAGGCCAACAGTGAAAACCATATGGAAGTGCCAAGATAGAGGCTTCATAAATATTACTTTGTATGAAGCATTTGTTAGACACTTAAAATCTTAATATTTGTTTCAGAAGTGGTGTGGTACATGAAGTATTTTGAATTATGATTTCCCTCCAGATACAATATTTTTAATACATTAAAGCAAGGGCTGACATGCCTAGTCCTATGAAGATGTTTTTCCTCATATTTTACATGTTTCTGTGGGGTTCTAGATGTTGACTTCAGTTTTATCAGCAAAGAAAACAATGATGTTTCTAACATGGTTCTGTGTATCTTAACTCAGCAGGCAATAACAGGCCTTTGGTGAAAGTTAGTGTTCTTAAGATATCACAGGACAACTTACATTGTTTTCTTACTATTACTCATACCAACAGTAACAATCCTTCACAAAGCATATAAAGGACTTTCGGGTCCATCATCTTCCCAGAACTAAATCTTCAGCACTCTTGTGAGATATGAAGATTAGAGTTTAACATTGACCTTAATCTTGACCTGATATTTAGAATATCAGCCTCTAATTAAATGTATTTATCCTTCTACAAATTAATTTAAAAATACAATTCTTGGCCAACTTTGTTGACAAAATGGATTACATTTATTATCTTCAGTATAATGCTCTACTTCTTGCAAATTTTCAACTTGTCTTCTACATACATATCTATAAATCTCATCCGTCAACTCCAGATGATAGTGTTTATGCTGCCTGGAGTGGGTGGTGTGTTTAGATGTAGAACCAACAGGTGTCCTCTCGTCCTCTGCAATGCACTGAACAACTCAAGATAACAGTATCGTGGGGCCTGTGAGACCCAAAGGCAAATCCTTGTTTTGCAGATGGGGAAATACAACAAAAAGAAAAACTGCAGAGTTCACCCGAGTCAAGCGGTGCTCCATCCTGTTTATCATTTGCAGAGTGCTGGTGTTATTTTGACCATATCATCCCTTTGAATGTGCCACTTCGGTACTGCTGTGCCCATCACAGTTCTTGCCGTGATCATGGGACTTATCGGTGTAGCCCCTTGTCCTAGGGACCAGCTGTCTGTTTATTGCTGGTGACATATATCCAGAGGATGCAAAAGATCCTCCAGGTTAGAGGTTGGCCAGCTGAGAGAGGAGGAAGACATTAGTTGTTTATGGTCTTAGGTCATGAGTTTCATAGAGTCTCAATGTTAGAGGAGGGTTTAAGTGCTATGAAAACCAATCAACCCTTATTTATTTATTTTAACCTGAAAATATTATACAAACAATATATATTCACTTTTTAAAATTAGAAAACACATACAAGCAAAATGAAAACAACAACAGTAAGTGTCATTTCACTACCCGGGGATAAATGTAGTTAGCAATTGGGTGCATAGCTACCTAGAGTCTTTTCTATAAATGAGATCATACTATACATTACTGCTTGTTCACTATATTATCACTATTTTCCTATATAAATAAATATATACCTATATCATAATGTTTATGGTATTCCATGGTATGCGTTTACCATATTTTGGTAATAAATCATCTATTGTTGGGCTTTAGCTTATTTCTGTTTTTTTCACCACTGTAAATAATGTTAAATAAACATCTCTATGCATTCATCTTTTCACATCCAACTGATGTTCAAAAACTTCCAGTGTTGGGAAATAGCCCATTGCCATTACCAAACCTGTGGCAGTTCTCACTAGGGTACGACTTGAGAAATGGGACCCTTAAATGACGCTGCATGATATGGGGGTCTCTGTAGCATGGTTCCTGTCAAAACATGTTCCTATGGCTCTTCTGTTCTGTTCATATTCTTTAAAGTCACCAACCACATGCTTCCAGTTATGGCTTCCCCCACTGGATTATTCTTGTTCAATTCTCCAGGCTGCAGGATCACTTATGATGCCAACAATATCATATAATATCAAAAGTCTTCCACCAGTCTCTAAATGACTGCTTATCATCTTTTTCCCAATCAAATATTTTATTGTGGGTTATTAGTGATTACGTCCTTCTAAGTGAAAATGAAAAGCAATAAAAAACCTGAGTTATAAGCACAAACTTAACTATGTAAAGAAAGGGCACGATGCCTCTGAGAGGTAAAACTCCTAGGAGATGACAGGCAGAAGAGAGTCTCTGAGAGCTTCTCTGAGAGTTCACAAGATGCCTTGCATGAACAGTTAGAGGACACGTTCTTGAATGAGCAATAGGAAATGTAAGGAGCCCTTGAAGTTGGGCTATCCGGCAGGGATGTAATATAGGTTAAGATTCTGGACATCTTGTAGGAATGTAGTCAAGGCATTATAATGCGCTGTATTTTCTGCGTCTAAGCTCATTCTGACCAACTTCCAGCTTACAGGGGTAGGTCAAACAGATCACTTCTGTGGAGCAACACAAGTGCCCATACAGTCGGGCACTGAGCAGAAACTTCGCCAATCAGCATACAGTCCAGAAAACGAAGAACAGGGACAATCTGGCAGAGTCCCTCCTGATTACCTGCTAGTCTTCAATCTCAGTTTTTTCATCCACTTACTTGGAGTCTTAAAATGCAGGAACATTTGCAATTTAATGGCCATTTAAAGTCTGATGATTTGTCTGTGTCCCCATCCAAATCTCATCTTGAATTGTAGCTCCCGTAATCCCCACATGTCATGGGAGGGGCCTGGTGGGAAGGTAGTTGAATCATGGGTTACCCCCATGCCACTGTTCTTGTGATAGTGAGTGAGTTCTCAGGAGATCTTATGGTTTTATAAGGAGCTTTTCTCCCTTTTGCTCTGCACTTCTCCTTGATGCCACTATAGAAGAAGGATGTATTTGCATCCCCTTCCACCATGATAGTAAGTTTCCTGGGGCCTCCCCTACCATGCCAAACTGTGAGTCAATTTGACCTCTTTCCTTTGTAGATTACCCTACCCAGTCTTGGGTATGTCTTTGTTAGCAGCATGAGAACAAACTAATACAACATCCAACAGATTTTTTTAAATTCTAGAAAACTCCAGCGCTAGTCTCAAACAGGTTTTGCATTCCACTGCGGGTTAAAACACACACACATACATGCATACATAGACACAGGTCATAACAGATAAACGACACATGTTGCAGAGCACACTCAGTTCAAGGATGGGGGTAGAGTTCCCTTTGATGCCACCTGCTTGAGAGTTCTTGCTGGCTAAAAGCATATAACAACACCTAGAGTGTGTGAAAACACACACACACACACACACACACACACACACGGCACTGTTAGATAATCATGTTCATATTTATTTTAAGAAAATATTTCAGAACCAAAATAGTTTTATTAAATGGATGCTATTTAGGAAGAACATAAAATAGGCTGATGTGTTATTATGTTAAAGCTCTCTCCTGTAACCTGTTGGTTTTAATTAGGGCTCTTTGAGGGCCACTCAGAACATGTCTGCATATATTCTGATTGTCAGAGATGTGAAATGATTCCTGGGTTTTCTCTTGTGCCCAGGTAATTGGTGAGTTTTAGTTTGAGTGAATATTGTATTTTGAGAATCATGTATAGTTCTCTCCATTCTGGTTTTGAGAGGGGCAGTCAATGACTGGTGTAGAGGGCACTGGTGATCTAATGGTGAGTGGGGTTTGAGGTAGTATGGAAAGGGAAATGAAGAAGGAAAGCAGATGCCAAAAGGGAAATGTCCCAGACTGGGACACCATGTCAAATCTCTTTTCTTTTCATCTCCTGAAGTTGTCCAAAGAGGAAGAGAAACCCAAAGAACCTGCCATTCGCTGTCCACTGGGAGCCCAGCTCCCCACTGCATGATGATTTCTCACTCTGGTATGTTAGGAAGGCAACAAGCCAAACTCAATAGCTAGAAAGAGAGACTGAGAATTAAACATGGCAGGATCCAGAAGTTGCACCTCTGGGTCAAATCTTCATTTTACAGACCAGAAATCCAAGACCAACAGAGCGGACAGAATGTGGCTGAGGCCTCAGTAAAGACAGAGCAGAACTGAGATGAGAACCCAGCTGTCCTGTTCTCCAGGTTGATGTCCCTCCCAGGGTAACATCTTTGGGAACAATGTGACATGTAGCAGTTCAGATTAGCAGTAGCATTTTGTCACTGGTGTCTTCCAAATATCATCTCAAATAAGAAACTGCTTAGGTAATTGCACAGAAGATGCATGGCTCATTAGAATCTCATTATTCTAAAACAACTGCACATTTTTTTTCTGTTTTTTTTTTGTTTTTGTTGTCCATTTAAATTTATGGTTTGTTTACTGATCTGGCAGGCAGCAAGACGTATGGTTGTTTTGATAGGTTGTTAAATACCTCTTTCTATTCCCTGTTGAAGATAAATTTCTTCTATTCCTCTGTGGAATATTTTTGTTATTTGTTACAAAAAGCAGGTTCAGAAATCATAGACTCTCAAGCAAACCTCCCTGGTCCCATAAAAACTTGAGTAACAGTGCTCTTCTATTACTATAAGACCATGGTTTACCAGAGATTTTGATGTTGCTAACGTTATGCCCTGGGAAGTGGGTCTTATGATCACCATTTCAGGGCTGTGGAAACTGAGGCTCGGGAAGGGAATTCAGTGTTCTGGACATTTGTGCAGATTCTTTGCAAGTCAAGTTTCACGAGGTGGCTCCCACTACCCCCACCTACTACATTCCCATTTGGAGCCCCCCAGTGGGGGCCCATCCAAAAATGCACCCAGTCCTTCTTTCACTTTCCTTCAGTTTAGCAAGCCTAACCATTTAAACTTCCCATGCTCTTGACATTAGTGGTCCAGAGGAGCTAAAAGCACGGGTTGCTCCCCAGCGTCATCACCCTTATTTCACATTTTCATAAGAGATAAGTAATTTATTAACCTTGGCCCTGGTATTCTCTGGTTAGTATCAGCTATTTGAAAAGTTCGTTTTCTCTGTTATTTGTATTTTTCCTCTTAGTGTTTGAATTGAACTTTTCTCCCATGTTGTTCCCATTTTATAACACTTTACTATTATTCTGTCATTTAAAAATAATACCAGGCTTGAATCTGTTTTTGAGATTGGTATTTGAAGTTTGAAGACATGATTTTTGTTTCCCAGTTCCTCCTCTCTGCAGATATGCGACATTGGTCAAGGCTAGTCCCCACTTAGGGCTTTGGTTTTTTCATCTGTAATATTAGGATGTTGGACTGGATGACCTTAAGGGTCATTATTGGTCTGAAATGCTCAACTTGCATTTTTCTTTCTGTTTTTATCAAGACTCTATTCATAAAATAAGGTCAATGGCCAGGATTTTTGGCTTAGGAATTTTTAACAGAATTTGATGATCTTGTTTTAGATGTAAGGATATGGGAACCAGTCATATCTGGTCAGGATGATCTCACTTTGGGATAATCTCTACATGGTGTCCAGGTTTCTCAGAAATATGTCCAGACAAAGCCCTCTCGGTTCCAGATCCCTGTAGATGTTATGTCAAGTGCCGTGGGCCTGGGCTCTGTTCAGTGTTGTGATTTGACATGTTGGGAATATGGATGCCTTCACTGTCCCACAAAACCCTTAGCAAACTGTCAACAAGTACAGTTGCAGGCTTTGTATCTGGTTGTTTCTAAAAAAAAAAAATGCCTTCTAGCTTCATAGATTATGAACTGGAAAGAAACTTAATATCCTCATTTTACAGAGGATAATGGTTCGGAGAATAAGTGAGTGAGAGAACCATCAAGGGGAAGGAGGCAGTCACTGGGCCTTATCCCATCTCTCTCTCTCTCTCTCTCTCTGCTTGAAGTCTGCCAGCTTGGGTTTCATTTATGGAGTTAATCCAACATTGTGCCAAGACTTTTTGAGCCAAGTAGGTGCCTTCCCTGGTACTGTAGTCAGAGACAGAATACCAATTCAATTCCTTTTGTTGTAAGAAGTGGCATTGCTCCTCTCAAGCAGTTCGGCTCCATTTCGGGGAAGCCAACTGACTTCAAGTGCCATGGGGATAATTTTGCCATTGTCTAACAGAATAATGTCCAAACACCATAGCATAGCATTCAAGGCCATTCAAAATTTAGTTATGACCTATTTGCCTTAACCCTCTTTAAGCCTGGTTGGCTCATGGTTCTAAGTCTTCCTAGTCTTCTTGTTCTGCTGTGGTTTACTTTAGTATCCAGCTTATTTTGGCTTTGTCTCCCAGGGATTCTCCCACACTAACATTTCAGACTCAATGTTAGTGCCGGGTATCCTCAGTTTGGACTCATTTTTGTCTCAGGAATCTGGCCTGGCGTTTCACTCATGTTCTGCAGCTTCTTTTCCAGAGAAGGATACTTACCCATGTCAGCCTCTTAGAGCATACCCTCTGGCTCCAAGTGGCTCATCTGACACTCTGGCTGGCCATCCAGGTCACCTGTGGGGTAGGCCAGGAGCAAGGGATTCAGGACAACCTTCATAGATTCCTTGGCTTCCTCTTCTGTGCCAGGCCTTGGCCTAATCTGAGGATATAGAGATGGATATGACACTCTCCTACCCTAAAGGAACCCATAACAAAATAAGGAAGCAAATGGTCTAAGTAAATACAGGCAAGAATATGTTTTGGGTGCACTTCATATAGAGTGAGTGAGGGGTGCAGAGGAGGGATGAGTCAGTGATGCTGCAGTTGTGGGATGGTTAAGGAAGCCTTCAGAGATAAGATGCTGAGTCCCAGGGATGTCACATGTGAAGAAAGAATGCCTGGTACAGAACTGGAATTTCTTTCATGAGACCAGGAAAATAGATTTCCTGGAAAGGAGAAGTCCATGGCTTGTTAATTATGCCTTTGCAAACAGAGCAATGTGAGCAAAAGATCGGAACCTCTTGGATGGAAATCTTTGACATTTGGAATTCAGATGCCTCATGGCCAGCTAGCCTGGCCGAGGGTCTAATTCGGTCTTCTTCAGAAGGGAAATTCCCAGCAGCAGCTGCAGTGGAAATGCTATATGTGGAATGCCAACAGAACAGACTCTCATTTTATCCGGCTGAAATGAGGGGGAAGTGGCTCTTGATATGACCTTTCTTCTATGTGGGGTTGCCTTTTGGGCTTGGAAAATTTGTCTCAGAAACAAAATGCCAAGTGAAAGGATAGATCCAGAACATCAGAAGATAGTAGTTTCTCCAAGATCATTCTTCTTCGTGGGTGTGAGCTGAGAAAGCCATGGTCAAGTGTGCAGCCCAGGGCAATGACATACAGGAGGGGTTTGACGTGGGCTGCAGCGGCTGCTGGGAATCCCTCATCTGGCTGCAGAGCTGGGACAGGATATTTGGCAGGAGATGAGCAGAGCAGAGAGGAGAGGACTAGCATGCTGAGCCTGTCCCCCTCCGGATGCAGAGAGTTTTGAATGCCTGGCTTACTGAGAGGGATGTTTCACTGGACACATTTTTCCATAGTGATATTGGTGGCGGTGCCCATTGTCCCTGTGGGAGGTAGGGTGGTGAAAGGAATGGAAAAAAAAATAATGTTTTCCAGCAGGACCATTACATTATGGAAACCCTGACACTGATTTGCAAATGTCTCTTTTCTCTTGGGATAGGTTAGGGAGGTTATTGACTTCTGACTACCTGTGGCTTTTATTAACATTGGAGGCCATGGTGTTTATGTTTCAGAGCTGACAAAACCAACTTACCTTCAATTAAATGCATGTAGGTGAATCTCAGGATTATATCATTGAGTGAAAAAAACCCACAGAAGAATGCACACAGTATGATTCCACTTACATAAAGCTCAAAAACATATAGCCGTGTGTGTTGTATATGTGTGTTTGTGTGTGTCTAGTTTAAAGATGCAAAAGTGTATACAACTATAAAGTTAAGCAAGGAAATAAACACAAAATTTGAGATAATGATTACTAATTTTGAGGGGGAGAGAAGGTTTGAAGTGAGGTGGGACAACTATAGGAGATTTCAAGGTAATGATAATGTTCTTTTTTTAAAATAGGCAGTGTGAACGAAATTGTTCATTTTATGGTAATTCTTATAAGTTACGTGTGTTTTTTGAATATTGTATATGTTACAATTATTTTATGAATATTATTTATATCTACCATATTTAGTAAGACAAGCTGAACCCCTTTACCTAGCAGGGGTAGGATGTGTGTGGGGGGAGGGGGCAAGGGTGAGTGAGTGCCTTGTGGCCACACTTTTGAAGGAAGGGCATTTGGTGGGTTGCCAGTTTCTTATGAGGTAGCATGACCCCAGCTTTCCTTAAATCCACTGATTTATATTTTGAATAAAAACCCAAGTGTACGAACTGACTCCAGGAGCCCCTGTTGAATCAAAAGTTTATTTCTCTTCCTCGTATAGAAAATGTGAAATAATATAGGGTGGGAAAAAATCAAAATATGAAACTAGGCATGTCGTTTCATTCATATATTGTTTAAAAATCTGTTTGTATGCATTGATTTAAAAAGCCTGAGCAGTGTTTGCTCATGTATTTCAAAGGGGCTGTCTCTTGAATGATTTGTTTCAGGAAGGATGACAGGTTTCACAGTAGCTGGTCCATTGGTTTATTTCACTTCCTTCCATTTCCAGTGTGGCGGGTCCATCCTCTCTATCATTCTGTCCTGTCCCGTGATAGCTCCGTGTTTTTCTTTTTGTATTTTAATTGTCTGTGGAAGACTCTTCTTTCTCCTTTCCAAAAATGATCAAAATTTAATTTGATTCCTGATACATGTTGATAAAATCAGAAGCCAGGAGACTAGCCGAGGAGTTAGGAAAATCACGTTAGCAGAAAACATGCCGCAGGACGTGGTGTCCACCCAGACAGGGGATGTCCCAGGAAGTTCAGTGTGTGTGGTTCCAGCAAGCGCAGCCTGGTCCACAGCAACTAGCCTCCTGCCTCTTCCCTCTTTCCTTTTCAATCTACTCCACTGCCCCAGTTAGGTTTCCTGAAAAGCACATTGAGACTCAGGTTAGTGTACAGAGGTTTGTTAGGAGTGCTGTTGTAATAAACACCCAGAAAGGGAAGGGAGGAGAAGGAAGAGAATCAACAATGAGTAGAGGATGAAGTCAGGCTGGGATGGAGTCCTAGCCCACCCTGCAGGGAGTTGAGAGAATTACCCTTTAGAGCTGCTCTGAGTTGGGGTGATGGGCGGGGGGGCCTTTATTCCCACATATGTCAACCAGACACTGGGTGCTGGCCACCTCTGGAAGGGGTGATATGGTTTGGGTCTGTGTTCCCACCCAAATCTCATCTCAAATTGTCATCCCCATGTGTCGATGGAGGGACCTGGTAGGAGGTGATTGGATCATGGGGGTGGATTTGCCCATGCTGTCCTCATGATAGTGAGTGAGTTCTCAGTGAGTTTTCAGGAAAGCTGATGTGTGGCACTTCCTCACTCTTTCTCTCTCTCCTGCCACCACTCTCTTTCCCTTCTCCTTCTGCCATGATTTTAAGTTTCCTGAGGCCTCCCCAACCATGTGGAACTGTGAGTCAATTAAACCTCTTTTGTTTATAGATTACCCAGTCTCAGGTAGTTCTTTATAGCAATGTGAGAACAGACTGATACAAAGGGGATATCCCTTTACCTGAGGCAATCCTCCAAAGACACTGACAGCATTTCCAGTAACTTCATCTCAAATCCTTCATTTTTGAAGTGAATCCAGGTAGCATGTTACATTGACTGCACCTCCATGCTGCAGCCAGAATTTTTTTTTTTAAATTAAAACATAAACTTAATAATGTCCCCTGCTGCTTCTGAAAATATTTCTGTGGCTCTTCCTTGCAAACAGGAAAAGGACCAAACCCTTACTTTGAAATCCAAGGCTTTTTACAGTCTGGTCCTAATTTTTATTCATTCTCTGATACTATTTCCCGTTCTTGTCCGTGTCCCAACAGAAACATACCACCACATTCCAGCTACACCAAACATTTTCACCTGATGAACATATATTTTTTATATACCCAGTCACTCTGTCTGGCATATCTTTCCTCTCTCAAAGTCTTACTCAACTTTCAAGGCCTTGCTTGAATGTCCCTTTGTTTGTAATGTCTGCCCCAAATTATCCAGGCAGAGTTTTTTCCTTTCTATAGGTCTCAAAGACCATTTTTCTTCCCTTCTCCTTACCTTCTCTCCTCTCCTTTTTCTCCTCATCTTTGTTCCTGCACTTCCCTCATTTTCTCTGATTTTTCTCTTTGGAGCATGTTGTCTTCTCAAGTAGGTCTCATCTGTAAATCTAGAAGCCATGGATTTGCTGGTGTTTGGTATCGTAAGGGAAATCCACTTTCGGTGTATAGGTTAGTTAATGTTGTACCTCCCGAACACTTTATGTAGACATTTGTGATATCGCTTATCCTGCCATCGTCCAATTGTTTGACTAACAATAGCTGACACATCAACATCAGTGGACAGGACTTCTTGCTTTATCAGGCAAGTTATGCACCCTTTCTTAGAAATAGTATCAGAATCGTCAAAAATACCTTACACTGCAAATAAGGGGCAATTTACTTGTAATTATTTGTTTATGCGTCTGACTCCCCCCAGTAGACTAAAAGCAATTTAAGGCTGGGGACTCTGCCTCTCATCTGGGTTTCTCTGTGCCTTGTACAGGCTTTGTTGTAAGAGAGGGCTTCATTTGATGTCTGTGGAATAAATAGATGTTGTTACATATAGTTTGTTTTTCATTTGAGGAAAGGTATGAAGGTGAGACAAAACTGAATTTCTTTGTAAGAGAAACAGCAAGAGAATAATAAATGGCAACATTTTTTCTAATATACTTCAGGTAGTTTTATATTCCCTTTCACTGCCGAGCTGATGTCTCTTGTGAGTTCTTTGTGCGATAGATTATTTGCAGTAAATGTAAAGACTTTCACTCACTCCCATCTGCCCCTTAGACACACCAGGAGCAGCCATTGATTGAGTCCTACCATGTGCCTGACCCTGCGTTCATTGTTTCTAATCTTTGGGATAATCCTATGAAGTGGATATTGCTACAGCCATTTTGCTGGTGAAGCAAGTGAGCCTCAGAAAGGTTAAACTAACTTATCCAAGGCGATATATTTTCAAGTGACAGATCAGGATTTTAATCAGGGAAGTCTGATTTCAGAACTCTCTGTCTTCCTGTTATTGCCTTACTGCTGCAATCCAATTTACTGATTCCTTCTCTACATATATGTGATAGGAAACACTTGCCTATTAGTAGTGAAAAACTTTTTGGGATGGGGTGATTCTGCTGTCTTTTAAAAGAGAGGCCACATAAGTCATTTTATTTTTATTTTTATTTTAAGAGACAGGGTCTCTGTTGCTCAGGCTGGTGTGCAGTGGGCGTGATCATAGCTCAATGCAGCCTCACACTCCTGGGCTGAAGGAATCCTCCTGCCCCAGCCTCCCAAGTAGCTAGGCCTACTTAGGCCCTTAACTTGTTGGCCTTACCTAATATTCCATTTCATCTCCTGCCACTCCCTGACATCTCACTATCCACTTGAGATTACTTCTTCCCTGCATTCTCCTCATACTTTTAGGCCAGGGGTATCCAGCCTTTTGGCTTCCTTGGGCCACATTGGAAAAAGAAGAATTGTCTTGAGTCACATATACAAAATGCTAACACTAACAATAGCTGATTGAGCTAAGAAAAGAAATTATTAAAAAAACTCACAGTATTTTAAGAAAGTTTATGAATTTGTGTTGGGCTGCATTCAAAGCCATCCTGGGCCACATGTGGCCCATGGGCCGTGGTTGGACAAACTTGTTTTAGGCTTCTGTGCCTTTGCTTTATGCTGTTTCCTGTGCTTGGAAGGTTTTCATCCCTTTTAAATCTTTATGGGTTTAACATGTGGGTCCAGTGCACATGTCCCTTACTGCTGACTATTTCCCTCTATATCCCCTGAAGGATTTAGAGGCCCTCCAGGATGGGCAGAGTCCATGTCTTAGTTTTCTATGCTAAGGCTTGTCATGGCACTTGGTGCAGAAAGGAAACTCAAGAAATACTGGTGCAGGCAGCAAGCTCGATAAACTTTGGGTGATGGAATAGAAAAGAAACGCCAATGAAAAGCCCCTTAGCCGCTCACAGCTCCTCTGCATCAGATCCTCTCCCTGCTCTTTTTATGCTCTGCTCTGCATGACTTTGGGCTGACCCCTGCAAACATTTCCCAGGCTTCCTTATCAACTGGCTTCCAGCTAGATTCAACTACTAGGAGGCGCTGGTGAGAGATTAAAGAAAGCAGAAGGGTGAGACACCAGGGTATTTCTCTCCTCCTCTCTCTGCTTAGGAAAGTGTCCCCAACAATGGCAGAATCTCCTGCACAATTCCAGCTGCCATCAGATAGCCCCTCCCTCTGTGGCCCCTAATTTTTTTTTTTGCCATGCAGCCACTGCCATGATTCCAGCTCTCTGTTGGAAATCCCAGATCCTTGGCTCTGATAACATCACCCCTCCTTTTATCCCTCTAGCCCTTGGGACAGTAGTGACTTTCCACTGTTGATAATCTCTGCTTTGACTCTCTATTCTTTATTTTGCTTTTAGGCCCTTTTGAAACCTGTGTGACTCATTTCTTCTATAGCTAGCCCAGGCTTCGTTTTCCTGCCTAGATCCTGACTATTATAGTCCCATGCTTTGTTTGTACCTCAGTTTCTGCACTGTAAAAAATGTGATGATTGAGTTGTGTAATCAGTTTTCTTCTTGGTACAATTCAGATTAAAGAGAAGATATACTTGGGCATGCCATCCATGTTGGCCTATTTTGAACTTCAGAAAGAGAGAAAGAACTCCTAACACTTCCACCCAGCACCTTCCATCCTTCTTAATGGAGTATCCACTCTGTTCAGCCAGAGAGATCATCCGCAGGATGGAGGCGTGAGTGTCCACCTGGCTGGCATGGTGATTGAAATGCTGCCTCTTGAGTGCCAATGTCAAAGGCACCCTACCTGACTGAATAGTGGCCAGAGGTCAGTGAGAAGCATCAGGAACTAATGTGGCAAACAGGAGGGAGGGACCTGGGGCCAGTGCTCACCCCTATCCACTCTGGCTCCTCCCTGAACACAGCCTGGGACCCCGGCTCAGTGTGAGGCTGGAAAAATGTCCAGAGAGGATAAGCCACTTCTTTTCTGGGACCTGTTAATTCATGGTCACCAGTCGTCAGTAAGATTTTACCTACCCATCTTCTAACACCCAAGTGTAGCACGCTTCTCACCTTATCTGGCTCAGTATTGCATAAAACATTGTTTTATGTGTGAAAACAAAGACAAAAATGAATATCAAATAACTTCAGATACTTTCAGTTAAGTAGGGGGGTATAGATACATATATAACTCTCATTCATAAAATAATTCTAACACAGCACAGTTGGTAATACATATTCTGATCATGCAAATCGCATGTTTGGGGAAAACCATGAAGAAGAAAGCACTCTAAGAAGAGGGCATTGGAAATAATTGATGGAGAGGTGATATCTTGAACTAGGCCTTGAAAAATGATGGTTCGACTTAAGCATGAGGCAAAGGACATGGTAGGCAGGGGGGTGACAGTCTGAGCAAAGGCCCATGGAGAGAAAGGGCAGGGATTCATCGTGACTCAATATGCAATGAGGAGTTTAGAATCTATTCTTACGCAACTGGGAGTCCATGAAGGTTTTTGAGCAGGAATGTGTCAAAATTGGATGTGTGTTGCACAAAAATTGCCTTTGTGTCATGCGGGTATATGAATCAGACAAGGAGGAGGAATGAAAGGAGCCTAACTAGGAAGCTATTGCAGTAGCCAATTCTACCACCACTTGGACATGTCTCGATGGTCATAGCCTCCTTGGAGGAGTCAAGACAAAGCAGAAGCTAGTCAACCTTGCATATATTAGGAATTTTAACAGACCTTTTATTAGTCAGGGTTCTCCAGAGGGATAGAATGAGTAGGGTATATGTATATGTACAAGGGAGTTTATTAGGGAGAATTGGCTCACATGATTAAAAGGCAAAGTCCCTCTGTAGGCCGTCTGCAAGCTGGGGAAAAAGGAAAGCCAGTAGTGGCCCAGTCCAAGTTTGAAAGCCTCAGAACCCGGGAAGCCGACAGTGGAGCCTTTAGTCTGTGGCCTAGGAAGCCTAAGCCTCTGGTGCAAGTCCCAGAGTCCAAAGGCTGAAGAACCTGGAGTCTGATGTCCAAGGGTAGGAGGAGCAGAATCAAGCATCTGGCATGGGAAGAAGAAAAAGAGCCAGAAGACTCAAACCTATCCAAGCAAGCAAGCAAACTTATCACCCTCCTTCTTCCTACTTTTTGTAGCCATGCTGGTAACCAATTGGATGGTGCCCACCCACATTGAGGTTGAGTCTTCCTCTTCCAGTCCACTGACTCAAATGTCAATATCCTCTGACAGCATCTTCACAGACACACCCAGAAACAATACTTTAGCAGCCATTTAGGCATCCCTCAATCCAATCAAGTCGACACCTAATATGAACCATTACAGACCTGAAGGTACTTGGACGAATGAGCAGTATTGGGGTTTATACTTGTGGAGGTTCATGGAGTGAGCTCTAGGGGATGTCAAGGGGTTAGGGTGCTTGTGGAGTTCAGCTGAAATTATTGACCATGAAGCCCAATACAACAAGGAGGGAATTAAACAGAGGGTCAAATAGAAGAAGTAGCTGTCCCAAAGCAGGAAGCACTCAGCTGCAGTAGGGATAAGGGACAAGGACAGACACCGAAGAGGATTTCTTAGGCGCCCAATGGCCCAATAGTCACTTTTGTTTTGTTTTTTTTTTTTTTTTTTTTTGGCATTTTACATATTTGTTTTCTGTTTTTTTTTTTAAATAATACTTTAAGTTTTAGGGTACACGTGCACAACGTGCAGGTTAGTTACATATGTATACATGTGCCATGTTGGTGTGCTGCACCCATTAACTCGTCATTTAACATTAGGTATATCTCCTAATGCTATCACTCCCCCCTCCGCCAACCCCACAACAGGCCCCGGTGTGTGATGTTCCCCTTCCTGTGTCCATGTGTTCTCATCGTTCAATTCCCGCCTATGAGTGAGAACATGCAGTGTTTGGTTTTTTGTCCTTGTGATAGTTTGCTGAGAATGATGGTTTCCAGCTTCATCCATGTCCCTACAAAGGACATGAACTCATTAATTTTTATGGCTGCATAGTATTCCATGGTGTATATGTGCCACATTTTCTTTCATTTTATTTTATTATTATTATACTTTAAGTTTTAGGGTACATGTGCACAATGTGCAGGTTTGTTACATAGGTATACATGTGCCATGTTGGTGTGCTGCACCCATTAACTCGTCATTTAGCATTAGGTATATCTCCTAATGCTATCCCTCCCCCCTCCCCCCACCCCACAACAGTCCCCGGAGTGTGATGTTTCCCTTCCTGTGTCCATGTGTTCTCATTGTTCAATTCCCACCTATGAGTGAGAACATGCGGTGTTTGGTTTTTTGTCCTTGCAATAGTTTCCTGAGAATGATGGTTTCCGGTTTCATCCATGTCCCTACAAAGGACACGAACTCATCATTTTTTGTGGCTGCATAGTATTCCATGGTGTATATGTGCCACATTTTCTTAATCCAGTCTATCGTTGTTGGACATTTGGGTTGGTTCCAAGTCTTTGCTATTGTGAATAGTGCCGCAGTAAACATATGTGTGCATGTGTCTTTATAGCAGCATGATTTATAATCCTTTGGGTATATACCCAGTAATGGGATGGCTGGGTCAAATGGTATTCCTAGTTCTAGATCCCTGAGGAATCGCCACACTGACTTCCACAATGGTTGAACTAGTTTATAGTCCCACCAACAGTGTAAAAGTGTTCCTATTTCTCCACATCCTCTCCAGCACCTGTTGTTTCCTGACTTTTTAATGATTGCCATTCTAACTGGTGAGAGGTGGTATCTCATTGTAGTTTAGATTTGCATTTCTCTGATGGCCAGTGATGATGAGCATTTTTTCATGTGTCTTTTGGCTGCATAAATGTCTTCTTTTGAGAAGTGTCTGTTCATATCCTTCTCCCACTTTTTGATGGGGCTGTTTTTTTCTTGTAAATTTGTTTGAGTTCATTGTAGATTCTGGATATTAGCCCTTTGTCAGATGAGTAGGTTGCAAAAATTTTCTCCCATTCTGTAGGTTGCCTGTTCACTGTGATGGTAGTTTCTTTTGCTGTGCAGAAGCTCTTTGGTTTAATTGGATCCCATTTGTCAATTTTGGCTTTTGTTGCCATTGCTTTTGGTGTTTTAGACATGAAGTCCTTGCCCATGCCTATGTCCTGAATGGTATTGCCTAGGTTTTCTTCTAGGGTTTTTATGGTTTTAGGTCTAACATTTAAGTCTTTAATCCATCTTGAATTAATTTTTGTATAAGGTGTAAGGAAGGGATCCAGTTTCAGCCTTCTACATATGGCTAGCCAGTTTTCCCAGCACCATTTATTAAATAGGGAATCCTTTCCCCATTTCTTGTTTTTGTCAGGTTTGTCAAAGATCAGATGCTTGTAGTTATGTGGCATTATTTCTGAGGGCTCTGTTCTGTTCCATTGATCAATATCTCTGTTTTGGCCCCAGTACCATGCTGTTTTGGTTACTGTAGCCTTGTAGTATAGTTTGAAGTCAGGTAGTGTGATGCCTCCGGCTTTGTTCTTTTGGCTTATAATTGACTTGGCAATGCGGGCTCTTTTTTGGTTCCATATGAACTTTAAAGTAGTTTTTTCCAATTCTGTGAAGAAAGTCATTGGTAGCTTGATGTTGATGGCACTGAATCTCTAAATTACCTTGGGCAGTATGGCCATTTTCATGATATTGATTCTTCCTACCCATGAGCAAGGAATGTTCTTCCATTTGTTTGTATTCTCTTTTATTTCATTGAGCAGTGGTTTGTAGTTCTCCTTGAAGAGGTCCTTCACATCCCTTGTAAGTTGGATTCCTAGGTATTTTATTCTCTTTGAAGCAATTGTGAATGGGAGTTCACTCATGATTTGGTTCTCTGTTTGTTATTGGTGTATAAGAATGCTTGTGATTTTTGTACATTGATTTTGTATCCTGAGACTTTGCTGAAGTTGCCTATCAGCTTAAGGAAATTTTGGGCTGAGATGATGGGGTTTTCTAGATATACAATCATGTCATCTGCAAACAGGGAGAATTTGACTTCCTCTTTTCCTAATTGAATACCCTTTATTTCCTTCTCCTGCCTGATTGCCCTGGTCAGAACTTCCAACACTATGTTGAATATGAGTGGTGAGAGAGGGCATCCCTGTCTTCTGCCAGTTTTCAAAGGGAATGCTTCCAGTTTTTGCCCATTCAGTATGATATTGGCTGTGGGTTTGTCATAGATAGCTCTTATTATTTTGAAATACATCCAATCAATACCTAATTTATTGAGAGTTTTTAGATGGAGAGTTGTTGAATTTTGTCAAAGGCCTTTTCTGCATCTATTGAGATAATCATACGGTTTTTGTTGATGGTTCTGTTTATATGCTGGATTACGTTTATTGATTTGCATATGTTGAACCAGCCTTGCATCCCAGGGATGAAGCCCACTTGATCATGGTGGATAAGCTTTTTGATGTGCTGCTGGATTCGGTTTGCCAGTATTTTATTGAGGATTTTTGCATCAATGTTCATCAGGGATATTGGTCTAAAATTCTCTCTTTTTGTTGTGTCTCTACCAGGCTTTGGTATCAGGATGATGCTGGCCTCATAAAATGAGTTAGGCAGGATTCCCTCTTTTTCTGTTGATTGGTATATTTCAGAAGGAATGGTACCAGCTCCTCTTGTACCTCTGGTAGAATTCGGCAGTGAATCCATCTGGTCCTGGACTTTTTTTGGTTGGTAAACTATTAATTATTGCCTCAATTTCAGAGCCTGTTATTGGTCTATTCAGAGATTCAGCTTCTTCCTGGTTTAGTCTTGGGAGGGTGTGTGTGTTGAGGAATTTATCCATTTCTTCTAGATTTTCCAGTTTATTTGTGTAGAGGTGTTTGTAGTATTCTCTGATGGTAGTTTGTATTGCTGTGGTATTGGTGGTGATATC
This sequence comes from Homo sapiens, assembly GCF_000001405.40. Lineage (NCBI taxonomy): Eukaryota > Metazoa > Chordata > Mammalia > Primates > Hominidae > Homo > Homo sapiens. Next base: position 108,507,138 of record NC_000009.12, on the reverse strand, counting down.
CCCTTTATCATTTTTTTTTTCTATTTTTTTTTATTATACTTTAAGTTTTAGGGTACATGTGCACATTGTGCAGGTTAGTTACATATGTATACATGGGCCATGCTGGTGCACTGCACCCACTAACTCGTCATCTAGCATTAGGTATATCTCCCAATGCTATCCCTCCCCCCTCCCCCCACCCCACAACAGGCCCCAGAGTGTGATATTCCCCTTCCTGTGTCCATGTGATCTCATCATTCAATTCCCACCTATGAGTGAGAATATGCGGTGTTTGGTTTTTTGTTCTTGTGATAGTTTACTGAGAATGATGATTTCCAATTTCATCCATGTCCCTACAAAGGACATGAACTCATCATTTTTTATGGCTGCATAGTATTACATGGTATATATGTGCCACATTTTCTTAATCCAGTTTATCATTGTTGGACATTTGGGTTGGTTCCAAGTCTTTGCTATTGTGAATAATGCCACAATAAACTTACATGTGCATGTGTCTTTATAGCAGCATGATTTATAGTCCTTTGGGTATATACCCAGTAATGGGATGGCTGGGTCAAATGGTATTTCTAGTTCTAGATCCCTGAGGAATCGCCACACTGACTTCCACAATGGTTGAACTAGTTTACAGTCCCACCAACAGTGTAAAAGTGTTCCTATTTCTCCACATCCTCTCCAGCACCTGTTGTTTCCTGACTTTTTAATGATTGCCATTCTAACTGGTGTGAGATGGTATCTCATTGTGGTTTTGATTTGCATTTCTCTGATGGCCAGTGATGATGAGCATTTTTTCATGTGTTTTTTGGCTGCGTAAATGTCTTCTTTTGAGAAGTGTCTGTTCATGTCCTTTGCCCACTTTTTGATGGGGTTGTTTGTTTTTTTCTTGTAAATTTGTTTGAGTTCATTGTAGATTCTGGATATTAGCCCTTTGTCAGATGAGTAGGTTGCGAAAATTTTCTCCCATTTTGTAGGTTGCCTGTTCACTCTGTTGGTAGTTTCTTTTGCTGTGCAGAAGCTCTTTAGTTTAATTAGATCCCATTTGTCAATTTTGGCTTTTGTTGCCATTGCTTTTGGTGTTTTAGACATGAAGTCCTTGCCCATGCCTATGTCCTGAATGGTAATGCTTAGGTTTTCTTCTAGGGTTTTTATGGTTTTAGGTCTAACGTTTAAATCTTTAATCCATCTTGAATTGATTTTTGTATAAGGTGTAAGGAAGGGATCCAGTTTCAGCTTTCTACATATGGCTAGCCAGTTTTCCCAGCACCATTTATTAAATAGGGAATCCTTTCCCCATTGCTTGTTTTTCTCAGGTTTGTCAAAGATCAGATAGTTGCAGATATGCGGCGTTATTTCTGAGGGCTCTGTTCTGTTCTATTGATCTATATCTCTGTTTTGGTACCAGTACCATGCTGTTTTGGTTACTGTAGCCTTGTAGTATAGTTTGAAGTCAGGTAGTGTGATGCCTCCAGCTTTGTTCTTTTGGCTTAGGATTGACTTGGCAATGTGGGCTCTTTTTTGATTCCATATGAACTTTAAAGTAGTTTTTTCCAATTCTGTGAAGAAAGTCATTGGTAGCTTTATGGGGATGGCATTGAATCTGTAAATTACCTTGGGCAGTATGGCCATTTTCAAGATATTGATTCTTCCTACCCATGAGCATGGAATGTTCTTCCATTTGTATCCTCTTTTATTTCATTGAGCAGTGGTTTGTAGTTCTCCTTGAAGAGGTCCTTCACATCCCTTGTGAGTTGGATTCCTAGGTATTTTATTCTCTTTGAAGCAATTGTGAATGGGAGTTCACTCATGATTTGGCTCTCTGTTTGTCTGTTGTTGGTGTATAAGAATGCTTGTGATTTTTGTACATTGATTTTGTATCCTGAGACTTTGCTGAAGTTGCTTATCAGCTTAAGGAGATTTTGGGCTGAGACAGTGGGGTTTTCTAGATATACAATCATGTCGTCTGCAAACAGGGACAATTTGACTTCCTCTTTTCCTAATTGAATACCCTTTATTTCCTTCTCCTGCCTGATTGCCCTGGTCAGAACTTCCAACACTATGTTGAATAGGAGTGGTGAGAGAGGGCATCCCTGTCTTGTGCCAGTTTTCAAAGGGAATGCTTCCAGTTTTTGCCCATTCAGTATGATATTGGCTGTGGGTTTGTCATAGATAGCTCTTATTATTTTGAAATACATCCCATCAATACCTAATTTATTGAGAGTTTTTGGCATGAAGGGTTGTTGAATTTTGTCAAAGGCTTTTTCTGCATCTATTGAGATAATCATGTGGTTTTTGTCTTTGGCTCTGTTTATATGCTGGATTACATTTATTGATTTGCGTATATTGAACCAGCCTTGCATCCCAGGGATGAAGCCCACTTGATCATGGTGGATAAGCTTTTTGATGTGCTGCTGGATTCGTTTTGCCAGTATTTTATTGAGGATTTTTGCATCAATGTTCATCAAGGATATTGGTCTAAAATTCTCTTTTTTGGTTGTGTCTCTGCCCGGCTTTGGTATCAGAATGATGCTGACCTCATAAAATGAGTTAGGGAGGATTCCCTCTTTTTCTATTGATTGGAATAGTTTCAGAAGGAATGGTACCAGTTCCTCCTTGTACCTCTGGTAGAATTCAGCTGTGAATCCATCTGGTCCTGGACTCTTTTTGGTTGGTAAGCTATTGATTATTGCCACAATTTCAGCTCCTGTTATTGGTCTATTCAGAGATTCAACTTCTTCCTAGTTTAGTCTTGGAGAGTGTATGTGTTGAGGAATTTATCCATTTCTTCTAGATTTTCTAGTTTATTTGCATAGAGGTGTTTGTAGTATTCTCTGATGGTAGTTTGTATTTCTGTGGGATCAGTGGTGATATCCCCTTTATCATTTTTTATTGTGTCTATTTGATTCTTCTCTCTTTTTTTCTTTATTAGTCTTGCTAGTGGTCTATCAATTTTGTTGATCCTTTCAAAAAACCAGCTCCTGGATTCATTGATTTTTTGAAGGGTTTTTTGTGTCTCTATTTCCTTCAGTTCTGCTCTGATTTTAGTTATTTCTTGCCTTCTGCTAGCTTTTGAATGTGTTTGCTCTTGCTTTTCTAGTTCTTTTAATCGTGATGTTAGGGTGTCAATTTTGGATCTTTCCTGCTTTCTCTTGTGGGCATTTAGTGCTATAAATTTCCCTCTACACACTGCTTTGAATGCGTCCCAGAGATTCTGGTATGTTGTGTCTTTGTTCTCGTTGGTTTCAAAGAACATCTTTATTTCTGCCTTCATTTCGTTATGTACCCAGTAGTCATTCAGGAGCAGGTTGTTCAGTTTCCATGTAGTTGAGCGGCTTTGAGTGAGATTCTTAATCCTGAGTTCTAGTTTGATTGAACTGTGGTCTGAGAGATAGTTTGTTATAATTTCTGTTCTTTTACATTTGCTGAGGAGAGCTTTACTTCCAACTATGTGGTCAGTTTTGGAATAGGTGTGGTGTGGTGCTGAAAAAAATGTATATTCTGTTGATTTGGGGTGGAGAGTTCTGTAGATGTCTATTCGGTCCACTTGGTGCAGAGCTGAGTTCAATTCCTGGGTATCCTTGTTGACTTTCTGTCTCGTTGATCTGTCTAGTGTTGACAGTGGGGTGTTAAAGTCTCCCATTATTAATGTATGGGAGTCTAAGTCTCTTTGTAGGTCACTCAGGACTTGCTTTATGAATCTGGGTGCTCCTGTATTGGGTGCATATATATTTAGGATAGTTAGCTCTTCTTGTTGAATTGATCCCTTTACCATTATGTAATGGCCTTCTTTGTCTCCTTTGATCTTTGTTGGTTTAAAGTCTGTTTTATCAGAGATTAGGATTGCAACCCCTGCCTTTTTTTGTTTTCCATTGGCTTGGTAGATCTTCCTCCATCCTTTTATTTTGAGCCTATGTGTGTCTCTGCACGTGAGATGGGTTTCCTGAATACAGCACACTGATGGGTCTTGACTCTTTATCCAATTTGCCAGTCTGTGTCTTTTAATTGGAGCATTTAGTCCATTCACATTTAAAGTTAATATTGTTATGTGTGAATTTGATCCTGTCCTTATGATGTTAGCTGGTGATTTTGCTCGTTAATTGATGCAGTTTCTTCCTAGTCTCGATGGTCTTTACATTTTGGCATGATTTTGCAGCGGCTGGTACCCGTTGTTCCTTTCCATGTTTAGTGCTTCCTTCAGGAGCTCTTTTAGGGCAGGCCTGGTGGGGACAAAATCTCTCAGCATTTGCTTGTCTGTGAAGTAGTTTATTTCTCCTTCACTTATGAAGCTTAGTTTGGCTGGATATGAAATTCTGGGTTGAAAATTCTTTTCTTTAAGAACGTTGAATATTGGCCCCCACTCTCTTCTGGCTTGTAGGGTTTCTGCCGAGAGATCCGCTGTTAGTCTGATGGGCTTCCCTTTGAGGGTAACCCGACCTTTCTCTCTGGCTGGCCTTAACATTTTTTCCTTCATTTCAACTTTGGTGAATCTGACAATTATGTGTCTTGGAGTTGCTCTTCTCCAGGAGTATCTTTGTGGCGTTCTCTGTATTTCCTGAATCTGAACGTTGGCCTGCCTTGCTAGATTGGGGAAGTTCTCCTGGATAATATCCTGCAGAGTGTTTTCCAACTTGGTTCCATTCTCCCCATCACTTTCAGGTACACCAATCAGACGTAGATTTGGTCTTTTCACATAGTCCCATATTTCTTGGAGGCTTTGCTCATTTCTTTTTATGCTTTTTTCTCTAAACTTCCCTTCTCACTTCATTTCATTCATTTCATCTTCCATTGCTGATACCCTTTCTTCCAGTTGATCGCATCGGCTCCTGAGGCTTCTGCATTCTTCACGTAGTTCTCGAGCCTTGGTTTTCAGCTCCATCATCTCCTTTAAGCACTTCTCTGTATTGGTTATTCTAGTTATACATTCTTCTAAATTTTTTTCAAAGTTTTCAACTTCTTTGCCTTTGGTTTGAATGTCCTTCCATAGCTCAGAGTAATTTGATCATCTGAAGCCTTCTTCTCTCAGCTCGTCAAAGTCATTCTCCATCCAGCTTTGTTCCGTTGCTGGTGTGGAACTGCGTTCCTTTGGAGGAGGAGAGGCGCTCTGCGTTTTAGAGTTTCCAGTTTTTCTGTTCTGTTTTTTCCCCATCTTTGTGGTTTTATCTACTTTTGGTCTTTGATGATGGTGATGTACAGATGGGTTTTCGGTGTGGATGTCCTTTCTGGTTGTTAGTTTTCCTTCTAACAGACAGGACCCTCAGCTGCAGGTCTGTTGGAATACCCTGCCGTGTGAGGTGTCAGTGTGCCCCTGCTGGGGGATGCCTCCCAGTTAGGCTGCTCGGGGGTCAGGGGTCAGGGACCCACTTGAGGAGGCAGTCTGCCCGTTCTCAGATCTCCAGCTGCGTGCTGGGAGAACCGCTGCTCTCTTCAAAGCTGTCAGACAGGGACTCTTAAGTCTGCAGAGGTTACTGCTGTCTTTTTGTTTGTCTGTGCCCTGCCCCCAGAGGTGGAGCCTACAGAGGCAGGCAGGCCTCCTTGAGCTGTGGTGGGCTCCCACCCGGTTCGAGCTTCCTGGCTGCTTTGCTTACCTAAGCAAGCCTGGGCAATGGCGGGCGCCCCTCCCCCAGCCTCGCTGCCGCCTTGCAGTTTGATCTCAGACTGCTGTGCTAGCAGTCAGCGAGATTCTGTGGGTGTAGGACCCTCCGAGCCAGGTGTGGGATATAATCTCGTGGTTCGCCGTTTTTTAAGCAGGTCTGAAAAGTGCAATATTCGGGTGGGAGTGACCCGATTTTCCAGGTGCGTCCGTCACCCCTTTCTTTGACTCGGAAAGGGAACTCCCTGACCCCTTGCCCTTCCCAAGTGAGGCAATGCCTTGCCCTTCTTCGGCTCGCGCATGGTGCGTGCACCCACTGGCCTGCGCCCACTGTCTGGCACTCCCTAGTGAGATAAACCCGGTACCTCAGATGGAAATGCAGAAATCACCCGTCTTCTGCGTCGCTCACGCTGGGAGCTGTAGACCGGAGCTGTTCCTATTCAGCCATCTTGGCTCCTCCCCCCCCTTTATCATTTTTTATTTTGTCTGTTTGATTCTCCTCTCTTTTCTTCTTTGTTAGTCTTGCTAGCAGTCTATCAATTTTGTTGATCCTTTCAAAAAACCAGCTTCTGGATTCACTGATTTTTGGAAGGGTTTTTTGTGTCTATTTCCTTCAGTTCTGCTCTGATCTTAGTTATTTCTTGCCTTCTACTAGCTTTTGAATGTGTTTGCTCTTGCTTCTCTAGTTCTTTTAATTGTGATGTTAGGGTGTCAATTTTAGATCTTTCCTACTTTCTCTTGTGGGCATTTAGTGCTATAAATTTTCCTTTACACACTGCTTTGAATGTGTCCCAGAGATTCTGGTATGTTGTGTGTTTGTTCTCGTTGGATTCAAAGAACATCTTTATTTCTGCCTTCATTTCGTTATGTACCCAGTAGTCATTCAGGAGCAGGTTGTTCAGTTTCCATGTAGTTGAGTGGTTTTGAGTGAGTTTCTTAATCCTGAGTTCTAGTTTGATTGCACTGTGGTCTGAGAGACAGTTTGTTATAATTTCTGTTCTTCTACATTTGCTGAGGAGAGCTTTACTTCCAACTATGTGGTCAAGTTTGGAATAAGTGAGATGTGGTGCTGAGAAGAATGTATTTTCTGTTGATTTGGGATGGAGAGTTCTGTAGATGTCTATTAGGTCTGCTTGGTGCAGAGCTGAGTTCAATTCCTGGATATCCTTTTTAACTTTCTGTCTCGTTGATCTGTCTAATGTTGACAGTGGGGTGTTAAAGTCTCCCATTATTATTGTGTGGGAGTCTAAGTCTCTTTGTAGGTCTCTAAGGACTTGTTTTATGAATCTGGGTGCTCCTGTATTGGGTGCATATATATTTGGAGTAGTTAGCTCTTCTTGTTGAATTGGTTGAATTGATCCCTTTACGGTTATGGAGTGGCCTTCTTTGTCTCTTTTGATCTTTGTTGGTTTAAAGTCTGTTTTATCAGAGACTAGGATTGCAACCCCTGCCTTTTTTTGTTTTCCATTTGCTTGGTAGATCTTCCTCCATCCCTTTATTTTGAGTCTATGTATGTCTCTGCACGTGAGATGGGTTTCCTGAATACGGCATGCTGATGGGTCTTGACTCTTTATCCAATTTGCCAGTCTGTGTCTTTTAATTGCAGCATTAAGCCCATTTACATTTAAGGTTAGTATTATTATGTGTGAATTTGATCCTGTCATTATGATGTTAGCTGGTTATTTTGCTCGTTAGTTGATGCAGTTTCTTCCTAGCCTCGATGGTCTTCACAATTTGACATGTTTTTGCAGTGGCTGGAACCGGTTGTTCCTTTCCATCTTTAGTGCTTCCTTCAGGAGCTCTTTTAGGGCAGGCCTGGTGGTGACAAAATCTCTCAGCATTTGCTTGTCTGTAAAGTATTTTGTTTCTCCTTCACTTATGAAGCTTAGTTTGGCTGGATGTGAAATTCTGGGTTGAAAATTCTTTTCTTTAAGAATGTTGAATATTGGCCCCCACTCTCTTCTGGCTTGTAGAGTTTCTGCTGAGAGATCCGCTGTTAGTCTGCTGGGCTTCCCTTTGTGGGTAACCTGACCTTTCTCTCTGGCTGCCCTTAACATTTTTTCCTTCATTTCAACTTTGGTGAATGTTACGGTTATGTGTCTTGGAGTTGGTCTTCTCAAGGAGTATCTCTGTGGCATTCTCTGTATTTCCTGAATTTGAATATTGGTCTGCCTTGCTAGATTGGGGAAGTTCTCCTGGATAATATCTTGCAGAGTGTTTTCCAACTTGGTTCCATTCTTCCCATCACTTTCAGGGACACCAATGAGACGTAGATTTGGTCTTTTCACATAGTCCCATATTTCTTTGAGGCTTTATTCATTTCTTTTTATTCTTTTTTTCTCTAAACTTCTCTTCTCGCTTCATTTCATTCATTGGATCTTCCATCACTGACACCCTTTCTTCCACTTGATCAAGTCGGCTCCTGAGGCTTGTGCATTTGTCATGTAGTTCTCGAGCCTTGGTTTTCAGCTGCATCAGGTCCTTTAAGGACTTCTCTGCATTGGTTATTGTAGTTAGCCATTCGTGTAATTTTTTTTCAAGGTTTTTAACTTCTTTGCCATGGGTTTGACCTTCCTCCTTTAGCTCAGAGTAGTTTGATTGTCTGAAGCCTTCTTCTCTCAGCTCGTCAAAGTCATTCTCCGTCCAGCTTTGTTCCATTGCTGGTGAGGAGCTACATTCCTTTGGAGGGGGAGAGGTGCTCTGATTTTTAGAGTTTCCAGTTTTTCTGCTCTGTTTTTTCCCCATCTTTGTGGTTTTATCTACCTTTTGTCTTTGATGATGGTGACGTACAGATGGGGTTTTGGTGTGGATGTGCTTTCTGTTTGTTAGTTTTCCTTCTAACAGTCAGGACCCTCAGCTGCAGGTCTATTGGAGTTTGCTGGAAGTCCACTCCAGACCCTGTTTGCCTGGGTATCAGCAGCGGAGGGCTGCAGAACAGTGGATATTGGTGAACAGTAAATGTTGCTGCCTGATCGTTCCTCTGGAAGTTTTTTCTCAGAGGAGTACCTGGCCGTGTGAGGTACCAGTCTGCCCCTACTGGGGGGTGCCTCCCAGTTAGGCTACTCGGGGGTCAGGGACCCACTTGAGGAGGCAGTCTGTCCGTTCTCAGATCTCCAGCTGCATGCTTGGGAGAACCACTACTCTCGTCAAAGGTGTCTGACAGGGACATTTAAGTCTGCAGAGGATTCTGCTGCCTTTTGTTGGGCTATGCCTTGCCCCCAGAGTTGGAGTCTACAGATGCAGGCAAGCCTCCTTGAGGTGCAGTGGCCTCCCCCCAGTTGGAGCTTCCTGGCTGCTTTGTTTACCTACTCAAGCCTCAGCAATGGCAGGCGCCCCTCCCCCAGCCTTGCTGCCACCTTGCAGTTTGATCTCAGACTGCTGTGCTAGCAGTGAGCGAGGCTTCGTGGGCGTAGGACTCTCCGAGCCAGGCACGGGATATAATCTCCTGGTGTGCCGTTTGCTAAGACCATTGGAAAAGTGCAGTATTAGGGTGGGAGTGACCTGATTTTCCAGGTGCCGTCTGTCACCCCTTTCTTTGACTAGGAAAGAGAATTCCCTGATGCGTTGCACTTCCTGGGTGAGGCGATGCCTCACCCTGCTTCGGCTCACGCTGGGTGCGCTGCACCCACTGTCCTGCGCCCACTTTGTGACACTCCCCGGTGAGGTGAGCCTGGTACCTCAGTTGGAAATGCAGAAATCACCAGTCTTCTGCGTTGCTCACGCTGGAAACTCTAGACTGGAGCTGTTCTTATTCGGCCATCTTGGCTCCATCCCAAAAGTCACTTCTTATACTCAATGTTATCTTTTGTATCAGTAATGGGAATTGGTCTTTACCATTTTGCTCTTCCAAGCACATGTGCAAGCAGAGGGTAGTAGGGACAGCTTAGGGTCTAAAATAAGGGATCATAGATTGAGTTCCAGATCTGCAATTACTGGTCATATAACTTCTGAAGTGGCTCTTGCCCACTCTGTGCCTCCCTTTGTCATCCCCAGTAAAGCAGCCTGGGTCAGTGGACCACAGGGTCGGCTCTGGAGTCAGTCACTGCAGCCTTGCATATGGCCATCTCAGTGTCTCAGTTTCTTCCTCTGTAAAACAGACACTAGTGTTGTCAAGGGCTTGGGATTGTGAGGATTAAATGAGATAAAGCAAGCTAAGCTTTGAGCACAGTGCCTAGAACACAGTAGCTAATTAATAACACAATGTGATTATTATATTATTAATACATTATAATTATTAACTATAAAATGAGGATAAAAATCTATAGCTCTGAGAATTGCTATGAAGATCAAAGTGTCTTTAAAATTATAAATTGCTGTACAGATGTTAAGATATTAATTATGATGATAACAATGACCCACTTGAAGTGAGACGCTCCCCGGGCATGCATACAGAACCCATGTTGCATGACTGCTGAGGGAGCAGCTCATTCCTTGCTGGTTGGCCTGATCTTCCTGTCTTGGCTTTTCTCTCTGCTTGGAATCAGCTGATAACTGCTCTTTAGCCTGTGCTTTGCTGAGAGCCGTAGTTGGTCTGGGAGCCAGCTGTTCTCAGTGCAGCTGGTAACAAAGATGTTGCCTCAATAAGCATATGATGGATGAAGCCAACAACCACCCTGAAGGCAGCCTTGGGTGGTCACAGAAGCCCTTGCTCTCTGGTTCTTTAATGACGGAGAATGCAAAGCCTGTTGCCATTTTGAGTGTCAGCACTTACAGACCCATTAAGAAACTTGCCCATGGTCGCATTTCTTGGCCATGGAGGAGTCAGTATTGGAGACCTGCTCTATCTGATTCTAAATTTTGTGTGTGTGTGTGTGTGTGTGTGTGTGTGTTTTTTTTTTTTTTTTTGTGCTGTCCCTTATAGCTTCCGTTAGGGGTGAAGGAAAAGGGTTAACTAGTATGTTGGAATGGAGGAAGTCGGCAGAAATGTGGTGATGATCTTGAAAATCCCCTTGAGTATTGATATTTAAACCAGTCCATTGAAGGAATGGGTAATAGACCTATTCTGAAAGAAATGGTAAGTATCGTCTATTTTGAAAAAAAAAAAAAAATGACTGTTCAGAGAGTCATGGCAGGAGCTGGTCAGCCCTGGTAGTATCCCAAGTGAGAATGAGCATCAGGCCAGGGAGACCCAGGGCAAAATGATCTTTTTCTTCCCAATCTTTTTTTCTCCCAATTTCAGCAAATACAAAATTCCTCCCATTTTCTGTTTCAAATACTGGAGTCATCCTCACTCCTCCCTCTCCCTCTTTCTCTGCCTCTAGGTGTTCCCAAACCCTTTGTGCTTTACTCCCCAAAGTCTCTGTTTGCAGTTCCTCCTACCCCAGCCTTGGTCAGGGCCCCTCATATCATCACAGGGTTGCGGCAGCAGCTCCCTAACTCCTAACTGCATTTCTTGGTGGCCTGTTCATTCCATGCACAGGCACCAGCACGAGCTTTCAGAAGCAAAGGTGTTTTCAGATCACATCCTTCTCAGAGCAGTTGATGATGTGTCCACAGCCCACAGGGTAAAGCTCAAGTTTGAAGGCCTGGTGTTCCAGCCTCTTCAAGATCAGACACATCTGTCATTGCTCATGCTGGCCAGCAATACCCCTGTCACTTTCTTGTATTCATCCTTCGAGGCTGAGCTTAGAAATCATCTTATTGTCGTGAAGCTTTACTTAATTCCCTTAATCAGGAATAGTGAGTCCTTCCTCTGATTGGGGTGTGCTTATTTCATGCTATTTTACATCTTTTGACTTATCTCAGTGTTCATCTTCCTGCCAAGATAGCAAACTCCATGCAAGCATAGCCTGTGCTGGGCCCACCCACCATCCTAGAGAGCACTCATCCTAGATCCCAGGCACCAGGCCACGGAAGGCGCTCATTTAACACATAGCCATTTACATCCATTTCAATGCAACTTCCTACCTGCGCCAGATTTAAATAGTCAACTGCCTTTGCTCGATTAACCCATGTCTAGAAAGCTCCTGAACTCTCTATACATTCACAGTCAGAGCACTTCTTTTTGCCTCTTGATTAGGAAGCTGACCATATGGGAAATAAGGCTAAGCTGGCAGTTTATTTTCTTTTTTCCTCACCAGCAGCTTTTCCACTAGATTAAAATTTAAAAAGGAAATATTAATCACACAAATCAAGTCAAAGTAGTAAAACAGACTTTGATTGCTCTGTTGGGATTGTGCTCTATTTATTATTACTATTTTTTGTACCACACATCAGGCCAGCACAGGAACCACGTGGGCCCACCTAGACCCCTTGATTACTTTTGTTGCCAAATAGTACAAGGAAGATAGAAGGCCATTCTCCTGTCTCAGAATTGGACATATATTTTCTGACAGCTGAAATGGAAGCTTAAAAATCATCTAGATCTGTTAAATAACTGTTCATAGATTTGATTAATTTCTCTGGGATTGGATAGCCCATCAGCATCCCCTCAGTGCCTATGATCCATTTATTCCTATAAATCTTTGATGAAGAAAGAATTTGGTGCCCATTTGTACTTATACAAAACATATTGGAAAACGATTTGAAAATGGATATTATAGTTTCTTTTTGTTAATAAAACTATATGACATTTTAATACCTATGGCAATCAAGAATGATGGCCACTCTTCAGTTCACGTTCACAGCCATGGTCTGAGCTCCTGCTTGGTACCAGACAGCCTCTCTTATTCATTTGTCTTTCCTTCTTACAGAGCTATTCTGTGCTTATGTTTTACTTCATGAGATCGAAGCATTGTGTGCACTCTGTTAGAAACCTTAGTTTTTCCTTATTATTATATCTGGAGCATATTTTCATATCAGTTCATCAAAACACATAGTCACTTATTCAATTGCCTAGAATTTCATTTTATGAACATGCCAAAATTTATTTAACTATTTCCCCATGGATGGGCGTTTATGTTGTTTGTAGTTTTTTGTTACTACAAACAATGCCACAGCAAACATGCCTAGACATCCATTGTTGGGCACATGGAAGACTAGAATCTAAGTTTCTAGAATTCAAATTATTGAGACATGGCATTTCCCGTTTGATCTTACCATATTGAGCTGGTTGTTAGGGTTGCTGTAAATATAACAGGAAGCTTGAAGTTATCTTAGACAATAGGAGACTTTTTTACATACATTCCTAAAATAAAACCATAAAGAGAACATATAACAACTTATGTTTCAGAAAGTCAGTTTTATCACACTTTATCGTACTCCTGTAACTTCTACCCCTTATTCTGCATCCTACTCAGTGGGAGTCCACAGAATAAGTCCAGTTGCTTTTTCATATGACAGAACTTCAGAAATGTGAAGATATTGGCTATGAAGTTCTGGAGTCTTGTCTTCTCTAGGTGCACAAATCCTGTATCTTCAGTCCTTCCTCATGGGACTGGCTTGAGTTCCCTATACCTGGACCACCCTTTTCTGGCGATTTTCATCTCAGTCTCTCTTGAAATGCGAATAAAATGGGATGCTCTAGAGGTGGTTTGTGTAGAATAGCATTATCACCACCATTGTCCAAGATAAGATTCTTCTGGTAATGCAGTCTAAGTTTGCAATAGCTTTTCTTGTTAGCTATAATCTGTGGGAACAACTGACACAGTCTATGAAAATTCTTTGTCTTTTCTCAGTACTAAATCAAAATTCCCTCTCCCTCTTTATGCTCGTAAGCTGATATTAGGAGGCATGTACATTGATCCTTATTAAATTTCATGTTGTATTGTTAGATTCTGATCATTTTTCCAGCTTGCTGTGGAATTTTCTTTTTCATTCTGGTTGCCATCCAAAATATTTATTTTCCTTTCCAATTTTATGTAATTCAAAACAACGCAGAATAGAGTACAGCCCTTGTCCGGCTCCTAGACACTTCTTTTAATTCTGATCTTGAGCTGCCTTTGGGAAATGTAGTCTTGCCATCTGCAAGTCACCTACAGAATGTGCTGACACGAATTCACAAGGAGGCCAAAAGCACCACCATTCACGAATTGCTCTTTATTATTCTGCTTAATTCCTCCATAGCATCTACCCTCTTCAAACATGCCATATAACTTATTTCCTTTGTTTATTATCCGTCTTCTGTGACTAAAATATAAGCTTCTTGAAGACAGGGATTGTTGTCTATTTTGTTCACTGATGGATCTCTAGTGCCTCCCTCCAATAGTGCCTGGCACGTGGTAGTTACACAGTAGCCATTTGCCAATGAGTGAATGAATTACTTCTTAGGATGTATATATGCTCTGTCCACTGGATTTCCTCTACCTACCTATGATGACAGAAAGTTCTTTTGATTCCGTTTAATCAATTAAAGGTGTTTTCTAACTCTTATCTAGTGCTCCAAATTTAACACTAAACTTAAGATGAAGTAAAACGTCTATGTCACCACAAATCCAAATAGTCCACTTATCCATGGTCCTAAGGAATTTCTCTTTAAAAACATTTTTTTCCGTGTGAAAAAATGCTCAGCATCACTGATCATCAGAGAGATGCAAATCAAAACCACAAAGAGATACCACCTTATGCCAGTCAGAATGGCGATTATTGAAAAGTCAGGAAACAATAGATGTTGGCGAGGCTGTAGAGAAATAGGAATGCTTTTACACTGTTGATGGGAATGCAAATTAGTTCAACCATTGTGGAAGACAGTATGGCAATTCCTCTAGTATCTAGAATCAAAAATACCATTTGACCCAGCAATCCCATTGCTGGATATATACCTAAAGTAATATAAATCATTCTACTATAAAGATACACACACGTATGTTTATTGCAGCACTATTTACAATAGCAAAGACATGGATCCAAGCCAAATGCCCATCAATGATAGGCTGGATAAAGAAAATGTGGTAGATATACACCATGGAATACTATGCAGCTATAAAAAGGAATGAGATCATGTCCTTTGGGGGGACATGGATGAAGCTGGAAACCATCATTCTCAGCAAACTAACACAGGAACAGAAAACCAAGCCCCACATGTTCTCACTTGTCAGTGGGAGTTGAACAATGAGAACACATGGACACAGGGAGGGGAACAATACACACCAGGGCCTTTTGAGGGGTTGGGGGTAAGGGGCGGGAACTTAGAGGACAGGTCAATAGGTGCAGCCAACTACCATGGCACATGTATACCTATGTAACAAACCTGCACATTCTGCATATACATCCTGTTTTTTTTTTTTTTAGAAGAAACAACAATAAATAAATGTAAACACGTAAAAATAAAATAAAATCCAGACTCTCATTTTCTGAAAACAAAACAAAACATTTTTATTCCCTGAGCAATGATATGTATAAGTTACTTAAAAAAAAATCTAATGGCAGGCCGGGGGCGATGGCTTATGCCTGTAATTCCATCACTTTGGGAGGGAGGCTGAGATGGGGGCATCACTTGAGGTCAGGAATTTGAGACCAGCCTGACCAACATGGAGAAACCCCGTCTCTACTAAAAGTACAAAATTAGCCGGGCGTGGTGGTGCATGCCTGTAATCCCAGCTACCTGGGAGGCTGAGGCAGGAGAATCGCTTGAACCTGGGAGGTGGAGGTTGTGGTGAGCCAAGATCGCGCCATTGCATTCTAGCCTGGGCAACAAGAGTGAAACTCCGTCTCAAAACAAAACAAAACTCTAATGGTTAAGACATTATAGGTAGTATCACATATATAATATATATTTTATTATATATATGTGTGTGTATGTATATATAAAATCACCTAGGAATCAACAAGGAAAGCTGCACTAAGTAGAAAATCCAAGGCTCTTTTGAGGTCCTTAATAGAGGCAGATATGGTTTAAATTCTAGCTACTTCACTTACTGACTGTGTGATTAATTGCAATTTATGTAACCTCTCAGATCCTCAGTTTTCTCATCTTTGAAATGGGGATATTAGTACCACCTCATCATGTGAATGCAAAGATTAAATGACACGATGCAGGCAAAGCACCCAGTACACTAAATGGTCATTTCCTCCTTATTTTTCTAACAAAGAATACATCTAAAACAAAGTGGAAAGCTTATCTAAATTCTTCAAAATAATGTTCTCTTTAAAATATAAACAAATTGCTGTTCAGAAGGGAGGTAAACAATTCACCGGATAGAATCAGATGTGATGTCATTATAATAACTTTTGGTAAAACCAATTAAGCCCCCAACTCAAACTCTTTGAATACTCTTATTAAAAGCATTGCAGAAAACTTGCCTACTATAATCCCAGGTCCACAAAAGTAGATCTTGTGACCATGCTGCACCTAAAAATTACAGGAAAAAGAGGTTCTCAGGCTTAAAATCAATGAGCAACATCTCAAAGGTAGAGAAGCAGATTCAGGATACTTCTCCCCTTCTGGGTGCAGCTAATCCTGCTGTCATCACCTTTAGAGGTGGTGGTGGTTTCATTTATTTGCATATGTCATGTATTCTTTCACTCTTCTTTTCCCTCTTACATTACAAGTATTTTCAAGTTTCCCTAAATGGGGATTAAATTGTGCGTGCCATAGTGTTTTAAAATGGCAGCTTGAGCGTATGCTACGGTTACTCACATGTCACTAACTCCAGGAAACAATAGAGAAGACAAACCCTTAAGATAAATCTGTATCTACCTGATATGGGGCAAGAAGCGACATAGTGAACTGGGAACTATGAGGAATCTTGGAAAGACAGAAAACAGACGGGTTTGGATCAAACAGGAAAGGGTAGCCTGGGATGTGGGAGAGAGAACTGCACCACAGAGGTGAGAACAGCACCAAGAATGTGGTGGGTCTGGGGGCCACAGGAAGCTCAGGAGGCACCAAGAAGGCAGGGAGTAGGGTCACAGAGGGAGCAGCTGGTGTGGGGTATGCTGACCCTACTTTTTGGGTGGGGGAGGGGCATCTGCTCTCAGGCAAAATCAGCATATAGGGTCTTTGGGCTGGAGACATGGGCCCAAAGTTTAGGTGGTTGGCAAAGGTGGGAGTAACATTTTAGACAAATTGTCTTTAACAGTCAGTAAGAGAGAAAAGCCAGAGCACGTGAGGCAATAGTGTTGGCTGGAGAAAATGTTTGCTAGGTCCTTTGAGCTAGAAATAAAATTGGGTCAGGGGTTACTAATTCAACAGAAAGTTTCAGTCCTTAGTCCTCACCATTTAAAGTGACGATCATCTCAGTTTTCCCAGGACTGAGGGTATTCCAGGGTGGAAGGACTTGCAGTGCCAAAACCAGGAAAGCCCCAGGAAAAGAAAGGTGAATTCATCACTCCACAGCATTCTGCCCCCTCTCATCCCATAGACCAAAGCAAGTTCTCATTTGACCCCTTATTTCAAGAGGCTCCTGGCTACTGTGTGGCTCACTTTTTGGCTGATCCTGATGATGGTGGTGTGGGTCTCAGGTCACTTAGGTGGTCTCAGGTCACTTAGGTGATACATTGTGTTGCCCCCTAGAGAGGTCTATGATTTATTGTTGTCAGTAGTAACATTTACACTTACCTTAATTTAACACATGTTGAATGTGTTATGTATTCATTATGATGCATGGGAATCTGGAGAAATTATGTTATACTTGTCATATTTATTCTTTTTTTCATGGCCGAAACAAGTTTTCCTTTTCATTTGTTATTTTAAGTTCTCCAGGATCTATAACTAATGCTGATGTCCATGGCCTCCTCAATTACATGTATTTTGTAATCAATTCCAGCATTAAATTTTGCATACTTACGTGCAGGTAAGAAGACAAAGTTTCTGGGTCTGATTCCCTAACAGTTGGGAATCTCTTGCCCCTACTTGCCTTTGCATGTTCCAAGTTTTAGAAACTGTCTGTGGACTTTTCCTGGGTACTCATCCAACCAGATCTTTCCCTGTCTGAGGATTTCAGAAGCTGTGTCCTGTTACCCAACTTCAAGTCAGTATCTTTAAGCATGAGCAACTTTCATTTTTTTCATTCATTGATTTGTTTGGTCAGTAAATATTTATTGAAAAAGTACTATGTTCCAGAGAGTTCTAGAATTGAAGATTTAATAGTGACAAATAGATTATGTCTCCAGTTTCAGGACATATATCCTACTGGAGGTGAGGTGGATGATTAAAGAATGAGCAAATGACAATCACAAAACTAACAGCAACTAGCAAATGCGAAAGTTATCAGACATGCTGGGTGTTATGCAGAGAATTAAGGCTAAGTGTTTTGATGAAAAGTTTCTATGTGACAACTTCATGGTGGTCAGGAAAGGCCTTTCCAAAGAGGTGACCTTTAAGCTTAAATCAGGATGGAAGAGGAGGCAGCCTTGTAGGGATGGGGGAATGCAGCAAAAAGGGCATGCCTATTAGAGGGAAAGCTAGAAGCAAGCTCTAAGAGGAAAAGCAACTTGAAGTGTCTGAGGAACTGCAGAAAAAAAGAAACCCAAAACAAAACAAAACAACAACAGTGAAACTCAGAAAAACTCAGTGTGGGCTGGGGGATGGTAGGTTAGAAGGTTTGAGCCACAGGTAGGGGCTAGATCATGGCTTCTCAGGAGGCTATGGTGAGGGGTTTGGGTTTTATTCTAAGTGAGTGATAAATCATTGGAGGGTTTTAAGTAAGGTAGTGATAAGGTATAATTTTTTGAAAAATGATTCAGGATACTCTAAAGAGAATGGATGGAAAGGTCTGAGTAGGGGCAGAGAATCCAGTTAGGCTGCCACAGGAGTGGTCCAGGGAGAGATGATGGTGGTGCCAGGCTGAATGGTAGCAATGAAGATGGAGAGAAAGGAAAGATAATGGAATATATGGTGGAAGTGCAGTTGGCAGGACTTAGGACAGATATTATGTGGGGAGGAGGGTGTAATGGGTTGAATTGTGGCCCTGGAATGATATGTCAACCTAGAACTTCAGGATGTGACCTTATTTGAAAGAAGAGTCTTTACAGATATAATTAAGGTGAGATCATTCTGGATTAGGGTAGGCCCTAAATCCAATGATGAGTGTCCCTGTAAGAGACAGAAAAGAGACAGATACAGAGACCCAGAGGGAAAGGTCATGTGAAGACAGAGGCAGAGAATGGAATGATACATCTGCAGGTCAAGGAATGCCACAATTGCCCACAGGCGCCCAAAGCTAGAAGGGGCATGGAACTGATTCTCCTTCAGAACCACCAGAAGGAATCAACTCTGGTGGCATCTAATTCAGACTTCTGGCTCCACAATAGAGAATAAATTTCTATTGTTTTAAGCCACCAAATTTGTTGTAAAGTTATGGCATCCATGAGAAACTAATAGAGAGAGGAAGAGGGAAAGAAAGAATAACTATTAAGTTTTTTAATGTTAGCTACTTAATGGATGCTGTTAATATTTACCAAGATGGGGAAACTGGGGAAAGAGTAAGATTCTCCACTACTGGTTCTGTCTTCTGGCAGTGGCATGGTGGAAGGAATTCCATATGAAGTAAAATTCAGGTCCAGCGAGCAGGCCCAGGACAGAGGGAGGGTTAAGTGAGGTGGATCCAGGTCTGGGGTTAAAGTTATAAGGAGTGAGGGCCAAGGGCATAGCTCAAGGAAAGGATTGACAAGGGAAGTAGTGATGTCTCACCCCAATTGTCTACCCCTTACTTGATGTGACACACTGAATGTTTATGTCCCCCCAAATCCATGTGTTGAAATTTAATCCTCAATGTGATGGCATTTGGAGATGGGGTCTTTGGGAGGTGATTAGGTCGTGAGGGTGAAGCCCTCATGAATGGGATTAGTGCCCTTATAAAAGAGACCCCAGAGACCTCTTCACCAATTCTGCCATGTGACAACACAGTGAAAAGACAGCTGTCTATGAACCAGGAAGCCACCCTTGTCAGAAACTGCACCTGCCAGTGCTTTGATCTTGGACTTCTCAGCCTCCAGAACTGTGAGAAGTAAATTTCCATTGTTTCTAAGTCACTCAGTCCATGGTATTTTTTTACAGCAGCCTGAATGAACTAAGACATTTGATACATGACTTTGGGTCATTTATATAATTTCTTTGAGTTCCACTTGCTTTATTTTAAGATAGAGATTTTTTAAAAAGCAGCACTTTATTTCAGTGTCAAGAAGATAGTCTTCATTTTACCATTTTCTTCAGATGTTTATCTGAAGACCAACATTTTCTTCTTTTTATTCCATCTCGCAATATTAAGAGAATTAGTTGTAACATGCCAGTGCTGTTAAGGGGATGAGTTCTCCATCAATAGAAGTAAGCTCTGCTTCCTTGCAATATCTGGAGGCCAAAAGGTACCCAAACTGCTGTGGTTTGAACATGTGACCAGATTCTAAGTGCATTAAAACTCAGTTAATTTTTTTTTCCAGAAATTTCCCAATTTTCCATCCAAGAAATCCCCAAAGCCTGTGGTTCAGAAAGGCTCACTTTATTGTAATATGGTATTTATAAGCATGTCAAGGTATTTTATTACAAAACAATTTTCAGGTTGTGGAATAAAAGAAAAAGCCTTTTCAAATCATTAAAACATTTACTTCTTTCTCTCCATGTAAGATCATGGGTGCTAATGATAAAATCAAAGGAAATACCCAATTCTCCTGTGTCAGCTGCCTGTAAATTTTCAAGGTTCAGTCAGCAATCCCCGAATGTGCTGACACATTCTTTAGGTTTTGGTTTCTGTGGTTAGAAAACATCTAGGAAGCTGTAAATAATTGCCTCTGCCTTTCCTCAAACTGTTTTCTTTGCTTGAAAATCTTTTCCCACTTCCGTCATTGTCACATCCATCTGAACCTCCCCAGTTTTTGAGGACATTGCTTGAAGGCACCCACTTTCTATGAAATTCTCTCCTTTTATGATATTCATGATGGAGCAGAGATATTTGCAGAACTCTAGGTGTTCCCCACTCACACTTCTCCCACTCCAGTATGACCCTACCTTTCTCAGAGCTCCCTTCTGTGGCGATTTCTGTGCTTCTCTTGGCTCACTGGACACTGTCTGCCTTGAGTGCTATAGTTTCCCTTGTCTTTTTTCTTTCTTCCTTCTAAGCATCTTTACCTATATTTCATTCACCTCTGCATTCCCCTCAGCACAGCCTCACACAATGATGTACACATTCCAGGCACTGGGAAGGGTTGTGTGCATGGATGGATGGATGTGTGCATGCCTGCGGGCTTGCAGGAGAGGCACTGTGTGCATCGTTTGGAGGGGCTCTTTCTTTGCCCAGTGCTTGCCTTGGCAGTGTGCTGCAGGTGGCACATAGATGGAACATTCCAGCATATGGGACTTGTTCTTCAATTTAGCTCATTGAACCACTAGTTTGGTTCCTTCTTCCTTATTCTTCACCTCTCTCTTCATTTATCTTGCTGCTCAGTCTACTATCAAAACACTCGTTCACCTCACAGCTAGTTTTTCCTGAATAATTCAGCTTGTCTCTTGACCATGGCTTCACCTCACTGTGGATTCTCTGCCTTGACAGTAGAGTCTTAGATGATACTTTTGAGCTCAAGCTGTTTTCCAGGACTCTCCTGCCTATATGCTAGTATTGGGCCTGTCTTGTCTTTTTCTTTTTTTGTTTCTTTTTTTTTTTTGAGGTGGAGTCTCACTCTGTTGCCCAGGCTGGAGTGCAGTAGTGCAATCTTGGCTCACTGCAACCTCCTGGGTTCAAGTGATTCTCCTGCCTCAGCCTCCTGAGTAGCTGAGACTACAGGCACACGCCATTACACCTGGCTAATTTTTGTATTTTTAGTAGAGACGGGGTTTTGACATTTTGGCCAGGCTGGTCTTTAACTCCTGACCTCAAGTGATTTACGCACTTTGGCCTCCCAAAGTGCTGGGATTATAGGCCTGAGCCACCACATCTGGCCATGTCTTGTCTTTTTCTTGGGCTGTTTTTCACCTTATTGACAGTAACCCGAGGAAGACTTTTACCATCTCTAGATAGACAAATATTTAGAAAAAGGTATATGACGGTGACAGCTTATTTATCAATCAAGTGTCATAGAAACCTTGATTTAGAGTACAGAAAAACCACCTGTGCATTGTAGGCTCATTTCCTAAGCAGCTGGAGTTTTGGGACACCCCAACCCATGTTATGACTTAGTCAATCATAAGAGGCCTTTATGTATGACGCCGTGACCAAGGAGAAGAGACATTATAAAGGTATAAGACTGTTTTTCCAAAGTCAAGCAGGAAAATCAGGTTTATTGCTTCCTCAGTCCATTTTATATAGTCATGCCTACCTCACATTGATCATTTTACTGATTATGTAATTTAAAAGACATCACTATAACAATCTAGAATTTCTGAATATCAGAGTTCGAAGGCTTTTAGAGCCCATCTAGTTGGGCATTCTCCAAAGTGAGGGATTTACCCCTCGTGGTTTCTAGGGTCATGTTGGTGAGGTATCTGGATACAATGCTAAATACTGTAGACTCATAGTGAGAACCCATTCCCTTTTTAATTCTCCAGCCTTCAGATTAGCCACAGAGAAGGTTGCAATTTGAAGCCAACATGCCCTTATCACCTCTCCTCTACCTGATCATCTTTATGTATCCATTTGTTTATAAATAAAGTGAAATCAAGATTCAGGCTCAAAAGCTTGTAAAAGTTATGCTCTCTATAAGAGGAATTTCATAATGCTCTGTTACTCCGTTTATTTTTCACAGTTAATATCTGCATGTGGCAAGAGCTATTAATTTTCTACTAAGGTGATATAAGGTTTCTGTGTGTAAAACATTTATGTATGTAAAAATGTGAGGTAATTAAAAGACAAATAATAACATTTATGGAGACCCAGGTTGGGGACTGCTGCTTTAAAATTAGGTTGATTTTGTGGAACTTCACAGTCTTGGTGTCTCACTCACCTTTGTCCCTCTAATTTGAAGCTTCCAAGAATTATTTCCACTGAGTATGTGCCTTAACTCTTTCTTGTGGCAGTTAACTTCTCAAGAACATATGGTGCAATGGGAAGCCAGGTGAGGTTGGAATGTGTCCAGGAATTTCAGATCAGGGCCATGCCTGTAGCAACAGGCTACCCATGTATCTCCCTCCTTCTTATTACCTGGTATAAGCCAGGTAATTTAACTCATGGCTGATCCAGGAAAGAGTTAGTCCACCAAATTTTTCCATGGCTTACAGCAGAAGATAGCTTGGCAGTCATCTTGAAATCTCTCAGAACAGGTAATCCGATTCCCCCAGCAGAAGGTGATTGTTGCTGTAGCTGAGAAGGGATGGGTGATGTAGTCTTCAGGAATAACTTCCCCTCAATTGTCATCTATTTCACTTTGTCAGATCAAATGGGGGAAAAATACTGGGGCCTGGAGAACATCTGGGTAGCACATTGGTCAAAGGGATCTGTTTCTCTTTTCCTCTTATGGCAAGGAAACCATCCTCTGTTCCTGAGAAAATGATTAATGATAGCACACGGAAGCCAAAAACATATGAGCTTTTACTTTCTTTTTTTCTCCTACCTGTGGACACATAGGTTCTTCCTGTGCATTTTGGCTCAGGACACTCAAAATTCCAAGAATCTTCCCAAGCCCTGTTTCTTGAAGGGCCTTTGGATTTTGCTGCTGGCTTTTCTTCTTGTTGTACTTGAGCAACTATTCCAGTGTAGGCAACACAAAAATTCTGAAGCATAAAGACCTGCCTTTGCTGTCCTCTTCGGTTTCTCTCTATCTCTCTTCAGTGAAGGCAAATCACAGCCCAGACAGACAGGAAGGGTCATTCACAGGTATGTGGTGACCTGAAAGGGTTGGCTGACTCATCAATGAGGTCAGGGTCACCTACTGTGGCCACCTGACTTCAGGGACCACAAAGAGAGCAGAGGCCTGGCTGCGAGCCCCCATCTCATCCCTTCCTGCAGTGGCCTGAGGCCTCACAGCTCCCTCTTCAGTGCACAAGAGCCTTGAAGCATGGTTTGACTCTGTGCCTGTGGGTAGGGAGAAGGGGTCTTGGTGTCTTTCTGCAGCTTCAATGCACTATACACTCTCTGCTCCAAGACCCCTCCCCCAACCACCACCATAATCCTCACTCCCACCTGTATTATTTTGCAGATTGATAGTTCTCCAGCATCAGGGTTTCTCCACAGGTCTCCCTTTTGCCCATTTCTGAGTACACAAGGAAGCCCCTCTGTCACGATCTGAACCCATGGGATGGCTTCTCTTCCATGAATATGCCTCCATATGCCCCCACCTTCATTAACTCCTCACAGTGCTCACAGTATGCCTCCATATGCCCCCACCTTCATTAACTCCTCACGGTACTTCTTCTACTCCCTTTCTCCCCCACAAGGGCCAAGGAAGGCCTGCTAAACTTGAGCCAAACCTGGGCCACACTTCTCCTACAGGGAAGTCACACCCCTTTCATCCATCTGTCTTCCAGGCTACCTTTATATGGGGATTGGTCTTGTTTATGGTCCATTTGTCCTCATAGGCCTGAAGGTTGAGGTTAAAGGCAGGAGAACTCAGCCTAGTGTCTTCTGAAGCCCATCTATATCTCCTGCCTCCTTCCTCATTCCTGGGTTCTGTTTACTGCCTTTTCCATGAGTATTCTTCCACTCTTTCTAGGCCCAGTTCTTCCAGCTCTGCGCCCACACCTACCATCTATCTGTCTCCTGGCACTGTTACTTCTCACCTCAGAGCACAGGGTCTGTGCTCACCACCTTCCTCATTTTCCTGAAGTACCTGTGAGTCCCTTGAAGGCAGAGAACAAGCCCTGATTCACCCGATTTCTCCTTCATTCACAGAACAGGGCCCATTGCGTAGAAATCACTTCATTTGCTGACTGAAAATTGAGGCAGATGTTAGGGTCACACCCTGATTGCATGATATTAGGGATGCCGTAGAGCCCTGTGTGGTCCTAGCCAGCCCCCAAGGACACCTGTAATGGAAGCAGAAGCCAGGAAGGGGAAGATACAAAGCACAGGTGTTCCTTTCAGAGACTCAGAGACTGTATCCAGGCAATACTGACTGAATATCGGGTGCTGGGCTGAGGAGGAGAGACAGAAAAGCTTCTTTGGAGTTTACTGTCTAGGGGAATGTATACATGTAGGAATGACAAATAATAAAATTTAGTAAAAATGAACAAGAGAGTTAGTTACATTATGTGTATAAAGGAAAATAATTTAGTTTTATTTTTTATTTTAAAAAGCAAATGGTGCTCAATCCCTCCAAGACCTTGTAATTCAGGAGAGATTTGACTGTATCTGCTGCAAAGTGGTCATTACTGTATTTTTGCATGTGTGATGCTTGGTCATTACACTCCACATCTCTAGATTGTTTTAGTTACATGAGCCTGTATTACCTAGCTAATTAAGCAAAGCTTTAATAATAAAAAAGGCAACAATTAGTCAATAGCATAAAATATCTAGAAGATAGCATGGGAAGTAAGCTTATTATTAAGGTTGATATGTTTATGCTCATCCATTAGTCACTTGAAAACATTTGGCAGTGTTTATTGGAGAGCAGAGGGGCTTATGATGATAAGATCCAAGTATATTCTGCATCATTAGTTTCTTCTTATTTCAGACAAAGAAGTGGACTTTAAACTAGAATGAACCTGTATCTCAGAGAGAATAATTGAATAAATAATATACATGCCATTTCAATGTCTCTGTGCAATATTTAACATTTGGCCCTTTCTAGTTTATAAAGATGTTATAAAAACAATGTCATAACACATGTTACTGAAGCTACAATTTTTGTATAAGGTGTATTCTCCACTGTACTTTCAACTATATGTTAGAGTGTTATTAAAATAGAATTTATGAAAGTATGCAAATTTACTAGACATTAAATATATGTAGTTAAAAATTAGAAATAAACAAGATTCTGCTTTAGGTCTTAAAGTCAACATATCCAAAAGATTATATATTTTCCCAGTAGTCAGTTAGTGAGCTATTTCTGCATCTACCAATTATTTGTGTAATATCTCGGACTATAAAATGCAAAATAGTATGGAGTTGTAAACAATAAGAACAAAACAGCTTAACAGTGGCCACTTGAGGAAGTCTCTGTCACTGAAACATTCATTTTTTAGGTATCAATTTGTTTCGAAGGAGCTATTTTAGCCTTCAAAATATATTGATGACAAGTCTGAATTTTTCAGAAATGTGTAGTGAATTCCAAACTATTTTAGCTACGATCTATGGAGTAGAACTTTGAACACAGGCCTTCCATTCTTCTGGATATTAAAGCAGATTAAGCCATTTTTTCAAGTAGAATCCTGGCCTAATCTCAGGTGTGTGGCTCCCAGAAAGGTGGGTGGCAGGAGAGATGTGGGGACAAATGACCAAATAGCAACTGGCCTTTGGCCATGACTCCTGGTAGGGAACCCAGAGCCCACTAGAGCAGTGTTTCTTAAACTGCGGCTTGGGACGTATCATAAAGTTAGTTTAGTGCACTATCATCTGGCAGAAATGTAATGTGAGTCACATACATATGTAATTTAGAATTTTTTGGTAGCCACATTAATAAAAACAGTTGAAGTTAATTTTAATAATATATTTTATTTAATCTAATATACACAAAATATTATCACTGCAGCATGTAATTAATATAAAATTGTTAATGAGATGTTGCACATTCACTTTGTTGAATTAAATTCGAGAAATCTGGTGTGTATTTTCCACTTTTGGCAAACCTCAATTCAGACTAGCCACATTTCAGTGTTCGCTAGCCATGTGGCTGCGGGTCTATAGCAGACAGCACAAGTTCAGTGCTTGTAAGATTACGCATTGAAATCGAATAGAATGGAAAATTTCAGACAGCATTGCTCATAGTAAATAATTTTTTCTAGGGACTTAAAATGTGCTTTTGAGCAGGGAGTCATGGTAGAAAAAAAAAAAAACTTGAAAGCTGATGTAGTACAGCACATTGATTCCTTCCAGCACACGTGTCTATGGAGCTGTACTGAAGACGACTGTAATCTTGGCAACATGAAAGAGCTCCCAGGTACACTTCTCTGGCCATGCATTGACCGTTAGGCTCACTACTTCTTGATATCTATTCAAGGCTTAGCTAGTCATCACATAAGACATTAGAGGATTGCTTGAAGGACATATAGCTCACCAATCTGCACATATGCTAAAACCTCCCTGCACCCAGCCAGATAAACAGAGATAGGGCCCTCAACATTAATCAGCTTATTCTTTCTATAATTTGACTTTGCTGTGACACCATCATAATAGGGTTCAAAGTGGTTACAAGAAACAGCATTGTCAGCATGTATATGGACATTCTAATGCATTAATGGGAGGAATGTGCGTTGGTATAACACTTCTGGTGGGCAATTCAGTTACGTGTATCAAAAAATTTCAAAACTTCTGTGTCTTTTGGTCCAGCACTTCCAGGAGTTTATTCTTTCATGTCCAGGAATAAATGGAAGTAATACAGATGGTCCCCAACTTAATGATGGTTCTGCTTAAGAGCCTTGGACTTGACTATGGTGCAGAAGCAATATGCATGGTATAGTAGTAACCATACTTTCAGTACCTACACCATCATTCTGTTTTTCACTTTCAGTATAGTATTCAAGAAGTTACATAAGCTATTCGACACTTTCTAATAAAATAAGTTTTGTGTTAGATAATTTTGCCCAGCTGTAGGCTAATGTAAGTGTTCTGAGCATGTTTAAAATAGGCCAGGCTAAGTTATGATGTTCAGTAGGTTAGTTGGATTAAATGCATTATCAACTTAGGATATTTTCAACTTATGATGGGTTTATGAGGACATAACCCCATTGCCTAAGTCACGGAATTCTTGTATATGTGTGCGTAAAAATTCAGCTACACTAAATGCAATGTGATATGTTTATTTGGATCCTGGAACGGAACAGGGACATTGGTAGAAAAGCTAATGAAATCTGAATAAAGTCTGGAGTATAGTTAATGTTAACATACCAATGTTGGTTTTTCAGTTATGACAAATGTACCATGGTAATATAAGATGTTAACATTAGGGGAACTCTATATTATGGGAACTCTATACTGGCTGCAACTTTTCTGCAAACCTAAAATACTTCTAAAATAAAATGTTTATTAAAAATATTCATCCATAAGGATCTGCAGTGCAGTGTGCCGTAAGAGCAAAAAGTTGGAAACAACCTAAATATCCAACCACTGACGCTTGCTTAAATAATTTTAATTTTATTCATAGAATGGAATAGCAGATAGTCATCCAAATGATGTTTTAGAATTCTATTTGTTAACAAAGATGTTCATAATATGTAAAGTGAAAAAGCAATTTTCAAAATATTATTATTTTATTAAAATGTGTACATAAAGAGAATTGACAGAATGTACTGAGTCATTGGGATTAAAGGAGATTAAATCTGTGTGTGGATGTGTGTACATATGTTTACTAGTTTTTAAATACAGGGCTTATGTTGGTTTTGTAATAAGAATTTTTAAAGTTTGTTTTTTTTTACTTTGCAAAAGTGAAATGGGTGAGTCAGACTGTTCTGACACAGGGCTGACAGTGATGAGTGTAGTCTCACCACAAACTTGAAAATAAGGGACATCAGATTGCACTCTGGGAATTAGGCTCAGAAATCAACATAGAAAGTATTAGTTTTGAGTGGGGCAAAATCTCTTTAAAGAATCAGAATGACTCACGGGCCAGAATTAGTCCTGGCTACAGCCAAACTTGACATTCAGAAATGTAGTTCAGAATGTGTCTGTCAGAACGGAGTTGGTACGGAACAAACTCAGCTAAAGGAGGGTCACAGAGGGTGCCAGTGTCATCTCAGCAGCCTTATGATGACACATCTGGTCAGACTGGCCTCAGTTTCTCTCTCTCTCTGATAAGTCTGTCCTGCAATGAGACAGAAGTGTCATCTGTTATCCCGCCTCTGACCACTAAACATTTTGATCATCCAGTTAATTCTCTGCCACTAATCAGGGTGAGGCCCACGAAAGAGCCTCTGGTTACTTGACTCTCCCTGTAGGCTGCCCACAGCTGGTCAGGCTGACACGAGCACCCATCCCCTTGACAATGAGTTTCCTCATTGCGAACGAGCAGATTTGGCAGCTAATTTGATGAATGTCTCTGTGCGCATTACTAGTGTGAGTCAGTGCTCTGGGCCCAGTCAAATCTGTAGCTCTGACAGGAGGAATTTATGAGCCTGTGAGGGGAAGGGCCAGAACATGGACCCTGTGAATTGCCCATAATAACGGTTCCCTTTGGGTCTTGTCAGGCACCCCCTTGGCCTCTTCTCAAAGATCCAAGCGGCATTTCCCCTGGGATGTAGTGGCTCACTCATTTCGTTTATAATGCTTCTCCCAGCCCAACCATCTGGCATTGGGAAAACCTGCCTAGTCCCCTTGGGTTAGGGCAGCAGAGTCCAGTGAGATGAGTGAGTCCTACAGGAACCTGGTAAAATAACTCAGATAAACATGGGAACCCAACAAACTTCCACCGAGGGTTGAATAGTTCCCAGACATCAAGCTTGGTGGAGATCCTTCATGTTCACTGTTCATGATGGCTCTGTCGTGGCACGAAAAGCATTAGACATGGAGTCATCAGATTTTGTTTCTATGGCTTTGGCCTAATTATCTGGGTGACTCTGCACCAGTCAATGTTTTGACGTCTTGACCATAAAATCAAGGATAGCAATACCTACCACACAGCATTGTTATAAGTTCAGTTGCTATGATGGATAGTACAGCACAATAGAAACTAGAAAGAAATGTACAAATAAAAAGTACAGTCATGTGCCACATAATGATGTTTGGTCAACTGTAGACTGCGTATGTGACAGTGGTCTCACAAGATTATGATGGAGCTGAAAAATTCCTGTCATCGAGTGACAGTATAGCCATCATAATTACTCACATGTTTATGGTGCTTCTGAGGTAAGCAGCGACGTGCTGTACAGGTTTGTATCCCAGGAATAATAGGCTATGCCATATAGCCTAGGTGTGTAGTAGCTTATACCATCTAGATTTGTGTTAAGTGCACTTTATGATGTTTGCACAACCATGAAATCACTTAACGACAATTTCTCAGAACATATCCCTGCTGTTAAGCAACGTGTGACTGACTGTATTGTTATTTCTCTTTTCATGAGTCATAATTCAAATGTGTGTGTGTGAGCAATTTTTTGAAATGCAAACAAATTGGAAAGTTTTATGTCCTGGAAAGTGGAGAGCTGATTTAGTTTCTGATCGGGTATGGAAATACATCAATTACTAAAGAGATAGCAAGCAATTCCTTAGTGTGCATAAAACTTCATAATTGAATATTTAACTTATATTAAGTATCCAATAACTGGGTTTTGTTCTGAATGCTAGCATTGCATCCAGATTCGATTCTACATAGTGTTTTTAAGATGCAGTTTCACCAAAGAGATTCTTTTGCTGCCATAATTCCAAAGCCCTGGTTAAGGCCTCTCCAATCTAGGAGCCCCTGTAATTCTTATGATTTTGTCTGCACTTAGAGACGTGTTGATTCTCTTGTCGGGCCCATGTCCTACATCTTGTATATTATGTTCACTTATGATTGTTCCACGGCCACACAGGGTTCAGCAGGAGAAAGACCCTGGAGTTGTAGTCAAAAGACCCTCAATGTGTGCATATCTCAGATTCCTATCTATAAAATGAGATAAATGATTTACTTTGCATGATATGGTTTAAATGGAACACTGAATTGTTATTGGATTCTTACTTTGTTCCATAAAACTGTAACACTCATCATTTTATTCTTATTTCAAAGACCGAGACATTGTGTAGGGCAGGTAGACCTCCTAACCTAGACCATGTGATGCTAGGCCACCATCCTGGTGAGGCTTTGGGGCTTGGACTTGTCCATCAACAGAACATTTCCTGCTGGTTGAAGCAACTGCTTCTATTCTGGAAGAGCTCTGGTTCTGATATTCTTTCTATAAATAAGAATGACTAACACTGATGGAGCACTTACTCTGGGCTAGTCATTGTTCTAAGAACTTTATATAAATTAGTTCACTTAATCCCCACAACAGCCCTATAAAACAGGTACTCATTTTCCCCCGCCAACGTTTTTTTAGAGAAAAGGAAATAAAAACAGACAGTTGGTCACTTGCTCACCCAAGAATTAAGTGGAGAATCTGGGATTTGAACACAGACCTCCACTGTACTATATGGCCCTGTATGAAAAAGAGTATTTGTCCCTATCATTGGACAGATGAGCACAGAAGAATGCTAAACACTGGTCTTTCATTAGTAGACCCTGTATTTAACACACACTAAGTTTTACTCTACTGCACAAGCCCAAATGGCTTCCTTGTGGATCCTGGTTTTTCCAGATACCATATGAAGGGGTTTGATAAAGTAGTTTCTAAAAGACTTTCATAGCAATATTCAATAATTTCATGGCTCAGAAATTTACACCAAGCTAAAATGCCTGGTCTACTTCCTGTGACAAATATATGGTAATTTATCCATGATTTTATCTTTCCAAAGGTTGTTGAAAGCATTTTTTCTACTGAGAAAATCCTTTTCTAATTTTGCCAATTTTTCCAGAGGATGGGGATATTTTAAAGAAAATTGGTTCTGGTGATCTGGTCAAATTTGTTTCAGATCTGGTCTGCTTATTAGCCCATAGGACACTTGTAATTGAATTAGTCTTTTAAAGCCCAGATCTTATCTAGCCCACAGGACACTTGCAATTAAACTGGTCTTTTAAAGCCCAGATCTGACAGTTCCTTCCGGTGATGAAAAATCAGGACTCTCCAGTGTTTACTGAATGAGGTCAAATTTGTTAGCTGGGTATTCAAGGTCTTCAATTGCTATTTCCAGTCCTTTTCTCTATTGTGCGTCTTTATCCACCATTTGGCTTCTTACCTGGTTCACACTTCTCCCTCTACTTGGAATTCCCTTCATCCCTTTCTCCTGTTGAAATCCTATGTGTCTTTTAAGGTCACCATGGATAATACCTGTTGTCTGAAACCTTCTATTCTTTCTTCAGTTAGATGATCTCTCAGGCCTACACTCCTGCAGCATTTAAACCACGCTTCTCTTTCACCACATTTACTTCAGTTTAATTGCTATAGTAATTATCTGTGTATAGGAAAAATTACTTTATCCATGTACAGAGCTTTGTTTTTGATGAATATGAAGCTCAGTAAAAATGTATCTAGATATCTGCTTTAATGATCTTAAATTCATTTTCAGTGAAATAATCATAAGAAAAGGGATAACTGAAAAAAAAGTTCATTTCAAGGGGAGACTGCTGTTAAAACCATTTTAGCAAAGATAAAATAGGGTTCATTTTAGAAACTCTACTTCAAGAATAAAGTTTAGGGCTTTTTAAAAAAAAAAAAAAACCAGGTTAATACGTTTCTAGAATCTAGAAGGACAATGAATATGTCAAAGACATGACTTTATTGAGAGCCGCTTTGTTTTCTATAGGTGGCATGTATACGTGTGGACATGCCAGTGTTAATTTTCCCACAGCAGGGTGGTGTGGAAATAGGATAGTTTTAGAGGCTGGAATAGGTAAATTGTGGCTCCGTCTTGGAAACTTCTATCCCTAAGTGTCTTGTTAGTTAAACTGAATGGAAAGAAAATTGCCCTGTTTGTGACTGCTCATAAACTTTTAATATACTCTTCTTACATATCTGAGATATTTTACACTACAAATTCTACTCCATCTTCTCTGGAAAGAGTCTGAGACCTAGTTTGGTAGAGGTTTGGGTGTTGCTCCTCCGTGTAGACTCCAGACTGAATTCTTGGCTCTCTTCAGAGTTTCTGTGTACTACTTCAACAGATCTCGTTTCTGCTTAAATTAGATGGAGGGATTCACTTGGTTGCACTTAGGATTTCTGACTAAGAGGGTCATAATTCTATGTGACAGGATATTAAACATGGTTCTCCCACTTTCCTTGGAATTTCAGCAAAAATCCCAGAGGAGGAGAAAAGCACAATTGGTTCACATCCCAAAGCAAGGTACTGGGCCACCTCTGCCAGACCTACTGAGAGACTGCAGGTCTGGTTCTGCCGGCATTAATCAAATACCCGCTTCTAAGCTACGTCAGAGCTGGAGGCTGAACCCCCAGGAGAGTGACATATTCTGTGGAGAAAGCTGTCTTCATTCCCTGGTGCTTTTGTTCTCCTCTCAATCTGAGTGAGAGAGCCTTCAAAAGAAACATCATGTGATGCTTGATGTCTTGTGTCTCCTGTAGACTTAGGGGATAGAGCAGTGAGTACTTAACTCATTCCTTGTCTGGGACTCCGAAGGCCATGATTCATTGAGGCTCTTTCGTTTCCCCCACTGGAGACTACTGCTAGATTAAAACACACATGCATATATTTAATTGACGTAACTAATTTATAATCTCTATTTGTAAATCCTCTGTAATATTGTAGCTAGAATCTAAAATGAATGAACTCCAAATCTTGCTGTAAGGATGTTGCTCTCTGGAGCAGAAAGAATAGTTGGCTAACTCTCCCTCCCTCCCCCCTGCTATCCCTCTTTCTTGACTCCCTTTTCCCCAACACAGGATTACTTTGGGAATTCTAATCAAATCAGGCAAGTGTCTATCTGAGTGTGCTCTAAGTTCCAAAAGCCCCTAGCTCAGTGCCTAGCAGATGGCAGATGCATCTTTCCTAGAAAACACCCATTGTGTTCAATCTCAGTTTTTGTATCAGTAGCTGACAGCATTTTAGCAGTCTAAGATGATGATTAATGCTTGTGACTATCTGGCATTCAGTAATGTTATCCCCCGTTCTCACTGAGGCTGGTGAGGACAGGGATATTGCATTTGTCTTACAAATTTGCTGGGGCAGAGCCAGAGTAAACATCCACTGGAGGTTCCGTTTAAGGCCAACTCATTAGAATTTTAACCAATTTGCAAGAATAATCTCAATTAGCAGAGCTCATTAGACTTTAATTGGACTTTAAGCTCTTCCTTTAACCTGGTAGCCTTGGTGGGGCTCCTGAGGATTCGTTGCTGGGGGTGGATGTCTACATGGATGTATACGTGTGGGCATGCCAAAGAGTTAATTTTCCCACAGCAGGGTGGAGTAATCCAAAGAAAACAAACAAGGAATCAGACTGTCTTGACAAAGGCACTACATGATTGTAAAAGGCAACAGGACCCAGGTTTTGCAAAAAAGCAAACCAAACCAAAACAAAAAAACATGCAGACACGCAGACAGCTTTTTAAAAATTTCTTCCTTATCACAGCCAAAAGTTGCTGCTGCTGATTATCTGTGCTCAAGACTGGTCAACACAAATGTCTTTGGAGAACAGCCACCACTCCCTCATTCCAGGCCGGCCTTAGGTAACCTGAGGATGACTCGGTGTTAAGCCAACAATCTGTCCTGGCCCTGGTCCTAGCAAGTACCTATCGTGTGCCCGCAGCAGTGTCTGGGCACCTCTTCTCTCAATTTGTAAAGTGTCCAACCTGTGTTCTTCCAGTTAACCCTTTCTTGATGTTGTGCTCCCCTCCCCCTTATCATCCTTGATACTATAAAATCATTAAGATATGTTGCTTTTGATTGTGAACTAGGTCACCTCAAGACTCAAGACATCCCCTCTCTTTTCTTGTGTTTGATTCCCAGGAGTTCATAGACTTTGAAGAGGACCCGGGGGTCCCATCCAGCAGAACTCTGCATTTGATATAGCATGGACAGGTGCCCATTGCGTCCACTTCCAGGAACAGGTCCCTGTCCTGTCTTCCTGTGTATACCACTCACCCACCCACATCTCTTGATTTCCTGAGCTACACTGAATATGCTGAATCCAGCTTCCTCCTGACAGCCTTTCAAAGCCGCCCAGGACTTCCTTGAGATTGCTCTTCTTCAGATGAAGAGCTTCTTCCATGGGTGCTGCCATTTTGAGATCTTCCTCCATCCTGACCTACAACACTTCTCCATGTTCTTATCCTTTACCACTTATGATGAAGGACTTAAAGCAGAGAACATCCTACCTACAGCTCCGCATTCTTAATGCTCACGTAGAACAGAATTTCACCTTCCATGCCATGGCCTTTATACCTTTGTTGATATAGCCAGCTGTGGTACCTTTAACTTTATTTGCCAGGCCTGTGAGACCTTTGCCCTGTGACAAGCATCATGTCAACCGGCCCCTCTCAACCTGGGCTTTTTCAGCTCGGCTGATTCCATCAGGGCTGTGACCCACCTAATGGCAGGGCTTTGTATTGACCGCATCTCACTTTGTCTTGTTGAATGTGGATGGTCTTTATTAGTAACCCACTCAGGAATCCAGAAATAGGAACTGTCCAGAGCTGTTCTCTGGGGCCCGGGGTATTCTCTGTTGTACATAGGGACATGCTGACTTTTATTTAGAAAATTCAATGTGTGATTTATTCCCAAATCTCCAACCTACTGAATTTTGTATCCTGGCCTTTTTTTTTCTGCTCACATGGCCGTTTCTTGGAAGTAAAGAGAACTTTGAAGAGGGTAAAAAAAAAAAAAAATTAAAAGAGATGATGTTCTTCAATTGTTTTTCATTTTTTCCCCAGAGATTGCATAGTTTTCTCTCATAAATCCAATCAGTCTTTCAAACTTAAACATAGCATTTATTTCTTTGTTACTTAGAATCTATGGAGGCTGGGAATGGGAATGAGGAGAAAGGAGAAGTCAGCAGGTAACAGAGGAAAGGGCATTAGATCCAGAGCCAGGAGGCTACATGGGTGTGTGACCCTGCAGTTGCACTGAGCCTGTGCTCAGAGGGCTCTGTGTTTGACTGAATGCTGTGTTTTTGCCATCTTGAAATTCTTAACTTTTTAAGAAAGGGGTCTCGCATTTTAATTTTGCACAGGGCCTCAGCTGATCCATCCTGATTAGGAGCCCAAACTCTCTCTCCTCCTCTCCCTCTTCCAATCTTGGCACGTTATTCACCTCATATCCACTAAGTAAAATGAAGGTGTTTCCACATCTGGCGATATGTGAATCTAAAGCAGAAGAGGTAGAAAAATGGGAAAGTGGGCTGTGTCACGAATAGTGAATGGAACTGGGGCTTTACACAAGGTCTTTGACTTTACCTGATTCAATTCTTCTTCCTCTTCTTCTTATTATTTCCTTTTTTGAGACAGGGTCTTGCTCTGTCACCCAGACAGGGGTGCAATGGTGCAATCACAGCTCACTGCAGTCACCATTTCTGGGTTCAAACCATCCTCCTGCCTTAGCCTCAGGAGTATCTGGTACTACGGTCATGTGCCATCATATCTAGCAAATTTTTTTTTTTTATTTTTAGTAAATACAGGGCCACACTATGTTGCCCAGGCTGGTCTTGAACTCCTGGCCTCAAGCAATTCTCCTGCCTTAGCCTCCTGAAGTGCTGGGATTATGGGTGTGAGTTACTGGGCCAGGCCTCAAAACTCAGTTCTCAAAGGGGAAAATGGTCTCCTCAAGTCCCATAACACACTGGAGTAGAGTTGTCTGTGAGTGAGTCTCTCCCTCAGGGGCCCATAGGGAAAGTGATGGCCATAGGCAAGGAGTGGCCAATTATGGGCAGGGAGAGTGAGATCAGACTATTTCCTCCTTACTCAGGTGCCTGCCTTTCTCTTACTCTGTGAAACACATACAGATACTCTAACACACTAAAATAGCATTGAACAGTTTTTGCGCAAGGGTTCCAGTGATAATTCCAAACCACTCAGAGTCCAGGGTGGAAAATTGGGCCCTGTGTTGTAGAGGAGCATGGAGACCTGCACCTGGGCCAACTGTGCATCCTTTGCGGACTCCCTCTGAGCGTGCTGTGTGGGTGCTCTTTCCATCCAATGTGAGCTCATCTGTTCATGTCATGTTGGAGCAGGCTCCTTAAACCTTGTGGGAGATGCTCCGTTGCTTTTCCAGTTTCTGGAATGTGTTCTGTATTCTTCACCGCAGAGCTTCTGCCTTAAACAACTCCTACCCCACCTTTTCAATATACTTCCCCAGGGAAGTCTTTTTTGATCACCAGTCTCATATAGGCATGCCTAGTGTTCACCTTCACTATCATACCACTTGTAGCTCATTTATAATCACGTCGGTTTCTTTCGATGTCATTTTGGTTAATGTTTGTGTCCTTCACTAAAATGCAAATGACTAAAATTTACTGAGAGTTTACTATTTTTCAGGAGCTTTACATGTGTTATTTAGTGTTTATAATGACTCTAAAAGGTAGATATTTATTATTATCCTTCCCATTTTCCAGATGAGGAAACTGAAGCATAGAGAGGCTAATCCATTTATTCAAGGTTCTGTGGATTACAGATGGCAGAGTTGATAATCAGGTTAGATGGGCGATTTGGTTCCAGGGTTCACTCTACTCATGCCAATGCTATTTGCCATGATGGTAGGGGCTGTGGATATATTTGCTTACCATGGTATCCTCTATGCCTAACTCCTGGCTCATAATAGGCCCTCAATAGATACATGTTAACTCATGAGAGTGTACCAATTCGTTTGTCTTAATTTTAGAGTTTCTCTGCTCTTGTTGCGAGGAGAAAGGGGACAGATATGTGTACACAATAATGTTGGTGGTTACAACTCAGCCTTCTAAGCATTTGGTACCTTTAGAGACAGGCCACAGAAACACCAGGAAAAGACGGCTGACAATAGGGCTGTGACTCTAGGACCTTGTGTTGCACCCTCACTGCTTGCCTTTTCGTCACTGTGGTACATTCCACCCATGCTTCACCTCGATGCCAATGGAAAACAGCTCTATAACACTTCCTATGGAACCCAGTCCAAGAATCATGGTAAAGGATGGTGGGGATGAGAGCCAGTGGACATTTTCCATTTCAGATGTGGTTAAGGGCAGAGTTCCCTCTTGGTTTGTCCTAAACTTTGGCCCCATGGTGACTAAGGAGGATGACTCACCAGTGTTCTTCCTATTTTCAGTATTAAAATAATTCTAACCCAATCTAGTTTCCATTGCCGTGGAAGGCAAACCACAGCCGTGTTGAGTTTGTTAATACTTAAAGCAGAAACAGAAAGGGAGCCGAGGATAAAGGCGTCGACGCCCTGGGGAACATATACTTGCTTTATGGTCTACTGCGGAGGTCAAGGTTAAGGGAACTCTGATCTCACCCCATTTTATTTTTTTTCAGCTGTACAAGAAGTATCCCGGGCCAGACTCTGGGGCATCTGCTGTGGATACAGAGAGGAATAAGGCGAAATTAATTCCTCGAGTGTGTTGTATGGGGCATACATTTATATCTAGTGTGACACCATGTAGACTGTGCTGGGTTGATCTAGTTAACTGTGCTAAAATCCAAGAAGGTCCTGAAAAGAAATGCCATTTGAGTTCTTCTAGGAGGATCTGGAAGTTTGGCAAGAAGAAATGATGGAAGGGCATTCTAAATGAGGGAGTGGAATCAACAGAGGTTTGAAAGATCAAGGGGGGTTTGAGGCATAGAAAGCTATTGGTCTGGAATGGACAACACATCAGGTTTTGCAGGTCATGTTACTACATGAAGTGGAGAAAGCATAATGGGGTCATACAATGGAGGAGTTTTACACTTTAACCAATGGAGGGAAGTCAGTGGGGGAGGAGCTCTTCCATCCTCCTCTCTCCTATCTCCAACGACCTGCAGTTAAATTCGTATCTCAGATAAGCAGGCTGAAGGCAGAGAAGATGAGTGCCACAGTTCACAGGGCTCCTTCTTCAACAGGCCTGACAGGCTCTCCTGCTTCCTGAGAATTTAATCCACAGATGTTCATTTCATATCATCCTTTCAACACCATTCCATCTTTCTATCAACTAATCTCTATATCAACACCAAATTAAACCATAACCAAATTTTGCTGATGCAGGCAGGCAAGTGAGCTCCAATACTGGGGCTTAGCTGCGGAGGGTTCTTGGCTTGCCCAGGAAAGAACCAAAGGGCAAGCCAGTGGTGTTAGACAGCAATGTCTTATTGAATTGGAGTTGCTTTTTGTGGATAATGGCTAACTCAAGGCCATGTGCCCAGAGTTAGCACTCGTGCTATTGGCTAGCTGGATTTATACTAATTTTTAATTACATGCAAATCAAGGAGTCGTTTATGCAGAACTTTCTAGAAGAGGAGTAGTAACTTTGAAGTCATTGTCATGGAAACAGGAGGTAACTTTCGGGTCATTGCCATGGCATTTGTAAACTGTCATGGCACTGGTGGGAATATATTATGCTAATGAGCAATGAGGGCAACTAGCAATCTCTTTCAGCGCCACCTGCTGGTTCTGGCTGTTTTTTCCACTTCATCCTGTCTGGACTAGGAAAAAAAGTCCTGCTGGTCTCCTACCTCACTACTACTTTAAGGCACTCTGTTAGATGTTGAAAAGATGTATTGAACAGAGTAAGACAAACAGCCTTTGTGTGTCAAGATTACTCTATATATTTGCAGTAGTTCCATGAGTTTGGTATAGATGATAAACTGAGGCTTCAGGAGGTTGAGTAGCTTGACCAAGCTACTCAAGGTCATTCGGGGAGTGAGTGAAGGAGCCTGGAGCCAAACTCCGGAAGTTCCTCCGAGCTCAAGTTCCTAATCTGTTATGTGAGGAGATGATAAATACACCATGGAATAGCTGAAGATTAGAAGAGAATGCATCAATGACGCCCCAGGACAGTGCCTCATAGCTAGTCACTGTTGTTATCCTTATTACTTTCCACAGAGTGAGTGCACGTTCTTACTGCCTTCCCACACTGTCTCCCTGCAAGATAACACAGTATATTTTGGGTTAACCTCTCAGTATAAAAACTAAAGGCAGAAATAGAGAAGGGAGTGACATTAAAATGATGCTGGGAGAGTGATTACAAAGTAGATGACTATTCTGAAGTACATGCCAATCTGCCATTCTTTGGAACTCACTAAGCTCTCTCCTAGGATCAAGTCCAATTCTGTGAAAACTGACATCCGGGATTGTTGGACTTTGGCCCTGGTGGTGTGCCTGCAGATGACAGTGGCATGACCATGCTCTTTGCTTCTAAAGCAGTGACCACATCCAAAATGGCTTTGGAACTTGGAACACTTGGGTTTATATCCCAATTCCAACACTTGTGTGCCCTCTGATCACAGGCTGCTTACTGAACTTCTTTTAGTTTCAATTTCCTCCACTGTCAAGTGAGAATATGAGTACCTAGTCACAGAGGTTGTTGTAAGGTTATATAAAAATAAAAATTATATTCAGGACTTTGCATTGTATCTGACTAACACAAAGCTCTCAATGTGTGGTAGATTTTTCTATAAGGAAGTTTTGCATCTTTTGTAGGAAGGCTGATGATAGTCATGACGGTCCATGTTGTATATATACTTTTATAAGTGCTTCTTTGGAAGAGAGAGCTGCTTATTCCAGTCTGGCTCTTTCTGTGACATTGCACAGAGAAATGTGCTAGGAGCCACAGGGAAGCCCAGGAAGGATTTGCTACCAGCCTGAATTTTATTCTAAACAAATCTGCTACGTGGAAGACTGTACTTACACAAAGATAAATCACAAAGCAGTTACTCTTTTCATCAAGGACTTGGAAAAAGTATATGTAATCCATCCTAAAGTCATTTAGAAATGTTTAAATATAAAATAAATAATACATTTTATATCAGCATCTTGGGTGATTATTTAAAATTTATTTTCCATTTTATCATTGTTTCCCCTCCCCAAAGAAACAAAAACAATTAAGTAAAAAGTATAAAAGTGATTAAATGCTTTAAAATTATCTTTTTTTCAGCTTTCTAGGAGTACATACTTACTTTAGGGGCAATATCTATGTGCTTTATTTCCTTATTGTTTCTTTTTTGCTGTCTGATTTTAATGTCCATTATATTTTCATCTTAACCCCATTATTTCTTGTTCTATTTCTTTGTTTCCTTTTCTATTTTTAGGTTATGTCTTTTTGATGCCAAAACCGCTAGTTCATTTGGTCAGTTAGTCAAATAATTGTTAGTTCAGTTTTAGGGAAAAGAAAATCAAATCCACAAAACAAAATCAAAACCAAACCAAACCAAAAAACCTAATCAACCTCCACCACCAACCCATAACTATTAAACCTACACCCAGACCTTGTCTGAGGTACTGAGTAGGCCAAGTTCAAAAGGCTGGCTGTGCTATTCAGTTTTTGTTGGCAGTGTTGGTGAAGCTACTCTTCCTTTGCTCATATAGTCAGCCAAACGAATCATTTATTTATTGGTGTAATGCTTAAAGCTGAGGGTACTTTCATGGTACTTTTCTATTCCTGGAGTTATTATCATTTTCAGGCAATGAAGAACTGTGTTTTTAGTCCTAACCTCATTGCTTATGATCAAGTGACATAATTGGTCTATGACTCAGTCTCATCATCTGTAGAATGGGAAACTACTATGAGGATCAAATTAGATAAGAGATGTGGAAGGCCAGTATGGTGGCTTACATCTGTAATCCCAGAACTTTGAGAGTCCAGGGCAGGAGGATCACCTTAGATCGGGAATTCAGGACCAGCCTGGCCAACGTGGTGAAACTAAAATGTCTCTACTAAAAATATAAAAATTAGCTGGGCGTGGTGGCAGGTACCTGTAATCGCAGCTACTTGGGAGGCTGAGGCACAAGAATCGCTTGAGCCAGGGAGGCTGAGGTTGCAGTGAGCCGAGATTGCGCCACAGCACTCCAGCCTGGGCGATAGAGCAAGACTTGGTTTCAAACAAAACAAAACAAAACAAAACAGAACAAAACAAGAGATGTGGAAGCCCTTTTTAGTGGTAATATGATGTACACTTGCAGGTGATAATTTTCCCTTGTTGAAATTCTGTTGCGAAACTATTTTCTCCCCAAAGGGATGAGAGTTTAATAGCCTAAAAGTATTTGGGAGTTGGGAAAATAAGTACCAACTTCTATTTATTTTGAAATTCCTATTTATTCTTGAATGATTAAAATATATCTTAAAAACATTAAAGATTCTCAATTAATTGAATTTAAAAGCAAGTGTTCTATTGAATTCTAAAGACATTTGAAGAATTTTTAGCCTCCTAAATCCTTACTGTTAAGTTAATTTGGAGCTGCCTCTGTTCATGTGGGTTATAAAGCTGATCTCCTAGAATTAAAAGGTATGGGACATCATATTGCCATATCTGTTGTTTTTATGAATCTGTGTAAAGAATATAAATTTAGTAGAATTTAATTCATCCCATTTCAATAAAGATTGATGAACATTCCAGGTACCAGTGCAAGAATTGGAGAATAAAAGCTGAGGATGGGTTGTGGAGAATGATGGGATGATGTGCAGCTGTGCAAGTTAGCTTGCTTGAAACTTTTTCTACTTGCATTGTAAGAAAACAATAATGTAACATTTGTGCTATGAGACTTTGTGACCTATAAAGTGCCTTACATAACTTACTTTATCACAATGATAATCATATGAGACAGATATTCACTATTTCTCTGTTATAGGTGAGAATCTTGAGACTTAGCAAGGCTGAAAGTTGTTTAAGGCTGGACCCCCAGCTAGTTTGTGGCAGGGCTGAGGTTCACACACATCTGCGTCTTAAGTTTTGTGTGTTTTTCTTTTTCTTTCTCACACCATACTGCATCCATCTGAAGAAAAAATATTCATCAAATAAATTGTGGTTTTGTTTTTGTGTTTTAATATGGCACACATAACATTTATTTCTCCTTTCCAAGTTTACTACTACCTGTGTGTCTGTTCTCATGACGCATTAGAGCTTTGAACTTCTTGGAAGAAAGGAACTGTCTAAATTCATAGTATTGTTATTATTGTCGTTACTATTTGCCAAGACAAATGAAAAGTGGTGCATAGAGCAATGCTTGTCTTACTAGAACTCTTTAATTAAGAAAATTGGTTGTTTTCATTTTCATTCCCTGTAGCTATGTAATGACGAATGCAACACAGCACAGTGCATTCAGAATTTAAGACATATTTCATCGAGAACAAGAAACAAGTCTGCTTCTCTGAAGAGAAATAAATGGCAGCCAGATTAGATCCAATGATGACACATTAGTTCTATAGTAAAACATTATGCTAGATTTTGCAAATTCCAGATAAAATTTTTTTTTACAGTCTAGGTATCATAGAATTTCCTAGTAGAACTAATTTTTCATACATTTCCTTTACAGGTGGAACTGAAAAAAAAAGAGAAAACAATTTTGGCTTCCTAGAGCAAAGAGAAAATATCAAAAGGCAGATAATTAATTGCTTTACCATATAACAGCCCTTACAGCTACACCAAGAGGACAATGCCCAGTTGTTAGTATAATAGAAGCAAGGCAGAACTGCTATAAAATCAGTTAAATAACTTACTTTGTCTCGGCTGCAAACTTTATGGCTGCTGGTGGAGGCTCTGGGTGTGTATATCAATTCACAGTTTTCATCCCTTAGAGAGTACTGGGCTGCCCTTAATAGCTGTGTGATGTTAGGCAATTCACCCAGACTCTCAGGGGCTCAGTCTCCTCCTCTGTGAAATGGAGAAAATGATACACGCCTCATGGGTTTCTTTGTATAAAGTGTGTGCTTTGAATAGGGTCTAGCTGGAGTAAGTGAATAATGCACCATAGTAAAGATGTTGGTGCTGACGGTGGTACTT
This sequence comes from Homo sapiens, assembly GCF_000001405.40. Lineage (NCBI taxonomy): Eukaryota > Metazoa > Chordata > Mammalia > Primates > Hominidae > Homo > Homo sapiens. The sequence goes on along the minus strand of NC_000009.12, from coordinate 108,464,197 downwards.
TGGCACCAAGCTTTCACCACCTTTTTGAATAAGCCAAGAAAGCATTGCTCAACCACTGGCCTTTGAATTCCACTGGCAAGGGTTGGGTCTCAGCCACAACTCTGGCTCTCTTCTTGGGAATTTGGCTGTGTCCCATAGTCCCACATCCACTCCTTTTATTCCATCTCAAACATCCAGCATGGCTCACATTTGGTAAGAGGTTTTGAGAGTCCTAAATAAGGAGCCCTCTTAAATTATCTGTGTCCCTAGGATATTTGAAGAACAGCCACTAAGTCCTCAGGCTCACAGCATCTTGAGCCTCTTGTTCTCCTCTGACCCTGGTGGAGTGCTTGTAAAATGGTCACCATCTATCTATGGGATTCTGGGGTCATCACCATGGGTGTATGAGGGACCACAACTGATAAGATGGGAGTTAGAATCTTGATCAGACTCACTTCTGTGCAGCTGAGACCTTTTTCTCTTAATTGAGGTATGACTGATGTACGCAAACCTGTACATATTTAATATATACACCTTGATGAGTTTGAAGATAAGTACATATACACCTGCAAAATCATCACCATAAACACTAACATAACCATCATCTCTAAAGTTTTATCTCTCTGGCCTCTTTTTATTTTTGTGTGTGTGATAAGAACTTAACATAAAACATAATTTTAAGCATATAATACAATATTGTTAACTAGATGCACTCCGCTGCATAGTAGTTCTCTAGGATTTAGTTGTCTTGCATAACTGAAACTATGTATACTTTGCAACATCTCTCCAGTTTCCCCTACCTCCAGCCCCTGAAAACCACCATTCTACTCTCTGCTTCTGAGTTTGACTATTTTATATTCTTGATATAAGTGGGATCATGTACTATTTGTTCTTCTGTGTCTAGCTTACTTCAACTAGCATAATGTCTTCCAAATTCATCCATGTTGCAGTAAATGGTAGGATCTTCATTTTCAAGGCTAAATAATATTCTTGTGTGTGTGTGTATGTATATGTATATATGTGTGTATATATATATATGTGTATATATATATGTATATATATGTATATATATATATGTATATATATATGTGTATATATATATATGTATGTATATATATATATATATATATATATAAATAGACATTTTCTTTATCCATTCGTCTCTTGGTGGACATTTAGGTTGTTTCCATTTCTTTGTCATTGTATTACTGCTGCAATTAAAGTGGGAGTGCAGACAGCTCTTCAAGGTACTGATTTCAAATTCTTTTGAGTGTACACCCAAGAAAGGAGATTGTTGGACCATATGGTAGATCTAATTTTAATTATTTGAGGAACATCCATACTGTATCCATAGTGGCTATACCAATTTATATTCCCACTAACAGTGTACAAGAATCCCCTTCTCTCCACATCCTGGCAAACACTTGTTCACTTTGTCTTTTTGGTCATAGCCATCCTAACAAGTGTTAGGTCATGTCTCATTTTGGTTTTGATTTGCATTTCTCTGATGATGAGTGATGTTGAGCACCTTATCATGTACCTGTTAACCATTTGTATGTCTTCTTTGGAGAAATGTCTATTCAGATCTTTTATTCATTTTTAAATCAGATCACTTGTTTCTTTGCTATTGAGTGGTAAGGGTTCTTATGCATTTTGCAGACATATAATTTGCCAATATTTATGCTTCTTCTGTTGTTTACCTTTTCACTTTGCTGATTGTTTCCTTTGCTGTGCAAAAGATTTACAGTTTGATATAATCACATTTGTGTATTTTTGCTTTTGTCACTAGTCATATCCAAGTAATCATTGCCAATGCCAATGTCAATAAGTTTTCCTTTGTTTTCTTCTAAGAATTTTAGAGGTTTTGGTCTTACATTTAAGCCCTTAATCCATTTGGAGTTAATTTTTGGATATGTATAAGATAAGGGTTCAATTACATTCTTTAGCATACAAATATTATTTTCCCAAAGCCATTTATTGAAGAGACTATCCTTTTTCCATTGTGTATGCTTGCCCCCTTGACCATGATCAGTTTACTGTCAATGTGTGGGTTTATTTCTGGGCTCTCTATTCTGTTTTTATGCCAATACCATACTGTTTTGACTACTGTAGCTTCATATTTTGAAATCAGCAGTCTGCTGCTTTATTATTCTTGCTCAAGATTGCTTTGGCTATTCAAAGGCTTGTAGTTCTACATCAATGTTAGGATTCTTATTTCCATTTTTTTAGAAATGTTGTTGGCATTTTTGCAGGGATTGCATCTGTTGATCACCTTGAGGAGTATGGATATTTTGACAATATTAATTATTCCAATCTATGAACATGAGACATCTTTCTATTCATTTTTTCTGTCTTCTCTAATTTCTTTCATCAATATTTTATAGCTTTCAGTGTATAGAGATTTCACCTCCTTGGTTAAATTTATTCCTAAGTATTTATTCTTTTTGATACTATCATAAATGAGATTTTTGTTTTAATTTTTTGGGTAGTTCATTAGCATAAAGAAATGCTACTGATTTTTGTATATTGATTTTGTATCCTGCAAATTTACTGAATTATTAGTTCTAACTCTTTCTTTAATGAAGACTTTAGGGTCATCGTGCCATCTTCAGAGATAATTTTACTACTTCCTTTCTTATTTGGATGCCTTTTATTTCTTTTTCTTGTCTAAAATGCTCTGGCTAGGGCTTCCAATCATATGTTGAATAGAAGTGGTGAGAGTAGGCATACTTTCCTTGTTTCTCATCTTAGAGGAAAAGTTTTCAGTTCTTCATCATTGGATATGATGTTAGCTGTGTGTTTGTCATATTTATGGTATTGAAGTGTATTCCTTCTTTACCTAATTTGTGAAGAGTTTTTATCATGAAAAGATGTTGAATTTTGTCAAATGCTTTTTCTGCATTTATTGAGATGATCATGATTTTTATTCTTCATTCTTTTATTCATTTTCAATAATGTGATGTAGCAATTGATTGATTTGCATATTGACCCGTCCTTGCATCCCATTAATTGATTATGATGTATTATCCTTTTAATGTGCTATTAAATTCAATTTGCTAGTATTTTCCTGAGGACTTTTGCATCTATGATTATCAGAGATATTGGATTATAGTTTTCTTTTCATGTGGTGTCTTTGTCTGGCTTTCATATCAGAGTAATGCTGGCCTCTTAACATAAGTTCAGAAGTGTGCTCTCTTTTTCTGTTTTTCAGAGGAGTTGTAAAAGGATTGCTATTAATTCTTCTTTAAATGTTTGATAGAATTCAATGTGAAGCCATTTGGTTCTAGACTTTACTTTGTTGGGTGGTTTTCAATTACTGATTCTATCTTGATTATTTTTGGACTGTCGAAGCTATTAATAATTCTTGATTCAATCCTGATGGGTTGTATGTTTCTATGAATTTATCCATTTCATTTAGGCCATCTAATTTATTGGCATATAATTGCTCGTAATAATCCCTTATTTCTGTGGAATCAATTGTAATATCTTCTTTTATATTTCTAATTGTATTTGAATCTTCTCTTTTTTAAAAAAATTAGTCTAGCTAGAGGTTGTCATTGTTTTATCTTTAAAGAAAACTACTCTGTTTTGTAGATTTTTTCTACTGTTTTTCCATTTTCTACTCATTATTTCTGCTCTAAATTTGATCATTTCTTTCCTTTGGCTAACTTTAGTTTGTTCTCTTACTAGTGCTTTCAGGTACAAAGTTAGGTAGCTTACTTGAAATCTTCCTTTTTTTTTAAAAAAAAAAAAAAGCAGGTGTTTATCACTGTATATGTCCCTCTTAGTACTGCATTTGCTGCATCCCATACATTTTTCAATGTTGTGTTGTCATTTGTCTCAAAATATTTTCTCATTTCTCTTTTTATTTCTTCTTTGAGTCAATGGGTGTTCATAACTGTGTTAATTTTCAGGTATTGGTGAATTTTCCCATTTTCCTTACATTATTAATATCTAGTTTCATTCTATTTTGGTTTGAAAATATATTTGGGATGATTTTAATCCTTTAAAATTTATTGAGACTTGTTTTGTGACTTAGTATGTGATCTGTCTGGAAAATGTTCCCTGGATGCTTGAGAAGAAATTATATTCTGCTGTTGCTGGGGAAATGTTCCACATGTGTTTCTTAGGTCCATTTGGTCTATAGTGTTGTCCAAGCCTATTATTTCCTTATGGATTTTTTGTCTGGATGATCTGTTACTGAAATGGGGGTATCAAAGTCTTCTACAATTATTGCATTGCCGTCTATTTCAACTTTATATCTGTCAGTGTTTCCTTTAAATATTTAGGTACTTTGAAGTTGGGTGAATATATATTTATCATTGTTACATTGACACTTTTATCATAATATAGTAACATTCCTTGTCTCTTTTGAAATATTTTGACTTGAAATCTATTGATCTGATATAATACAGCCAATCTCTACTCTTTTAGGTTACCATTTGCATGGAATATCTTTTTCTATTCCTTCACTTTCTGCCTTGTGTGTCCTTAAATTTGAAGTGAGTATGTTATAGACACCTTATAGTTGGAACTTTTTTTTTTATCCATTCAGACACTCTTGTCTTTTGATTGATGAGTTTAATCCACTTACATTTGAAGTATTGTTGATAGCTAAATTCTATTGCCATTTTGTTAACTGTTTTCTATTTTGTAGTTCTCTTATTTCTCTTTTCTTCTCTTGCTATTTTTCTTAGTGGTTTGATTTTTTGTGGTGATATGCTCTGATTCTTCTCTCTTTATTTTTTTTTGTATCTCCTGTAGGTTTTTCCTTTATGGTTACCATGAATTTTGCTTTGAACCTCTTATAGTTATTACAGCCTATTTTAAGCTCATAACTTAACTTTGATTGCATAGGCAAACTCTACACTTTTATTCTCCTTCCCTCACTTGATGCTACTGATACAGGGCTTACCTCTTTTTATATTGTATATTCAATAGAATTTTTGTGGCTATAGTTATTCTTAATGCTTTTGTTTGTTGAATTATATGCTGGGCTTATAAGTGGTTTACATGCCACCATCACAATATTATAATATTCTGTGTTTGAGAATGAAATAAAGTACAAAAATTACCCGGATGTAGAGACAGGTGCCTGTAATCCTACTCAGGATGCTGAGGCAGGAGAATCGTTTGAGCCTGGGAGGCGGAGGTTGCAGTGAGCTGAGATCACGCCATTGCACACCAGCCTGTGAGACAGAGCGAGACTCTGTCTCAAAATAAACAAATACATAAATAAATATTAAAATCTCACTAGTAAAAGTAATTGAGAAGACTAAGTCTCTGAGGTTGAATCCAGAGAATGATGGTTCATTCCCTGTTATGTTTTGAGGGACAGAATAGTTGCCTCTCAAAACTGTAACAGACAAAGTAGAGACTAGATAATTCTCAATGGACTAGAAAACAGAAACAAAGATTTGATTTTGAGTTGTCTGCTATATTTCCCCTGGGCTTCCTTTTTGTATGGACTGAGGGATGATGTTCTTTCTTTATTATCTTCTTATAAGACAGCTTGTGTTTCTTTTCTCAGTAAGTCACAGGAATGACAAAAATGATAGTAATGAAAAAATGTAATAAAGTAATAAAAGTAATAAAGATTATTATTAATCATTACTTACAAAAACGATAAGCAAATGTGGTTATACAATGACGATCTACATACTGGAAAATTTGGGGTGGGTAATTGTTAACATTTCTTAGTCACATAGTGAAATTCACACCAAGGTCTTTAACCTGGAAAGTTGTGTAGTATTCTTAGACTCAGTGTTAAACACACTTGGAGGCCAAAAGATAGTACAGAACATTCCATTACCTGTATTCTCAGGCTGCTTTCCTATTTGATGGATTTGCTTCAAATGAGCACCTACAGTTCCCTTTAACCTTTATGCTCCTCTGTTCTTCCCTTTCATACCCTCTCCTTCCTCCACCAGGGTCCTGGCTCACTCTTACCACTGTCCTTTGTAGCCAAGAATGGAGAGAACCTGATCTTTTCCCGGTTCTACACTGGGAGCCCAACTGTGAATCCTCAAATTTTTCACCGTAGATCCTTTACTGACAAACAAATCTCCTCGTAATATTGATATCTTCTCAGAGCGAAACTCTGAGGCATTATTATGCCATAAGAGGTCCTCAACTCCTAGATGTGTTAGAGAGGATATGGCAGAGGATAATAAAGAGTCTAGGAGGGACAGAAACTCCATTATGCCACAGTCTGTAGAAACTCGGCCATAACCTTAGGGCCCTTGGCATTTAAACACCTTACCAGCAGGCAGCATGACCTGCTGGACAATCCCTGAACAAGGAATGGGAGGTACCAATCTGAGTCCAGATACTGTTGCTCACTTACTATTTGGCAAATCATGCTTCTCTCTCTCTCTTAGTGTCAGTATTTTCTCCTGAAAGAAGAGTGTTGGACTGATTCAGTGATTTCAAACTCAGTTTTTTATACTTACAGAACCACTTCTTTAAATAAGTGTTCTTGGGATTATAAACAAATAAAATCTTAAAGCAGAGTTGCTTTGCTTGAAATGTGGGTGGTTGTGGGATTCAAGGCCTTACCCATGTACACCACCTCCCTCCGCTGGTGGTTAGTAGTTGAGCCCACTGGAAGAGATGATATTAGAGATCTTTTCCAGCTCTTCAATTCTCTATTGCAACCTCATGCAAAGGCAATATAACTTAATGAAAGTCAGCATACACTCAAAATCCATGTTAAGCTTCCTTTTATACTTTCTTGGAAAAATAAAAACAAAAGCCAATGATTCCTTAATATATTTTAGCCCGAAGTAAGGTTATTCTTTACGTACAGGTGAACAGCTTGCAGTTATGTTAGAAACAGTAGACTTCATAGCAAGTCAGGAGTTGAGTTTGGGAAGGAAAATTAAGTTTCATTCCTTTTTTTCTATATCTTTTAAAGCATAGATGCTTCTAGGTCAGATTCATAGGCCATCAGTGGTTTTGAAATTCTGGAAAGCCATCAAGCCATATACATATTTCCCAGTGGAGTATTTCCAAGGAGTTCTTTTCACCTCAACAGATTTGTATCAAATCACTGAGTGCTTTGGTGAACAGGGTACTGCATACACAGTAGCCTTGAGGGAGTTACGTTCATTCTTTCAGAACTGTGAGTGGCTCTGGTTTGCCGCCTGTTAAGTTGATTGATATTATGCAGTGCCTGAATCATAGGTAATGCAATGAATCATAGGTAATAACAATTTTCTTTCATTTATTTTTCAAAATTATCATATTTTACCATGAAAGACCTCTGATCTCATTCCTAATTAACCACATCTAGAGATTGCCTGTCAGCTCCAAGGAGTCTATCACCAAGCTTCTTCCGTTTATCTAATGGCCACATATAATTGCAAACAAATTAAATAAGAACGAAAAGCTTATTGAGTTCTATGCTTTATAAACTATATGTTATGGCATTCATTTATGTTATAAAATTCGTGATTTATAAAGAGTTTATAAAGGGTTCAGTGGTGTTCCTACTGTGTGTCACTCTTGTTAAAACTGAGCTGCCTGATCACGTTATACCCAGACTCCCTGTACTTGTTCACATCTCTGCCAAGAGAAGTCATGTGCAAATCTCTGAAATTGCATTTTGTCTGAAAACCAACTTCCCTTTAGGTGCTCTCAGTTATATTCATAAGTAATATACAGAGTAAAGTCTTTTTAAACACAAGGCTGTATGTATTGCAATACAGCAGAAACATTTTAGCCCACTAGACTGAATATTAAGCTAGAAATTTTTTAAATCCCCTGAAATCTCAAATCTAAATTCATTGAAGCAGCATGGTACAAAGAACAGAACTCTGCACCTGATGCCTGGAGACCCAGACTAGTCTAGATCCAGAAAAACTTGAGTCCACTGCCAACTAGCTGTGTGACCATGGACAAGTCTATTGTTTTCTCTAAACCTCATTTCCCTCCCGTAAAAATATAAGGAGTTTTAATGAGATGTTCTAACATCTATTCCAGCTCTGGAATTGGCTGTGTCACATCAACACAGCAGGTTATAATGAAGTCCTGCTTCACTAAGGGAATTGAGTGATGGTCCACCATGGCTAATTTATTAATGAGCCATGGGAAGGAGAGCTGTGGCTATTTTCCCTTCACTCTTTCCCAGGTTCAGGGCTACTTCGACATTTCCAATGCTGCCTTCCACTGTTGGCATTTCTTAAGCAGGGAATTAACTATGACAAGCTTCTTGAATTCTCTTTTTCTTCATAAATAATAAATAATGTTGTTTTATGTACTCATTGACCTACTATTGTCTGGCTCTCTGCCTCTCCACCTAGCAGAGCTAAACCTTTTGACTGATGTTCTGTGTCCAGATAATTACAATAGCCCTATCCCTGGTCCATTTTTTGTTTGTTTGTTCACTTGACAGTACTCAAAACTCAGTACTCTTGAACCCTCAGGTCAAGAATATCACAATTAGAAAGAGGTTGAGGCCTGGGGATGGTGGCTCATGCCTGTAATCCCAGTGCTTTGAGAGGAGCTTTGCTTAAGTCCAGGAGTTTGAGACCATCCTGGGCAACATAATGAGACCCTGTCTCTACAAAAAAATAAAAAAAAAAAAATCCAGGCATAGTGGCAAGTGCCTATAGTCCCAGCCACTTGGGAGGGTGAAGCTTGAGTTCAGGAGGTGGAGGTTACAGTGAGCTGTGATTACACCACTGCACTCAGCCTGGGCAATAGAGTGGACCTCAATTTAAAAAAAGAAAGAAAGAAAAGAAAGAGATTGAAAAAATAAAAACAGTTACAGTTGGCACAGAGACAAATCTATTTATCTATTATTATTTATATATAAGAAGTAGGTTGAAGATACTTCTTATATATATAGATATATATAAGATATATATATATCTATATATATATCTGATATATATAGATATATATCATATATATCATATATATCTTATATATATCTTATATAGATATATATATAAGATATATATGATATATATCTGATATATATCAGATATATATCAGATGTATATATAAGATATATGATATATATCTTATATATATATCTGATATATATCAGATATATATATCATATATATATAAGATATAAGATATATATAAGATATATATATCTTATGTATATAAGATATATAAGAAGTATCTTCAACCTGCTTCTTATATATAAAAATCAACTAGAAAATATTTTAAAAGGTTTGATTCATGATAGCAGTAAAAAAGCATAAACTAGCTAACTTATAAAGAAAATGATAGGACCTGTATGAATCCTGGAGAACACTACTGATTGACAAAGACTTGAATAAATGAAGAGGCCACTTATTTTTGGTTAGAAAAATTCAATTTTAGAAAATAATGATTGTCCCTAAATTAATCTATAATACAAATGAATTACCAGTTAAAAGCACAACAAGATTTTAGAGAATGGAACAAAATTATTTAAAAAAATTAATTTGGATGAATAAGGTTACAATAGCTTAAAAATTAGGAAAAAGGTCTAATGAGGAAAAACATCATACCAGTTACTAAAATTTTGTAGAAAGTAACATAAATTAAAACATTATGGTATTTACTGATGGAGAAATCACTGATAGACTAGTGGATCAATGCAGAAGCCATCTTAAGTAAGTTGGAAGTTTTTTATATAATAAAAATTGGGGGAAATGTTTTACCTTAGTTGGGGAAAATATTTAATAAATGGTATTGGGAGATAGGGATATAATACTATGTCCCCATCTTGCTTCTTGTCCCACAGTAATTTTGAAAAAGATTAAATATTTAAATATTAAAAACAAGGCAATACCTGAAAAATTGTAAATATATTTTAAAAATAATTTGACCTTGAATATATCCCAAAAACCAGAATCCAAAATAAAATAAATTGATTTTAAAAATTTGATGACATTAGAAAACAGAAACCTCTGAAGACTATCTTTTAGAAATACCTACTGAAGTATTTGTAGATGTAATAATAGGGTGTCTGGGATTTGCTTCAAAAGAACAAAAAGTTGGAAGAAAAGAGGTTTGAAACTGAAACAACATGGTCCCTGAATTAATAACTTTTGAAGGTGGATGATGGGCACAGGGGGCAGGGGTTTACTTATATTATTCTCTCCTTTTTTTTTTTTTGATAAGCTGAATTTTATTAAAATTAAGAAGCCATGTTCTGTGAAAGACAATGTCAAGAGAATGAGAATATAAGCCACAGACTGGGAGAAAATTTTTGCAAAAGATGTAGCTGATAAAGGACTACTTTCTTAAATGTACACAAAAATTCTTGAAACGATGAGAAAATGAAAAATTCTATTAAAAAATAGGCCAAAGATCATAGATATCTTGTCAAAAATTATATACAAATTTCAAATAAGCATACAAAAAGATGTTCAACATCATATATCATTAGGGAATTCCAAATTCTCTAATACAACGAGATGCCACTACACACCTATTAGAATGGCCAAATCCAAAATACTGACAATACCAAATGCTAATGAGGATGTGGAGACTCTGGAAGTCTCAATCATTTCTAGAGAAAATGCAAAATGTTATGGTCAATTTGGCAGAGAATTTGGCAGTTCCTTACAAAACCAAACATACTTTTACTACATGATCCAACAATCACGTTCCTTGCTAATTACCCAAGTGAGTTGAGCAATTATGTCCACATAAAAGCCTGCACGTGAATGTTTACAGCAGCTTTATTCATACTTACCCAAAGCTGGGAGCACCCAAGATGCCCTTCAATAAGTAAATGGATAAAAATATGGTGGCACATTCAGACAATGGAGTACTATACAGTGATAAAAGGAAATGAGCTATCAAGCCATCAAAAAGACATGGAGGAACCTTAAACCCATACTACTGAGTGAAAGAAGTCAATCTGAAAGGGCTACATACTATGTGATTCCAATGATATGACATCCTGGAAAATGCAGAACTATGGAGACAATAAAAATTTCAGTGGTTGCTAAGGTTAGAGGAGGAAGGGGTGAATAGGCAGAGTACAAAGGATTTTTAGGGTAGTGGAATTGTGCTGTGTGATACTACAATAGTGAATGCATGTCATTATACATTTCTCAAAACCCAAAGAATGTACAGTGCCAAGGGTGAATCCTAAAATAAACTATGAACTTCGGGTGATAATGATGTGTCTACACAGGTTTCTCAGTTGTAACCAGTGTACTACTGGGGAGTGAAATGTTGATAGTTATGGAGGTTGTGTGTGGTGGGAGAAGCAGCTGGTTTACGGGAACTCTCTACTGTCTGCAGATTTTCACTGTGAACCTAAAACTGCTCTAAAAATGGTCTATTTAATACAAAATTAAATAAGAGTAGAAATATTATTGAAATCTTCACTTTCTCACATCACGCATTGATTTATGTCAAAAAAGTGAGAATAAGGTGTTTTTTATGAGTTGTAGAAAATAATGTACCACATGGTTTACTAAAAGACAAACTTGATTCTAATGAGTAATAATGGATGCATGAATGAACCCTCTTTTTAATTAAGGCATTTCAAGAGAGTAAAGGGTACAGCATGCATCATGCTCTTGGTATTGGATGTTGTCACCATTGTCTTTATCACTGACTTTTTAAATTACACTCTAAGGTTTAGCAATACGGTGGTCTCCTCTCCTGGAGACTGGACCCATAAAAGACTTTCAAATTCAGAAGTTTGGTCCTATATAAAAATGTCTGTTATTTGTCCTGGTAATATTAAGAATTTCATGTCCTTATTCAAATAATAATTTCTTAATAAAACCTCAAAATTAAGAAAGAAACATGTGTAGGAGTCAAAAGAGTAAACTTTTGGCAGGGATTTTGAATACTGAATACATCCTTTGAAAATGTTCTCAGATTTAGAGAAATCACACTTTACATAGAGGTTTCCTTTACTGTAACATGAAAATATTATTATCTCCCTACTTTTATAAATAACATGGTAGCAGCTAAGGTCTAATCTAAATAATAAAAATACCTTTTTATTTTATTTTTTTGATGTGTAAGGCGTTGTTCTAAGAACTTGGTTGATGTTTAACATTATTTAATCTTCATTTATCCTCTAACCTATTTATCATTCTTTTTTTTATTATACTTTAAGTTTTAGGGTACATGTGCACATTGTGCAGGTTAGTTACATATGTATACATGTGCCATGCTGGTGTGCTGCACCCACCAACTCGTCATCTAGCATTAGGTATATCTCCCAGTGCTATCCCTCCCCCCTCCCCCAACCCCACCACAGTCCCCAGAGTGTGATAATCCCCTTCCTGTGTCCATGTGATCTCATTGTTCAGTTCCCACCTGAGTGAGAATATGCGGTGTTTGGTTTTTTGTTCTTGTGATAGTTTACTGAGAATGATGATTTCCAATTTCATCCATGTCCCTACAAAGGACATGAACTCATCATTTTTTATGGCTGCATAGTAGTATTCTCTCCTTTTTTAAGGTATGTTTGTTTGAAATTTTCAATAATTAAGGAAAGTCTTTTGTGTAGCTAAAAACACTTTCTGCTGCTTCTTCCTCTTCCTCCTCCTCCTCCTCTTCCTCCTCTTCCTCTTCCTCTTCTTCTTCTTTTTCTTTTTCTTATAGAGGCCAGGTCTTGCTCTGTTGCCCAGGCTGGCCTCAAACTCCTGGGCTCACGTGATCCTCATGCCTTGGCCTCCCACTCCCGAAGTGCTAGGAATACAGGTGTGAGCCACCGTACTTGGCCTAAAAACAATCTTAAAAGGTAAACCCTCCACTGGAAAATATTTGTAGCACCTGTGATAGCACAAGGGGTAATATTTCTAATATACAAATAACTATTAACAAATGAGTTTTTAAAAGTTTATACAGATAAAAGAGTAATGGCAAAGGACATAAGTAGCCAATTTACAAATAAAGAAATACTAATAGCCAATGAATATATATGAAGATTTTCAACTCCACTGATAGTCAAAGAGAAGTTAATGAAAACAAAACTCAGTATGTATTTCACCCATCAGATTGGCAAAGATTAAACAGGTTCAGAAACAAAACACAGCAAAGATAATGAGTGTGGGTAAATGAGATAATTTCCTATATGATTACTGAAACTGACTTGGCAGAAAACAATAATTCAAGGTGTAAAATGTAAATATACACTGATAAACATATTCTACTTATGGATATTTGAAAGCAGTATTGGCAGAAATAAGTTTTAAAAAGCGAACAATAGAATATCTGTTGAAGCATTCTTGTTGTTAATATAGAAAAATTAGAATACAATGCCGATCAATAGGGAGCTGGCTAAATACATTATGGTATAGACAAATAATGGGATATTTTACAGCAATTAAATGATGATGTAAATTCATATATTGCCAAGGGAAGAGGTCCATGACATGTACTTAGGGAAAAAGCAGTATTTTAAACGTCTGTATTTTCCAGTTGAAAGAAAAGAATATACACGGAATTTATGGGTACATGCACAGAGTCATCTGAAAGAAGTTCACCAAGTTATTAAGCATGACAATCTCTGGTTGATTGTATTTCTGGTTATTTTTATATTCTTTGATTTTTGTATACTCTATAAGTTGTCAATAATGGAGAAGTAGAATTTATCAGAACCAATTTTGTAAACATAATTAATTTTATATGCCTGCCTGTCTCACTAAGCATTGAGGTGCTAAGAGATGGCACATGTGTGATTCATCCATCTTTGTATTTCTCACTCTTACTGGCACCTAGTAGGTGCTCAGTGAATATTACTGCATCAAATTGAGTTTTATCACCATCTTTCCTTGACATCCATTCAGGCAGGTGTTTTGTATGTTGGCATGATACATGGTCTGTGCATATTTAACTAGCATTTTTAGAGAAGCACAGAGTGTTTGAGTTTAAAGAGACTTCTTTCTTTTTATATCAAAGCTCTTACTTTGCAGATAAGGAAAACATAGTTCAGAAAGATAGAATGAGAGGGTCACAGAGCTGTTTTCTGAATGTGAGTTCCACGAGAGCAGGGGTTTTAAATGGTTTTGTTTATTTCCATATCCCCAGTACTTAGAACAGGCACATAGAAAATACTCAGTAAATAGCTCTCTCTCTTTTTCTTTCTCTCTCTCTCTCTCTCTCTTTCTCTCTCTTTCTCTCTCCTCTCTCTCTCTCTCTTTTTTTTTTTGTCTCGAGACGGAGTCTTGCTCTGTCGCCCAGGCTGGAGTGCAGTGGCGTGATCTCGGCTCACTGCAAGCTCCGCCTCCCGTGTTCACGCCATTCTCCTGTCTCAGCCTCCCGAGTAGCTGGGACTACCAGTGCCCGCCACCACGCCTGGCTAATTTTTTGTATTTTTAGTAGAGATGGGGTTTCACCATGTTAGCCAGGATGGTCTCGATCTCCTGACCTCATGATCTGCCCGCCTCGGCCTTCCAAACTGCTGGGATTACAGGTGTGAACCATCCTGCCCGGCCAATATCTCTTGAATGAATAAATGAATGCATCTTACCACCACCCTGTGTCAGACAGCTTGTTCCACATTTTTTCTCTCCCATTTTTTTGTGTAAAATACGTTCTCAAAATGTGTGTAATGCCTTCCTTTCCTCATTTAAAGTGAAGACTCATCTTTTGCAGGGCTTATGATTGACTGGCAGGCTGATCATCATCATTATTGACAATGAAATGAGGGCAATGAAAATAATTCTAAGGGAGCCTTGTTTTCTTTGTCGATGATAATTCACTGTCATCGCTCAGGATGGCTCTTATCTAATGCATCATGAGTCAAGTCTGGCAACACCACATATGCAGAGGGGAAAGGAGCCAGGGCTGGGCAAAGACATACTCTCCAGTGCTGAAGGTAGACCCAGGTGCATGACTGACATTAGAGATGCCAAGAGCAGTCCGTCGAGAGCACCTCTGGGTCCAGTATTCCAGGGCGATTTCTGGAAGCAGTTGGTACTGGAGGGTCATCCCAAGGCCATCCAGCATCTGGGAATCCAAGCAGTGACCACTATTTAGGGATGATACTGGGAAGCAGCAAAATAGGAGCTCTGTGAAGTTTGGGGAAAATGAACTGGGATATAGTCCCATGAAAATGGCCTGAGCAAAGTCATGTAGGGTCCCAATGTCTCACCAGAAGGAGGGAGATCTAGGGTTGGGCAACTCTAATTCAACCAGGTCAAGTGATGGATGATGGGAAGTAAAAGCACAATGTTAAGGGCAGGGCTAATGTAGAACAATGGAAACAGGAGTGTTAAACTATGGAGCTAGGCAGGTGCCCTGGAATGAGGGAGTTGGAATTTAGTTATAGTTTCATTAGAGCTCCAAATTTATCATATTTATCTATCCAGATTAGAAGCATATGGCATAATCCCAAGGTCTGGCATACTGTAGTAAAGCGGAAAGGGTGATAGGGAAGATGTCTTGCTGTACTGACTTGCTTAGCTGGTACTAGCTTAGGCACTGGGATATGAGTAACTCTTCTGGAAGAGAACATTTTGGGGAGGTACAAGGCAATCAGTGGCACCACCTGACATCATCCATTTTCCATCATTTATAATGAGGTTGGTTCATGCTTCTCACGAATCTGTTGCTGTGTTTACTTTCAGTGTATCTAGTTCTTGTTTACTTCTAGTCGACTAACCCTCACATAATTCTTTGGACAAGAAATATATTCATTTGAAGACAGTCAAAGGAAAGTATTGTGACACATGTAAAATATATAGGACAGATAATTTTCATGGAATCTAAACATAGTCTAAAAGTCTTATCCCTTCATCTCAGGCTTTTGCATTCATTTAAATTAAGGCTAACACTTCTAAAGTTTGGGCTCCTGAGTAAAAGTTTAGTCTCTTTATCATGGACAATAAAATGAAGTAATCAAAAAGTGTGTGTATGGGAAGAGACTGAAAATATTGCTTCATTTTATGACTTTTTAAAATATATTTTTTATTATACTTTAAGTTCTAGGGTACATGTGCACAATGTGCAGGTTTGTTACATATGTATACATGTGCCATGTTCGTGTGCTGCACCCATCAACTCATCACTTACATTAGGTGTATCTCCTAATGCTATCTCTCCCCCCACCCCCACCCCACAACAGGCGCTGGTGTGTGATGTTTGCCTTCCTGTGTCCAAGTGTTTTCATTGTTCAATTCCCACCTATGAGTGAGAACATGCGGTGTTTGGTTTTTTGTCCTTGTGATAGTTTGCTGAGAATGATGGTTTCCAGCTTCATCCATGTCCCTACAAAGGACATGACCTCATCATTTTTTATGGCTGCATAGTATTTCCATGGTGTATATGTGCCACATTTTCTTAATCCAGTCTATATCATTCATGGACATTTGGATTGGTTCCAAGTCTTTGCTATTGTGAATAGTGCCACAAAAAACATACATGTGCATGTGTCTTTATAGCAGCATGATTTATAATCCTTTGGGTATATACCCAGTAATGGGATTGCTGGGTCAAATGGTATTTCTAGTTCTAGATCCCTGAGGAATTGCCACACTGTCTTCCACAATAGTTGAACCAGTTTACGGTCCTACCAACAGTGTAAAAGTGTTCCTGTTTCTCCACATCCCAGCACCTGTTGTTTCCTGACTTTTTAATGATCACCATTCTAACTGGTGTGAGATGGTATCTCATTGTGGTTTTGATTTGCACCTCTCTGATGGCCAGTGATGATGAGCATTTTTTCATGTGTCTTTTGGCTGCATAAATGTCTTCTTTTGAGAAGTGTCTGTTCATATCCTTCACCCATTTGGTGATGGGGTTGTTTGTTTTTTTCTTGTAAATTTGTTTTGAGTTCTTTGTAGATTCTGGATATTAGCCCTTTGTCAGATGAGTAGATTGCAAAAATTTTCTCCCATTCTGTAGGTTGCCTGTTCATTCTGATGGTAGTTTCTTTTGCTGTGCAGAAGCTCTTTACTTTAATTGGATCCCATTTGTCAATTTTGGCTTTTGTTGCCATTGCTTTTGGTATTTTAGACGTGAAGTCCTTGCCCATGCCTATGTCCTGAATGGTATTGCCTAGGTTTTCTTCTAGGGTTTTTATGGTTTTAGGTCTAACATGTAAGTCTTTAATCCATCTTGAATTAATTTTTGTATAAGGTGTAAGGAAGGGATCCAGTTTCAGCTTTCTACATATGGCTAGCCAGTTTTCCCAGCATCATTTATTAAATAGGGAATCCTTTCCCCATTTCTTGTTTTTGTCAGGTTTGTCAAAGATCAGATGGTTGTAGATGTGTGGTATTACTTCTGAGGGCTCTGTTCTGTTCCATTGGTCTGTATCTCTGTTTTGGTACCAGTACCATGCTGTTTTGGTTACTGTAGCCTTGTAGTATAGTTTGAAGTCAGGTAGTGTGATGCCTCCAGCTTTGTTCTTTTGGCTTAGGATTGACTTGGCAATGCGGGCTCTTTTTTGGTTCCATATGAACTTTAAAGTGTTTTTTTTCCAATTCTGTGAAGAAAGTCATTTGTAGCTTGATGGGGATGAGGAATTCAAATTGTCCCTGTTTGCAGATGACATGATTGTATATCTAGAAAACCCCATCGTCTCAGCCCAAAATCTCCTTAAGCTGATAAGCAACTTCAGCAGTCTCAGGATACAAAATCAGTGTGCAAAAATCACAAGCATTCTTATACACCAATAACAGACAAACAGAGAGCCAAGTCATGAGTGAACTCCCATTCACAATTGCTTCAAAGAGAATAAAATATCTAGGAATCCAATTTACAAGGGATGTGAAGGACCTCTTCAAGGAGAACTGCAAACCACTGCTCAAGGAAATAAAAGAGGACACAAACAAATGGAAGAATATTCCATGTCATGGATAGGAAGAATCAATATCGTGAAAATGGCCATACTACCCAAAGTAATTTATAGATTCAATGCCATCCCCATCAACCTACCTATGACATTCTTTAAAGCATGTTTTCATTTTTTTTTGTTGTTGTTTTCAGGACTTTTTCCTTTTCTGTTGTCGGATCAATTGGGTTCTTTTTTACTTTTCTTCTCCTATGCAGTCAGCTGGTTCCTAGACAAAGACCCTGAAATGCAGTTCAGTATAATTTAACAGACCTCTGGGGAATGACTTTAAATGAATACTGCCCACACTGTGGCACTGAAACTGGGGACTGTCAGCAAACAGATAAGTCAATTTTAAAGTTTCTCTATGGGAGCTGCACAGAGCTCCTCTCACTGTTGATGGCCTATCCTGTTCACAGCTTCAGCCTGTGGAAATGCTTTGATTCAGCAGCAAGTTCGGGCTTTCAAACATTGCAATGGGCCTTTGTTGGCAACTGCTCTGCCTGCATGCACAGAGGACTCATTCTTCCATGAAGGGCCAGAGGGCCTGCTGATGGGCCAAACCAGTTCACACTGATGTTGCTTGTGGGAGGGAGAAGAAAGCAGGCAGGATTGGTATGGCCCATAATGGGGCCATTTATTCCTTTCCTTCCCAGTATCCTCTTCCCTCAGTGCGTGCCACCTTCAGCGTGCCTCTTGTTCGATGGTCTTTGAGCTGCAATTCTTAAAGACTAAAATATCTCTGACACTCCTTTAAAATAAATTCCTGAATATACAACAGAGGCTGTTACAAGGTACCATCTCCAGTGTCCCTGGAGGGAAATGCTTTGCTGAGAAAGTAATGTCATCACACGCTCCTCCGTACACCCACCTTTGCCTTTGATCTTACAGTGTTTACCTGTAGCTCATTGGTACCAAGGCAAACTGAGTATCGAGCATTCGACTTTGAACTAGGTCTGGTTCTCCAAGAGGAGTTCTTTGATGTCAGTTCCATTATGCATTGTTTATTACCCTTTCAAACATACCCACATGTATTTCTAAGACCAAGGCTCTTCTTTACCCATTCAAAAGGAGAGCGGGGGTTTGTTGCCATATTGGCTATCCTTTGATATTTTTTAAATGAGAGAAATAATATCTCTGGAGTCCATTTTGTCCACTTACAAATTATTTTAACAATATATGTGAAGGGCAATTTTACATTCTCTCTATCCCATTACTATCTTCCAAAACACAATTATATGTCAATTGCATGACTCAGAACCTCTTCTGCCCAAGTAATAAATCATAAGTGTAATGGGTAAAAAGAATTTGTCATTGTTCAGTGTGTATACAGAGTTATGTGGCATATAACCTCAGATTTCTTTCAGATCATATATAAATACATAATAAAATAATAATGCTCATTAGTCAACACCAAATATAAGTTCCAGATGTCTGAACATCAAAGTATTTATAGGCCTATAGGAATAGCCTTGAGACAGGAACAGTTCTTCAAAAATGGTACTGGAAGAAAGCAGGCTACAAAAACCTCCCAAATTCCCTGAAACAAAAGCTATTCTTGTTTATACATAAATTATGAATGACTTTTTAAGGGCTGACTCATTGGCCAGTGCATGTGCCTACAAATCCGGTTTCTCAAGAGGATGGGAGCTGACTGGACTAACAGGAATTCTACAACAAATCATATTTTCCCTGCTTGTCTCTAAAGCAAGTCATTTTGTCCGGAGGTTCAGCCACCTCTCTTGTCAAGGCACAGCAGGGGCTGTTGCTTGCCTGGGAACCCTGCCAAAGCTGTAACAGCACTCAATTCACCTAGCAGGGGCCACCTGCTTCAGGGGCATTGTGGACCAGTCCTCTGGACACTAGTTTTTGGAAGAAGGGACTTGACAGCCCCGGTGAGTGGTGAGATTGAGTGGCACCAGGTGGACTGCTTGCCTGAGGCCGCTCACCCCATGCAACTGCAATTCCCAAGCCTTTTCCCTGGATGTCAGCCTCTATCCACAGCGAGGTAGGTGTGGGAGAACCACCCTGGAGGCTCCTAATCCCAACTGTGCCATGTATTCACTGCCTGGCTTTAAACAAATTAGCTTACGTTTCTCTTAAATTTTCTCATCCATAAAATGTAGTGCCATACAGAATAACTTTTCAGGTCCTGTCCAGCTTTGATAAGTTTTCCTTTACACAAAAGGACATAAATGTACATATTACTTAGTTCATCCATGTGCTGTAGGAGACCTTGATCACCAATATTGCTAATAAGTGGCTTAGTCATGACTCAAAATAAAATTCATGGCAAATACAGATCTTCCAAGACTAGAAGCGTTTCTCTTTTGCAAGGAGGAGCAGGGGCAGGACACAACAGTTCTTTCTGAGGGTTTAATATGAAAAGTTAGAGCCCAGACAAGTTGTTTGCAACATGAAAAAAAAATCCTATTATCCTTCTCTGTCTCATATCTTCCTCCTACAGGCAGGAGGGAAAAAGTGAAAGCACTTTTTAAACATAGTGATTCAAACCTTCCAGTGACTGATAGTGTATGAATGTCAAGAATTTTGAACATGAGTTATCCGTCCCAATTTTTCTATCCCAAATGCTTTTTGTTGGTTTTTCTAACCAGGGGAGAATGCTCCTCGGAAGGAAGTATTTCATTTTTGAAGTGTTAAATGGGGAAGTTTGTATTTGAATCTGAGCTCCATTGGAGCTCTTTGGAAAGCTGTTTTAAGTGGAGATAACCACACCTCTTTCCCTCCTTTTTCTCGGAGGGAATATGCTTTTATTGGCACACTTGTCTACGTGCAGAATCCTGAATTTCTTCTGATAAAAGTTTGATGAATACAAGGTGGTAATAGTGCTCAGTTATCACTTTTCATTAATCAATAAAGACTGCAAACTTCTACAGTCAACATGGAATAAAGTCAACACGAAATGGAGATTACTTAAACCTTGAAGCTCCAACGTTGCACAATTAACAATAAATCCATTATTACTTGATGCATTTGCTGAAACAAAAAACACATGTGACTGGAAATTCAAAAACTGAACAGGCATTGGCAAATGTTTTCCAAATATAATACACTATCCTGACAGCTAATGCATCAACAGTGTTTACTTCAGCAAATGTTTCTAATTTGCAGGGGGAAAAAACAAGTGTCTTATAATAATCTTTAACATTTGAATACGTGTATGTTGCTTTACAGTTTACAAAGCACTTTCAATGTATACATCCCCTCAACTGATCCTTAAAATCACCCTGGGAGGTAGACAGGACACGTATTTTATTATCTTCCAACAATTTTTAGTTCCCCCAACTTGTCATGGTGTTCTTTGTCTCTGTGGTTTCACACGTGCGTTTCTTGAGTCCTGGAATGCCCTCTTTCCCCTCCCCTGCCCCATTTTTCATCTAGTTAATTCCCAGTCAACTTTAAAAATCAACACAACCACTGCCTCCTTTCAAATCCTGTGGAAGTCTCCAGGCTGATGTAGACATCTCCCTTCTGTGTTGCTCCAATACCTTATGTGTGGCTGTGATCACATTTTGCTGTAATCTGTTCGCTTTTCTGTCTCTCTTACTAGACTGTGCACTAACTTGATTGCATGGCGCTTGTTTTATTTACTTGACATCTGTAGCACCTACCACTATCCCTGTTGTAAGTAAGGACTCAGTAAATGTCTGGTGAAAGAATAAATGAAGTCCATTTATGAGATGAGACTGAAGTTCACAAATGTAGGTGTCTTGTTCAAGGTCACACACTTAGTGAAGGACAGGGACTGAACTTTAACCTGTACTGCTGGTTTTCCAGTCCAGTAGTCTTTTCCTCGATATCACCCTGTGTTTGCTCTGCTTATTTCTATTGAAACTTATGAAATATTCATGGATATAACGTAATAGCATTTTGAGGATATTTCTGCAGCATATATAAGAAGTCATTGGGAAGAAATTTTTGCTAACTTCTTATCTTAGTTCTTTATTCATTTATTATTTTTTACTCAGTTCCTATTTTCTTCTATCAAGGATTTGAGGCAGCTTAAAATAACGTTAACATAAAACAAGGATAAAAGATAAAGAGCCAGAAAAAAGAGAAAGTAAGGTGGGAAGTTTTCGTATCAGAAATTCTAGGCAATGAGAAAGACTGCAGTTGAGCTTAAAACTTGTCCTTGAGCATCCTGAGATCCCAGTAGAAAAGAGAAACACAATGTGCTGTATTGCTGTTATTACATATAGAAAGAGAACACTCCAGAAGACTTTTTTCCCTCATAACATTAAGGGAAATTAACTCTATGGATATTTATATGACTCCATGAGAAACACAGTGGAAAATGCCTTCACCTGCAGCTCACACAAGAGGAATTCCTTCAACAAACATTTTAAAAAATCTCCTATAAGTTGGACACTGTATTAAGGATTAGGACAAAGATGAGTAAGATAAGACCCTACTTTCAAGAGACTTCACAATCTGCTAGCAGAGAAAAGCAGTACACAACTAACTAAATGGGCAGAAGCCTTCTTAACAGATGTTTGTTGTAGTTACCCTAATAATAACTGGAGGCATAGAGATCCCTTGAAGACATCTCTATGAGGAAGTGAAATGCAGAATATGTATGTAGGTTGCATTTTGAGATTAATACTTCCTGCTCAGTCCTTATTTTTTAAAAATCACATAGATCAACAAATATTTATGCATATTATAATGCTTAATAATGAAGGGATTCATGTCCTATTAATTTCTGTTTGAATTTCTCTTAATTCTTTCATTTAAAATCTGTGCACATTGTGTAATTGCTGTTCATAATAAGAATATGTGTGCTTTAAAAGCTTATAAATATTATCCATACGTGGAGACATCTTTTCCAACTATAGACCATTAGGAAGTAAACCTAATAATAAATTGTCTGGCCTTAGAAAACATGGTTAGAGTGAAAAGTCCACATTTTGTTCCTGTAATTTGTAACGCACTCAGAAAATACCAAAGCTGGCTCAGAACCAGCTGACGAGCCCTCCAGCACTGGATTCATAATGGGGAGCCTATTTTTCTTTTATTACTGGTAACTGGAAAAGCCTAGCAACTATTTTCCATTGACATTCCCTCCAGGATGGAGAGCTTGTTTTTCCTAGATTTTTGTGTATTTTTAGGCAGTCATCTTGGGCAGTCTGGCTTTGTATCAAAAGTGTTATTAATTGAAGAGTTTCTCCTTTGGGCTATTGGGTAGAAAAATACAGTCTCTGTATCTTCATGTCTATTTTGGGGGTCATGGCTTGTTCCAGTTCCCCATCTTTTTGCAAAGCGGCTGTTCTTTCATCTTATCCCTGTAGTGTGCCTGGAGAAAGAAAGAAACAGAATCCCAGAGCTATGATCACCCTTCTAAAAGTCTTACTTGGAAGTGGCAAAAGTGGCAACTTTGGGCCTCTGAATTCCTTTTCTAGAATTTATGGAAAATAGAAAAAATCGTTGATGGAAAAGCAGAAGGTTGATTAGTAGGCAAAGAAGGATGGTGGTCTCCACCTTCAGGATGACCACTGTATGCAGCTTTTGGGAGATTTTAATTATACTTGACTTGATCTCTGCCTGGAGTTCTCCATTGCATAGTTCTCCTCTTCTTACAAGCAAAACATGCTTGCACTTAGTTTGGGTTCAAAAAACATTTTTACAAGTCCTTTGTCCTATGCATGGGTTTTCCTCCTTTTGCTTGGTACTATAAAGCAAAGCAAGCTTAGTTATCAAGGAGAGATGGGTTTGATACTTTATCGTTTAAAAACATCATTTAGCAATTTGGAAAGTACTGGGCTAGCACCTAGGCCTCTCACTTATGTCTCACATGAACACCCTGGGAAGTGAACTAACGGATTGATAGCCTGTAGGTCACTTGTGTTATGGTAGGCATGTTAATACATTATTTCATTTAGTTCTCTTGACCAAAGTGCAAGAAGAAAATGATTACTTCATTTTCTAGTAACAGATTTTAGAAGTCAGCTAACTTGTGAAGGTCACACTGTTGGTAGTAGGGAAGCAAGGGATGGTCTGAAGTTGGTATAACTCCAAAGCCTGGTACTCCATCCTATTTACCAGCACACCATAACATATTTCAGAGAGTAAGGGATAGTGACATAATCCCTTAATAGTTTTTCCTGAAAGGATTCTTTTCACAGCTTAGGATTATCATCAGTTGAACAGAGTTTCAGGCTATAGCCCGGCATGCATCTTCTGAGGAAAACAGTGATTCACCCAGTTATATTATTCAGGGAGACTAAGAATATGAGGCATGAGTGGACGTGAAATTCCTTTTCAATGAAGCCAGAGATGTCAGAGGAAAAAGTTGTTAATGACATTTCATAATACTTTATACACAGTGTACTTATCTGATTTTAAAGTTCTCTTGTCCTAGTTAAGAAGACAAAATAAGGGGTGTGATGCCCACATAGTTTCACTTGAAAAAGAGACACATAATGAAGTCAAACCTTTGAGGAATTCACTGATATGGCTTGTTGGGAGTGGCCGCTTTTCAGTTGAGGACATCATGATTCAAGTGGGGAGTTTAGAGGCCAAGATCTGGGCTTCTGAGAGTTTAACTGTTGCGCTCTGTAGAAAGTTATTTTGCTAAAAAGGCTTATTTCCTTTCATTGATAATAAAAATATTGTTAAACTCTAGTCATAAGTAAAAATTCTAGGGCATCCTGAATTATCAGTCAGCATGTATGTATCCTAGGGTTTTGTTCAAAATATTAAATATCTGCTTTGGCGTGGCCACTGACCATTAGCGTGGACTCAGGCTTTGGAGTTGGGGCTGAGTTGGGGAGGACCCTTTCCCTGTACAGCTTTAACCCTTTAGGAGCTTGACTATGGGAAGTTCTGGGGGGTCCCAAGGAAGGGACCAAGGTGTCCAGAATAGCAGAAAGGATCTATGGGACAATTTATCAACTGAAAAAAAGGTTCAACATTTTAACAATGGCTACTGTCTCACTAGCGTGTATGAGATGAATATCAGATCTGTGTACATCACAAGCAATGTAATATAGTAATAAATTCCTACATACACCAGCCACTATGGGGCTAAACAAGAGAGACCTTGAAACCAATGTGAAACTCCTTTTATGGAGTATTTTCTAGAAATATTAACATCTAACACTGGAAAGATAATATAATTGAATAATTAGGAATAAAGGCTCTGGGGTTAGGCTGCTTGCGTCTATTAATTTCCTGTGGCTCCTGTAACAAATTATCACAAACTTAGTGGCTCAAAACAACACAACACACAATTATTCTCTCACGGCTCTGGAGGTGAGAAGTTTCAAATCATGATGTTGTCAGGGCTGCATTCCTTCTATTGGCTTCATGGCAGAATCAATCTCTCTTGCCTTTTCGGCTTCTAGAGACCATCTGCATTCATTCCTTGACTCAGGTACCCTTGCTTCTATCACTCAACTTCTTGCTTCTGACATCACTTCTCATATTACTGACTCTGACTTTCTTGTTTCTCTTATAAGGACCCTTGTGATTACATTGGATCCACCTAAATAATCCAAGGTACTCTTCCCATCTCAGGATCCATAATTTAGTCACATCAGCAAAGTTACTCTTGCCATAAAAGATAACATATTCATAGATTCTGGGGACTCAGTCATAGGTATCTTTGGGAGCCCATTATTCTGTCTACCAAAATGGATTCCCACCCTGGCTTTGTCACTTTTTAGCTTTGTGATCTAGTGAGTAGCTATAAGGCAAGTTACTCATTCTCTCTGTGCCTCAGTTTTCTCATCTGAAAAATGGGAATAATAGTAGTACTTCATATTCATAGGGCGAAGATGGAGTGAATTAGTACAGGGGAAGGGCTTGGAACCATTCCTAGCCTCTAGCGTGTGTGCAGTGAGAGACATCTGTTGTATCAACGGGACTGTATCCATGCTCTTGGGGTATGTCTACTACCCCAGCAAACTCTCTTCAGCTCTCTGCAGCTGAGCACACAGCCGATGTCCTTGTCAGGCCAACTTAGGGAGACGGCGCCTTTTGGTGCTTCATGATTCTGTTGCAGTCCAATGATATGCCTGGTTTCCTATCCCTGCAATCATTCCTGGACTATAGTTGGGGAGCTTCTTGAGTTCCCCTTGTAGTTTCAACCTTGATTCAACCTCTGGGACAAGAAGAGGAAGGATAGACAATGTTTAAGAAATTGTAGGTCTAGATTCCAGAACTCACTGTGAAGCCATGCCCAAGTTCTATCAATTTCTTCTTTCAGTGATCATCGTTGTAAGAATCTTCCAAAATGGAGTTCCATCCTGTTCCCTGCCATCTTCCTAGCACAGGGTTCATGATCAGATTGCTGTTTCCTGTCCCCACCCTAATATTGCCATCTTCTAGTCTTTCTGCTTCCAGGGCCCCTGTGGGTTTTCCTTAGTGTTGATCCCCTGCATGAGATTGTTACATCCTCCAAAGCCTGGAGCAGCCCACCCCTAGCCTCTGCCTCCCCTCTGGAAGAGATTTCAAAGCACTGCCTTCATATCAAATGAGGGGAATAAAAACTGTTCCTTTTTATAGAATAAATTGGATTTGGACTTTCAGGCATCTATTGTCTGAGGGTTGACATGAAAGAAGAAAGTGGCATGTGTGTCTGCGGGTGGAACAGATGGCTCCTTCCAACTTGGGAAAAATCTATGAATTCATTGGAAACACTCTAAAGAAAGTTAGAAGACATTCTCCTGGCATAACTGCCTATAGGGAAACTGTGTTTCTCCAGAGTATTATAACAATTTATTTTATTTCTTTAGTGTTCATGGTTGCCTTTTTTACATCCCTATTTGTAGGAATATCTGACCTGTAAAACCATAGAAAAATGTATTCTCCAACACTAAAAATCAATCTATTGAAACCACTGATTGTCCCCACTCCCCATACCACCTTTAAAAAAATTCCAGTTTGTGGCTTCACTTTGGTAACTTATGTTGCTTCTAAACTAGGTTGTACTATTTTGAAAAACAAAAAAGTATTTTACCCAGACCTATTTTCCTTGTCAACTGCTTTGCCACAAAAGACTAAATTTATCTCTGAAATTATAAGTAGACCTTAGTTATAGACAAGTTTTACTGGCTACCTTAAAAGAGGCATGGCTATTTTAATGAGTAGAATAATCTGAAAGTTTTTTTTTTTTTTATTTTGTAGCCCTCTTTTCAAATAATTAAAAAATCTTTCATTAAAAGATATGCAAATCATCTATATAATATAAAAACATAACAACTCTCTAACATGAAGTGTCTGAAGAGTAAGACACAAACACTCAGTCCAAAGTAGGTGTTTCATCTTATTAAGTGGAAAGAACTCTTGATTAGAAGTTAGAAAACCTGGGTACTCATTCTTAGTTACTAATTATTAAGACTTAATTTTTTTGTGCTTCAACTTTTAATCTGTGAAATGTGGATCATGATTCCTCTGTCTCATAAACTTGTAAAAGGGCTCAATGGAAATAATCTTTAAGAAATTACATTGAAGAGCTCAAAGAGCCATTTTAAATGTCAATTGCCAGCATGACATAGCAGACAAGACATGGATTTGCAGTCAGCCAGTGCAGTGGATGCTGGTTCTGCCATGTAATAAGCTGTGTGACTTGCTCAAGTTAACTAGCACCTCTGAGCTTTGATGTCTTTATCTGTAAATATAAAACCCTTCTGAGTGAGTGTGAGAACAGAAAGAATGCAAAGCAAGTGTTCAATAATAGTAGCTCTTATTACTTTTCTCCACTGAGCAAGTCATTCTTGTCAGTGTATCCAGGCTATAAATATACCATTCCCTGCATCAGCCACTCTTGGAACATTTGACTCAATAGCCTTTCTCCTTTTTTATGAAAAATTGATACTGTGGGTAGCCTTGTGGTTCTCCATGTCATTAAGTTCAGAAATAAATGTGCTCAACCACAAACTTCCCATTTCGTCTTCAAGGCAGATCAGGTTTTCAGTGTGCACGTAAGTTAAGTGCCTTCTTACCTGCAAGGAGCATCTTTATCTCTCCGGGCCCGGGCAGGGCTCAGGCCCCAGCAAATATTGCTTCTAAGGGTATCATGTCTAAAAATGTTTCCTTCTCTCAGAAAGGCCCAGTGTCACTTGTAGCTCAGTCTGGTATGGCCGTAAGTCAAGGAGTGCAAACTCAGGCAGGGACAGGGAAGTAACCCAATGGGTGTTGTTGGTGGGTGTTGAGGGTGGGAAATTGGGAGATGTACAGCATGGGGACTATAGCCCACAACAGGCCTGTGCCCTGTCTAAAGGATGGCAGCTCTCAGCCCAGCTGATGGTTGCCAGGCAGGAATTTGGCCCAATTTTGTTACATGCTGTTTGTTTTCCCTACCCAAAGCAACAAATTTGAATTTTCATGTGCTATTTCTCAATTTTTAAATGTTGTCTACTAATCTAAATTTCTTTCTAACTCTGTGGAAATTAGAATGGGCTCCTGGCCCATCAGTGTGTATTCTCTGATATGCAGTTCCACCTGTGGCCCCCTAGTAATTGTTACGGACTGGGGAGATACTACCTTTATCTGAACAATCTTGGGTCACTTAGAATCGTAATGACTTTCAAGTGAAAAAGCTACAGACTCTCCATAGAGAGGATTTTGGCTCTGAAATGATCAGATATCTTTTCTGTTCTTGATAATAAATAATGTTTTAAAGCATAAGAAAATATAACCCTTCTTGACCATTATCTCTTGATAAATATTATAGTTTTCAAAGCAGGTTCATGTAGGATCAGGATACTTTAAATTAGGATAGGTAATCGACTTATGCATCCGGACTTTCAAAACAAGTGAAGTTTTGGAATGGGATGGAGAGATCTTGTCCAGGTATGATTTCCATCAGCATCAAGTCCTTATAACTTGAACACCTATCTACGCTCAGAAATTAGTAGGTTGAAAACCCATCTGGAGTAGAGTCTCTGGGGGCATTTATGGAGATAAACAACTTTTTGTCTTCACTCCCCCCAAATTCCTTAGATTGGTTGGAGAAAGAGGAAGCTCATACCTCTGGGTAAACGGGGAAATTAGGTAGTGAAGCTGATAGCCAATTCTTTGCTTAGAATATCAGTGTTGGAAGGGAAATTGTACTCTTGGAAATAGTTTAACTCAATGACTTTTACAAGGGATTCTGAGGTTTTCAGAGGAGTTTGGGGATCTCACAAGGGGGCTGGTCTTTTAAATGACACTAATCTTTACTAGAGAGTATTGATATTATATGTAAGAGGTGATTTGAAGAAAAGATTTCATTAATTAAAGAAAGAAAACCCCAGTGGTCTCATTTTGACTTTTAGTTGAAGAAACAGCCCAGTGTCCAAATTGCCCAAGGCTACCCCATTGGTGAAGGTCAAGCCCTGTCTGCAATCTGACTCGGCTGCCTCCACACTCTTTCCTGCATTCAGCCTCCACATTAGCCTCCTGCAGCTAATAATCAGCACCTGATTTATTTCTTCTCAAAGGTGCTGGAGACATTTTCCATTGCTTGCTGAAATATGAAGTATCTTGAACTGTTTTTTTTTTTTTTTCATAAGTTTGGGCAATTCTGACATATTGTCAAGGGCTTACAGTCACTAGTTAGCACAACAAACCACATGTCATTTAGACTCAGATATCTTTTGCTTGTGGGTCCTTAGCCACCACCAGTCCCTCTATCTGGCCTCTATCTATAAGGACTGTGGTCAGTTGGGAGGATCAGATGCTGATATGTCCTGGCGATGTGCTAATAAATGTTTAACAGCTGCTTCTCTGGGGGTGGGTAGCTGTGATTCATAGCATTTGCCAATATCCATTATGTAAATAATCTCACCCCAGCTGACCTGAAGCTACCAATGAGACATCACTGAGCAAGAAGTTGGAGAAAGAAAGATACACGCAGTTGGCTCTCTCCAGTGGTACTAGCTGGCTCTAGCACACCATTGCACATTCTCCTCTTTTCAGGAATTCATAGGCCCTTAATTTATCCCCACTTATTACCTCCACAATCAGTATTTTCCATCCTTCCTTACTCCGACATTTCTCTCCCCGTAATGCCAAACCATCCTTGAGATGATCACTATATCAAGTGACTGACTGAATTAAAAGCGTCCTTAAATAATCTAAGCACTTAAAAATACATTTCAGGTAAGAACATAGGCAAATTCTTGCTCAACCCATCATTAAAAAACACAACTTGCATTGATTTATGTTTTTACCCATTTCTTTAATTTTGTCTTTTAAAAACCCAAGTATTCTAAGTTATTTCACTAGATGGTGCTATATATAATTAATATAATTAAGAGTTAGGACAAATGTCAGCTAAAAAACCTGGAAATCTTCTGAAGAAAGCACTTCTTCTTATGACCAGAAGTTGTCAAATCGAAACTGGGATACTCCAATTGACTTTATTATTTTCCTTGCCTTTGCTGGTGGGATTTGTAAAAGCTGCTCACCAAGACAGATTGTCATTTGGCACTCACTTTTAAGCATGACTTTCCCCAGTGATGGAAAGTTCTTTAAATTTTCTCTGTCATAAAGATCTTACCATATCTTTTGCACCATTGAACTCTGCCACAGGTCACACTTCATTTGGAAGGTGTCTATCCTGTATCCTGTGACCACTCCTTAATCATTGTTCTTTGGATACCAGCATTCTTTGTTCCTATAGTTGAATTTCTGAGCTGTGGAATATATTAGTAAATTATTTTCCAAACAGTTCTTACAGATAAGAATTTTGCAAGCCTGATTTAGTGTCTATAATTTGTTAGGAAATGTGTAAGTCCTCTACACATTTTGTTTTTATTCATTAAGTACGGGAATTTGGTCTATTTACTCAACTTTTAAAGTATTCTTTCAACCCTCCATACTCAGGAGACACACAAAGATAAAGAACTGCTGTAAAAGGAGGCTAAAAATCGTATCAATCTACATCTCACCACCTTTAAAATAGTCATTTTCATTGTTAACCAGAATGAGATATAGCTTTTAACTTAAAATTCTGCTTCTAAGGACAGAAATGAAGAAAAGGATATTAATTGTTACTGAAAGTACCTTCCTTACAATACTGTCATATCCAAGTAGGAGCCATGTTTTGCTTACAGTTGTATCACTTGGCAGGGTACTAGGCATAAATTGGGAATCAACAAATACCTTCTACATGGATGGCAAGGGTATGCACTTATTCTAACCCAATTATTCTTTACAATACTAGAAGAAAGCAGTATTATTCCCAAAAGTCCCATAAAATGAAGACATAGATTATCAGAGACTTGTCTTAGGTCTCACAGGCAATGCAAGCAAAAGAGCTAGAATTTTCTCCCAGGCCTGACTCCAAAAGCCACCATCTTGTTGGTTTCATGAAGATTAAACATTCGGTCAGTCAGCTGGAATTCTTTCAAGTCCTGAAACCTGGGAAAGGATTACAAATGCTTATTTGCTTATTTTTGGGAGAACAAAATAACAAAACGTTATAGCAAATTCGAATAGCGTGGTACTCAATTTTGATAACCATGGGAAACTAGGAATATTATTCACCCTACCTAGAGGGGCAGTGCATTTTATATTGCATCCTGCAAATCTTCACAACTGGCCACAAAATTATAGTTAAAAATAAAAATATTGAGGCATATTTGATAATTCTGATAAGCCAATTTGATTAATAATTGCATTTCTTGTTATAGGTTCACATAATCTATTGATTCTTCAGTTAGTGTTGGTAGTTTGTGTTTGTTGAGAAATTTGTCCATTTCATCTAGATTTTTATTGTTATTGTTGGCCTACAATTGTTTATAGTATTTCTTTTTTTATCTTTTTATTTTTGTAAAGCCAAGAGTAATGTCCACTCTTTCTTTTCTGATTTAGTAATGTGAGTTATCTTTGTTTTTTCCTGGTCGGCCTAACTGAAGTTTGTCAATTTTGTTGATCTTTTCAGGGAACCAACTTTTGTTTCAATAATTTGCTCTATTTTTATGTTCTCTATTTTGTTTATTTCTTCTCTAATCTTTATTAATAATTTTCTTCCTCCTGCCTGCTTTGGGTTTTGCTTACTTTTCCTAGTTTCCTAGGATAGAAGGTTAAGTTATTGATTTGAGAATTTTTTTCTTTTTTTAGCATAGGCGATTATAGCTATAATATTCCCTCTAAGCACAGCTTTTATTTCATCACATAAGCATTAATATGTTGTGTTTTGGTTTTCCTTTATCAAAATATTTTCAAAATATTTTCTGATTTATCTTTTGTTTTCTTATTTAACCCACTGGTTATTTAGAAGTGTGTTGTTTGATTTTACCATATTTGTGAACTTCCTGAATTTCCTTCCCAATATTGATTTTCAGTATCATTCCATTGAGTTCAGAGAACATACTTTATATAATTTTCATCCTTTAAAATCCATTGAGACTTCTTTTATGGCATAAAATATGTTCTATCTTGGAGAATGTTCTATGTGCCTTTGAGAAGAATGTGTATTCTGTTGCTATTGGGTGGACTATTTTGTAGATGTCTGTTAATGTTAGATATATTTTCATATAGGGTTGTTCCTGTCTTCCATTTTCTTGTTGATCTTCCATCTTGTTCTATCCACTATTAAAAGTGAGATATTGAAGACTTTAACCATTATTATTATTGAATTGTTCATTTCTCCCTTTAGTTCTGTCAGTTTTTGCTCCATGTATTTTGGAACTCTGTCATTATGTGCATATAAGTTTATAATTGTTATATCTTCTTCATGGGCTGGCTGACCCTTCTGTCATCATAATGTGTTTTTATTTATCTCCAGTAACAACATGTGACTTAAAGTCTATTTTGTCTGATATTATTAAAGCCACTTCAGATGCTTGTTGGGTACTGTTTGCACTGTATATATATTTTTTATCATTCTGGTGTCAAACTATTTGTGTCTTTGAATTATAGTGTTTCTCTTGTAGACAGCATATAACTGGATCATTAAACAAATTAATTCTCCCAGTCTCTGCCTTTTAATTATAATGTTTAATCAATTTACATGTAATATAATCACTGATAGGGTAGGATTTACAGTTGCCATTTACTATTTATTTTCTATATCTAATGGAGTTTTTGTTGTTGTTATTCTTGTATTTCTCCATTATTGTGTTTTTGGGGTTAAATAGATATTTTCTAGTGTACAATTTTAATTCTCCCTTATTTTTCCATATATATATATTTATTTTAAAGTTTTTTTTTAGTGGTTATTCTAGGATTACAATGAACATAATTCATAACAATTTAGTTTGTATTAATACCAACTTAATTTTAATATTATATGAAAACTTCAATTCTATATAACTCTATTCTCTCTCCCATTTTCTTTGTGCTACTATCATTCCACAAATTACATCAACACAAATTTATAATTATTGCTTTATGTAATTGTCTTTTAAATCGGATAGGCAAAAAAAGTGTCATATACAAAAAATAATTTTTGGAGTGTCTTTTATATTTACCTGCGTAGCTACCTTTATTGATGCTCTTTACTTCTCTAAGTGATTTAAACTGTTTAACATTTTTTCATTTTGGCCTGAGGGACCGCATTTCATGTACAGCATATATGCCAGCAATAACTTATCTTAGCTTTTGTTTATCTGGGGATTTTGAATTTTTCCATCATTTTTGAAGGGTAGTTTTGCTGAATGTAGAATTCTTGGTTGACAGGTTTTTTGTTTGTTTTGTTTTTTTTGTTTTTAACACTCTGAATATGCCATCCCACTGTCTTCTGTTCTGTATTGTTTCCAAAGAGAAAGTAGCTATTAATCTTATTGAGGGTCCCTTGTATGCTTTCAAGATTCTCTGCCTGTCCTTGGCTTTCAACAGTTTGATATGATATAACTAGTTCAGAATATACTTGAATTTCGTCTCCTTGCAGTTTGTTGAGCTTCTTGAATATGTAGATTAGTATTTTTCGTCAAATTTCGGAAAAGTTTTGGCCATTATTTTTCAGATATGATTTCTGTCCCTTTGTCTTTCTCTTTTCCATCTAATACTTTCCTATGCATATGTTGAGATGCTTGTTGATGTCCCGCAGGTTGATGAGACTTTCACTTTCTCAATTCCTTTTTCTCTCTGTTACTCAGACTAGATAATCTCAATTGACCTAGATCAAGTTCCATGCTTCTTTCTTCTTCTTGCTCAAGTCTGTTGAGTCCTTCAAGTCATTTTTCATTTCAGTTACTTTACTTTTATGTTCCAGAATTTTGATTTGATTCATGAAAGAATAATTTATATATCTATATTTTATTTATGTTTTTTGAGATGGGGTCTCACTCTGCCACCTAGACTGGAGTGCCATGGTGCAATTTCAGCTCACTGCAACCTCCACCTCCCAGGCTCAGGTGATCCTCCCACCTCAGCCTCCAGTAGCTTGGGAGTACAGGCATGCACCACCACACCCAGTTAATTTTTGTATTTCTTTTGTAGAGATGGGGCCTCACCATGTTGCCCAGGCTGGTCTTGAACTCCTGGACTCAAGCAATCCACCCATCTCAGCCTCCCAAAGTGCTGGGATTACAGGTGTGAGCCACCGCACCTG
The DNA here is from genome assembly GCF_000001405.40 of Homo sapiens. NCBI lineage: Eukaryota > Metazoa > Chordata > Mammalia > Primates > Hominidae > Homo > Homo sapiens. Next base: position 108,429,956 of record NC_000009.12, on the reverse strand, counting down.
GCCAATTTCTGTATCTTTAATGTTATTCTGTATTTGGTGAAACATTGTTCTGACATTTTCATTTAGTGATTAACTTATTTGAACTCTTTAAATTTTAACCGACTTAAAGTTTTTGTCTTTTAAGCCTTCTGTCTTGGCTTCCTCAGGGACAGTTTCTATTGTTTGCTTTATTTATGTTTATTCTGTTTATGGTCCATACTTTCTTTTTTCTTGTATGTGTGTGGGGGTGGGGGTGGGTTTTTTTGGCTCATCTTATATATATATATTTGTCTCAAACTGGATACTTAATATAATGTGATTACTCTGGAGATAAAATTCTACCTCCTTTCCTGAGGTTTTTGTTGTTGCTGCTTGTCACAGTAGCTGTTTCTTTAATGACTTTTCCAAACTAACTCTGTTGTTTGTTTAATGACTTTTCCAAACTACCAGACACTGTAAAGTCGATATTATTTGCCATCCGTGGCCTCTGAAATCTCTGCTCCATTAGCTTACTGGTCAGCTAATGACTGGACAGAGATTTTCTTAAATGCTTTGGTCTAATATCTCTGTTTTTGCTCAGGAGCTCTCTTTACCACACTCAGCAAATCAGTTAATAATTCAGCCTTGATCTTCCCTTCCTGATTGTGCAGAGCCACAAGATACACCAGAGATAGCTTAGGGCCTTCTCAGATTTTTCTTGAATATGCACTAGCCTGGTGCTTAGCCTTCTAGATTTCCAGTAATGTGTCAGAGTTTTTCAAAGCCCCTATGGGAATCTCATTCCCCAGCTTTTTCTTTTGAGCTTTTTGATTAGTCTATTGTTCGCCCTAATTGTTATCCACCACCTCAGGCCGCTGCAGAATTAAACAATTGCCTGTAATTATTTTTTTTTCTGACAAATGCTCCCAGCTACCACTCCTTTTGCACTCGGCAAGCTCCAAGTTAGGTCAAATGGACATTCTTCCAGGGAACCATAGGACAGTTCAAATAATGGCAATTTTGGGGGGAATGAGGTTCTGAGGCAACTCCAGTCTTATTGTTTCCTTCTAGTGGCTGTCAGTCTATTCTTTCCTTTTCAGGGGCTGTCAGGCTGTTGGTTTTCAAGAAAATCATAGAGCTGGAGAAAGAGGGATGGGACTAGGGTATATGAAAAGTGTCACAAAGCTCATTGTTCTTATTGAGATTCAGATGGTTTTTAAAGTAATGCCTCCCTGAGTGGTGCAAGTTTTAGGTTAAATTCAGAGTTCTGAAAAAGTTGATTCAGACTTTTTTTTTTGGTCAGGTGTTTATTGCTTCTATGGAATAGAAAAGTTTTTGAGATCCTTTCTCCACCATTTTTGCTGATTTCACCCAACTCCATACAAACTGATCTGAACCAAAAAGAATACAAGCATAAAAAACAAGGGAAGTCTGAGAAGCTATCTCAGATCAGAAGAAACTAAGGATAACCAAATGCAAAATGGTAACCTGGTTTGGATCTTGGAACAATAATAACGAAAACATTACTGAAGAAATTGACAAAGTCTGAGAAATGTTGTAGTTTAGTCAGTATTATTGTACCAATGTTAATTTCTTAGTCTTGAAAAACATACCATGATTATGTAAGATGCTAAAACTAGAGGAAGCTAGGGGGAGCGTATACAGGAAATCTCCTTCTCTGCAACTTTTCTGGAAATCTAAAATGATTTCAAAGTTAAAAAATTATTGAAAAATAGGGGAATATATGAACAGTCACTTAATCAATGAAGATATACATACAGCAAGTCAATATATAAGAAGATACTCAACAGCATTTTGTCAGCAGGGAATTGCAAATTAAAACAACAATGAGCTACTACTACACACCTATTAGAATGGCCAAAATCCATAACACTGACAACTTCAAATGTTGGTAAGGGTGTGGAGCAACAGAAGCTCTCATTCATGGCTGATGGAAATGCAAAATGGTACAACTGCTTTGAAAGATACTTTGGCAGTTTCTTACAAAACTAAACATAGTCTAACCATATGATCCAACATCACACTCCTAGGTATTTAGCCAAATGAGTTGAAAACTTACGCCCACACAAAAATGTGTACATGAATTTTTGTAGCAGCTTTATTCGTTATCGCCAAAACTTGCAAGCAACCAAGTTGTCCTTCCCAGGTGAATGAAAAACAAACTGTGATACATTTAGACAGTTGAATATTTAGTAATAAAAAGAAATATGCTATCAAGCCAAGAAAATATATGGAGGAAATTTAAATGCAGATTGCCAAGTGAAAGAAGCCAATTTTAAAAGGCAGCACACTGTATGATTCCAACTACATGACATTTTAGAAAAGGCAAAACTATGAGATAGTAAAAAGATCAGTGGTGGCCAGGGTTTTGGGAGGAGAGATAGTCAGATAAATGGAGCTCAAGAGATTTCCAGGGCAGTGAAACTGTTCTGTATGATACTGTAATGGTGAATACGTGACATTGTGCATTGTTAAACCCATAGAATTTAACAACACAAAGAATAAATCTTTTTTTCCTATAGAGTGTTGTGAATTTATTATTACTTATTTTTTAGTTTAACTTCTAACTTCAGGGTTACATGTGCAGGTTTTTTATGTAGGTAAGTGTGTGTCATGGGGGTTTGTTGTACAGATTATTTCATCATCTAGGTATTAAGTCTAGTAACCATTAGTTATTTATCCTGATTCTCTCCCTCCTCCAAACCTCTACCCTCTGGTAGGCCCCAGTGTGTGTTGTTCTCCTCTATGTGCCCATGTTTTATCATCATTTAGCTGCCACTTATACGTGAGAACATGTGATATTTGGTATTCTGTTCATGTGTTAGTTTGCTAAGGATAATGGCCTCCAGCTCCACCCATGTCCCTGCAAAGGACATGCTCTCATTCTTTGTTTATGGCTGCAGAGTATTCCGTGGTGTATATGTATTAGGTTGGTGCAATACCTAATTTTTGCCATTACAAAAACCTCAGTTATGTTTGGCACCAACCTAATACCTCATTTTCTTTATCCAGTCTACCTTTGATGGGCATTTAGGTTGATTCCCTGTCTTAACTATTGTGACTATTGCTGCAGTGAACATATGCTTGCATGTGTCTTTATAATAGAATGATTTATATTCCTTTTGGTGTATATCCAGTAACAGGATTGCTGGGTGGAATGCTGTTTCTGTTTTTAGGTCTTTGAGGAATCGACACACTGTCTTCCACAGTGGTTGAACTAATTTACATTCCCACCAACAGTGTAAAAGCATTCCTTTTTCTCCACAACTTTGCCAGCATCTGTTATTTTTTGACTTTTTAATAATAGCCACTCTGACTGGTGCGAGATGATATTTCATTGTGGTTTTGCTTTGGCTTTCTCTAACGATCAGTGATGTTGAGCTGTTTTTCACATGATTATTGGCCACATGTATGTCTTCTTTTGAAAAGTGTCTGTTCATATTTTTTTCCCACTTTTTAATTGTTTTTTTTTCTTGTAAATTTAAGTTCCTTAGAAAAAATAACTATTGGGTACTAGGCTTAGTACCTGAGTGATGAAATAATAAATTCATGTACCCCTGTGACATGAGTTTACTTATATAACAAACCTGCACACAAACCCCCGAACCTAAAATAAAAAGTGAAAAAAAAATTTAAAAGTGTGTTTTACAATTATAAAGTTATAAGTTCCTTATAGTTACTAGATATTAGACCTTTGTCAGATGTGTAGTTTGCACAATTTTTCTCTTATTCTGTCAGTTGTCTGTTCACTCTGTTGATAGTTTCCTTTGCTGTGCTGAAGCTCTTTAGTTTAATTAGATCTCATTTGTCAACTTTTGCTTTTATTGTAATTACTTTTGGTGTTTTCATCATGAAACCTTTTCCTGCTCCTACATCCAGAATGGTATTGCCTAGGTTGTCTTCCATGGTTTCTATAGTTTTGGGTTTTACATGTAAGTCTCACAAAGAATAAACCTTAATATTAACTATGTACTTGGGTTAACAATAATATATCAATATTATATCAGTTTTAACAAATGTACCATACAAAAGCAAGTCGTCAATAATAGGAGGAACTGTAGGATAAATGTGGATAATGTGGGAACTGTATACTTTTTGCTTAATTTTTCTGTAAATCTAAAACTGCTCTAAAAAGCAAAGCCTATTAATTTTAAAAAAGAATGTAAATTTCTGACTCAGATCCATAAATAGTCACATTTTGAGTTTTTAATGAAAAAAATTTAGGTAATTTTGGAGACTGGAATATTTTAGGAAGAGGCAGAAGGAAAGCTGGATGAACCTATATTTATTGAAGCACATGAGGAAACAAATGTACGAATTGTTCTTTCCAGTTATGATTTGTTCTGGTCTCAAGGCTCAACTTAATGATTTTTATTTTTCATCAGTGAACACAAATACATGTTGAGCATCCCTAATTAGAAAATCTGAAATTTGAAATGCTTCACAATCTGAAATATTTTAAGCACCGATATAGTGTCACAAATGGAAAATTCCACATGTAACCTCAAGTGATGAGCTATAGTCAAAACACAGTCAAAACTTTGTTTCATGCACAAAATTATTAAAGATATGGTATGAAGTTACCTTCAGGCCATGTCTGTAAGGTTTATATAAAAGATTCACATAAGTGAATTTTACATTTAGATTTAGGTCTCATACTCAAGATATCTTATTATGTATATGCAAATATTCAAATATCTGAAAAAATTTGAAATCTGAAACACTTCTGGTCCTAAACATTTTGGATAAAGGATACTCAACCTATACCATGCTTCCAAAGGAATTTTTCCCAGTCATAGTGATAACACTCTTTCTATGAATGCCTAAACAGTTCTGTAATCTCAACCCCTTCTGGGTATCCTTCACTTTGCTGCCAAGAAGAGCAAAGGCAACAAACAAAAAAATAAACAAAAACCTTCCTCTATTCATAGTTATTTAATAGCTTTCCTTTCTCCATAGGATAAAATAAACACCTTAGTCTAGCATAAAAATCCTTTCATGATTTGGTTCTTATCTACCACATGGTCCCATTTGGTGCATAAGAATGAATGGATTAGTGAGCATATTTAATGAGCACCTACTTAAAAAAGATCACTCTGCAACATTCTAGAGACCAAGCATCAGGGACATAGATGTGTTTTCTACTACTCTTTTCATAGCTAAGTGTCTAGGAACTGTTATAAACAGAAATCTAGAACTTGAATGCCCTTTAAGCTTTCTAAATCATGTTCTCTCCCACTTTCATGCCTCTGTGATTGCTAGTTCTCTCTCTCTCTCTCTCTTTCCCCCCTGTCTCCTCTCCTCTCTGTCTCTCCTCTCCTCTCTCTCCTCTCCTCTCTCTCTCTCCTATGTTTCCCCTTTAAAACCTAGTGCTGCTTAGCCTGGGAACCTGGGATGGGGGTGCACCCTATGTTGGCCTTACAAGTGCCAAGGTATGGACCAAGATTCAGGAAAGGTGCCTGAGAAAATGCCTGTCTCCTTGCCCAGGACAGACGGGCAGTGTGTCTGTTAATGAGGCCAAGGGAATGTGAAACGACTGAGCAAAGACAATTTGGGGTTGTACTTCCTGTTCTTTCCCAGCATGCCATTTACACAGGGAGGCAAAACCACTCATTTTTATAAGGGGGGATTTTTGTACTATCCTAAATGGGCTATATAAAGCCCATTTAAGGTAGTAAAGGGGGAGAAATGGAACAAAGTGTGCCTAGTGACGGGAAAATAGAGTCACTGCCCCCTTGTTTGATTTGGTGACACTCACCTTTTTCCAAGGATAGTTGTTGGGTATCTCTTCAAAATGGAAATATTTTAAGGCTCATTAAAAATTGCCTGGCAAATGCCCTACAAGATAGCCAGGCAAATGTTAAACAAACAAACAAAACAACTAAATTTTAGGGAGCATTAAAGATTGTGTTTCTATCCAGAGATATAAATAAGTATAGAGGGATGGTAATTAACAGCATGTTTTAAAACTAAAACAATGCTTACGTAACTGGATGCTTCATCCTGAAGGATCTGGGCCATGCCTTGCATTCCCTTAGGGTGTACAGCACAGGATATGTACCTTAGCACGGTGGAATCTGAATGAGGAGTTTCCCAAAGGTGTCTTCTTGTTTCAGAGCAGGGACAGGTGATGAGATGGCCTCTCTTCCTCTCCCGTGTTTGTTTCCCCAGTGCAATGTCAGGTTCCCCAGCATGGACATTAGGCAGCTTGTAGAGGGAGGTTTGCAATGCCAGGTCCCCCAGCACGGACATTAGGCGGCCTGTAGAGGGAGGTTCGCCAGCAAAGCTCCCACGGCGTTTATGGTGCCAGCTGCTTCCTTGGCATCCAGTGAAGTTTCATCAGCTTTTGTTTGGGATTCTCTTGGAGCTCATGCTAATTTCTTTAAGATCGTAAAAGGATGACGTATTTCCACATTTGCAACCACCAATGCTTGCTCTGTGGAAAATGATGAGAAATTGCTTGGTTGCCTCTTTGGGGAGCCAAAGGAATGGGTCTGTAGCACTTTACAAAGTGGTCTCACACCCAATGTTTCACGAGTCTCTTGGCAAGCCTGGGAAGTAAATACCATTTGTACCATCAGTTTACGAGGCTGAAGTAAGTTGACTAGCTCAGGGCAACTTAACTAGTAAGCATCAGAGCCAGCCAGGAGTTGTGCTTTTTTACAGCAGTTTTAGGTTCACAGCAAAACTTGAGGGAAGAGTACAGAGTTCCCATTTTCCACCTACCCAAACATGCACAGCTACCCCATTATCAGCATCCCCTACCAGAAGGGTACTTTTGTTACAATTGATGAATCTACATTTTACACATCATTATTACCCAAATTCCATAGTTTACATTAAGTTTTGCTCTTTTTGTTGTTAAGTTCTATATGTTTGACAAACACCTAATGTCACGTATCCACTGTTAATATAGTATCATACAGAATAGTTTCACTATCCTAAAAATCCCTTGTAGTCCCTCTTATCTGTGGTTTCACCTTCCCTGGTCTCAGTTACCCTCAGACAACCACAGTCCAAAAATAGGTGAGTACGGTACAATAAGTATTTTGATAGAGAACAGAGAGGCTATATTCACATAACTTTTATTACAGTATATTGTTATAATTTTTCTACTTTATTGTTGTTGTTAATCTCTTACTGTGCCTAACTTATAAATTAAACTTTATCATAGAAACATAGTATACAATATATAGGGTTTGGCACTATCTTCAGTTTCAGGCATCCACTAGGACTCTTGGAGTGTAACCCCCTGGGGATAAGAAGAAACTACTGTATTTATTACTCCTTCCTTTTCCCCAAACACCTGGCAACCACTGATCTTTTTAATATCTCCATAGTTTTGCCTTTTCTAGAATGTCATATAGTTAGAAGCATACAGTATGGAGCCATTTTGGACTGGCTTCTTTCACTTAGCAGTATGCATTTAAGTTTCCTCAATGTCGGGTTGGGCGCGGTGGCTCATGCCAGTAATCCCAGCATTTTGGGAGGTTGAGGTGGGTGGATCACCTGAGGTCAGGAGTTCAAGACCAGACTGGACAACATGGTGAAACCCCATCTCTACTAAAAATACAAAAATTAGCCTGGCATGGTGGTGGGCACCTGTAATCCCAGCTCCTCAGGAGGCTGAGGCAGAAGAATCGCTTGAACCTAGGAGGCAGAGGTTGCAGTGAGCAATAATAATAAATAATAAAGATGGTTTTGTTGATTTTTGTATTGATATTCCATTTTGATTTTATTGATATTTGCTCTAACTTTTTATTATTTGTTTTACTCTTCTTATTTTGGACTTAATTTGCTCTTCTCTTTTTTAGTTTCCTAAGGTGGAAACTTAGATAATTGATTTTAGACATTTCTTCTTTTCTAATAAATGCAATCAGTGCTGCAAATTTCTTTCTAAGCATTGCTTTTGTTAAATCCCACAAATTTTGATAAATTGTATTTTTAATTTTATTTAGTTAAAATATCTTAAAATTTCTGTTGGGATTTCTTTTTTGATTCATGTGTTATTTAGGAGTGTTTTGTGTAACTTTCTAGTATTTTGGGATTTTCTAGTTATCTTTCTGTTATTGATTTCTAACTAGAAATTCAACTAAATTCCATTGTGATCTGAGGGTAGAGATTGTATATTATTTTCAAGAGTTTGTTGGTCAGGTGTGGTGACTCATGTCTGTAATCCCAGCATTGTGGGAGGCCAAGGCAGGAGGATCACTTGAGGCCAGGAGTTTAAGATCATCCTGGCCAACATAGTGAGACCTTATTTCTACTAAATTTTTTTTTAGAAAGGAAAAAAAAAATAATGTTTTTCTTTTGTGTCCCAGAATGTGTCCTATCTTGATGAATACTACATGTTTGCTTGAGAATAATGTGTAATCTACTATTGTTGGATGAAGTAGTCTATAGTTGTCAATTATATGCAGTTGATTGATGGTGCTGTTTAGTTCAACTATGTCCCTATTTATTTTCTTCTTACCTGATCTGTCTACCTCTTTGTCTGAAAGAGAAGTTGTAAAGTCTTCAACTATAATAGTGAATTCATCTATATCTCCTTGCAGTTCTTTTAATTTTTTCTCACATATTTTGACACTCTATTGTTAGGTTCATACACATTAACAATTGCTATATCTTCTTGGGATGTTGACCCCTTTGTTATTATGTAACACCCTCGTTGTTCCTCATAACATTCCTTCTTTTGAAGTATGCTCTGTCAGAAACTAACATTGCTACTCCTACTTTCTTTCTGTTTTTAGAGATAGAGTCTGGCTATGTTCCCTAGGCTGGTCTCAAACTCTTAGGCTCAAGCTATCTTCCTGCCTTAGCCTCCCAAAGTCCTGAGTTTACAGGTGTGAGACATTGTGCCCAGACTCCTGATTTCTTTTGATTAGTGTTAGCATAGTATATCTTTCTCTGTCCCTTTATTGTTAATCTGTATGTGTTTTTATATTTAAAGTGGGTTTTTTAAAGACAACATATACTTGAGTCTTGGTTTGGTCAATCTCTGTCTTTTAATAGTTGTATTTAGATCATTGACTTTTAAGATAATTATTTATTTACTTGGATTAATATCTACCATATTTGTTATTCTTTTCTACTTGTTGTTCTTGTTCTTTGTTCCTATATCTGTCTTCCATACCTTTTCCACTTTTTTGTGGTTTTATTGAGCATTTTATTTTATTCAACTTTCTTTCCTTTCTTAGCATATAATTATACATTCAAAAAAACTTTTTAAAATGGTTACCCTAGAGTTTGCGATACACATTTGCAACTAATCCAAGTCCACGTTCCAATAACATGATACCACTTCATGGGTAGTGCAAGTATCTTAAAATAATAAAATATTTATAATTTCTCCCTCCCATTTCTTGTATCATTGCTATTATTCATTTCACTTATATATAAGCACATATATGTAAGCATATATATATGCATATGTAATTGAATATATTGATGTTATTATCATTTTGAACAAACTTTTATCTGTTAGGTCCATTAAGAAAAAGAATAGTTTTATTTTACCTTCACTCATTTATTCTCCAATGCTCTTTCTTTTTTTATGTAGATCTGAACCTCTAATTTATATTATATTCCTTCTCTGAAAAATTTCTTTTAAAATATTTTGCAAGGCAGGCCTGAACACTACATCTCTTAATTTTTATTTGTCTGAAAAAGTCTTTATTTCTACTTCACCTTTGAAGGATAATTTTTCAGGGTACGGAATTCTAGACTGGTGTTTTTTTTTCTTTCTCTGAATACTTAACATTTTTCACTTTACTCTTCTTGCTTGCACAGTTTCTGAGAAATTAGACATAATTTTTTTCTTGCTCCTCTACTAGTGTCTTAGTCTGCTTGTGTTGCTATAACAAAATACCATACATTGGGTAATTTACAAAGAACAGACATTTATTTGTCGTAGTTCTTGAGGCTGGGAAGTCCAAGATCAAGTTGCTGGCAGGTTTGGTGTCTGATGAGGGCTACTGTCTGCTTCCAAGATGGCACCTTGATCGTACAACCTCTGGAAGGAGGAAATGCTGTGTCTTGACATGGTAGAAGAAATGGAAGGGCTAAAGGGCTGAATACTATATGAAACCTCTTTTATAAAGGCCTTAGTTCCGTTCATGAGGGAGAAGTACTTATGGCCTGATCAACCTCTTAATGGACACCCACCTCTTACTACTCTCACATTGGCTATTAAGTTTCAACATCTGAATTTTGGAGGGGACACATTCAAACCACAGCAAAGGGTTAAGTGTTTTTTCCTCTGACTTTTTCCACATTATTTTCTTTGATTTTCTGAAGTTTGAATATGCTATTCTTAGGTGTAGTGCTTTCAGCATTTATCCTGATTGGTGTTCTCTGGGTTTCCTGGATCTGTGGTTTGATGTCTGACATCAGTTTTGGGGAAATGCTCAGTCATTGTTGCTTTAAATGTTGCTTCTATTCCTTTATCTCTTTCCTTTTGTTATTCCCATTGTGTGTATGTTATACATCTTGTAGTTGTCCCATAGTTCTTGGATATTCTATTCTGCTTTTTTTTTCAGTATTTATTTATTTATTTTAGAGACAAAGTCTCACTCTGTTACCAAGGCTAGAGTACAGTGGTATGATCACAGCTCACTGCAGTCTTGACCTCCTGGGCTCAAGCAATCCTCCCATCTCAGCCTCCTGAGTAGCTGGTGCTACAGGTTCATGCCACCACATCCAGCTGATTGTTTTGTTTTTCATTTTTTGTAGAGACAGGGTGTCACTATATAGCCCAGTGGTCTTTAAGTCCTGAGCTCAAGTGATCTTCCTGCCTCAGACCCCTAAAATGCTGAGATTACAAGCATGAGCCACTGTGCCTGGCCCTTTTCTCAGTATTTTTTTCTTTGTTTTTTAATTTTTAAAGTTTCTATTGTCCTATCCTGAAGCTTAGCAATTCTTTCATCAGCTATGTGTACTCGACTAATGAGCCATCAAGGCATCCTTCATTTCTGTTAAAATTTTTTAAATCTCTGGTATTTCTTTATAATTTTTTCTTAGGATTTCTATCCCTTTACCTACATTATTTATTTGTTCTTGCATTTTGTCTACTTTTTCCATCAAAGCCCTTAGCATATTAATTATAGTTTAAAAAATTCCTGGTCTGGTAATTCTGTTTTTTTGGAACTACAGTAAATAGGCCTTTAAAAATGTAGTAGTAAGGTGTAAAGGAAGGGGGATAGTGCTCTATAGACTTATGATCAAGTCTCAGGGTTTTGGTGAATGGGTGCCCTGAATGGTGAACTTCACCAGTGCTTTTTAGCACCCCTCACCCCTTAGGTGGCACAGAAAGGCTTCAGGGAGCTGAAGTTGGGTATTTCCCTTCCCGCAGGTAGCTTAGGCTCTGATAAAATATAGTTTGTCCTAAGGTCACGCTTTGCTAAGAAGAACAGAATGTTCTGGCGTATTTCAGAATGATGCCTTTCTTCTTCCCCTGTCAGAAGTGCAAGATTTTCTCCAATTTTTACCATGTGGACCCGGTTGAACTCCTGGAGATAACACTCATAAAAGTGTGGAGGCCAGTCCCTCTGACTGAATCTCCCCACAGTTTTTAATTCTCAGAGTTGTCCTCTGAGTTGTCCTGAGCCTCCTGCAAGTTGTTAATTACAGTTCAAGTTTCCCTACTCTGGCACTAGTTTCCAAGGAGATTTCTTCTTGTGGGTTTCTACTTTGGTAAGTTATGATTCCCTGTATCTACCTACCTGTCTTCCAAATTTGGGGAACAGCATTTTGCTGTGTGACCTCACTTTTCTGACGAATAAGAAGAATTGTTGATTATTCTGTTTGTTCAGCTTTTTACTTATTGGGACAGAGTGGCCACTTCTAAGCTCCTTATATGCTGGGCCACAAAGTGGCAAGACCCATTTACCTAGAGCTGGTGCCCTTTCCTCTGTGCCACAACTGGTTTTCAAAGGGAAGACTATGAATTTCATAGGGAGGCTAAGACCAACTGCCACATCTTGTATTGTCATTCATCACATGTGGGCTAATAGCAACCTTACTTCATAGCTTTGAATTACTACCCAGCAACAATGCTGTCATCTGTCCTCTCATGAACTCTTGCCTAATTTAAGTAAAACTTGGAACCATGCTAAGGTTAACTCGTAACAGGATGATAGGATGATACAGATGCAATTTTATTGACCTTAAACAAAAAAAGTATGTGTGTATGTGTGTAAGCCTGTGTGTGTGTATATATATAGTGTGCTATATATATAGATAGTGTGCTCTGTATATATATATATATAGATAATGTGCTACATATATAGTATACTATATATATAGTGTGATGTAGATATATATACACACACACATATATATATATATAGTGTGCTTAGGATGACAAAGGAGCTATGTCTGATTCTTTATCACCTTTCATGGCTCAGTGACTAGCGCAAGCTTAGTATAGTTCTTAAGGTTGTGAATATTCTTAATTCTTCTGTCATAAAAGTACATTTTGATTTACCCAATACATTTACATATGGAATTCTTTGTGCATACTCTCACTTTACAAACATATATTGTGTCAAAAGCATATTTGTTTTAGGGAGGCCCAGGGAGAATCATAACTAAGAAGAAAATGTGGGTACTATGGGAATATGTATTAGGATGCAGATTCCAAATTGACAAGCAAATGTTAGGACCTGCAAGGGGAGGAAAGCATGATCATTACCAAGAACAGGCATTTATTTTTTATGTATTTATACATTTTGGAAAAGATAATGATGGTGGATCGACCAAGTGGTATTTATTTTTTAATCAAACACCTAAATGAAATTGTCTGGGATAATGCAAAATAATTGAGTATAAAAGAAAAGATATTCAGAGGCCCAGGAGACATAATTCTGCAGGCTCACCCCCAAATCTATTTTTAGTAATTTAAGAAGGATATGATAATGCAGGCCATACTTCCTGAGTATACACTAAGGGTGTGACATCACGAGAAACACTGGAAGGAGTATCAAAGGGCTAAACAAGGTGACAAACTCTCAGCTTCCACCGAATTCTGAGAGAAGACATTGACAGAGGTATGTATGGTACAAGGGATTGAGAATGGAGTCATCCGAGACCCCAACTGAAAATGTCAATGCCTTCTCTTTTGTTTTGGTCACAAGTTATTTTATCCTGGTGATGAAGAAGGAGAAGGAAGGCAGCTCCTAGGAGGCCAGGAAAGGAAGGGGCTCAGGTTCCTAGAGGGTTTTAGAGACTGCTCCTCCAATTCAGTGTGTCCCTCAAAATGATATTGTAACCACTAGTGAATGCTGCTGGCCTCCTTGACAGGTGGGTTTGTTAGCATGTAATTCTTCGCATAGACAAAATTCTGAGCTCTCCTCAAACTCCAGGTTTGCTTTAAGCTCAAGCTTATTTCTTTTTCCAGTTGGGCTTTCAGGCCTTTCAGGCCAGGTAGATTGCCTTTAACTTGCTCAACTGCACCCCCACCTGTTCCATATATTTAAAAACATGCTCCAACTTACACAATTGAACAGCTTATTTTCTTTGGGAAGAAAATATTTTTGTTGTAGTTTCAGTTTGTGGCCTGTGACGTTTATTGGCAAGACAATGTTTGATACAATTAACAGTTTTAAAACTACCATTTTAAAATGAATTTCATTTTAAGCTCTTCCCTTTCCAATTTTTTTTTTTTTTTGGAAGTTCAAGAGTATTTCTGAAGAAATTAAGATGGATACCAACTTTACAACATCTGGGCTAATTCAATATTCTTTATTTGCCTTTTAAATTTGAAGTTAGACGCATATGAACAAAAAGGGGCATGATTTCCAGCCATGCCTTCATGTGCTGATTTTACTATACATTGTCACAGACTGTGGAACACAGGAGGTAATAAGAGGGTTAGGTGCAGAGTGTATTCATTCTATACGTAAATTGCCCCACACCAGAAACCCAAACTTCCATCCCAGAATGCACTTGGGTACACAGAAGCTTCAAAGAGAAATATTTCCCTGGAGGGAATTGGTAAAATTGGAGTTGGGTGAACCTCAAAGCATCTCGATTCACAAACGTTGCTTATGTTTGGATTTGGAATTGAATTTGGCTCCAGCAGTTGGCATCTCTACACTGTGCTGTGAACTACCCAGTCACAGAGAAGGGGGGAGGAAGAGGAGGAGAGGAAGACTGAATTGAGGAGTAGAATTTCTAAAAACACACAATAGCGCAGTGTTGATGCAATTAAGAAAATTAGAAAATGGGGTTTAAATTGAAAAAGTCCGTCTTTATCTTTTGCTTCCTTTGTGATATCCTTTCAGTTCCATATCCTCTGTCTTCTTTGATCTCATGTGCCCTCCATTTTTCCTTCCTTTGCTTTTTCTTGTGAGATTTCTATTGAAGCCCGTTCCTCCCTTTTTTCAAGAGTTTGCCTCAAGGGCTTGAGTTTGAATTTCAGGGCTTAAAAAGGCCTGGCAGGTTACAAAACAGTATGTTCCATATGAGCTAAATGTTGGGAAGGGAAACTATGCATTTATTTATGTGTATGTATGTGTGTGCATAGATAAGAGATTAGAAGGGTACTTACACAACTTTAACAATGTTTTTTCCTGGATCATAAATGCTTTCACATTCTTCTTTTTCTTATATTCTTTGTAATGTAATGTATTGCTTCACTTTTCTGGAAAGAACACTTACACTATAATAAGTGCAATATATAAAAAAGCTGGTAATTTGGCATGGTTTTCTTACCAATTTTTAGAACCTTATATTATTTCCTGTCTTCTTTTATTTAATTTTTATTACCAGTTTTTAGTTTTACTAAAATTCTGATTGTGCGCCTATTGCGCTTCAATTATGAAAAGATGTTTTGCTGCTTCATTAAAAAATTGTTTTATTTTTAAATTAAAATTGTTTGAATATGTGCGATTAAGCAGGTATAACCACACTTTAGAGAGTGGATGAATTTCTGATATGCTGCGTGTAGGTAAGGTTTAACAAATATGTAGGGCTTTAGGGAAATATGCTCTTCTTGCAAAACAATGAAAAATACTTCCTTTGGAAATAAAGAAAATAATTTTTTCACATAAAACTTTCCTTCTTTAAAGTTTTGGATATTAATTTTTCATTATTAAGCAGGTAATGATATGGCTTAATAAAATAAAATGATTAGAAAGAGCTTAAATATGTATAGATCACATATAATTTAGCAGAAAAAGTGAATTATTAGGTATCTGTGCACACATGTGTGCATATATATATATATATATAAACAAAGGGATTAAAAATGGCTCTTAAATACTACAAAAAAGACTAAAAATAATATGTGTTAAAGATATTGCTAAATAAGAAGCATTGAAAAGAATGGGCATTATTTCAAAGCTAAATGTGTAAACTAGTAAAGATCCTGGCTACTGTTAGCTACATACTCTATTAAGAATAGAGTGAATAATCTATAGGGGGATATAGAAACATAACTCTCCTCTAAATCATGGTAATACTCACAGTTTAGATTTTCAGTAAATCACTGCCCTTGGGGTTTTAGCTGGGAGTCTTCCTTTGAGAAGAAAGTACTTCCTTATCTGGGAATACTTTTGTAATTTCGAAGATTTTACCCTCCTTGCTACAGAATTCTCTTTCCAGAACTCTCAACTATATATATAGTTGCGTGTTCTGGAAAAATCATTTGTTAATTCATTCTCAGCCATTGAAGACTTATTAAGCTATTACTATGAGCCAGGCATTGTGCTAGAGGCCAGGGATGAACGGAAAACAATTTGGCTAGTTCATTTAATTTTCAGAATAACGGAGTTCCAAAAGGATGTCTGCCAAGGAGGGCTGCTTTCCTCAAAATGAGCTAAATGGCACATGAGAACTGCATGTTTGGCCACTTCAGTTGGTGTCTGGGTTCTCGGCGAATGTCTTAGAACTAGAGCAGAGCCAGGGGGATCAAGGGAATGTCACTGCTCTAGTCTGATTTTGCTGGGAGGGAGAGCCTTATCAGGGTGACTGAGGTCAAAAAGAAACACTGACTCAGACATTTCTTGTTTTCTTAAATGCATAATCTTCAGTGAAACTCCCTTTTCATGGGCCATGACATACAGCAAAGCTAGTTTAATTCCCATTGAAAGGAAGGACAGTCTTGATTAGTAAAAATCTGCATTATAGAATATGTCTAAAAAGATGGAAATTTGATTATCTATAGGCTCATTTACTGTAACTAGCCACAGAGTTTTTAAGGAGAGCTACCATAAATTCTGCATTACAGAGGCTTAATTTATCATACATCCTAGTATGATGGTTGAAAATCATGGCTCTCTGGCCAGACAGACTGGATTCAATCACAGCCTAACCTCTTACTTGGCCTGAGACTTTGAGATACTTACTTATATTCTCTGTGTCTAAGTTTACTCATTTGTAAAACAAGGGAAATAATAGTACTTACTTCATAGAATTGTTACGAGAATTAGTTCTCATAACATACATACTCCTAGAACAGGGCTCAGCCATAGGTATTTAATAAAGATTAGCTATTATTATTTTAGTAAGGCAGCTTAATACATAAAGGCAGATATTGGAATGGTGGCATTGTGTCATGGTGAAGACCCTAGATTTCTGAGCCGGACTGCCTGGGTGTAAATTCTGATTTGTCTCTTATTTGCTGAGCAACCTTGGCCAAGTTACTCAACCATTCCGTTCTTCAGTTTCCTCACATGTAGAAGTGTGCTAATAGTAGTGCACACCTCACTGGATTATTACAAAGACTTAAAGGTTATTGTAAAGAAATAACACATATAGGACACTTAGAGCCATATGTGGCACATAAGAAGCATTTGGTAAGTATTGATATTATGGCTAGATATTGAATCCAGTTGCAGCAATCACTCTTCTAAGCCTTTTAACTCTCAGGCAGGTCAAGCATCCTTCTAAATTCCTTTATATCTCAGAAGACTATCTCTCATCTCCAAACCCACCCTTCTACATTCCACTTCGTGGAGCTAGGGCTGGGAGCCTGCAAACCTCATTTCTGCTTTGCCAGCAGGCTTCATAAGAGATTCTATCCATAGGGGGCGCTTGTGGGGAGGGATGTGCTCCTTCCTGTCTGCTTCCTACTCCTGCGAGTCACCCCAGCCTTGGTGCTTCATCTGGGCAGCAGCAGCTCTTCCTGTAGCAGTAGCTGAATGCGAGTCAGAATTTTCCAACACTGGCAGACCCAGCTGCATGGTGTCCACCTCAGACATATCAGCACTAGTCAGCTGATGACCCCTCCTCAGAGTCTGGGTCTGGCCCCTCCCAGCTCATCTGCAGAGATCAGAGACACCAGCACTGACCACAGGGAATCCTATGCAGAAATATGAGTTTCATTCGAAAGGAATCCCCCTCTAAACTCCTAAATTTTGGTATTTCCAAACATATTCTTTTGTTCTCTCAGCCTGAAGAGTGACAGTTGCTTCCTGCAGTTGCTTCCCCTTTGACACCTTAGCATCCCTTCTTATACTTTCAGTATCCTAGTTAACAGTATTAGCCTTTCTTAACAATTCTTTGTATAATCTCTGTTCAAACAATTTGTGTGGCTTCTGTCTCCTGGATGGATCCTGATTGATAATTTAGGAAGTCACAGACTTGTTTAGGAAGCAGAGCACCTGGAGATTAAAATATTTGGATCAAAGTCTTATGAAAGACTGATATATTTCATCTATACTGAGAGAAGACACCATTTTTTCTTTATCAGCTGCGATTGTCTTAGCTTACCACCAACAATTAATAATAAGTCAAAGATCTAATTTAAATCCATGGAGGAAAAAGACTAAAAATTGAGAAACTTCCTTCTAATTTTATTTTCTTGACAACATATTGCTAGAATTTTATTTTGGCAGTGAATCACTTTGATTAAGCTCAAAAGAAATCAATGTACGTTGGTAGCAAAGTTAAAATACTTTGCTTCTCTATATGCTTCAGCTTTAAGGAATCATATTTTTTCCCCTATGTGATGGGAAGGTAAACTGTAACACAAGTGCACTTAATATAAACTCTGCCTTCCATTTGTAAGGTTTAAATTTAAAGGAGCCTGCTATGTTCAAAACTTCTTTAAAAACAAGAAGTCTACTTGGAGAGAGACAACAGTGTTCTGAGACCAGTGTGGAACTGAATTCAAACCTTGTTGTCCAGCTCAGTCTTTTTAATTGTGGCAAATTGTGACTTCCTGTTTTTTTCCGAGGCAGAGTCAAGGCTAATGAAAAGGCCCCCATAAGGAGACTTGGACATCAAATGACTCTTACAAAAGAGCATTTTTATGATTTAAGTATAAATAAATTAAAAACATACTACAGTATTTGACATCTTTTAAAATCCCAGTGAGGTTAAAAATGGAGAGCCAGCAAAGAATTAGAGAAAATGAGAAACTTAGAGGCATGAAATATCTTAAGTAGTTTTGGGCCATTTGATGGGTACCAAAATGTGGGCTGATTTGCATATTAATTGCTAATGAAAGTGTCTCAAGTTAATTTTGATCATCAAATAATGCAAAAATAATATAAGCAACAATTACGCTTGGAATCTGTTTCATTAAGTGGAGATGCATGTCTTTTTATACGCTACTAAGGTGTGGCATAGAATCAAGAAACCAGTTTATCTTCTTTTAACTCTTAAAAGATTCTAAAAACCAAAGGTGATTTATGAATTATTTTTTTGGTACTGGATGCTAAATTAATGAAAATATACAGATATATATGCGGGCTCTGTGCTAATTAATAAATTTTAACTTACAGGTATTTTTGTACAATTCCCAAAAGAAATTGTGTATTATGGGGAAAGCAAAAGCTTTTTTATTTTTGGTAACACATGGAGGAAAGGATAAAGGAAAAAGACCTGGTCATACTTGTGATTACTTTGTAAGTTAAAATAAATTATGAAAAACGTTTCCTGTTGCATTTGTTAGTTTTGACGTCACTACTTCTCATCTTATTAACACTTCTTCAGTGATTTCATAGAGATCAGTAAAAGCATGTCTCTTATTCTTTTCTTCTAAAAAATTCTGTCAATAGAACTTTTGGCACTAGAAGGTAGAAAATTAAAGAAGCACTGTATTTTCACAATTCCTGAAATACGTTTACAACCTTGAGCCAGTACTTCTCTTTTCTGGAGCTTCGTGTCCTTATCTGTAAAATGACAGCCTTGGGGTCAGGTATCTTTAAGACTCTCCCCTCCTCTACCTTGAATCCCTGGGAGTCAAACATTTTACATGAAGCATTTACCATCCTTTACTTCCTTACTAATTTCCCTTTCTCTTCATAAGTAAACTTTATTATTATAATCATAGACTTGGTTACCAGATTAAAGGTATTAACAGTTTTGCCTTGCGTTTGTTATCTTTTAATACATTTTTTTTTTTACAGTCACTTTGTTTTGGTGCCATATTTACAGCTCTTAGCTTAGTTCTATGTTTACTTTTCAGCAGTTAGCAGTGTTTTTTATATAACTTGATTTATTCATTCTTGAGTTCTTACCTTTTTCTCTTGGCTGGTGTATATCTTCAAAAAAATCTTAAAAAAGATTTTTTCCTGAGAATTTTCAAATCTGAGAATAACTTTCTCTTGTATTCACAAATGAATGACATTTTGACTTGGTGTAAAAATTCTTGGTCTCTATTGCCCTCTTTGGTACTCTGTAGATATTACTGTTTTCTATAATTTAATGATGTGTCGAAGTCTGAGATAAGCTTTTTTATCTACTTATCTATCTCATTATTTTTGTTGTTAACCTACTAATTTTACCTTGAATGTTTGATTGATTAATTTCTTGATACTTAAAATTTAAAAATAGCTGTCAGGGTGTGTCTAGAAATAAGTGTCTTAATTTTACTTTTGCCTGATATGAATGATGCAACTGAGCTGGCTTCTACTCTGAATAGTATGTGTGTGAGTATGTGAGAGTGTGAGAGCGAGTGTGTATGTTTTAATTGTTTTTCTCTACCTTGGTTTGGTGTCCTCTTTGAGAAAACCTAAAATGCTTAGGTCGGATCATTTCTTCTTCATATTTATTGCCTAATCTCTTACCATTCTCTTTTTTACTTTTCCATTTGATTTGATTTTTTAAATTTAAACTTAAAATAAAAATTGCTGATATTTAAAGTGTACACTGTGATGTTTTAATAGACATATACATAGTAAAACGATTACTACAATCAAGCTATCTTATCATGTAAGTTACTTGTTTTGTGGTGAGAACATTTAAGATCCACTCAGCACATTTCAATACAGTATTATTAACTTTAGTCACCATGTTGTACATTAGATCTCTAAAACTTATTAATTCCACATAACTGAAACTTCGAACCCTTTGACCAACATTTCTCTGTTCAACTCTTACCTTCACTGCCTGTTCCTGGGTACCCACCAGTTTATTCACTTCTTCTGTGAGTTCAACTTTTTTAGATTCCACATACAAATGAGATAATGCAGTATTTTTTCTTTGTAATTTTACTTTTCTAAAGTTTTTCTCCACAAGACTGATTCTGTCTGTGTGTTTGTGTGTAGCTAAGTCCTCTTTTCCTTGTGTATTTTTTGAAAATTCTGTCATTTCATTTTTTCAGCTCATTCTTTTCTTTCATTTCATTCTCTCTCTTTTCATCTCATCCTGTTACTTTCCTTGTGGTCTTACCCTCCTGTCCCTTAATCCCCACCCCATTTCAGAGCAACCATGTCTTGCTTCTTCATCCTACAGAAGATACCAAATAGCTTTCTAGAATTGTTTTCTGATTCCTATCATAAATCATTTTAAGGAAGTAACCTATTCTCTGAGCTGCTATGATAATATTTGGCGGGGTTGTTCTGTAAACTTTTTCAGCAGCTCTAGGCTGACTTTCCCTTTTAATTTTCCTCATTAAGAAAGCTCCACAAGGATTTGTCCTTTTAGCTGGCATGATTCTGTGGGATTGAAGTAGAATGTTCTCCATTACCACCTGGTCATTTGACATTTGGAACTCATGGGAGCCATGACATTTTAGAGCCCAGCATGCATTGCTCTCTGGCTCCTCTTCTTCCTGATCCTGTTACAGCACCCACTGTGTTCAGGTGTGTGCTTCACCTCCCAGCATTCACCATGCCTCTACCCTACCCTCATGTCCCTATATGAGCTTGCTTGGACTTTCAGTCTTCAAATAGGTATAAACCAGCATTTTAGTTACTTCTCATACTGCAGAGTGGGGTTTTCAGGTTTTCTGGTTGTCCCTGTCAAGCTTAATTTTCAGTAAGCTTGGAAGTTTTCCTCTTTTTCTCTGACTTCACATGCATTTTAATGGTAGCAGCTCCAGTTGGGGCTGGTAGCCAGATGCCATAGTAAGCATAAATAAAATGATTGTGCCAAAGAATCTGCACACTTAAAACTCTTGACATATATTGCTAAATAGCATTCCAAAAACTTGGTACTGATCTGCACTTCTGTCAGCCAGAAGTTGTTTTTCCCAGGGTTGCTTCTGAATCTATATTACTGATATCTCTCAAGAATGACTCAGCTAAACATTTCTATCATCTGCCTGTGCCAATTGTCAATCACCTTTGATATCTGTATCATTAAATCATCTGACTGACAAATTTGTGTTTTGTTTTGTCTTTCTTAAGTAGATAATCAATGTGGTTTATGTAGCAAAAGTCCAGCGTTTATTATCAGGAGTTCAAGCCTTGCTTTCCTCATTTACCTGCTACGTGATCAGGACAAAGTGTTCAAGTTCTTTGGGCCTTGTCTACAAAGTGCACAACTACAGGCCTAGTTGTGAGGGGAACATGAATTGAAGACTGGACAGGTGCTTTGTCAATGTAAATTCCTTAGGAATGGTGACAGAGTGGTTGAGTGAGTGGACTCTCTAGTCAGAAAGGTATCACCTTAGCCACTTATTTGCTGCAGGTTGAAAGGCTTTGGGTAAGATTTCCAACCTCCCTGAGACTTGGTCTTCTCATTTATAAAATGGTGATAAAAACAAACACATATCCTTCAGAGATGCTGTGAGCAACAAATGAGGAGATGTATATAAAGATCCCAGCAGGTAAATGGCACAAAACAAGTGCTCAGTAAATGTTAGTCATTGTTGTTATAACCATTAACTTCTGTGGCAAGACATAATGCATATCACCCACATATACATGTACCTGTGGGCAAAAATCTAAGTAAAATGATATTTAGCAATTTCATGTATCATTTTTTTTCTCTCTTAGACTATGGCTTCAAGACTTTTCTAGAATAGTGCTTTAGTTCTTGTTGTCATTAAAACAATTTTTTTTGGTGCTGTTGTTTTGTTTAAGGAAAAGCCAGCTGACAGTTTGCAATGTTTATTTGCAAAGGAATTTTCTTTGTTTTCCTCATCTTATGTGCACAAAGGGAAAACCAAAAAAACTCACAAAGAAAACTCAAAACCTCCCACCCCCTTTCTACTGCCCCAAGATTCCAAATAATTCTTTAAAAAATTATCCCACACACATATTTTTGTTGAGTGCTCTTTTTTAATCCGTTTGTTATATGGCGTTCACAGTATTATTCTTACTCACTGATCTTACCTGAATTTACTTCTCACGTCCTTGACACTATGGCTTGTTAAGTGGACATCATGTACAGGATTTGGGGAAGATTAAATGAGGTTATAATATGCAGAGGAACATGCCTTAGCAGAGTCCCTGGCACATATAAGGAACTCAGCTTGCTGTGCTGCATTGTTGATAGGGATGAACAGAGTGAGCACAGGTCACCTTCAACCTTGGGGCTTCCAACAATGACTGGCTTGTTGCTTGAACAATGTTGCTTGCTCATAGCGACAGCTGGAACCAGCTGAGGCCTTTGTTGTGAGGTACTTACCGCTTCTTCCTCTGCCCAGTCCTGCTTCCTTCACTTCCCTAAAGTCACAGAGCCTTCTGGAACTCCCCAGTAATCTTCCTACATGCAGATCTCTGTCTCTGAGCAGGCTTCCCAGGGAACCCAACCTGTAACGCAGCATCTTTCTACTTAAATGCCTAGAGAGACTTTTTGTTGACGCCAGGATGAAGTTCAAATTCATTAGCATGTCTTCCAAGGCCCATCTCAGTCTAACACCATACTGCTTCTCTAGCATTCTTCTTGGGAATTTCTTGCCTGTGTACTTCAGCCAAGAGTCGCTTTTCCCTAGGCCCATGATAAATGATGTGCTTTTTGTATTTCATTGCTTTATTCTGTATGTTTCTTCTTCTGCTGATGCCTGTTCATCTTTTATCTACCTGATAAATTCTTAATGGAAATACCAGTTTTGAAGTTCAGTTTCTTCCATGGTTCTCCTAGAATATCTTGTGCTTGCTTTGACCACCCTACTTGATGTCAGCTGATGCACTCTTGACCTTGACCCACCCATTCTGCTATACAAGCCCAATATGCTGTCCATGGTGTTAACAGATAAACCAAACTCTGTAAAATATTTTAAAGAGGTTTATTCTGACCCAATGAATGACCATGGCCCCAGAGAACACAATCTCGAGGGGTCCTGAGAAAGTATGCCTGAGGCAGTTGGATTACAGTTTGGATTTATACATTTTAGGGAGGCAGGAGTTACAGGCAAAGTCATAAATCAATACAAGGAAGGTATACATTGATTTCGCCAGAAAAGGTGGGATATCTTGAAGCAGGGACTTACAGGTTACGGGTGGAGTCAGAGATCCTTTGATTTACAATTAGTTAAAGGAGGAAAAGTTTGTCTAAAAATTTGGAGTCAGCAGAAACGCATATTTTAAGTTAAGATAAGGAAGTCTGTTAACCAATTCATTGGGTCAGAGTGACCTGTAGGTGTGTATGACTTAACAAGGGTTTGGCATGGCCATAGGTCCTATTTATAATTTGACATCTTATTTTCACGAAGAGTCTACTTTTGTTAGTCTTACTATCTCTATTTTAATAGTAATGCTGGTCAGTTGTGCCTACTCCAAAAGGAAGGAGGTATAATAAGGCGTGTCCTACTTCCCTTCTTGTCATGGCCAATAACTCAGTTTTTTAGGTTTCTCTCAGGTCTCCTTGGCCAAAAGCAGGCTGGGGAGGCTTAGGATTTTATTTTTAGTTTACGATGGAATTTATTATTAGCCTATACATCCTCATTTCCTTGCCCTAGTCCTAGCCAGTCCTGCCAGCTCTGATCATGAACTTGTCCCAGGCTTTTAGTTGTATTTCTTATTTTTTTTTGAGATGGAGTCTTGTGCTTTCACCCAGGCTGGAGTGCAGTGGTGTGA
This sequence comes from Homo sapiens, assembly GCF_000001405.40. Classification (NCBI taxonomy): domain Eukaryota; kingdom Metazoa; phylum Chordata; class Mammalia; order Primates; family Hominidae; genus Homo; species Homo sapiens. The sequence continues at coordinate 108,405,783 of NC_000009.12, read as the reverse complement.
TCTGGGCTCACGGCAACCTCCACCTCCCAGTTCAAGCAGTTCTTCTGCCTCAGCCTCCTGGTACCTGGGACTACAGGTGCCTGCCACCACGCCTGGCTACTTTTTGTATTTTTAGTAGAGATGGAGTTTCACCATGTTGGCCAGGCTAGTCTCGAACTCCTGACCTCAAGTGATCTGCCTGCCTTGGCCTCCCAAAGTGTTGGGATTACAGGCATGAGCCACCGTGCCTGGCCTTGGTTGTATTTCTTATCTCTGCTTGGTCTTGAAGCTCCCTTTGTCTCAGATTTGAGACTTGATCTTCATTCATTCACAGCAACTGCTTGACTCCCTTCAAAAGTTGTTGGTTTCATCTTGTCATCTTAGTATCCTATGACTGTTCTTTCCCATTTTCAGCTTTCCCATTCTGTCTCTGCATTGACAGTTGGAATAAACTCCATTACCTTTCTGCTTTTCAAGTTGGGAGCAGGGAACATTTTGAATATTTTGATTTCTATGTAACTGTGAACTCCTTGAGTGGAAGCACTCTGATGTGTCTTTCTGTTTCCATTTCCTAGTCCAGGGTCTGCACTGAGTAGGTGGCAGCATGATGTGTTTATGGGGTGAATGATTGTCAGATTACAGAGACTTTTCATCAGCTATGCTAAAGTGAGAACCTAACACAAAGACATTTATGGTGCTCACATAATTGAATTGCTGGGAATATGATATTCTTTTTAAGTGGTGGGCTAGTGCAGAGAAGCTTCACCGCTAGGATTCAAAGGATGTTTAGGGCAACTGGCAGTAACTACTTCTGTGAGGAGAACCTCCTGCATTTCAGACATGGGGCTGAGTGCCATGGCAATTTAAACATAAAACCTGTAGGGATGATGTACCTAATATGCTTACAATCTTGTGGGGCTGACAAGAAATACATATAAAATAGAATAAAAAGCAATATGTTTTAAGAGAAAGCTGCCGATTTTAGAAACTGGAGGTCCAGAGGAAAAAAAGAGGACAGGGATCCAGGAGGAAGTAGGAATCAGAATGGAATTTTAGTTCATTACCAGTCTCACCATATTGCTTTTCTCCCAGGCAACAAACATGCCTTATTTATATCTGCAGCCCCTCCCACCTAATTCCCTAATAGAAAGCCTGGCACATGGGAGGATTATCATAAATATTAGATGCAGGAAGGTAATGTAGGTTTGGGGAAGATGAGATGGGGTCAGGTCAGGGTTTGACTAAATTTTATTAAACTATTTTTATTAGGTTTGTCTCAGTTGGGCTTTTTGGTTACATAAAGAGGCTGTCTTTGGCTACTTCAGTGGGGTAAGAAGTTACTGAAAGACTGCACAATCTCCTACATAATAGAGTAGCATACAGAATCACTGAAAGGCCAGAGAGTCAAGCTCAGAGGATGGACAGGAGCCCTGGAGGATTAGCAATGGGGAACAGCTATAGGAACAGTGTCCTTAGGCCTCTGCTACTGGCACCACTGAACTGACACCTTCAGTCTGTGTCTCTGGATTATCAATACTCTTACTACGTTTGTGAATAATTTCCCATGCTTACATGCTTCGGGGGGGTCACGCTTTCAACTCTCCCCTGAAAGTCAATGTTCCATAGAGGTGCATCCTCTGATTGAATAGTCCAGGCCTACACCACATGCAGATGTCCTGGCATACAGGGATGGCAGATGGGAAGAGCTGCTAATTCTACAGTAGCAGAAGCAAGTTTCCGATGTTTCCTGGGGACTCACCCAGTGATGATTCTCTCCTGACTTCCCACCTCTATATATGAAGGGCATCTAGGTGCTAGTTAGCCAACGATGACAACTGTGCATCAAGGGACAATGAGTTGGGAGCTTAGGCATATGGACAACTTGTGTAAATTTTCTAATTCTGCCAGTTGGCCATGGGCTGTACTCACAGAGAAGACTTAGAAGTGGATACTTGTCTTTCAGATGTTCACTAACGCTCTGACAGTTGGCAATTTTTAACTAGTCTTAAAAGAATGATCTATGAAATTTGTCTGGACCTTTTTCAGGTGTGAAAACTAAATCCAGCTTCCTCCCTTTTGCCTATACATCTTTGATGTGCACTGTACAATTACAGAGATACCTTTGCAGTAAGGGCAGTTTTCCCTAAAGGAGAAGCACATACATGGGAGACAAGTGAAACAGCCAATGCTGAGTAGGCAAGACAGTTGAAATTGGCTTCGTAACCATCCTACACTCCCAGAATCATTGAGGAAGTTAGCTTCTAGTGGCAACAGATACAGTTGGTTATATCAGCCATATAATGTACCTTTTGTATGGGATTAAACAATTTTTCATGTTGATGTTTACTCTATGTTTTCTTTGGGGGAAAAATCTACCACTCAGCCTGGTGGATTTTTGGGTCTCAAATGAAATATTTCAAAGGTCAGGAAATGGGTTATGTTTCTGAGAGCTGATTAGTTCAGGCAGTAATTCATTAACTCGTATGTCACCAATTTCAAATTTTGTTAATTTTTTATGAATCCTCAAAAGCACGGACTGCATTTTTATTAATTTCTCACAATGGTTCATATAGTGAGGAAGACTCCTTCTGTGGTTTACATTCATGTACAATCCTACTACTTAGATCTTACAGTGATCTATTTGTTCCTCATCATGAAGCTCTGAGGAAGACGAAGTGCTGTCCTATTGTATGGGGAAAAAACTAAGACTCGTAGAAGTCTAATTTGTTAAGGTCACATAGTTGGTAAGGGACAGGTTGAGGTCTAAGTCCTACATCTCTTAGCTTAAAGTCCATGGCTTTTATAATTGACATCAGAAGGAAGACTAGTGAAAGAACTGGTCAAGAAATCATGTCTGAGTTGAGACCTCTGTATTATTTACAAGGACTTCCTGAGATCTTTTAAACAAAGGGTGTTTCTCTTTAGTGCTCTTGATGGTTACAAACCCAGCAGACTGATGTATTTTGAAAGAAATGTTACTGGATAACTCTACTCCTCCCTTTTGATGAATAACAGAATTGGTCAAGTCAAATAATTTTCCTCCTCAATCACTGCGTTGTAGTAAGAAAGCACGTGGATTTATGTTGATTTGCTTTGGAGGAAGCTGAGGCACATTGGCAATTCTAGCACCAAGAATGTGAAGCATGCCTAGGAGGCTCCTATGCCATAAGCTCTACCTAGATTAATTTATACAGTTTCACAGTTATTAATGAAATATTAAAGACATTTTGTTCATATAGTCACTTGAGATACAATCGATAATCTTCCTAAATTATTCTTCTGCGAAAGTAATGAATACTAACCCATGACTGAATGTATTTTAGGAACTGTAAATGGATTCAACCACATTGGTGCCTTTGACCAACTCCAGATTACACAGAATTGTAATAAACACATTTATGAACTGTATTATGACCAAAATAGATGGCATATATTTAACTCTAAATTAGTTCTTAAAAAATTAAGCTAATATAAAATATTCAATGCTTATAGTCATCACTACCTGCCTGTCACCTGTTACTGTCAGCATTTATAGATTAGCTAAAATAGTTTTCCCTTTATTACTATGTGCTTGTGTCTTCATTGACTTATGTAATTCTTGTGACAGTCACATTCAGCTGAACCTTAGCTAAGAGTAGGAAGGTTATAAAAAACTGAACTTAAGGCCAGGTGTGGTGGCTCACACTTGTAATCCCAGCACTTTGGAAGGCTGAGGCGGGTGGATCACCTGAGGTCAGGAGTTCAAGACCAGCCTGGGCAACATGGTGAAACCCTGTCTCTGCTAAAAATAAAAAATTAGCTGGGTGCAGTGGCCCATGTGTCCAATCCCAGCTACTCAGGAGGCTGAGGCAGGAGAATTGCTTGTGCCCGGGAGGCGGAGGTTGCAGTGAGCCAGGATTGTGCCATTGCACTCCAGCCTGGGTGACAGAGCGAGACTCTGTCTCAAAGAAATAAAACAAAAAACAAAAAATTGAACTTAACAGAAAAACTCCTAGCTAATTTATGTATAAAAAGTCCCTACTTTAAGCACAAAATCATTCAAATCATAGAATGTGAATGTCTGCTTTCTCTCTTTAATTCCTCTTTTCCTTAATAACTTTTAAGTATGTAGATAGATTTCATAGATAGATAGATGATATATTAATCCTAATGCATTGTGCATTGTTGGTAGACTACCATTTGTTCATGAGTTTTTTTTTTTTTTTATCTACTCAAGGCCTTGTCTTGTTGTGAAACTTCACAACTGTCCTTCAAAAAGACAAACAAGGCCGGGCGCAGTGGCTCACGCCTGGAATCCCAGCACTTTGGAAGGCCGAGGCGGGTGGATTACCTGAGGTTGGGAGTTCGAGACCAGTCTGACCACCATGGAGAAACTCTGTCTGTACTAAAAGTACAAAAAATTAGCCGGGCACGGTGGTGCATGCCTGTAATCCCAGCTACTCAGGAGGCTGAGGTAGGAGAATCGCTTGAACCCAGGAGGTGGAGGTTGCAGTGAGCCAAGATCGCACCATTGTGCTCCAGCCTGGGCAGCAAGAGCAAAACTCTGTCTCAAAAAAAAAAAGACACACAAAACAATTCATGGGTTAGCCTGGTGAAAGTACCCACAGATAATTTAGTTTTGAGTTGTGTTGCTCAAGCTTTTTCCTGACTGGTCTCTCTTAGTGTCCAGTAACATTGATTCAGGAGGTTGCAGGTATGTTATTTTCCAGCTGTCTGTCTTAGATGATTAGATGACTGATCATTAATTATAAAGTGTCTATTGAGTACTTACTATATTCACTGTGTTTGCGGTGCTGGTTCAAATTTCAATTACCAAGAAATATTAAGTGTTAATAATTGTATAAAGTACAGACATTGCTGCTAGTTCTTCAGTACACAAATGACTATGCAAATAACAGGTGTACATTATGATCAGTTACCAGTGATGTCACTTCCTTCAGTGTCTTTCAGTGATTTGTCACCATGAATTTGTCACTTCGTTTTCAGACAGCAAAGCATGTAGTTGTGTTGTCTCCTTGTCACCCAGTGATAAAACCACACACATATTACCATAAAAAAACTCATGAAAATATAAGAAAACACACACATACCCAATGCCACTGGAAGTTAAGGGTATGAACTTTCAATACAGATGGATGGCTTTGAGAATGATCTGGGGTAGAATCATATCTATAAATAGAATGACCTCACCAGCTAGAAAGGAATTCTAGAAGAAAATCTCCATCCATTTCAGTTTTACACCTCAGACAGGGAGGCAGTCTTAGATTAGAAAATCTCACAGTCACTACCAAGGACTGTGAGGGAGTTCACTTTTGGGGCAGCCACTACTTCATCCCATTTCTACCCTGCTGGACACTGAGGGGATCACTGTAGTTGGATAACTCTCCCTAATCTATGCTATGACCACAATCTGAGAGATAAATTTTATTAATCCTCTTAAATTGAGAGAGTTTAGAACCAAATTTAGTAAACTATGGTGTACTTTTACCTTTTCATTTCTTTGTTCATTTAAAAATGTTTAAACCTCTAAAAAGAAAATTTTCATAAGAACGTATTATGAAGGTAAAGTGTTATTATTTTATTTTCCCTCAATGTTGAATTACAGCATAATAAACACATATCTACTCTTTATCTAGATTCAACAATTGTAAATATGCTGTTATATTTACTGTCTCTCTCGGTGTCTCTCTTTCTTGCTTTGTAAAACATTCCATACCATTTGAAAATACATTGTATACATCATGACACTTCATTTCCTAAAACTTTAGCAGACATCTCCTAAAGATAAGGGCAATCTCCCACATAATTATAATACTATTATGAGTCATAAGAATATTAACAATAATTTCATAATATCATCTAACATCCAGGTTAGATTTAAATGTTCGCATGTTTCAAAAATATTTTTTGGTGCTTTTAAAACATTTTTGAAAATAGGATCCAGTCTAGGATCACTTAGTGCCTTTTGTTGTTATTTCTCATAGACCCTTTATATGTGGAATAATCATACCCCATACCTCTTCTCCCTTCCCTCCGTTATCTTCCTTTTCCCCCTGATATTTTCCAAGTTCAGATCAGTCATCTTATAGAATGTCCCACATTCTGAACTTCTCTAATTATTTCTACTTTGTGTCACTTAAGTCATTCATCTATACCTTTTATTTCCGGTACATTGGAAACTATAACGACTTCATGACATTCAGGTCAGACTTTTTTGGCAAGAATCCATTATAGGTGATGTTATATGTTTCAGATTACCACACACCAAGGGGCACAAAGTATCAGCTTGTCCTACTGTTACTGGTGCTAGTTTTGATTAATTAGATTAGTCACTGTCAGATCAGATCAACACTAAAGTTGAAATTCCCATGTAAATTTCACTTGGATTCCCTAAATGTTGGTATTTAAAAATGTTTGCATCATTGTTTCCTTCCCTCTGTCTGTTTTTTCCTATGTGCTTCAGTGTGTATTTCCTAAATGCAGGGATTTTTTTTTCTATAATGCCACAATCAGAAAATTAGCACTGATGCAGTATTATTATCTAATCTACTAGCCATATAGTTTCACTAATTGTCCTATTAATATTCATTAGAGCAAAAGAACATATTTTTCTAGTCTAGGATCCAATCTTGATTACACACTGAATTTAGCTGTCATGTCTCTTTAATCTGAAACGGTTCTACAGTACTTCATTTTTTAGCACGGCCTTGACATTTTTGAAGGAATACTAGTCAGTTGTTTTATAAAATGCCCCCTAGTTTGGGTTTCCTTAATGTTCCTTCATGATTTGATACAGGTCATGCGTTTTTAACAAGAATACCACAGAAGATACTTTTATCTCTTCCCAGTGCCTTATTATATTAGCAGGCATATAATATCTACTACTACCCATTACTGGAGATGTTATATTTGATTTCTTGGTCGAGGGGACTCCTCTAGCTTACTCCAGCATAAAATTATTTAACTTATTTTTAATTAATATCTTGTGTGAAAATACTTTGAGACTGTATAAATATCCTGTTTCTCCTCAAACCTTCACACATTTGTTTTAGCACTCATTGATGATTTTTGCATGAGACAGTTTTTATTATGGTGGCTGCTAAGTGAAAAATAACAAACAAATGATAAAACTAATTTGTTTTTCCTTTTAAAGTTTTATTTTTATTCACTTTATGTAAAATATTTTATATGTTTGTTGTAATGTGCAAATACCCATGATATTTTTAAATAAGTGAAGTGTTGGAGTAATATCAAAATGTGTGATTTATTGAATTATTTTAATATATTCTCCGTATACTGTAAGCTCTTTGAAGGAAGGAATTTTTGTCTTATTTACTGATGGATTACCAAGGAGTAAGAACATACAGTAGGTACTCAACAAATATTTTAAAATGTATTTTATAGTTTAGGAAATGGAGGCTTAAGGAGATAAAATAGCTCTAGGAAATGGTGGAGCTGGGATTCAAACCAACTGACATTCTTTCATTACACCTCATCACTGCAACAAATAGGTGATGTTTATTTTTTGAAAGTTCCTTAAGTTTGAAGAATGCATGTATTATGTTTTGTTTTAAATGATATTCTGATACTTAAGGAATATACCAGGAATAAAAATTAATGAGACAGAATGAAAGTTAGAACTACATGATGAACTCTATCCAATCACGTCAATAAAAAAAAATGAAAACAAGATTGTCATACATAACCCAATCGTGGATTATTCCATTGTATTTCATGATGCTAGCAAGTGCTACTGAGACAGGAGACTTCTACATGGTAGGATGCTTTTGTACCTAATATGTACATTTCAGAGCAGGTGACATACTTCCTAAGCTCTAGACGTGACTTAATGTAGAAACAGCCCATAAGCACAACACATTTCTAATTTCTCAGTGTAGTTGATGACTTGCTGTAATCTGAGACAAAGAAATAAGACCTGAAAAAATCGGGGAAATCTATAGAGAATATGCATAGTATTTCCTACTAGTGTGCTCTGAATTGAAATAGTTTCAACTTCAGCGATGTGACCTCAGAGGGAATTCCCTGCTTGCATTCACTTACAACCATGCTGGGAAGGACACCAGCTCCCGCTTTCCCTTCTGCCATGATTATAAGTTTCCTGAGGCCTCACCAGAAGCTGAGCAGATGCCAACATCATGCTTCCTGTACAAATTGCAGAACCATGAGCCAATTAAACTTCTCTTCTTATTAAATTACCCAGTCTCAGGTTATTTCTTTATAGCAGTGTGAGAGTGACTAAGCCTAGGACTTAGTCAATCAATGCATTACATTATTCTGGCCACAGCAGTTGCTACAAGGATGGAAGAGTGGCCAAATATCAGCCAATGCAAACCAGATCCAGAAGCCTACCAATCTGTCTTCTCTGTGTGACTGAGTTCTGAGGCAGAAGACTCAGTGACTAATGATAGATCTCAAATAGATGTGACAATCTGTCTGTTCCTTTGGACACTCTTAGTTCTTTGCCCCCCATTGGTCTTGACAGGATTGAAAATTAGATTTGGGACAGAAAAATCTTTAAATCCAGAATCTTTAGGTGATAATAAAATACTTTGGGAGTATAGTAATCAAAATTAGTTAAATTTATACATTTTTTATGCCTTCAGCCACAGAACAATGATGGGTCAAATTCAATCTACTGCTATTTAAAAAATATAAAAAATCAATTCACGGAAAAATTTAATGTGAATAAGTTAATTTCCTAGATTACTAAAACTTACCCATTTAAATGACGCAACATTTCTGATTTTAAATATTTCCAATGGAAAATATTTTCTAGACTGTATTACAAAATTCAGGGGATACACCAAATAATTTAGGCCAGCAATATTGGGATAAACATACATTATCAGTCTTTTTTTAAAAAAATAGTTGAATCCAACTTTTGCTCTTTCAAACTGTTAAGATATATGCTCTGGAAATATATGGGCTTCAAAGTCCAAGTGTAGTTAGCTTCCTTAACAAGCAATTTCTTGTTGTGCAAGGCTTTTGAGATAGAACTTGGTGCTGTGTGAGACAGACACATCAAGTGTAGGATTTGTGTCAGTGAAAACTATTTAGTTGCAAATGACAGAAAAATCTCATTAAACTAGCTCAAGCAAAGGGTATCTATTTACTCACACAAAGCTATGAGGAAGAAGAACTCAAATTGCTGGAGTACTATGGTGGGGTTAAGGAGTGATCTTTCCCCAAAAAGTGCAGCTTTCATCCTGAGTCAGAACCTGACTCAGGGAATATTGGGGAAATAGAGGAAAGAGGTGGGACTCCCCTTGCTATGCTATGATGATTGAATCTTAGGGCACCAGGTGTCTACTTGGTAAATATACAAGTCCGACTGCTCACCCACAAGCTCACCTTATCTTAAAATTGAAATATGAGCCACTTCTATGGTTGCAGTTTATTAGTGCAACCGGTCACACTAACTGGAAGCCAGCCACTTTCCCACTGACCTCTGTGCCTTTATTCTTTATTTTAACACTTTTCTGATTACGAAAATCCTTCAGAATTAGGGATTCAGAGCAAAGAAGGAAGAAACTGACACCTAAGGAATACATCTATGTGCCAGATGGCTACGCCAGCTGCTTTAATGTTCAAACTGTTTTTTTCTTCCTTCCTTTCTTCCTTCCCTCTCTTCCTTCTCTCTCTTCCTTCTTTCCTTCCTTTCTTCACTTTATTTCCCTCTTGTCCCATAAGCAACCATTCAAATCGGCTTTATGTATTTTTTGTTAAATGTTCATTTTATTTTTGTAGTAATGCATTTTATATTTACATAAATACCATTGTGTTATATACATCATCCTTTTTAAATTGGCTCAGCAACATGTATTTTAAGATGCATTTAGGTTGCTGTGTCTACACTGGCTAGGCAATTGGTTGATTACTTCCGACTGCTTAATTTTTTTCTTTACCCACATTATACTCCTTGAAGGCTAGATCTGTCTTATTTAAGTTTGAATCTCCAAAGCCATGTTTAGAGGCTGGCACTTAGGAAGTACTTAAGTATTTTGTGTTGAGGATTGAAATATGATATGAATATTCTTCAATTAAAGTTTTGTTGAATCAAAAGGAATGAAATGTTACTAAAGGAAGCAGCTGCTTATTATAGGATTGAGGATTCACTTAGGAAAAATTTCTGTTTTCAGAATCTTTGACGATCTTTAGTTAGCTTTTCCAGCTTCAACTTAATACGAATGAATCATAGTCAAAACTGTGATTACCCTAGGACTTCTGGGCATAGTTGAAAAGATTTTAACATAGTCCTACTTAAAGTACAGCTTTAGGGAAATAAAAGTGATACACCCAGCACGTAAATTCTGACTTAACTCGCAACCCAAGTTGGCTTAACCTTTAATGGACATCAGTCAATAGCGTTGCTCAAATCCTATCAGTTTTTATGAAATTCAAATCCCTGTTGTGAATCAAATTAAATGAAGAAAATTTCACCTTGATTTCCCTCAAGCAGAGTGTGTAAATATTTTGCAAGAAGACAATGACCCTGGCAGTAAGAACATAACAGCCATGGAACTAGTTAAAAAAATTTTTTTTGGAAATCTTCGGTGAAAAATACCAAGAATATTAGTGGATTCACATTTTGTTCTTTGGTTTTCAAATGCTGTTTATTAGAAGACCCCAAACATACATGTGGCTGGGGACCCTTGCAGAGAAAGCCGTCACTCCACATCAGCACAGCATAGGAGGAGGACTGGGGTAGAAAAAATGACGATGCGACAGAGTGGGGACTTCTCAGGCTGGACAGGGCCCTAGAAGCCAGTCGCTCTCCCGCAGATCTCTGCCTGTGCCTCAGGAAATGAGGACAAGCTCAAAGGACACTTTGTTTGTGCCCTGGGATTCCCGGACCTGGCTGGGGTCTGCCCTGGGATTCCAGAGCCTGGCTGGGGTCTGTCCTGGTGTGTCCGGAATTGGTGGGTTCTTGGTCTCACTGACTTCAAGAATGAAGCCGCAGACCCTGGCGGTGAGTGCTACAGCTCTTAAGGCAGCGCGTCTGGTGTTTGTTCCTTCTGATGTTCGGATGTGTTCGGAGTTTTTTCCTTCTGGTGGGTTCGTGGTCTCGCTGGCTCGGGAGTGAAGCTGCAGACCTTCGCGATGAGTGTTACAGCTCTTAAGGCAGCGCGTCTGGAGTTGTTCATTTCTCCCGGTGGGCTCCAGTCTCGCTGGCTTCAGGAGTGAAGCTGCAGGTCTTTGAGGTGAGTGTTCCAGCTCATAAAAGCAGTGTGGACCCAAAAAGTGAGCAGTAGCAAGATTTATTGCAAAGAGTGAAAGAACAAAGCTTCCACAGTGCGGAAGGGGACCCCAGCGGATTGCCACTGCTGGCTTGGGCAGCCTGCTTTTATTCTCTTATCTGGCCCCACCCACATCCTGCTGATTGGTAGAGCCGAGTGGCCTGTTTTGTCAGGGCGCTGATGGGTTCGTTTACAATCCCTGAGCTAGATACAAAGGTTCTCCACGTCCCCATCAGATTAGTTAGATACAGGGTTTGGACACACAGGTTCTCCAAGGCCCCACCAGAGCAGCTAGATACAGAGTGTTGATTGGTGCACTCACAAACCTTGAGCTAAACACAGGGTGCTGATTGGCGTGTTTACAAACTTTGAGCTAGATATAGAGTGCCGATTGGTGTATTTACAATCCCTGAGCTAGACATAAAGGTTCTCCAAGGCCTCACCAGAGCAGCTAGATACAGAGTGTGGATTGGTGCACTCACAAACCTTGAGCTAAACACAGGGTGCTGATTGGTGTATTTACAATCCCTGAGCTAGACATAAAGACTCTCCAAGTCTTCACCAGACTCAGGAGCCCAGCTGGCTTCACCTAGTGGATCCTGCACCGGGGCTGCAGGTGGAGCTGCCTGCCAGTCCCCTGCCTGCGTCCGCACTCCTCAGCCCTTGGGTGGTCGATGGGACTGGGCGCCGTGGAGCAGGGGGCGGCGCTCGTCGGGGAGGCTCGGGCTGCACAGGAGCCCACGGAGTGGGTGGGAGGCTCAGGCATGGCGGGCTGCAGGTCCCAAGCCCTGCCCCACAGGAAGGCAGCTAAGGCCCGGCGAGAATTCGAGCGCAGTGCCGGTGGGCTGGCACTGCTGGGGGACCCAGTACACCCTCCACAGCTGCTGGCCCGGGTGCTAAGTCCCTCATTGCCCGGGGCCACCAGGGCTGGCTGGCTGGCTGGCTGCTCCGAGTGCGGGGCCCGCCAAGCCCACGCCCATCCGGAACTCCAGCTGGCCCGCAAGCGCCGCACACAGCCCTGGTTCCCGCTCGCGCCTCTCCCTCCACACCTCCCTGCAAGCTAAGGGAGTGCGCTCCAGCCTTGGCCAGCCTAGAAAGGTGCTCCCACAGTGCAGTGGTGGGCTGAAGGGCTCCTCAAGTGCCGCCAAAGTGGGAGCCCAGGCAGAGGAGGTGCCAAGAGCAAGCGCGGGCTCTGAGGACTGCCAGCACGCTGTCACCTCTCACTGGGATTCGGGGGCCTGGCCCCATAGAGCAGTCGGTATGGAGGGACACCTGAGCAAGTTCACCTCTGTGTTCCTGGACTTTCAGGAAGAATATTTCTCATAAGAATAATATTATATGTTCCTTCTTAATCTTACAATGTTGTGGAGTCATTGGGATCTTGGGCTTTGGAGCGCAACCACATTGGTTTGCAGACCAGTTCTGTCACTTGCCAGCTGAAGAACTTTGGCCAAATGACAGAAACCCTCTGAGCCTCTGTTTCATCATCTTTTGAGTGATCCCAACAACAAGGCTAAACAGATTTCTTTTCAGTAGGACTTGCCAGAGTCTTTAATATGGCTAATGTCCACTGAATCTCTAAGAGATGGTTACATGAATATAGGAGTTCTCAACCATATTTCATCATGGAATACAGTACTTTGCTTCTCAGAGCACCTTATGGGACTAACGTTCTGAGCCACACACTTGGGATATGCTACCCTAGAAGGGTATTCTAGATACTTATTTAACTCATGACTGAACAATAGTTCTTAACTGATAGGTTGACTGATAATTTACTAGAGCCCAGGCACTATTCTGAGTGTATTAGATTTATTTATTACATGTATTATACTTATCTCTACACCTCAATCCTATAACATGGGTATTATTATTATCCCTACTTTGCAAATAAGCGCACTGTGGCACAGAGAGGTTAATTAACTTGCCTAAGATCATATAGCTCTCCCCAGCTGTCCAGTCTACTATTTAACCCAGACCTTAAGGTTTTTAGTTTCAGTGACTACATTTTCCATTTCTACAAGTCGTATTTGGGTCTTTACAGACAGTAAATAGTGTCTTTACAGACACTACAAAATAAATTTTGCTTTAAAATTTCTGGCTCTTGGAGTGCATTTCCTATATCTACTAATTATTTATCCTAGTGGCTCATTTTGTGTGTGTGTGTAATTTACAAATTTGGGGGCATGATCTTATCTCCAGGATACATTGTTGCTGCTCTTTGCTGTTGTTTATCTCTGGCACTTGAGGATTGCCAGATTTAGCAAATAAAGTACAGGGGTACTGAGTTACATTAGAATTCTGAAAAGAAAACACATGATTTTTTAGAGTAAGTGTGTCCCCAAATTGCAACTTAAAAATTGTTGCTTAACTGAAATTCAAATTTAACTGAACAAACTATATTTTATCTGGCAAGTGTATCTTGTATCCTGCTTTTAGGAAGTCTCTCTGTAAAGTCTGGTTGAGTCCTGTTGAGTCCTCAGGGATTCCCAAGGGTCACACCAGTTTTTATATACTCTCTTGGTTTGGGATTTCTGTAAAATATATAATTCAAAAGTGTGTAGATTTGGATGCTACATGATATGACCAGTTTTTTAGGTTTTCCTGGGACAGAGGGGTTGCCTGGGATGCTGGGTTTTCAGTGCTAAAACTGGGAAAGTTTCAGCACAATGGGATGAGGTGAGTTGGTCACCCAAATGCCACACCCATGTGTAGTATGGAAGTATGGACTTGAAGTCTAAATTTGTTATAAGTTCTATTCCCCTCCCTCCCCTGCTACTCCTTATTAACTACTGGGCACACAGCAAATTCCTTCGATATATCGAGGGTTATTGCTTAGGATTATTTTAATTATTTCTCATGAAAAGGGCAGCTCTTTGAAGGTGCAAAGTTAGTGCAGCTGTCTCTTCACCTGACCATGTCCCATGTCCTCACAAGGATGTTAAATTCCCATCTCTTGGACCTCTGGCCTATTTCTGCGTTTAGCGCTCATGGAATGCCAAGGTGTCTACTGAACCATTCTGCTCAGGCTTTGGGTTTCTCTTTCGTTTCTCACTCTTAGATTTTCCTTTTTTTCTTCCTTTCAAGCTTCGCTATGTATATTTTTCTAGTTGTTAGATTAAATAGAGCATTTTTTTCTGCCTTTCTAGTGAGATAGGTCCTCATTAGCAGACCACTATCTTGCCAGAGTCTTAAACATCTCTATAGTAATCAAATTTTCTACAGCAAGCATGTAAATTAAAAATAATATTGTGAAGGTTGCAATGAAATTGATGCTGATGGTAGAACTATAATTAAGTGCTAACTTTCAAGCAGGTAACTTTGAAATGAATTATCAAGAGCCTTAAAAATATTTACATACTTCAATTGAGGAATCTATCCTAAGAAAATATTCCAAAATGTAGAAAAAGTTTCAAACACAAATATTTGAAAAATAATTTTATATATGATAAACAACAATTAGAAAAAAACTAGAAAACAGAGAATGGTATAGTACTTTCAGATCCTAGAATCTTGTATAAAGTTTTATTTGCAAAAACTTTTTACTGAAATGGAAAATCATGTTCCATATTTTTGCTGAGGATTATATATGCCAAAAATTATGCTGAATACTTTATATTAATTTAATCTTCATAATTTATGAACTAGACGTTACTGATTTTACAAATGACAGAAGTGAGATTCAGTTTTCAGAGAGAATCCCAGTTGGCCTAACTCCAAAGCTTATTTTCCAAATCACTAATCTCAGATTTCAGATGTATTTAAATGTTTAGAGCAAGAATCAAAAGTAAGTAAAATAAAATATTAATTGTGGTTCCCTCTGGATGGTGAAATTGTGGAAGTTCCACTTTCTGCTTTATTCTTTTCTATAGTTTCTACATTTTCTTCAGTAAGATATTATTTTTAGAACCAGAAAATAAGTTTAAGTTTTACCTTTTTTTTTTTTTTTTTTTCTTTGAGACAGAGTCTCACTCTGTCACCAGGCTGGAGTGCAGTGGTGTGATCTTGGCTCATTGCAATCTCCACCTCCCGGGTTCAAGTGATTCTCCTGCCTCAGCCTCCCGAGTAGCTGGGACTACAAGCATGTGCCACCATGTCCAGCTAATTTTTGTATTTTTAGCAGAGACGGGGTTTTCACCATGTTGGCCAGGATGGTCTCGATCGCTTGACCTCGTGATCCACCCGCCTTAGCCTCCCAAAGTGCTGGGATTACAGGCGTGAGCCACCATGCCCGGCCTGTAAGTTTTACAGTTTTTAAAAGAAGTATGTTGAGGTAGGCACGCTGGCGCATGCTTGTAATACCAGCTACTTGGGAGACTGAGGCACAATGATTGCTTGAGCCCAGAAGTCTGAGATCAGCTGGGTAACATAGTGAGACCCTGTCTCAGTTTAAAATAAATTTTTTAGAAACAAGTGTGTTGATACCATTCTTTCTCTATCTAACAAAATTCCAACTAATTACACAGGTTTTTACTTTACATTTGTTTGGCATAAGTTGAAAATAAAGACAAACACTCTTTAAAATGATAATCCCCACCAGAACACCTTTTTAACTTGAAGGAATTTTTTCTTAAGTTTCTGTTTATTGAGATATAATTCCATATAATAAAATTTAGTTTTTTGACCGTATAGTTCTAGGACTTCTGAAAAGTGTATACAGTTGTGTAACCAGAACTCTAATCAAGATTTGGTAAAGTTCCATTACCCCCCAAAATTCTCTTGTGTCCTTTTGCAGTCAGCTTCTCCTCTGACTTCCAGTTCCTGGTTACCACTGATTTATTTTGTGTCCCTGTAATTTTCCCTTTTCCAGAGTGTCATATAAATGTAATATATATTGCCTTTGGAGTCTGGTTTTCTTTTTCCACTTCCACTTAGCATAATGCATTGAAATTCCTCCATGCTGTTGCACATATTAGATTATTATTTTTTTCTGAGAAGTACTCCATTGTATGGATGCGCCACGATTTATTTATCCAGTCATTGATTTAAGGACACTTGGGCTGTTTATAGTTTTTGAATGATTATAAATAAATCTGCTATAAACATTCATTTCAAGTTTTTGTGTGAACATAGATTTTCCTTGATAGATGTGAAGGAGTGGGATTACTGAGTTGTTTGGCAATTGTATATTTAATCTTACAAGAAACTGTCAAATTGTGGTTCAGAGTGGTAGCTGTACTAAATTTGCATTCCCAACAGTAGTGTATGAGCGTTCTAAATGTTTTAAATTTGTACAGCACTTCCAGCACTTGGTATTGCCTAGGTGTGTTGAGTTTCTTTTCTGCTTATGGAGGATGGGGATGTGTGTAATCATTGTCTGATTGTGGTGATAACTTTCATTTTCCTAATGAGTAATGATGTTGAATATCTTTTCATGTTTTTGCCATTTGCCTTTCTTTTTTGGTGATGGGTCTTTACATTCTTGCCATTTAAAAAAATGGGCTGCTTGTTTCTTACTGCATGTCAAAGAATCTTCATGTATTATGGATATAAGTTATTTATCAGATATGTATTTTGCAAATATTTTCTGTAAGTGTATGGCTTGTCTTTTCATTTTCTTAATGGTGTTTTGAGGAACAGAAGTTTTAAATTTTGATGGAGTTCAGTTTTTTCTTTTGTGGATTTTTTTTTATTATATGTAAGATATCTTTCCCTAACCAAAGGTGGCAAGATTCGTCCTGTTTTCTTTCTAGAAGTATTGTAGTTTTAGGTCTCACTTTTAGTTCTTTGATTCATTTTGAGTTAATTTATCTATGTTGTGCATAGTATAAATTCTGGTTGTCTTTTTGCTTATAGGCATCCAAATTTTCAATACTATTTGCTGAAACTACTGTTTGTTGAGGTTTCTTTCACCTTTGCTGAAAATCAAATGTGTGGGTCTGTTTCTGGACCCCAGCTGATTCCACTGATCTATGTGTCTGTTCTTTTGCCATCACTGTGCTGATTATTGTCCCTTTTTAATAATTATTCAAATCAAATAATGCGAACTCTCCAACATTGTTCATCTTTCTCAAAATCGTTTGGCTATTGTACTTCCTTTGCTTTTCCACAGAAATTTTATCAGCTTATGAATTCTAAAATTCAAAAATCTTGTGAAGATTTTGCTTGTGATTGCATTGAATCAATAGATCATTGTGAGTAGAACTATAATCTTAATTACACAGTCTTCCAACAGGTGAATATGATAACTCTATTCTCTTAGTCCTTCTTTGATTATTTTAATCTGTATTTGGTTGTTTTTAATATAGAGATTTTATATGTATCTTGTTAGATTTATACTTAAGTTTTTCATGCTTTTTGATGCTACTTTCAATCTTGTTATTTTTCAATTTCAATATCTAATTCAATTTCTAACTAGTGCATTGCTAGTATACAGAAGGACAGTTTATTTTTGTGATATTAACCTTATATCCTACAACCTTGCTTATCTCACTTATTAGTCCTAGTAGTTTTTTAAAAGATGTCTACATTTTACATAGACAATCATGTTGTCTGTGAAGAGAAATAGTTTTTTTTTTTTTAATCCATATGCCTTTTATTTCTTTTTCTTTCCTTTTTGTGCTGGCTAGGACCTCCAATATGAGACTGTATAGGAGTGGAGAGAGTTGACTATGAGTTAGGTTTATATGTAGTTAGAGTAGTATAAAGCAATTGAAATTAGAGGAAAATTTATATGTGTGTGTTAGTGACCACATCATCCTGGTTTTCTCGAGACTTTCCTAGTTTATCAATGAAAGTCATGTGTCCTAAGAACCCTCTCTGTCTCAGGCAAACCTAGACAATTGGTCATCTTAATGTGTGCACTGTGTGTGTTTGTGGCAGTGTGTGTGTGTTGGGGGGTGTGGGTGCTGAAGGTGGAGAATAGGGGATAAAATGGCTTAATTTTCTACCTAGATCCACCTTTAAATTACACGGTCACTTGTTACTTACTAACACTTTCCTTTATTATGAGAAATACATGCAAGAAGGGGAGACTTTAACTATCATTAATTTAGTTTGGACAGTAACAAGTATAATTAAATAGAAATCAATATTATTCATGAGTTTGTCTTTAAAAGGAGCAACATTTAATTGAGAAGTGCAGAAGATTTAGAAAAAAAAATTCTCTCTGGATGTACCTTTTACTTCATAAATAAGCAAGTTCTGCTTTTCCAATGTGGTAAAAATGCTTTTTATCTTTCTGTTTCCTGAGAAAGTAGTCAGAAGAGGAAAATTCATGGAGCTATGTATGACTCATGCCAAAAAGAAGGCAAAAAAACCTAATTCTTTAAACATTTCCAATTTAGAGGTTTGTACAAATCTGTCATGTGTCCCAGTGAATAAAATTCATAATTGTTTGCCCTAATATATGCTCTAGTATGTAATCACATGCCAAAAAAAAATAGTTTTGGCATAATCTTCCATAGTAATCCCGAAGATGCTCATGGAAACCACATTTAAAGTATTGTCTGAGTCATTAAGGCTTTGAATATGATTTGTGGAGTGGAGTTAAAATAAATCTGAAATGAACAAGCCCTAAGTTTTATTGACTACAAATATTATCATAGTAATTCCACTTTTTGTTTTTCTTGTCTTTGCATGAATCATGGGCAGTCATGCAAGTGTCCAAGGTGAGCAGACAGACACTATTGGGGCTGAGCAAGGGTAGTTTAATCCACCCAGTTTTATTGAGTCTGAAAAGCAAACTCCCATCTCTTTTCCAGTTTCCCTAACAGGTCACCAACTGTCTTCTTTCCACCAGTTAGCCAGTTATTTCCCACCTCTCCCTCTTCATGCCTGGGACCCACTTTCCGCCATCATTTTCTCAGCAGTCTTCTGACTCTCATTTTACTGAGAGTCACTAAATATGGCAGTGATGTTGTGAGTGTTATTTTTCCAACAGCACAGATATATCTCATGTGTAAACCATAATTGTGATTGGTATGGAGAAATAAAATTAGGAGATGTCCAGAATCTTCTTGGAAAATATCCAGCTTTATACTTTGGCTTCTGGACTATGATCCAGTGAGTACTTACTATGAACCAGATGTTGTTCTTCAAATTCTACCACATCATATCAAAATTTGTAGGACTTTGGGGGACTTTCACATCCTTCCTTCTTTTCCTTTCCCCCTTCCTTCCTTCTGTTTAATCTAATGTACTCGGAGAAAACCATATAGCCTTACCTATCTACCTTCTACTGCAAAGTTTAAAGAACAATAAACTATATTAATTTTATTTTCAATGTGTGACCTCTTTCTTCCACATCATTGCTTCCTCTTATGCTCTCAGTCTGTTAATGACTCAGACAGAAACTACAGAACCATCTTTGATTTTCTTTCCCCATCTCCTCCTCAATCAACCAATGACCAATCTCTGTCTATCTGCCGTTATTCATTCCCTTTGTCTGGCCTCTCCTCTCAGTCCTCTCACTTCCACCCTAATTCAGAATTTTTATTCTCTCCTTGACCAGAGCAATAACCACTTAATTAGTTTCCATGTGTATTTGTTTTATAGGGCTGCCACAGCAAATCACAATCTTGGCGACTTAAAACACTGAGAATTCTTTTTTTTTTTTTTTTTTTTTTTTGAGACGGAGTCCCGCTCTTTAGCCCAGGCCGGATTGCAGTGGCACAATCTCGGCTCACTGCAAGCTCCGTCTCCCGGGTTCACGCCATTCTCCTGCCTCAGCCTCCCGAGTAGCTGGGACTACAGGCGCCCGCCACCGCGCCCGGCTAATTTTTTGTATTTTTAGTAGAGACGGGGTTTCACCGTGTTAGCCAAGATGGTCTCGATCTCCTGACCTTGTGATCCGCCCGCCTCGGCCTCCCAAAGTGCTGGGATTACAGGCGTGAGCCACCGTGCCCAGCCGAGAATTCTTTTCTCTGACAATTCAGGAACCCAGAAGTCTAAAAGCTTTTGAAAACATCTTAGGAAATTCAAGGGTCAATAAATAAATTTGACAAAGATTTAATAAGTATTTGTTAAACATACATCGTATGTTTGTCATTGTTCTAAGGCCCAGAGACTAAAAAAGTGAATAATAACAGCACTTATGATCCTTATCACCCAGAACCTTCTAGTCTAGTAGACAAGGATACACTTGTTCAAAATAGGCTTAAAATACCCTTTATTTTATAGATAGTGAGGGCCGTGGTGAGGATTGAGCTGTAATAAACTATTTGAAAGGACTGAAATCCATTTAAAAGCATCTATTCCTAAGTTTTTTTATTGTATTAGCTACAGATACAAAATCTGTTTGTCTTTTCCTCCAATAATTATGGAAAGCATGACTAATTAGGAAATGGTCAAAGAGAAAGAAAGGTAGGAGCCACAGCAAGACAACGTGTCAGCAAGATTAAAGTGCACCCCTTTCCTCTTGCTGCTCTTCCAGGCGTCTGGTCACCCAGTGCAGGAGTCTGGGAGTTACTCTTCTCTTTGCTTTACTTTCGCATCTAGTTAGTCACCAAGTTTCACCTATTCTGCTAGTATTGCCTCTCAGATCCACTCTTTCTTCATCTTCCTTGCTATATTCAGTCCCACATCATCTGACCCCTCTTTATCACAGATGTCTTAACTGTTCTTCCTCCTGTATCCCTCACTCCTTCCCATAACCCTTGCTGTGTGTATCACTTCTCATCTCCTGGCTGGTGGTGGGGTCGGAAGAGTCATTATAAAATAGAAATTTGGTTCAGATAGTAAGTTATTCCCAAGCCAAAACCTGCCTTCATCAACATAGCCTTCAGTATAAAGTACAAACTACTTGTTTGAATATATTTGACAAGGTCAAGAGCCTAGGATGAATTAAATTGGATTGCTGTCTATTTCTAAGCCTCATCTCTTACCACTTAGAGTGGTAAGAGACCCCTTTGCTCTAGCTATACTGCACATCTTGCAATTCCAGGGAATGTCACAATATCTCTCATTTGGCACACACTGCTGCCTTAGCCCTCCTTCCTTAACTTGCCTTCCTCTGCTGTCTCCTTTACTCTTCAAGGAAAACGTATGGGTCAGGTGACTTCCAGCCAAACTCTGGCTCCCTGTGGATGGGGTCCTTCCTCTGGGCTAAAGTAGATCTTGAGTTCCCTCAATAACAATGTAGGACAGTGATTTGTTCGTGTCTCTTCTCGAGTGATTCTCAAGTTTGGCTCTACTTTGGGCTTCACCCCAGTGATGATGATTTAATCAATCAGCAGGGGGACCCAGCAGTACTTTTTCAAAGTTGTAGGTAAATTTATTGTGCATCTGGCTTGAGAAACACCGCCCCAAACTGTAAGTTCCTCTGATCTTGGGCCTTTTCTTAACTAACTTTATATTCTTAGTGTTTCTTCTCCAGGCCAGGTTCAGAGTGGGTTCTCCAGGCCCCTAATTCAATATTTGTTGAGTAAATGAGTATAGATCATAAAAGAGGAAGTTTGTTGGAACATATTTAGAGGCTTAGGAAGGGGAGGGGTTATTCCAGTCTCTGGCTGAGACCAGGCATCTTTCCTTGAATACTTATCCCTGAAGAGTTTGGCCAAGTTTAAGATGCTGGAAAAGTGCCAATCTCCTACCCCGGAGATGTTTAATCTTGGGATGTTTCATCTCCATTTGCAAATTTCATCCTTATTGGTGCATCAATCACAAATGCTCCATGCATGAGTGAGTCTGTGGAAAGAGTGGGAGTTTCTTAGTTCTGCAGCTTATGCTGTAATACAATAATTAATAGAATAGACAGAGTTTATTTAAGTAGGAGGGCAGGGAATCACAGCTCTTACAATTCTTTTTTATGTCTCTAATCTTTCAGAGTTGCATTTAGTAGACGACATTCCTGTTATTCAAAGAAAAGCTATTAAGGTAGCTTATGTACACCACAAATAAAAAAAAATAAGCCTATAATATTAGTTGTACTCACAGAAAAGGCTTTAGTTCTGAACTCATATTTGTCTCCATTATGTCTTTAAAATATGGACCCTCTCCACTCATTTTTGGCACTTTGTCCATAGCAAATATTGCAACTCTTTCTGTATTTAGGGGAAAGATTGGCATATATTTTCAACAGATAATAGACTCTAGTCTTTTATTTTTCTTTTCTTCCTGCTGGAATGATAGGCATATTCTATTTTGCCATTTAGAATTGTGTTATTTTTAATATTTTAATGACTAGAGTAAAAGCTTGAGCTAAGACTGTGATAAAATACTTGAAATCCAATGCAGACCATCCAATGAAGACATTCTCTTCCCTAGTTTCTTTCTGTTGATTTTGTAGCCTTCAGCATATCCTGGGTCCTAAGGCAGAGATTAATGGTTCCATAAACCCAGGAAGTTTTCCAGGACTCAAGTTGTCATTTCAGAAAAAGGCAGAGGGGGAATAGATACTTACAATCTTTTTGACACCAAGTGGATCTTTACTTGCAAATACTACACAAATAGAAATGGGGCCGTGACATGATGGGTGCATTCCTGAGCCCTTCTGATTCTGGGGTGAGGCCCTGTTTTACCCTCGTCACCAGCAGCTGAGAACGGGCTCTTGGGCCTCCTTCCTGTATATTATGTGGCATTGGTCTGCTTACTTGTCTCAGTCCCTCAATTTAACTCTCCACACTATTTCCAGAGTAGTCCTCAAAACACATGAGGTTTTCCTGTATTCCTAAGTTTGAAAACCTTTACATTTCACTGGCTGCCAACAGGATAACTTCTCAACCTCTTCCTCTGGTATTCTGGAAAGTAAGCCCATTAGCCTGATATTATAATTGAGGAACATGAGAACTGAGAAGTGAAGTGACTTCTTCAGGGTCCCGTTGATAGCCGCAGAGTTGAGGTTTGGCCATCTGACTCCTGTTCAAGTACTCTTTACGCCACTCCATATCATCTTTGCATTTAATCTCTGCTACTTCATCTGCAAAATGGGCTTCGTGATAATGACTTAGGTCTCTGATGTCAGGGAGTGTGCTGGCAAGCCTCCACCATGTCTCCTATTAGCTGCAGCTGCTGTTATTCAAGCCCTGTTACTCCCCTCCTACACGGAATAGGGCTGACCTGCGTAAACCAATAGGATATTCTGGACATGATGGTGTGTAAGTTTCAAGGCTAGAAACACCTGCTCTGGATGTCAGCCTGCATGTGTTGAGTACACGTGGCAAGGAACTGAGGCATCCAGCCAATAGACGTGTGAGTGAGCCATCTGCTAGGTGGACCCTGCAGCTCCAGTCAAGCTTCCTAGGACTGCAGCATGGATGACGTCCTGACTGCAACTTTCTGAGCCAGAAACACCCAGCTAAGCTACTCCTGAATACCTGATCCACAGAAACTGTGAAGTATAATAATAAATATTTATTGTTTTAACTCATTAAATTTTGGAGTAAACGATTATGCATCAATAGATAACTAATATAGAGATTACAAAGAAATAGCCTTTTGAAGTTTTTTCAACCCTTGAGTCTGAGATTTTATGAGAAAATGATGATCTGCCCTTCTCAGACAGATAGGGATCTATCCTACAGCTGGATAAAAGGGCTGTTCAGTAGCTAATCTGATGGACTTTTATTCCAGTGATTATAATTAATTTATCAAATTATCCCCATTTAGATAGAGAAGTATTTAAAGACATAAAAAGACAGTCTTCCTAGATTTCTTCTTGTTACTCATACTCCACCCTGTGGATACTGAAACCTGTGGATTCTATCTCTAGAGTTCTCCTCCCTGTCTGTCCCCTCCCCTGTCCCACAGCCAGAGCCACCATTCAGGCTGTTGTCATGTCATCACCTGCTAAATGGACTATACCAATGACTTTCAATGTCTTCCCTTCTATTTACCTTCCCAAATCCAGACCTGGCAATATCACTGCCTTGTTTAAAAAGAGCCTCTCTCCATTATCCTTAAGCTCCTCAGCTAGTGGCACAAAGTCCACTGCACCCTGGCTCCTGCTGGCTTTTCCAGCTCTCCCTTGGCTGGTTGTAGGTTCTGACCTCACCATATTACCTAGATCACTCTGGCTCCCACACACCTCCCCACCCTAGCTCATACTGTTCCCTCTCCCTGGACTGTTCCTCCCCTCCAATGCCTAAAATGCTCTTCTCTCTTACCTACTTGGTGGGCCCCTTTTCATCTTCAAGGTCCAGCCCCTGGAGAAATCCCCTTTGGCACCCCATGAAGTCATTTACTTCTTCTCTTGGGCCTCCGGGTACTTGATGTCCCTTCCTATTAAAACACCTAACACACTAGGTTGGAATGCTTTATTCACTATTCTGCCTCCTTACTCCTGGCTGGAAATTCCTAAAGGACAGCCATTACTTAGTTTGGGGCCTGGGTTTTGGTATGGAGTAGATCCTCAGTACATTTCTTTGGAATGAAAGGATGAATGAGAAGATTAAAAATGCTTTCATTTTCCCTAGGAAGCGATTGTACTATAAATTATTTAGGGTGCACGTGCACAGTTGAGTCGTCTTTTTAATAGTTTGTTTACCTCTTTTATTTCCTGAAGCCTTTTGAACATTTTGCATGTTAGCTTTCATCTGTGAAAGCCATAAAAACTCCAAGTCCTGAGGAGTTGCTTAGGACAAGGCTGGGCAGGTGTGGGTAACTGCTTGAGGCCTAGTTTGATGGTGATGGGTCTGGACTGTGCCCTAGACTGGCCAAGTGGGTGAGGCAGGAGCTGGGGATGGTTCTCAAGCATGCTCACGCTGGCCAGCAGAGTGACATATGGAAGGGGTAAGGCAACAATGGGAAGAGGGCATGGGAACAGCTAGTGCGTAGAGACACGGAAGTCCACATTGGTGGATGGGAATCCGGAAGCAGGTGATGTCTGGAAATAGAGCTGGACAAGGAAGATCTCTCTGAAGGCAGTAAATTTGGTCAAAGCATCTAACTACTGAATACTTCATTTTCTCTATCTGTAAAGAGAGGAAAGCAATAGTAGTTACCTGACATAATTGTTGAGAGGATTAAATGTATAGTTGCATGTGAAATTCTTGGAACAGGGCCCACTGCAGAGTAAGCCCTCAGTGTTTTTTAGTTTTTCATGTTAGTATTACCATGGTTTTAGTATTAATGCAAGGTGCAGGGACTCTAAACCCTGGGGGCTGAGTCAAGAGGTCTAATGGGCTGGAGGAAGGTAGAAGCCTATCTCAGGACACAACTCTAAGACATAAAGCAAGACAGAGGCCTGATACAGGATTTAGGTCATGAAGTCAAGATTGGGTCTGGGGAATATGGCAGAAAGGCAGTCCAAAGCAAAAAGCAAAGCAAAACAAAACAAAACAAAAAATCAGAAGGTAAAAGATGTTTCACTGCAGGCTGCTTATGTCTCAGGCTCTACAAATTCTCCTTAAAAATATTAGGAAAAACATAAAATTGTTTGTATAGGTCAAAAGTGGTGGGATATTGGCAATTTCTTAGAGTTTAACCTCAAATATCACACAGTATAGCCCAATATTTTACAGTCTGATCTCTGGGGACCCCATAGACTAGCAGGGTGACTTTGCACAAATTACTTACATTTATACCTCAGTTTCCTCATTTGTAAAAATGGGGAAAATATTACTTCATTAGATAATTGTGACGATTAAACAAAATAATTCACATGAGCAATTGTGAAAATTTAACCTGTTAGAAATGTGAACTGTTTAGAAACAACTTGTTTAGAATGTGCCTGTCACATAGTAAACACTTCATAATGCTAACCATTGTTATTATTATTCTAGACCCCAGAAAACTAGGCCCAGTACATGGTAGGCATTCAATGAATATGCACCAAATGAATGGATGAATCAGTGTAAAGAGCTGTGTACAGAACTTGGCTCATTTTATACCCTGAATAAGTGTTAGCTACTACTCTAATTATGCTTTCTCTTTAACTCTTCCAATAGTCTTTTGGAATAACTATTGTTGTCCTTGTTTTATTAGGTGAGACAAACAAGTTATAAAATGGTGAAGGAACTTTCCACAGGATAAACAGTTAGAAATAGGCAGAGCAAGCATTTGCAACCATGTTTCATGAACTCCAACATCACAACAGATTCAAAAGTCTCTTAGTCTGTTCAGGCAGGGATAACAGAGTAGACTGGGTGGCTTGTAAACAACAGGAATTTATGTCTCACGGTTCTGGAGCCTGGGAAGTCTAAGATCAGGGCACTGGCAGTTCTATGTCTGGTGAGGGCCCACTTTTGGGTTCATAGATGGTGTTTTCTCACTGTGGCCTCACGTGGTGGAAGGGGCTAATGAGCTCCCTTGGACCTATTTTATAAGGGCACTAATCCTATTCAGAAGGTATTAGTTGCCTCCCAAAAGTCTCCACCTCTTAATACCATACCCTTGGATGTTAGGATTTCAACATATGAATTTTGTACAGACACAAACATTCAGATCGTAGCAAAATCAGAGCTTGGAAAGGACAAAGGATATTTGATGTTTCCTGTTTTTGAGCAGGACCTGCTTAAACCCCCCTTGCCTCAAATCTGGATGGGTCTCCAATTATTTTGTGAAGCTAAGCCTATGGTTGCATGGCCCAAGTTGTGTGCATAAGTGGTTAGACTAAGGCTAGAGTCCTAAAGCCTTAGATTACAGTTAACTGTGCCATTTACTTTTTAGATTTAACTCTGAAGAAGTATTTTGCTGAAAAGATTATCGTAATGAAAATAAAGAGGGGGTCATGATTAGACAGTTGCTTCTGGAAGTCCTGAGCTGTGGCTGAGAGAGGTTGAGTGGCGAGCATATGCTTGACACTGGCCAGCTCCTGGGTGTAGGGCCCGTTCTGGAGGGACAAACATGAGGCTCAAGCCAGCCTCTGCCCAGCTCTACCTTCCTGGAGACCGAGATTATAAGCTGATGTCTCAGGCATTATGGCTGCAGCCCCATTTCACCTAATAGGTTCTGAGGGTGCTCCTAAGAAGGATATTCTTTATGTTCGGCTTAATAGAACTTCCTGGATATCCCTTCTTCCCTAGAGCCAAGCAGCTACCTTTGCAGTTTGAGTCCTCCTGTGCTGCATCTGCAGAGCCTACACAGAGCACCAAGTTTACAATCCATCCCTGTACCTGATCATAAACCTCAAACCCACGAACAGTTACTTTTTGTTCGCTTATAAGTAATGCTCATCTTAATCTGAGCACTGAACCTGGAGCAATTTCTATAGTAGCTTCTACTCATTGCATATGTACTGTGTTCCAGGTGGAAAGCATTTAGGGGCAAGAAAACTGAGGCTCAGACCGGATTTTCCCAAACTTTGCTATGCATATGAATCACCTTGGGATCTTGTTAAGAGGAAGACTCTGGTTTAGTAGGTCTAGGACAGAGATTCTCCCACACGATGCTGATGCTGCTGATCCATGGGTCACGCTTTGAGTAGTAAGGGCTTTGCAGAATCTGCATTATAACAAGATCCTCCAAATAAGTCATATGCACATGTAAGTTTGAGAAGAACTGCTCTACATTACTGAGCCAATTTTTTTGGAATGATTATGGAATTTGTTTTTTATCAAAGTTGTAATGGAAAACTACTTTCAACAAATACCAGCCTGGGGAAAATTGCCTAGGATTGCTAGGAATTTAGAAAATGGAATAACATGTTGAGAGATTCTTTCCCTCAGGACCAAATATGTGGCATGTTTTTCAACACTACTCTACCTGAAGTTAGTGTCAGATCCTACAAATCAAAGCGCTTGGTCCCCCAAGACTGCTCCCCTTTCAGATGCCAGATGGAAATGGGGTTTCCAGGACACTCCCACTTCTGCCTAGTGGACTGCATATTTTGGTGCTTTTAAGATCCCCCTCAGGTTCAATAATTCACTTTTACAAGTAATAGAACACGGGAAAGCACTTTATTTGCTGTTAGTGTTTATTATAAAGGATAAAACTTAGGAACAGCCAAACAGCTGTAAAACAAAAATAAAATTCTAAGGCTCCCCAACCATCTAAATGAACCCTTCCTATCGGCCAGGGCACTCCAAAGTTAACCTGAAAAACTGGTTCGGGCCATGATGGGAAGAGGTGGTCAGGCATGTTTCATTATCCCATCCTCCTTTTTGGAGTTCAGGAAAAGTCAACCAGCATTTGACATCAACACCGACCTTATGTCTGATAAGAAACATTTACAACCTATTCTCTCTGAAGCCTGCTACCTGGAGGCTTCATCTGCATGAGAAGACTTTGATCTCCACAACCACTTACAGTAACTCAGACATTCCTTTCTGTTGAAAATAACTGTTTTAACCAATTGCCAAGCAGAAAAATTTTCAATCTACTTATAACCTGGAAGGCCCCCTGCCTTTAAGTTGTCCCACCTTTCTAGACTGAACCAATGTGTCTTACATGTATTGATTGATGTCATGATGTCTCATATCTCCCTAAAATGTATAAAGCTATGACTATGCCCTGACCGCTTTGGGCATCATGTTCTGAGACTCTCCTGAGAGCTATGTCACAGGCCATTGGTCACTCATATTTGGCTCAGAATAAATCTCTTGAAATGTGTTATAGAGTTTGACTCTTTTCATCAACATAACTCAGGAAGTCGGAGCCTCCATGACCTCTCTGGGTGTTCCACCCTCCCAGCACTGGAATCTCCCTCAACCCTGTTACTTAGAGTTTTTTTTAATGTAGGCATGATTGATTAAATCATTGGCAGCTGGTGATTGCACTCATTCTCCAGTCCTCTCTCCCCTTCCAGGAGGCCAGTGAGTGGGGCTGCAGTTCCAGCCCCCTGGTCATGGCATGGTCTTCCCAGTGCCCAGTCCCCATCCTGATGCTATCTAGGGGCCCACCAAGAGTCACCTCATGAGCATAAACTTCAGTATGGTCTAATGGGCTTTTTTATGAATAAAAAAAGAGAAATGCCTATTAATCTTATAACTCAGGAAATTTCTAGGGTTTTAGGAGCTCTGTGTTATGAACCTGGGACAAAGGCTAAATATATATTTTTCAAGATACCACATACATACAGGGAAATTCAAGGGCACATCATAGTAATTCCATTTTCTGCATGTACCATTGCTATTTAGAAAGAACTTTCCCATATTTCTCTTTTTTGCTCTCCACCAAGCCCTGTTCAATATGGGTGGAGTAACATTAGCCCAGTGGGTACATCACTCACACCCATAGTTTAGATAACTTGTTAGGTAGCCATGGTTATGAATTTTTAAAAGCATACCCCAGACAACTGAGGCTCATACACACCCCACTCATAACAAGAAGTAGCATTTCTTTTGAAAGGAAGAAGGGCAGAGATAAAGTAATGAAGTGTGAAGTTGACTGGGATCTGCTGGTCAGCATTCTTCATTTGCCTGGGCTGGGCCTGGGAGTGGATAGGGAGCAGGAGAGCCAGCAGGACTTTAGGAGCCCAAAGAAGTCATGCCTCAGATTGAGGAGAGGAGAACTGGCAAAGCTTACAGTAAGGGCTGATCCAGAGCTGCCAATAAATGGTTTGGGTCAAAGGCCACAAAATGTTCTTACCTTTATGTAACAAATCTTGGTTCTGGGCATTTATTTTAAGAAAATAAATATGTTTACATGATATCTACAGCAGCTTTTTTGAAATAACACAAAATTGAAAACAAACGAGTATTTAAATTACTAGAGGACTATGTTGCAGTATTTGATGAACTCTGCAGCCAGAAAAATTGTCGATTTGTACCAAAAATGTAATAAAAATAAAAATTATATATCAACTTGGAAAATGTTTACAACTCAGAATTAAGTGAAACAGCAGATGATAAAAATTTATGTGTTCTATGATTGCAATTATATAAACTAAGATAGGATGAGGGATATAGTGTTGGGATTAGAGATACTTTTTCTCCTTTAAAATTTCCTTATTGTTACTGCTTTTACAGTAAAAATGTAAATAGTGTTATGAATACAAGTTCTGTGTATCTCTAAGCACAATTTCTGTGCCCTAACAGTTCATGATGAGGAGGATAAAAGGTATAAACAAATTTTATTAACCTAAAAATATATCTATGAATAAAATTACTTTTCTGCCTCTTTTTCCTTTACAGGTGTCTCTTGAAAATGGCTATAAAACTTCTTGTCAAATTGGAGTACTTTGGAATATTTAGGAAAAGTTGGCAGAGAGGAGACAGGACTAAAGTGCAGCTCCCACTTGGATGAACTGAACAGTGTGTGGAGACTCACATTGTGAATTTTTGCTCCAAGAACTACCTCAGGAACATACCAGAAAAACCAAAAGAATTCACAGACCCTTTGAAAAAAGTGGCTTGCCAGTGCAAACTCCATGAGACAGCTGAAAAACTGTGAGTTCTCAAAGTGTGAGATGCGGGGAAAGGTCTGCCTCTGAACACTCATTACCACTGGGGAACCTGCAAATCCAGGTCATGGGAGAAGGATTTAACCATACCTAGAGTTGAAAAGGATTTAAGGAGCTGGGTGAAATATAAACGTAGAAGAAGCAGTGGGAAGAGCCCTATAGGCACTCCCGATCTCCAGCTTGAGTCCAGAAAAGCCATTCCTGGCTTTATCTCACCAGAGGTCCTTGGGGAAAGGCAGCTAGTGGAATTCAGGAGGGGACATGGGGTGAAGAAAGCTTCCAGTGGAATTTTTGTAATAATTTTGACTGAGCACAAATTTTTCTGAGCAGAATGCAGCAGTGGGGAGAGGGGAAATGGGGGCACAAATAGGAAGTGCAGATATGAGTGCAGAAGCTGCAGCCAAGGTTGTGGGTGGAGGGGTGGGGGTGAGGGGTGAGGTCTTAGAGTCATGCTTACTTTCTCAACAGGAAGACTTGTAGCCTGGGGCAAGATCTCAGCCCTGCTCCCCAGCTGCCTGGATGTAAACTTGGTGCTGTTAGTGAGGCATGGAGGGAGTGAGACTGGCCTTGCTGCATGAGAGCTGGGTGAGGCCTATCACTGCCAGCCTTCCCCTAGTTCCCTGGTGACCTGTATGATGCAGCAGAGGCAGCCAAAATCACCCTGAGAACATAACTGTATTGTCCTGAGAACCACCCCTATTCCCCACAGTAGCCACAGCAAGCCCTGCCCAAGGATAGTGTGAGCTCAGACCCACCTAATTCTGCCCCCACCTGATGATTTTTCTCTGCCTGCCCTGGTAGCCAAAGACAAAAGACATAAGCTCTTGAGAGCTCTATGGCCCCACCCATCACCTGAGAAACCCGAGTACTTATCCTGGCCAATGTAGGGCAAGTGTATATGCCCCTTCTACTACTGCAGCTGGTGCTGTCTTGAAAATGCCACCTCCTGGCTGGAGGCCAACCAACTTAAGCCATTAAAGCAACTCATACCAGACCAACCCTGCTCTAAAGAAGAGAAAATCACAGCTAATTCCACCACCTGCACCACCCTGGCTAACCAGAGGTCCTGAGTCTGTCCTTGTGACAGCATCACTGCTAGCATAACCAGCATTCGAGAAAAACAGCATGCTAAACAAAACTACAACCAAGGACTCCCACAGAGTCCACTTTATGCCCCTGCCACCTCCACTGGAGCAGGTGCTGGTATCCATGGCTGGAAGGCCTGAAGACAAACCACATCACAGGACTCTTTGCAGACATTCCCTAGTACCAGCCCAGAGCCTGCTAGCCTCATTGAGTGGCTAGACCCAGAAGAGCAATAACAGTCACTGCAGTCTGGCTCTCAGGAAGCCCCATCCCTACGGGAAGCAGAAGAGCACCACATCAAGGGATCACCCCGTGGGACAAAATAATCTGAACAGCAGCCCTTGAGTTCTAGATCTTTCTACTGAAACAGTCTACCCAAATGAGAAGGGATCAGAAAAGTAATTCCAGCAATATGACTAAACAAGTTTCTATAACGCCCCTAAAAGATAACACTAGCTCTCCAGGAATGGATCCAAACCAAGAAGAAATCTCTGAATTGCCAGTTAAAGAATTCAGAAGGTTGATTATTAAGCTACTTAGGGAGATACCAGAGAAAGATGAAAAACAACTTAAATTAAAAAAAAAATTCAAGATATGCATTAAAACGTCTCCAGAGAAAGAGATATTATAATGAAAAAACAATTACAACTTCTGGAAATGAAAAACACACTTAAAGAAATGCAAAATATGCAAGAAAATTTCAACAATAGACTCAAGTAGAAGAAAGAACTTCAGAGCTTAAAGACAAGGCTTTCAAATTAACCCAATCCAACAAAGACAAAGAAAAAAGAATTTTAAAAAAATAAAGCCTCCAAGAAGTTTGGGATTATGCTAAACCACCAAACATAAGAATAACTGGTGTTCCTGAGGAAGAAGAGAAATCTAAAAGTTTGGAAAAATTCTTTGAGGGAATAATCGAGAAAAGCTTCCCTGGCTTTGCTGGAGATCTAGACATCCAAATACAAGAAGCCCAAAGAATACCTGGGAATTCATCACAAAAAGATCATCATCACCTAGGCACATGGTAATTAGGTTATCTAAATCAAGACAAAGTAAAGAATCTTAAGAGCTATGAAGCAAAAGCATCAAGTAACCTATAAATGAAAACCTATCAAATTAACAGCAGATTTCTCAGCAGAAACCCTACAAGCCAGAAGGTATTGGGGTCCTATCTTTGATGTCCTTAAACAAAATAATTATTAGCTGAGAATTTTGTATCCAGCGAAACTAAGCTTAATAAGTGAAGGAGTG
Organism: Homo sapiens; assembly: GCF_000001405.40. NCBI lineage: Eukaryota > Metazoa > Chordata > Mammalia > Primates > Hominidae > Homo > Homo sapiens. Next base: position 108,372,990 of record NC_000009.12, on the reverse strand, counting down.
ATAAAGTCTTTTTCAGACAAACAAATGCTGAGAGAACTCACCAGTACCAAGCCAACACTACAAGAACTGCTAAAAGGAGTCTAAATCTTGAAATGGTTCCTCAAAATATACACCAAAATAGAACCTCCTTAAAGCATAAATCTCACAGGGCCTATAAACAATAACATAATAAAAAAAAAGCAAAACCCACAAGGTCTTCAGGCAACAACTAAATGAATAGAACAGTAGCTCATATCTCAATACTAATGTATCATGTAAATGGCCTAAATGCTCCACTTAGAATATACTGAATGGCAGAATGGATAAAAATCCACCAACCAAGTATCTGCTTTCTTCAGGAGACTCACCTAACACATAACTACTCACATAAACTTAAGGTAAAGGGATGGAAAAAGATATTCCATGCAAATGGAAACCAAAAGCAAGCAGAAGTAGCTATTTTTGTATCAGACAAAACAGACTTTAAAGCAACAACAGTTAAAAAAGACAAAGAGGGACATTATATAATGATAAAAGAATTAGTCCAACAGCAAAATAGCACAATCCTAAATATATATGCACCTAACATTGGAGCTCCCAAATTTTTAAAACAATGACTACTAGACCTAATAAATGAGACAGGAGACAACACAGTAGTAGTGGAGAACTTTAATACTCCACTGATAGCACTAGACAGGTCATCCAGACAGAAAGTCAACAAAGAAACAATGGACTTAAACTATACCCTAGAACAAATGGACTTAACAGATATTTACAGAACATTCTACACAACAACTACAGAATATACATTCTTTTCATGGGCACATGGCACATTCTTCAAGATAGACTATACGATAGGCCACAAAACAAGCCTCAATAAATTTTTAAAATCAAAATCATATCAAGTACTCTCTCAGGCCACAGTGGAATAAAATTGAAAATTAACTGCAAAAGGAACCCTCAAAACTACACAAATACATGGAAATTAAATAATCTACTTCTGAATGATCTTTAGATCAACAATAAAATCAAGATGAATATTAGAACATTTTTTGAACTGAATGATTATAGTGACAAAATGTATCAAAACCTCTGGGATACAGCAAAAGTGGAACTAAGAGGAGAGTTCATAGCATGAAATGCCTACATCAAAAAGCCTGAAAGAGCACCTGTAGACAATCTAAGCTCACACCTCAAGGAAGTAGAGAAACAAGAACAAACCAAACCCAAACCCAGCAGAAGAAAAGAAATAACAAAGACCAAAGCAGAACTAAATGAAATTGAAACAAACAAACAAAAAATACAAAAGATAAAACAAAAAGCTGATTCTTTGAAAAGATAAGCAAAATCGATAGATCATTAGCAAGATTAACCAAGAAGAGAGAAGATCTGAATAAGTTCAGTTAGAAATGAAATGACAGATACTACAACCGACACTACAGAAACACAAAAGATCATTCAAGGCTACTATGAACACCTTTATGAGCACAAACTAGAAAACCTAAAGGAGATGGCTAAATTCCTGGAAATATACAACACTCCTAGATTAAACCAAAAGGAAATAGAAACTCTGAGCAGACTAATAACACGCAGCAAGACTGAAACACTAATAAAAAAATGCCAACAAAACTAAGTTTAGGACCAGATGGATTCACAGCTGAATTCTATCAGACATTCAAGGAAGAATTGGTATCCTACTGAAACTATTCCAAAAGATAAAGAGGGGATCCTCCCTAAATCATTTTATGAAGCCAGTATCATCCTAATACCAAAACCACGAAAGGACATAACAAAAAAAGAAAACTGCAAACCAGTATCCCTGATGAACATAGATGCAAAAATTCTCAACAAAATACTAGCTTACTGAATCCAACAGTGTATCGAAAAGATAATCCACCATGACCAAGTGGGTTTCATATCAGGGATGCAGGGATGGTTTAACATACGCAAGTCAACAAATGTGATACACCACATAAACATAATTGAAACCAAAAATCACATGATCATCTCAATAGATACAGGAAAAGCATTTGACAAAATCCAGCATCCCTTTATGATTAAAAAATTGGCATAGAGGGGACATACCTTAAGGTAATAAAAGCCATCTATGACAAACCCACAGCCAACATTATACTGAATGGGGGAAAGTTGAAAGCATTCCTCCTGAGAACTGGAACAAGAAAAAGATTCCCACTTTTACCACTTCTATTCAGCATAGTACTGGAAGTCCTAGCCAAAACAATCAGACAAGAGAAAAAAATAAAGGGCATCCAAATCAGTAAAGAGGAAGTAAAACTGTCACTGTTCACTGATGATATGATTGTATACCTAGAAAAACCTGAAAGACTCATCTAAAAAGCTCTTAGATCTGATAAATGAATTCAGTAAAGTTTCAGGACACAAAATCAATGTACACAAATCAGTAGCATTGATGTACACCAACAGTGATCAAGTTGAGAATCAAATCAAGAACTCAACCCCTTTTATAGCAGATATGGAAATAAATAAATACAACACAACACAACACAACACAACACAATACTTAGAAATATACCTAACCAAGGAGGTGAAAGGTCTCTACAAAGAAGACTGCAAAACATTGCTGGAAAAAAATCATAGACAACACAAACAAATGGAAACACATCCTATGCTCATGAATGGGTAGAATCAATATTGTAAAAAATGACTATACTGCCAAAAGCAATCTATAAAATTCAGTGCAATTCTTATCAAAATACTGTTATCATTCTTCAGAGAACTAGAAAAAAACTATGCTAAAATTCATATGGAACCAAAAAGCCACATAGTCAAAGCCAGACTAAGCAAAAAGGACAAATCTGGAGGCATCACATTACCTGACTTCAAACTATACTATAACACTATAGTCAGCCAAGCAGCATGGTACTGGCGTATATACAGGCTTGTGGACCAATGGAACAGAATAGTGAACCCAGAAGTAAAGCCAAATACTTAGAGCCAACTGATCATCAGCAAAGCAAACAAAAACATATAGTGGGGAAAGGACGCCCTATTTAACAAATGGTACTGGGAGAATTTGCAGGCCAGATGTAGAAAGATGCGACTGGATCCTCATCTTTCACCTTATACAAAAATCAACTTATGATGGATCAAGGACTTAAATCTAAGACCTAGCACCATAAAAATTTTACAAGATAACATCGGAAAATCTCTTCTAGACGTTGACTTAGGCAAAGACTTCAGGACCAAGAATCCAAAAGCAAATGCAACAAAAACAATGAAAATAGATGGGACTTGATTAAATAAAAATGCTTTTGCACTGCAAAAGAAATAGCAGAGTAAACAGACAACCTACAGAGTGGGAGAAAATCTTTGCAAACTGTGCATCTGACGAAGGACTAATATCCAGAATCTACAAGAAATGCAAATGAATCAGCAAGGAAAAAACAAATAATCCCATCAAAAAGTGGGCTAAGGACTTGAATATACAATTCTCAAAATAAGATATACAAATGGCTAACAAACATATGAAAAAATGCTAAACATCACGAATTATGAGGGAAATGCAAATCAAACCCACAGTGCAATACTACCTTACTCCTACAAGAATGGCCATAATTTAAAAATGAAAAAAAAAAAAGATGTTGGTGTGGATGTGGTGAAAAGGGAACACTTTTACACTGCTGGTGGGAATGTAAACTAGTAAAATTACTATGAAAAACAGTGTGGAGACTCCTTAAAGAGCTAAAAGTAGAACTACCATTTGATCCAGCAATCCTACTACTCAATACCTACCCAGAGGAAAATAAATCATTATATGAAAAAGACACTTGCACACACATGTTTCTAGCAGCACAATTTGCAATTGCAAAAAATATAAAACCAGGCTAAATGCCCATCATCCGATGAGTGGATAAAGAAAATGTGGTGTATATGTACTATGGAATGCTCGGAATACTCCTTCAGTCATAAAAAGAAATGAAATAATGGCATTCACCACAACCTGAACTGAGTTGGAGACAATTATTCTAAGTGAAATAACTCAGGAATGGAAAACCAAACATTGTATGTTCTCACTTGTAAGTGGGAGCTAAGCTATGAGCGTGCAAAGGCATAAGACTGATACAGTGGACTAAGGATGGGAGGGGGTGAGAGATAAAAGACTACACATTGGGTACAGGGTACACTGCTTTGGTGATGGGTGCGGCAAAATCTCAGAAATCACTGCTAAATAACTTATCCATGTAAGTGAACACTACCAGTTCCCCAAAAACTATTGAAATTAAAAAAAAAAAAAAAAACAAAAACCAAAAAACAAAAAACAGAGAAACAGCTAGAAGAAATCTGTGTGAGAGTGGTTTCAACAGAGAGTGAAGGAATGAAATTGGAGTTAAAGAGGACAGGAAGGCATCAAGACATCTGTGTGAGAATGGTTTCAATAGAGAGTGAAGGAGTGAAATTGGAGTTAAAGAGGACAAGAAAGCATCAAGACCTCTGGTGCTGGCAGAAGCAATCTACCATGTCCCTGAGTCTCCCTACATATTTTTACTGGGCATGTCAACAGTGCAAGGGCCTGACCACTCTTTACCTCGGCCATTTCTTCGAGTCGTGTGTGCAGTCATAAATCTTGAGAATGGACGTCCCCTCAAACCTCATGTTGAAATTTGATCCCCAATACTTTAGGTGGAGCCTATTAGGAGGTATTTGGGTTGTGGGGCAGATCTCTCCTAAATGGCTTGGTGCCATCCTCATAGCAAAGAGGGAGTTCTTGCTCTAGTTCCCATAAAACTTCCCCCAAGAACTTGTTGTTAAAAAGAGTGTGGCACCCTTGAAACTTGCTTCCTTTCTAGCCATGTGATCTCTGCACATCCCCTTCATGTTCCACCATGAATGGAAGCTTCCTGAGGCCCTTACCAGAAGCAGATACTAGTGCCATGCTTTTTGTACGACCTGCAGAACTATGAGCCAGATAAACCTTTAAAAAAAATTAAATTACGTCGCCTCAGGTGTTCCTTCATAGCAACACAAATGAACTAGCACAGCATTTTACCCCAGACAAGGCACAGGCTTGCTTCCACTGACTATAAAAGCAGTGAATCCTTTAATTTCAGTGTTGCCTTCCTATAATGCAACCCGTAGCATGCTCAGGCATGCCCAAGGCCTCTCTCTGTCACTCTCACGAGACTTGGAGGAGTGGGCATGGCGAACCAACAGATACAGACCAACATGAAATTGTGGCTACTCCTTTTGCCATGAGAAATAAAGTTGTCTCTGAAAAAAATATTGTTATCAAATTCAAAACTGTATCTGCGTGGGTCTGACCCAAAATATAGGCCATGCAACATCCCTGGCCTTGTCCTTGAAAGGTGCTGGTGCTGTAGCTCATAAGCAAGGCAGAGTCCAGAGCTTCTAAGCTCAGAGCTGAGCCTGTGTGAGAAACACTTTGACAATTATGCATTAACATGATGTGGTCAGAAAAGACAAATCATTTCAAAAGTGAGCCCAAGTCAATAGACACTTGACAGATACTTGAAACTATGTGCATTGATCTTGATGAAACTTTTTGTAGGGACAACTTGAGGTAGAAAAGTGACAGGAAATTGTGCAAGGATGTATGTATTAAAGAATAGAAAAAGAGTTGTCTCAGCAATATTTGGGAATTTGGCTGGTTACCTAATAATTTAAAATATCTTACACAACAAATTTCTATATCACAATTAAAAAGAAGGAAAATGTTTCCATGCTTGTATTAGTTGGTACTTGCATTGCTAGAAGGAACCTGAGACTGGGTGATTTATAAATAAAATAGGTTTAATTGACTCACAGTTCCACAGGCTGTACAGGGAGCATGGCTGGGGAGGCCTCAGGAATCTTATAATCATGGAAGAAGGTGAAGGGGAAGCAGATACAAATTCACATGGCTGAGCAGGAGAGAAAGAGCAAAGGGGGATGTGCTAGACACTTTTAAACAACCAAGTCTCATGAGAACTCACTCACTGTCATAACAGCAAGAGAGAAGTCTGCCCTCATGATCCAATCACCTTCCACCAGGCCCTTCCTCCAACACTGAAGATTACAATTTGATATGAGATTTGGGTGGCGACACAGAGCCAAACCATATCAATGTTTATTAGCACTGTACATGCTGTAACCTTGTTGGTGCTAATATATAGGCAATTAAGGAAAAATAAAATGCTTTGCTACTCAGGTTATTACTTTTACTTACTCAATGGATGCTGTGGGAGAATAGATCAAGTCAGAATTTATCAAATTGCCCCATCTTACCTACCTTCCCGGGAGTATCAAGTGACACTTTTACTAAAGACACTGACACAGGCTTAGGGGAATGTGCCAGCTACTCAAAGGCTCCCGTCACATTCAGGAGCCGGGTCAATACCATAGCAATTGAGCAGGGATTCAACGCTTGAATTCTGTCTGCCAGTGGCCTTCAGGTATATCTCAATAAGTTCCTCCTTAGCAATGCTCTCCCATTGGTCCATGCCCACCATTTATTTGACTCCATTCCCGGAAGCTTCACTTTATAGTCCCTCTCTCATGACCATTGCCGATTAGGTACTGAGCAATGTGTTGGTCCTATAAGACCTACTAACCAAATTTCAGAAAATGAGATTATTTGGCCAAACCAACCAAGGCATTTGCATTGCTTCTCTTTTCCTCAGCAGTGAGTAACAATGATTCCACAAATATAGAAAATCAATATTATTAAGATTTAGATCTCTGGAGATAGATTATGGATAGAAGAAAGTCTTTTAAAAGAAGACCTTAATTTATTAGAAAGCTTACAACACTAAAACAACTCTTCCCTTTCAGTTGCTGCACAAGTAAAGTCATCTTGAAACTATTTTTAAAGGATAATTTAACCTCACCATCAAAATTTAGTACTCAAAACCTCTAAACAAATAGTAGAGATGAAGTTACAGCAGTATGTTTACCAGAGAAGGATTTGGGGTCAACTTTTGAAATAGAAGTGGGTGTCATCATGATAGGCAGGCATGGCATTCTTCCAGCACTGTTCAGAGGTGTGACCAGACGGACGGTACACCGCATCTTAGCACACGCTTCTCCTTCATCCTTGCTGCCCTCTCTCCTCCTCTTCCTTGATACCTGGCTAACACACCCATTTGACTTGGAGGACTTAGCTTCACTCTGGATCTAGTGGTAGAAAAAATTTGAATAACTTTTTAAGCTTACACAGCTAGAAAGTGGCTGGGTCAAGACAAACCTAGATTTGACTCCAAAACCCATAATTTTATGCTCTGTGCTTTACTGCCTCTTACTTCAACTATAAACCACCTCCCCATGGATTTCTGTGTAACTGTCATCCTTTCTGTTCTCTAGGAAAGGGGGAACATATTCCAAGCTCCTGCTGGAAGGGGTGTCCGGGCCCACTTGAGCCAGCATAATTCATTTCTTTCTCTCTGTGATATGGTTTGGCTGTCTCCCCACCCAAATCTCATCTTGAATTGCAGCTCCCATAATTCCCATGAGTTGTGGGAGAGACCCCGTGGGAGATAATTGAATCATAGGGGTGGTTTCCCCCATACTCTTCTCGCCGTACGGAATTAGTCTCATAAGATCTGATGGTTTTATAAGGGATTTCCCCTTTGGCTTGGCTTTCATTTTCTGTCTTGCCTGCTGCCATGTAGGATGTGCCTTTCACCTTCCACCATGACTGTGAGGCCTCCCCAGCCATGTGGAACTGTGAGTCCATTAAACTTCTTTTTTTTTTTTTTTTTTTTTTTTGAGACGGAGTCTGGCTCTGTCGCCCAGGCTGGAGTGCTGTGGCGCGATCTCCGCTCACTGCAAGCTCCGCCTTCCGGGTTCACGCCATTCTCCTGCCTCAGCCTCCCGAGTAGCTGGGACTACAGGCACCCGCCACTGCGCCCGGCTAACTTTTTGTATTTTTAGTAGAGACGGGGTTTCACCGTGGTCTCGATCTCCTGACCTCGTGATCCGCCCGCCTAGGCCTCCCAAAGTGCTGGGATTACAGGCGTGAGCCACCGCGCCCGGCCTAAACTTCTTTTTCTTTATAAATTACCCAGTCTCAGGTATGTCTTTATCAGCAGTGTGAAAATGAACCAATACACTCTCCTACTCCTAGTAAAAGTAAAAATAGAAATGAAAAACAGTTGGATATTGTGTCACTAAATGTGGTGTCAAAGCTCAACTAATGGCTCCCAAAGAGTTTCTTAGAATTGTCAATTTGAAGTTCACTCCTTGGAAGGCACATTCAGGGAAGGGGTTTTGACAGAGTTGAAAATTTGTGTCAAACTTTTGACACAGCACAGTCTTTTGACACTTCTTCGTGGCCTCTTTCAGAAAGGCAGACCCAATGCCTGCCCAGACTCCTTGGTAATAAGCAGAACTTTTAGAATCACTTGATGGAGAAAGTTCGGCATGGTGCTTAAAACTGGTGTCTTTCATATCCTCTAGACTTGACTTTGAATCTGTCCTCCCTGGGTAGGTTACATTGAGTCAGTTTTGTAACCTCTCTGAGACTCAGTTTCTTCATCTGTGAAGTGAGGGCAGTATCCCTTGGAGGATTGGCTTGAGACTAAATGAAATAATAAACCACAGGAGATACAGAGGGGTTATGGAACTCAACTAAACTGACTTAGGCCTCAAAGCCTGTAGGTGGCAGTTACAGGATTTGATCCCAGGCAGCCTGACTCTAGGTCCCTCCCCACCTCCCCCCTGCCTTATAACCACCTTGCTATGCAATGTGATAAAGGTTATAATGGGTCATTGCCTGGCCCAGAGGGAGAAAACAGGAAGGACCTCTAACCTAGACCAAGGAGAAAAGGGTCAAGAATAACTTTTCAGGAGTCATAACATCCAAGCAAGAAACTGTGAGTTAGCCAAAGAAAGGGAGGAATTTTGGTGGTGGAAAAGGGGGATATTGAGTGATGAGGGTAGGATGGCAGAGAATGTTCTAGGCAGAAGGAATAGTATGTACAAAGCAGTCAAGAGAGAGCATGGCACATTTGGGTTGCAATTCATAGCTGGCTAATCAATATGTTGGAAATTGCTGTGCAGGTGCCTTCTGTGTCAGGGTTATTACACTAAACAACTTTTGCTTTGTGCATAGAGCCTCCTGAGCACTATAGTGCATGACTTGTGGCTTCCTATAGTGGCCTTGTGTGCTCCTGTGATTCCAACTCAATTACAAACTCCCTGAGGGCAGGATCCAGACTTTGGGCTTAGTTCCATCTCCAGAACAGAGCACATGTCAAGAACTCCAAACATACTGGGCAATACTTACTGGTATAAATTTATCTATGAATGATTTATAATAGTAAAGCTACCCTTTCATCAGCAGAAAATGTCAATTAACATGTTCTGCAAACACCCACAGATATGAAGTGGTGACCAGAATTTGTTTTTATCCATGGGGAACACAACTGCCACATGATTTGTGTGCAAATTGCCCTCTGTGTACAATCTGTATTGGCATAGACTCATGAAACAGACAGCTGACAGGCAGTGCCCAGAATCAAATGGCAAATTCAGAGAAAAGGATTTGCTTTCCCTGGGATGAGCAGGCATTGCTATTCTGGGCCCGAGTAAATAAGACTGTGTAAATAAAACTGTCATGAACCTCATTGTTCAAGCCATCAGGGAAATGGTTATTGTCTTTCCTCATTAGAATGAGGTCTCTCAGAGTGGCCTGATGTGACCATGTTCCTGTTCATATTCAAGAATGTAACCTACAGTTTTTGTGGTTTTTTTTAAGAGAACATATGTGAGTTAATTATTTGGCTCCATTAAAGAGGTATCAGTTTTCTCATTGCAACTTTTAAGATAATAGCAAGTTATTATATTTCTTTTCTTCATTATGAAAGATCATAACAAAATTGATGAATGACAGCAGGCCCATAGGGCATTGAGCCAGCCCAAAATCAAGGCACAAACACCAAGCTGGAAGGCCTTCTGGGGTGACCGTACTCATTGCTTGTACTTACTGAAATTTTGGTTTTGTGGTAAATATGCATAAAGGATGCCATGACTTTAAAAGACTATATTTTTGGAGATGTTCTTTAAATGCCCTTCTTTGCTCTTGAATAGAGGGTGGTTGTAATTTTGTGGTGCTGTTGGTAATCATTTGCATGGCTTGTTTTTCTAAAAAACGTTTTATTTGGAATAATGTCAGACTTACAGAGAAAAGTTACAAAAATAGAGCAAAGAACACCCTTCTACTCTATATCCAGTTTCATCTAGTGTTAACATGTTGCTCTATTTAATTGTTTTCTTTCTATTTTTTCTGACAAAATTAAGAGTATGTCGCATGCCATATTTATTTACCCCTAAATATTTCAGTGTCAATTTCCTAGGTACAGTTATCAACCTCAATAAATGTAATAGTGACAACAGTACTTTTATCCAATTTATGGTCTATATTCCAATTATCGGTTGACCCAATAATGTCATTATAACACTTCCTCCTCTAGCACCATCTCATCTAGTTATGTATTTAGTTGTAATGCTGGTTAAGTTTCTTATAGCTCATTCAGGCTGCTCTACCAGAATACCATAGCCTGGGAGGCTTATAAATTACAGAAACTTATTTTCCACAGTTCTGAAGGCTATAAAGTCCATGATCAAGGTGCCAGCAGATTTGGTGTTTGGAGAGGGTTTGTCTCCTGGTTTGTAGCTGATGCCTTCTTCTTGAGTCCTCACATGTTGGAACGGGCAAGGGAACTCCCTGGGATTTTTTTTTTTTTTTAACTTTTAAGTTTAGGGGTAAAAGTGCAGGTTTGTTACATAGGTAAACTTGCATCATGGGGGTTTGTTGTACAGATTATCTCATCACTGATACAGTTTGGCTGTATTCGCACACAAATCTCATCTTGAATTTTAGCTCCCATAATTCCCACATGTCTTGGGAAGGACAGGGCGGGATGTAAGTGAATCATGGAGGTGGGTCTTTCCTGTGCTGTTTTTGTGATAGTAAATAAGTCTTATGAGATCTGATGGTTTTATAGAGGGGAGTTCCCCTGCACATGCTATCTTGCCTGCTGCCATGTAAGACATGGCTTTGCTCCTCCTTTGCCTTCCACCATGATTGTGAGGCCTCCCCAGTCAGGTGAAACTGTGAGCCAATTAAACCTCCTTCCTTTATAAATTACCCTGTCTCAGGTATGTCTTTATTGGAAGCATGAGGACAGACTAATACAATCACCCAGGTATTAAGCCTAGTACCCATTAGTTATTTTTTTGACCCTCTCTTTCCTCCCAACCTCCACCCTCTAATAGGTCCCAGTGTATGTTGTTCCCCTCTATGTGTCCATGTATTCTCATCATTTAGCTCCCACTTATAGGTTAGAATATGTAGTTTTTGGTTTTCTGTTCCTGTGTTAGATTGCTAAGGTTAATGGCCTCCAGCTCCATCCATGTCCCTGCAAAGGATATGATCTCATTCTTTTTGTGGCTGCATAGTATTCCATGGTGTATATGTATCACACTTTCTTTATCCAATCTACAGTTGATGGACATTTAGGCTAATTCCATGTCTTTGCTATTGTGAATAGTGCTTCAGTGAACATAGAGGTGCATGTGTCTTTATAATAGAATGATTTCTATTCGTTTGGGTATACACCCAGTAAGGGAATTACTAGGTTGAATTGTCTTTAGGTCTTTGAGGAATCACTACACTGTCTTCCATAATGGCTGAACCAATTTACACTCCCACCAAGACTGTGTAAGCATTCCTTTTTCTCCACAACCTCACCAGTATCTGCATGTTTTTCTGACTTTTTAATAGTAGCCATTCTGACTGGTGTTAAATGGTATCTCATTGTGGTTTTGATTTGCATTTCTCTAATAACCAGTGATGTTGAGCTGTTTTTCATATGATTATTGGCCACTTGTATGTCTTATTTTGAAAAGTGTCTGTTCATGTCCTTTACTCACTTTTTTATGTTTTGTTTTTCTTGTAAATTTCTTTAAGTTCCTTATAGATGCTGGATATTAGACCTTTGTCAGATGCATAGTTTGTGAAAATTTTCTCCCATTCTGTAGGTTGTCTGTTTACTTTGTTGGTAGTTTCTCCTCTCTCATCTGAGGTCTTTTTTAATAAGGACACTAATCTCATTCATAGGGCTCTGCCCTTGTGACCTAATCACCTTCCAAAGGCCTCGCATTCTGATAATATCACATTGCAGTTGGAATTTCAACCTATGAATTTGGTGAGGATATAAACATTCAGTCAATAGCAGTCTCCTTTTGTCAGGAGTAATTATCAGCCCTTCTTTGTCTTTTATGACATTGATATTTTTGGAGAAACAATCTATTTCTCCTTTTAAAATTAAAATGGTTCTCATTCTGGATATACATGACGTTTCCCCCAGTTAGATTCAGTTTATTCATTCCCCACCACTGGATGCATGACTTTTAAGTGAGACTTGGTTATGTATGTATCACAGATTCTTTGGAACAAAAGTAATCTAAAGAATCTCCCTGTTCAAGATAGAATACCTGCATGAGCTGTGTGCCGCCAGCCTGGAGCTTGAGTTATGAGTTCAGCCGTGCCATGAACTCCTTGGGCCATTCCTGGCTAGTCATCCTTCTGGGCTTCAGTTTCCTCATTTGTAAAGGAAGGGATTGAGTTAGATGATCTTTAGTAGTCCTCTGGGTTAAACTATTCATGATTTTTAATGAATCCATCACAAATACTTGTGTTTAAAGGCAATTAATGTCCTTATTAAGAGTGAGAATAGTAACAACAATTCTCTTAGTTGCCTAGATCTTTGGAGAGCTTTGTCTGAATTTGCAAGAAAAGCTGAAACTTTAAACCAGCAAAATATATTGTATTTTGATTAGTGAGTGGGGAGATTGTGCCTCGGCCTGGCACAAAATGCTGTTTATCTCCTGAAGATAAACTGACACATTAACACTGAGATTCCAAGATGCTCACATATTTCCAAATAAATACTGAGGATCTAAAGCTTGCTTTCTGGCTGTTAACATGATTCCTGTAATAACATGCATTTAGGGTATTTTCCAAATACCCAAAGGCACGCATGACTTTAGAGAGCACATGTGTATTTCATTTCAGTAACCCATTTTTCTGCTTAATTAAATTCATTTGGCAGAAGTGGCAATATGAATTTGATACACTGTTATCACATAGCATTACCGGTAAGCCTCTCAGGCTTCTACCTCGGACAGCCCTGGTACAAAACACTCTGGCAGAAAGAAGGTTTGTGGAGCTGCCAAAAGGCAGGATAAGAATTCCCCAGGGCAGCCCCCAAGACCTAGAAAGAGGAAAATGAGAGCTCATGGGATGTGCAGGCTCTTGGTGCTTCAAAAGGCTGCTCGAGTACCCCTTGCCTGAATGGCTCTTCTTTCAGTAATTACAAGTGGTGAGAGGCCCTTTTTGACTGTACTTGGCACTCACCTGGGCTCTCAGATATTTGTCTTGTGTGTAGTGTTAAGGTAAGTGTGTGTAGTTGCCAGACAGTTTACAAAACATTTATGTTTATGGTGCATATGAGGCAGTTTGGAGGAACTTGTGTTCAAAATCTGACTTTAACCCTTGCTAATAATATGACCTTAGTCAATTTACACAGCCTCTTTGAGCTTCTTACATCTGGAAAATAGATTTATAGGTCCATGTTACCTATATGTTACAAGGTTACCTATGTTACAAGATTGTTGTGAGGATTAAGATATACAGACATTTAAGCTCTCTGACACATAGTTGATACTTAATATATAATTGTTTTTTTTCCTGTCTTCTGAAGTAGGTAGACAGGATGAGTATTGCTAACCCTGTTTTATATGGGAGAAAATGGTGGCTTATAAAGTTTTAAGGTCACTCAAATGGTAAGGTCCCATGATGGATTTGAACTTGTGACTTTTCACTAGCCCATTTGTCTCATGTGGAAATTGGTTTTTTGTAAGTTGATTATATCACTGAGCAGATTTCAACAAGAATTAGGGGAATTTGTTTTTTAATAAATTAAAAAGTATACAGAATAGTCTTAGGTTTACCGAAAAGTGACAAAGATGGTGCATAGAGAAGGAAATCTGTGTACCATCTTTGTAACTTTTCTGTAGTTATAAAGATTGTAAAAGTTACAAAGGTTGGTGCAAAAGTAATTAGTTTTTGCCATTACTTTCAGTGACGAAAACTGTAATTACTTTTGCACCAACCTAATATATACTTCTCATTCTGTTTCCTCAATTGTTAACATTATACATCATGATAGCATACTTATCACAGTTAAGAAACCAACATTGGCATATTCCTATTAACCATTAGTACATTACTAGTAATTAAATCCTACTCTTTATTTGTATTTCACTAGCTTTTCCCTAATGACTTTGTTCTGTCCTGAATCCCATCCAGGACTCTGCACTGCACTTCATTGCCATGCCTCCTTAGTCTCCTCTGGTCTGTGACAATTTCTCAGATTTTCCTTGGTTTCGATTACTTTGACAGTTTTGAGAAGTACTGGTCAGGTAGAATGTCTCTCATTTGGGTTTAATCTGATGTTTTTCTCATCGTTAGATTGGCTTATGGGTTTTAGGGAAGAAGAGAATAGAAGTGAAATGCCATTCCCATTAGATCATATCAAGGGTACCTGCAATCAACATGCTATCACTTATGATGTTAACCTTGATCACCCAAACAAGGTAGTATTTGTCAGGTTCCTCTACTGTAAGTTACTTCCCCACTCTTTATAATCTCTGCTCTTTAAAAGCAAACCATTTAGCACAACCCATGCTCAAGCAGTGGAGACACGTTAAGTTCCACCTCCTGGAGAATGTTTTCTACTGGGTTATTTTACCATACCATAAAACAATGTTTTCGTCATTTGTTCTCATTTTCTAACACATCTGAATGACATTTTCTGGTGCCTCAAATTGGATACTAGCTAACTTTGCTAATTCACTCAAGTTGGCCTTCAGAGAACCAGACTATTTTACCAAGAAGTATTGAGTTGCTGAAAATCTTTACAATTCCTCCCTCTATATATGTATTTTACTGATACAGTACATGTAATTATCTATCTCATAAGTTTCACTCCATATTATTTGTGTGAATATGTGTAATATGTGAGTATTTGTAATTTATGAAGACAAATGCATTGTTCTTGGGTGGCTTTAAGAATGTTTTAGCATTAATAATAATCTTTTCCAATTTAAAAACTATTATTGCTTCCAGTATTGCTTCCATCACCTTAAGTAATTGGAGCAGGCGAATATTTTGTTATTAATTATGCATTTTTCATCTTCTGTAGGACCTACCCTTCAGGTACCAGTCAGTCAGCAGCAGTAGTTTTCTATATGCATTGCCAAAAAATGTAGGAGCAATCCAGAGACAATAAGTCATCAAATTATTAATCTTTGGACTCTGATGTGACATTTGTGGATCAATAGCAGAGCCATGTCTTGAAAATTGTACCTTTCAATTGCAAGAGCTAGGTGCTGAAGTGAAAAAAGAAATGTCACATTATTGTTTGTTTTCTTCCCAAGTTGACTTAAAATATGACGAGCTAAATCCTGGAGGATTCAAAACATTAAATTTATATTAAATATATACAAAATGTGAAGAGTGAGCCTTTTATGTCCAAAAAGAAACAAATATTTGACCAGGAGATAGAAAAAGAATTAGAGAAGGAAAAACTACCTTGGTTGCTGGTGGAATCATGAGAAGTGATCAGTGTCTTATTTTTTTGCCTGAATTATTTTTGGGAAGGCAGTGAGGATGGTTCATTGAATACCTGATTTTCATAATTCCCAGATAATTTGTTGGGAATCCCAGAGCAGAAAGATACACTACTTTGCTTCCCAGGATTAAATCTGGAAACTACAGAACTCATAATATCTGGCGTTCAAGCCAACAAATGAGAAGTGGAGTAACAACGCCTAGGTGGCAGGAACTGAGGGGCCTTTGTAGTGTATCACACATTCCAGGGTGATGGAGGAAGTAGCTGGGTATTCTTGAGTCCAGCAGCAAGGTTAGGGCTTGGCTCCAGCTCTGAGCTCACCAGCAATTTTGAAGGTATTTTGTGGTATAGAGGAGGAAGATACAAATCAATGTTGAATAGAAGCATGACAGGGAAGAGATATCTTTGCCTTGCTCCTGATCTTAGGGGAAAAGTATTCACTTTCACCACAAAGTATGGTGTTACCTGTGCCCTTTATCAGGTTGAAGAAGATCTTTCTGTTCTAGTTAGTTGAGAGTTTTGCAGAAATGGATTTTGGAATATTTTCAAATATTTTTTCCCCTCACGTCTATTGAGACGATTGTGTAGGTTCTTTTTCAGTCTATTAATATGGCATACTAGGTTGAATAGCCAAAGTCGTGTCTTGCTTAAGAAATCATTTCCTATTCCAAAGTCTAAATTATATTCATTTATATTTGCTACAAAGTATTTGAAAATTTCATTTTTGACATACAAATTCTTAACATGACTAAAGTTGATATTTATATATGGTGTTAGGCAGACATCCAATTTGATCTTTTGCCATATTGTACTGGGTTGAATAGTGTCCCCTCAAAATTCATGTCTACCAGAAACCTCATTTGGAAATAAGGTCTTTGCAGATGTAATTAGTTAAGATAAGCTGAGGTCATACAAGACTATGGTGGGCCCTAATTGAATTACTGGTGTCCTTATAAGAAGAGAAAAACAGAGACAGAGACATAGGGGGGACAATACCATGTAAAAGCAGAGGCAGAGAGTAAAGGTTATGCTGCCACAAACCAAGGAACTTCAAGGATTGCTGGTAACCACCAGAAGCCAGGAGAGACGCATGGAACAGATTCTCCCTCCAAGCCTGCAGAAGAAATCAACCTTGCAAACACTTTGATTTTGGATATCTAGCTTCCAGACCTGTAAAAGAATAAATTTCTGTTTTAAGTTACTTAATTTATGGTACCTTGTTATGACAAACCTAGGAAACCAATATATGTGAATTTTTGGTTGAATTCACATTGGTTGAATTTTAAAATATTAAATCAGCCCTGTATCCTTATAATTATTCCTCTGTATATTTAGATCTAGCTGCTTATAAGGTTTTGTCTCTATCATTTGTTTTAAGTAGTTTTATTTTATGGTGTACCTTGTTGTTTTCTTCATTTTTTTGTGCTTAAGTTTCAAAAACATTTTTGGAAATGTGTGGGTTTATAGTTTTCATCATATATGAGCAAATTTTGGCCATTATATCTTTAGATATTGTTTCTACACCTCCTTCTGTACTAAAGACTGAAATAATCTTATGTTAGGCCACTTGTAATTGTCCTACAACCTACTGATGTTTATTCAATTAATTCTGGTCTTTTATCTCTTTTTCTCATTTTGGAATTCTGTTGCTATAGCTCCAAGTTTTATATATATATAATTTATTTAGTTTTGAGATGGAGTCTTGCTCTATTGCCCAGGCTAGAGTACAGTGGTGCGATCTCAGCTCACTGCAACCTCTGCCTTGGGTTCAAGTGATTCTCCTGCCTCAGCCTCCTGAGTATCTGAGATTACAGGCAGGCACTACCACACCCAGCTAATTTTTTTGTATTTTTAGTAGAGACAGGGTTTCCCCATGTTGGCCAGGCTGGCCTTGAAGTCCTGACCTCAGGTGATCTGCCCACCTCAGCCTTGCAAATTGCTGCGGATTACAGGCATGAGCCACCGCGCCTGGCCCAAGTTCATAATATTTTCTTTTGCATTGTCCAATCCACTATTGGTTCCATGCAGCATATGTTTTAATCTCAGGTATTGTAGACTTCATTTTTATAAGTTCAATTTGGGAGATACATATATTTTTCCATGTCTCCACATAAAATGTTCAACTTTTCCTCTATCTTCTTGAACAGATGAAATACAATAACAATAACCCTTGAACAATATCCCTGTCTACTTATCCTATCATTTGTGTTATTTCTGGGCCAATTTTGATGAACCCACTTTTCTCCTTGTCATTGCATTTTTTTCTTCTTTGCCTTCTGCTACTTTTTTTTTTACTGGATGCCAGACTGTGAATTTTACTTTGCTGAGTGCTGGATATTTTTGTATTCCTTCATTTTTGAACTTTTTTTCTGAGATGTGGTTAAATTGCTTGAAAGTAGTTTAATCCTTTTGGGTCTTGCTTCTAAGTTTTGTTAGGTGGGACAGAGCAGCTTTTAGCTCAGGAATACTTTTTCTCCACTACCAAGGCGAAGCACTTTTTAATTATCAAAGTGTGTTTCCAGGTGAGACTGGGCAAGGCAGGGCCATGTTCTATTAACTTTTGGATGCCTGAATCTTAATCCAGTTTCTGGGTCCTAAGTGGAGTTCCATAAATTCTTACTCATTAAAATAAAGTTTTTTTTTTTCTGTCCTGAAAACATTTTCATTGTTCATCTCTAGCACCTTCAAGTGGAATCACTTTTGTGATTTTTATTTTACCAAGCATGGCACCGAATTCCTAGGTGAAATCTTTTGACTAAGCCCAAGCTGCCCAAAAGATTCCTTCTAGTGCTATTTAGTTAGATCCCTGGATTGACTTCCCATTTACTTTTCCATGCGTTTATTCACCAGATTGCTCTGGGTAGAGTATTTTGTGAAAGTCACCTTATTGGAATGCCAAAAAGTGATTAAAATAAAATTTATGAATTATTTACAAGGTTTAAAAGTAAGTGCCATGTATTAGTTCACTCTGACACTGCTATAAAGAACTACCTGAGACTGGGCAATTTGTAAAGAAAAGAGGTTTAATTGACTCACAGTTTCAGATGGCTGGGAAGACCTCAGGAAACTTACAGTCATGGCAGAAGGAGAAGGGGAAGCTAGCGCATGTTACCGTGGTGAAGCAGAAGAAAGAGAGAGCGTGAAGTGGGAAGCACCACACTTTTAAACCATCAAATTTGATGGTTTTGAGAAATTTGATTAAACCATCAAATCCTGTGAGAACTCACTCACTATCATGAGAACAACAAGGGGGATATCGGCCCCCATGATCCAAGCACAGCATCTCCCACCAGGCCCCTCCCCTGACATGATATTTGGGTGGAGACACGAATCCAAACCATATTATACCTATTTTTTCTGTACTTCAGCAAAGTACATTCAGACATTCTTTTCTGTGTAGCCTTCCTTGATCCTCCTGTTTATTTTTTTCTGTATCCATTTAGACCTTTTTGGAAACATATTTATTTTAGTGTCTGTAAGATGCATTCCTGGTTTAAAGACTATAGGCATAGGAGAATTACCTGGGTAGGGTTTAAAGACTATATGCACAGGAGAATTACCTGGGAGTTGCCCATTTGGTGTGACTCCAGTACCCCAATGTACCATGACCCCATCTCAGATGTTATGTCAAATTTTGATCAGTGTGTATATTTAGTTTTGCTTCAACTGTGAATATTTACTCTGAGAAATCTGTTAAAGGGAAAAATCAAGCAGCATTGAAACACGTTTTTGAATTGATTGGAATACACAGAGTGATTTGCCTCATGAGTGTATAAGAGAGGGTACACTCATGTGTACCCTCATAGTGATTTGCCTCATGAATGTACAATCAGAATACTGAAAATTCTCAAGGGGTGCTAAAGGTTGACAAAGTCAAAAATTCAATAACCATGAATGTAGTTTAGTTCCAGCAGGGTGCCATAAACATTTGCCACCAAAATGTATTTGTGCAAAAAGTCTACATATTAGTGTGGGTAACAGCTGTCCTAATGAGGAACACGCTCCCTAAGGAAAAAGACTTTGAATAATCTGTCTTTGCATTCCTCATGGAATTTAGCCCAGTGTCTTTAACAAAATGGATGTTCCTTTGATGATCACTTTTTGTTATTCCTAGAGTGAAAGTGAGTGTAAGACATAATTTTACACTTTGTTTTTTTTTTTTTTTTTTTGAGACAGAGTCTCACTGTCGCCCAGGCTGGAGTGCAGTGGCGCAATCTCGGCTCACTGCAGTCTCCGCCCCCTGGGGTTCACGCCATTCTCCTGCCTCAGCCTCCCGAGTAGCTGGGACTACAGGCGCCCGCCACCTCGCCCGGCTAATTTTTTGTATTTTTAGTAGAGACGGGGTTTCACCGTGTTAGCCAGGATGGTCTCGATCTCCTGACCTCGTGATCCGCCCGCCTCGGCCTCCCAAAGTGCTGGGATTACAGGCGTGAGCCACCGCGCCCGGCCATAATTTTACACTTTGAACAGCTCACAATCTGGTGAGGTAGAGAGAAGATAAGAAGTCAGATGGCTAGGTTTTAGTGCAATCAGTGTTACTTTTTTTTTTTGAGATAGGGTCTTGCACTGTTGCCCAGGCTGAAGTGCAGTGGTACAGTCATGGTTCACTGCAGCCTTGACTTCCCAGGCTCACGTGATCATCCCCCTTTAGCCTCCCTCTTAGCTGGGACTACTGGCATGAGCCACCACACCCAGCTAATTTTTGTATTTTTTGTAGAGACAGAGTTTCTCCATGTTGCCCAGGCTGGTCTCAAACTCCTGGACTCAAGCAATCTGCCCTCCTTGGCCTCCCAACGTGCTAGGATTAGAGGTGTGAACTGCCGTGTCAAGATAGCAATCAGTGCTCTAATGAAAGAAAAACATTACTAGCTTTATCTGGAAAGGCTTCAATGGCTTCCCAGGGCATGGGTTCTGTATACTGGGTCGTGAAGTGTGCTTAAGAGATCATGAGTTAGAAAAAAGGCAGGAGAGTAATCCTTGCAAAGTAATAGCCTGCCTTATTGAGAAGTGAGTTGTCAAGTAATGTTGGAGGAGAGGACATGTGGTTTAATGTGGGAGACATCAGGTTGGTAGGTTGGGACCAGATTTTCCAGCCCCTATCTCTCTGCCACATTGGTGAGTTGGTACTTTATTCTCTAGGTTTAAAGTAGAATCAAGGGTTTTCAGCAGAGGAGCAACATGAAGAGATTTATATTCAGGAAAGATCATTCTGAGATGATGCTTTGGAGGTGAGAGAGAGGCAGAAAACTGGTCAGGGAACAGTCCCACCGAGAGATGATGTGAGTGTGAATTCACCACTAACCAGAGTCAGTTGCATTTACTTACTGTCTTGTTTGCTTGGTAAAACACCTACTTCTTGTTATGCGTGATAAATATAATCAAATTATACAGTTCTAAGAGGTAAATAACCTCACTTTGCTAGATCAATACAGAAGGAGATAGGTGAGGGCAATAGGGAAGTGGTTACCTGAGGTGCAAGGTAGGGGCATGCCCAGGAAATGAGGTAGACTGTATGATGCCATCCTCGGGAATCCGGATGGCAGTCCTTCAGAGCAGCAAGAACCAGCGCCCATCAGAAGTACAAGTTCATATTTGCATGTCCCTTTCCTTCTTCCTGATCTCCACTCTTGTTGATTCTGCCATCTGCAACATGCACAGACTCAAAAGGCAAACCTGCGGAATTATCTAATAAGGTAGTCATGCTTTTGGCAATCCACATTAACCTTATTTGACAATCCGTCAGAGTACAGGGACAAAGAGAGATCTTTATGTTACAGGTTTAAATGTTAAATCCTGTCATAAACTGTTCAGCTACACTTCGTAGAAAGAAAAATATATTTGGTGAACAATGGAGTCAAGTTAAAACATGAAACAGAGAACCTTGTGTTGTTTGGTAGATGCTGCTCTGCCAAGTCTAGAAGATCTGCAATTTTCAAGGCCGTAGACAAGGCCAGTGTCTTAAAAGGCTAAGTGCTGTATGCAAGGCCACCGTGGGCAGACAAACAAAATTCACGGAGCTGATGGGGTCAGAAGGTGGTGTTGTGGGTAATTGTGAAACATCATTTAAAGAACGCTTAGCATTAGCTCTCTTTTGGGTTGAGTGGTAATTTGGTGGTGTGGCTGGTGGTTTTCAGTCCTCTCTACATGTGATAGCGACAGAACAGCAAGAGGCATCAAAACAGAGCTTATGGTTAGAGGGTTAGGGTTAGAAGGTGAGGATCTAGGGATTAGCAGGTCCCCAACTGAGGTGAGAGAGCTGAGTCTAGGTCCACCCTCCAACCGTAACTCCTGTGAGGCCTTGACAAAGTCACTCTGGCTACCTGGGGGTTATTTTCTCCATCAGTAACACGAGTGTTGGGTTAGATCATCTCTGAGCTCCTTTTCACTGTGACAGATCTTTTCCTCAATGATACCTAATTGTGAAGAGTTAATAACAGCCCATATGTAATAGTAAGGTTCAGTTTCTTTCTCTGTAAAACAAGGGTAACAAAGATGGCTTGAGAATTACAGTTAAAGCAAGATCACATGCGAAAAGAATTAACACAGAACCTGTCAAATCGTAAATTATCAGTAAATCCAAGTGTCCTTTATTTAGGTCTCCCATTTGTTAAAAATGTTTATTGAGCACCTACATGAGCCAGGTAGTGTTCTAGGAGGTAGGTACAGAAAAGCGAATAAGTTAGATACATTTGCTGCCTTTATGGAGCTTGCAATAAACGAATGAATGCCCACAAACACTATATTTTCTTCCCTCCTTTTCTCTCTGCCTCCCTCTTTTCCCCCCTCTCTTTAACCCACCTGCTCTCCAGAACCGTTGGAGGCCCTGGTTGCATAGAATCTAACTCCAGGAGTGAGAGATTGAAAGCCAGTAGGATTGGTATGTGAGACCCTGAATGTTTTTGCTCAGTGGCCACCCTTGACCTTTTTTTTAAACCATAGGGCTTGGAAAAGGGTTTTACAAATGAGAACAAATTGTGAAAAGAGTAGGAACAGAGTTTATGAAAGTAAGCAGATACCAGAGCTGTATCGCACGGTTCCCTGCATCTAAGAATGTTGACAATACTCTACTGATCATTTCCCTGGAGGAAACACCTGAAAAGGCATACACATTTAGCAGGGTATGAAGAAACTTTAAAAAATATATGACTCTACAATGAACCTGTCTCTACTTAACACCATCTTGGGCAGGTTGGGCAAGGCACTGGCTTCACAGAGGCGAATAATACATAATTTCCACCCTCAAGGAGCTCACATTTTCTGGAGAGAGGCAGACATGAATCTCAATATACTGTGCCAGGTGCTTTTATAAATGTATAAATCCAGGAAGCTGCAAAATGTAAAGCAAGATTTTTTGACCCCATCACTGATGTCGCTATTTTAATCCTACTTAGATAAAATTAAAAGTTCTTGTGAAATTAAGCAATCTCTATAAGTAGTCATTTTATTTTAGGTGATGAAATCACAACTAAATATTGTGGGTAGAGACAACCAACATAAAGTAACATTGAAAATAGCAAATATACATATATTTAATCTTATTATTGATTAAACATTGACAAAAGATTGAACTACCTTAATGAGTTTTTTATCTGCAAAATTTTACTCAGATTAAAAAAATGGAGTTGGTATAAATAAAAACAACAACAAAATCACAATGGCAGAAGATATAATATGTAAAATTTAATACAAGAAAAAACCTGATAAATTAAAAAATGTCCTTATTATGATATACATGGAAAATAGCCTGTGGATATTAAATATAGTAAATATTAAAATCTAAAAGTGCATTTAGTCTTATTCTGCTATGAAGAATACTGATCAAGGAATTCAAATGGTTTAGTGGCCTGCTTACAGAAAACGCATTTTGGAGAACAGTCCATCAATATTGAAGTCTATTAAAGGTGAGCTTTGTGGGTCACAGAGCAGAGTGGGAAACATGGATGACAGATCTGGAGAGCAACAGAAAATATCCAGCACATGCATTGCCTCTCTAAATAAAACTCTTGGCACACAATTTTATCCAATTCATTTTTGTGGACCCCAGCGCTATGAATAGAACAATGCATACTATGGCTATTTGGTAAAAGTTTGCTGAGTGAGTAGTTGAATAAAAACATGAAAGCAAAAAGTACAGATATCACCTATTCTCAAAGTACCATGAATCCATCTGTAGACAGTAATACCCCTTGTCACTTTGTGCTGTGACAACCTGTTTGTATGGTTATTCTCATCAGAGAGTGATTTTCTTAAAAGTGGAGACTAAGGCCGGGCGCGGTGGCTCACGTCTGTAATCCCAGCACTTTGGGAGGCTGAGGCGGGTGGATCACCAGGTCAGGATATCGAGACCATCCTGGCTAACACGGTGAAACCCCGTCTCTACTAAAAATAAAAAAAATAAAAAATAAAAAATTAGCCAGGTGTGATGGCGGGCACCTGTAGTCCCAGCTACTCAAGAGGCTGAGGCAGGAGAATGGCGTGAACCCGGGAGGCAGAGCTTGCAGTGAGCCAAGATCGTGCCACTGCACTCTACCCTGGGTGACAGTGAGACTCTGTCTCAAAAAAAAGAAAAAGGGAGGAGACTAAGTCTTTTATGCATGTGTTTATGTACAATGCCCTGTAACTGAGCAGGGATTCAGAGAATGTTTGCTAAATAAATGAATGACAAAATTGTATATTAAAGGTCATGTTATGTAGCCTAAGAATATGAAGATGCTTCTCTCATAATTCGTTTTCATCAGAAGTTCAGATGAGAGCCAGGGTACATAGTTTTTGTGCTTTTGATTCTCTGTAGAATCAGAATATGAAAAGAAAAATGCACTTTGTAAGGGTAACACCTACATCGTTTAGAAGAAAATATGAAATAAGAAGATATCTACTGAGGGTCCTTCCCAGAGCTGGTTTCCACTCCACTATTTCCCTAGAGACATCCGGCTCAGTTTGCTCTCTTCTTCTTAGCAAAGCTTTTTGTCCCAGCCTTGACAGCAGCTTGGAGGCAGATAGGAACATTATTTCATGAAGTAATTTAGATATGATTTTTAAAAAATCTCATCTTGGCACAAACTGTGCAAGAGCTTGGGTTTAACAGGTTATTATGAGATTGCAGTAATAATAGATTTAAAACTGAAAAATTGTAGAAGCTTGGGAAGAAAGAACTTAGGTTACAATTTTCATACAAGCCACTTATGAAAAAAATAAGGACACTCGAAGGAGTGAAGTACATTAGTTAGTGTAGAGTCGCCATTTTCCCATATAATTACAGAAAAAAAAAACTCACGAAGAATTCCTTCTTTGTTCTCATATCTAGAAAGGATAGGTACTTGAAATTTCACAACTGTGGAGACTGTAGCCAAAAATGGTTGGGAATGCTTGATATTAGGCCAGAGGTTTTAAGGGTCCAGTCATGGTTTATTTATGACAAGAGTTCCTCAGAGCTCTCACCCTTATTAGGTCTCAGACATTCATTTCATTCTCTACTCCTGAAAGATGACAGAGTATCTACAGATCTGATCCCTGGAAAAGAAATATCTAGAAATGTATAGAAATATGTGCCAAAATGAGTCTACGAATGAAACTCTAGATATTGGCTGCACTAATGGGATAAGAGAGGCAAAACAAAGCAGAAAAGGAGACAGAGATGGAGATGCCAGAGTCAGAAATACACCATGATGACTCCCATCAGCATGCACAGAAGATAAGCGTCTGTGGGGAAATATACACAAGCCCCTGCTCTTGTCTTTTTGGATGCTACCCAGAACATACCTAAAGGAGCGGATTCCCAAAAGGTGTTTTGAGCAATTGTTAGACATTTCGTCTCTGCTTCCCAGATGCGTTGTTTCTAATTATAAAATCATCGGGTACACAATTTAGGAACATTTGCTGCTCAGGAATTGAGATTTTTACCATACTGTATGTGCTGCAGCAGAGTTTTATAAATGGAATTATCAATGTGGTAGAATAAAATCCACTCAAAGACTGGTAATTTTTAATGAACTGGGGATTGTCACATTTTTCTCACTTCTAGGACTTTATTTTTCTCTGTTCTTAAAACATCCTCCAAAAGTTGAGAGTTTACCTAGACTTTTAATGAACATTATTCATTATTTTTCCTCACAGACACCCAGGTAATCAAATCCCTGGGCATCCATTTTTCTAGCTGAGGAAACTGAAGGTCAGAAAGATGAGTGACTTGCCAAGATTGTGTGGAGAAGAAATGGCAGAGCTGGGATAGGAGCCTATGTGTCTAGCATCCAAAGCCTAGACTCTTCAGTCTGCCCTTTCCTCAAGGAGGTGATGCAAAGACCCAGGCCCTGCATCCAGCTTCATGAAAGGAGTTAGGAATCGGGTAGGCTCCCAAAACACAGAGACTGTTTCCCTTATGAGGGACACCCCAGTGCCACATGGCATACACCACACTTACCAATTGACTAGTACAGGTGGGTAAGCCTTGATCATTTGAGGCTTACCCTCAATGAGCAAAAGAGAAATTGGAAGATGTTTCTGGATTTTTTTCTGCTCAGAATATTCCCAGCCTTTTCATAAAAGAAGGAAATCAGAAAAGTATCAAGTCAGAAGTGAGATAAGACTTTAAGGAATTAATGGTGTGGAAAGAAAATGACTCTGAGAAGAGGAATGGCTGATTTGGTGAGAGGTTTGATTAGGTATTCCTATACTGAGGTTCTAAGATATCTTTCTCAGCATGAAAACTATATTGAATACTTAGCATATGAAATCATGTGCAGCTTCTCAAATATGCCCTGCTTTCCTCACCTCATAACTTTTTTTTCATGTCTGCCTGTCTTCCAACATTGCTCTCATTGACCAATGATGAAACTCCTGCTCATCCATTGAGTCCTCGGTAAGCATCATATACTCAGTGAAGGCCTCGTGAGCCCCAGAGGGAGTTTCCTGCTCTTCCCTTCTATGAGCCTTCCCTATACCTTGTACTCATTTCTAAGAATTAAGATACAATATTATTATCCAAATGTATTGAAACTATTTGTATATGTCTACCTATTTAACTCTAGGGTTCCTTAAGCAGGAGATTGTGTCTTACTAATCTTTTCATCCCAGCACCTACCTAAAGGCTGGCATTCAGCAGACCCTGAAAAGTCTTTGTAGCAAACAAAGAAACAAAACACTCACAACAGTGGGAAATTCGGTTACACATGCCTTATATAAGTAGGAAAAGAACCTCATAATAAAATACATATTTGCATTTTGTCTCCAGGTTAAAAGCAATACTAAATAGAAATAAATGTCAGCATGTAATGAGATTTCTGTTTATAGTCACGCTGTGGAAAGAGAACATTGCCACTGCTTGTAGAATTTCTTGACATCCAAGATTACTTACTGCTTTTGGAATGCACACCATGAAATAGAACAGGAATAGCTAAGGAAATGGGTGAAAATATGACTAGGTTGGTAGAAAATATTTAATCTCTAAAATTGTATTTGAATATCTTTTATTTAATTTTCATAGATAACACAACTATGCACATTCACCTAGACGTTACATGACTCCAAAGTAAACAACATAGAGGTTACCCATCATCATCTTCACCACCAAAAACCAAAAAACACTATAGGAAAAAAAGTTTATATATTGTGTATATTTTTGTCCCTTTGGGGAAACATGAAATGGTGCTCAGTCATTTTCTCGTTATCTCAACTAATACATACAATTCCGTGATGTAGGTCTCCCTGTCACTACTGTATAGGTATGATAACGGAAGTATTTTAACGATGTTTTCAAGGTCCTGCGGATAGTATATATGAATACCAAACTCACATCACTTACCTGAAAGTTTAGTTCTTGTCACTGAAGTATAACTGAATAGGAGCTCAAAGATACCCTTCACCTTTCTTATTTTTTAAAATTTTTTATGGAAATGGAGGCCTATGAACATGAGTGACTTGCCTAAAGACACACATTTCCTGAGTAGGAGAGCTGCACCCAGGTCTAGGTCCTTTGATGTGAAAGTTTAGATATTGTAGCCTAAATACATTTTAAAAGTTTAATTAATCACAAAGATTAGCTCAAAATCCCTCTCAAATTCAGTTCTAACATGGTTTTATGCAATTTCCAAAAGAAAGAATAAAAAACATAATGTCTGCCTGTTTTCAGCAGAGAGAATGCTGTGAGCATCAGTTAGCACACACCTAAAGGCACAGGAATTGCCCGCCTGGCACTTTATAAGTGCTAGGGGGAGATTATGTCTCCCTGACTAGGGTTATATTTGCTTTTGGCTGTTAGCACAGTATATCTGTATCAGGTGCTTCAGTTTAAAGTTCCAATCTGAGGTTTTTACCCTAATCTCTTTCATTCATTCAGAAGTGCTTTCACACTCTGTTTTCCTATAGAATGGGAAAGTATATTTGTATATGGTTTTGAGGGTCACAGGAAAAGAACATAGTATTGCTGATGCCTGAATAAACATAATGGTGTGGGAACGAAAGATATACCACCTGAAAATATCTGGCATTTCAAAGTGTAAGACGAGGCTGTGCAAAGTCATCCTAAAAAACTAGTATTTTAGGAGCTGTCGATTTTGGACTTAAGTTTGCTAACAGCCTCCATAGCTTTTTCTCTGAAGAGAGTAAAAGCATGAAAATACTCCATAGATCTGAATTACTTAAGAAAGTTTATAATTTTGAGATCCAGTGTTAGTGAACAAGATTGGTGTTTTGCAAAAAAATTTTTTATCATCTTGGGGAGTTATTTTTTCTTTTCCAATTGTCTGCAAGCGAGTATAAGCATCTGAGAGCCGAGGACAAAATACCAATGACCTTTATGTAACTTTTTTCATTAGTTATGACGTTATTCATTTAATGAGACTACTTAACCACATATTAATTAAGGGCAAATGAAGCAAATATGTGGGTGATACCTTGGGAACATAGTAAAGTAGCCTAAATTTTGAGATAATGTTTAAGATGATAAATAATCTTAAATAGGGAGTCACAGATCAGAGCAGGAAGAAACCTAGCATGAGCTAGTCAAGATAAGGAAACCAAGGCCCCACATGGAGGAAAGATGAGTTCAGGTTAGAACTGGAATTCACATTTACACCTCCTGATGGTCTAGCTGATGCCTCTTTACTGTATTAGCATGGTATTATAAAAAGAGTGGATTTTGTAACTTAACTGATTAAATCTTGATTCTACTTCTTATTACTGCTGTGAGCACCTGAGACTTTTCGAGCCTTGTCTGTCAATTAAATGGAGGCAATGCATACTTGCACACCTCCTCAAAAAAACACAAATTTTTTCAACTTTTAGATACAAGGGGTACAAGTATGGGTTTGTTACATGGGAATATTCCATGATGCTGAGGTTTAGGGTACAGATCCCACCCGTCAGGTAGTAAGCATGGTACCTGATTGGTAGTTTTTCAGCCTAGGCCCTCTCCGTCCCTCCTTCCCAGTAGTCCACAGTATCTGTTGTTCCCATGTTTATGTCCATGTTTGCTCAGTGCTTAGCTCCCACTTACAAGTGAGAATATGCAGTATTTCGTTTTCTGTTCCTACATTAATTTGCTTAGGATTGTGGTCTTCAACTGCAGGTATGTTACTAAAAAGGATATGATTTCATTCTTTTTTATGGCTGTATAGCATTCCATGGTGTATATATTCCATATTTTCTTTATCTGATCCACCATTGATGGGCACCTGGGTTGTTTCCATGTCTTTGCTATTGTGAATAACACAGTGATGAACATATGCATGCATGTGTCTTTTTGGTAGAATGATTTATTTTCCTTTGAGTGTATACTCACTAATGGGATTGCTGGGTCAAATGGTAGCTCTGTTTTAAATTCTTTGAGAGATCTCCAGACTGTTTTCCATAGTGGCTGGACTAATTTACATTCCCACCAACAGTGTATAAACATTTCCTTTTCTCTGCAGGCTCACCAGCATCCATGCTTTTTGATTTTTTGATAATAGTCATTTTGACTGGTGTGAGATGGCATTTCACTGTGGTATTGACTTGCATTTCTCTGATGATCAGTGATGCTGAGAAAATTTTTAATATGTTTGCTGGCCACTTGCATGTCTTCTTTTGAGAAGTGTCTGTTTATGTCCTTTGCCCATTTTTTAATAGGTTATTTGTTTTTTGCTTGTTGATTTGTTTAAACTCTGTATAGATTCTGGATATTAGGCCTTTGTCATATGCATAGTTTGTGAATATCTTGTCCCATTCTGTAGGCTGTCTCTTTACTCTGTTGATAGTTTCTTTTGCTGTGCAGAAGCTCTTTAGTTTAATTAGGTCCCACTTGTCTATTTTGGGTTTTGTCTATTTTTGCAATTGCTTTTGGGGACTAGCCAAGGCTGATGTCAAGAAAATATTTCCTAGATTGTCTTCTAGACTTTTTATAGTTTGAGGTCTTAAATTTAAATCTTTGATCCATTTTGAGTTAATTTTTGTATATGGTGAAAGGTAGGGGTCGAGCTTCCACCTTCTGCGTATGGCTAGCATCATTTTGCATATTTTTATTTGATTTTATTGAAAACTCTTTCTGTATCAATTGAGATGATGTTATAGTTTTTGCTTTCAATTCTGTCTGTGTGGTGAATCACATTTATTGATTTGCATATGTTGAACCAGGCTTGTATCCTTGGAATAAAGTATAGTTGATCGTGATGTACTAATTTTTTGATATGCTGCTGGACTTGGTTTGCTAATATTTTGATGAGGATTTTTATGTCTAAGTTCATCGGGGATATTGGCCTAAAGTTTTCTTTTTTTCATTGTGTCTCTGACAGATTTTGGTATCAGTCTGATGCTGGCTTCATGATAGGTTAAGGAGGTGCTCCTTCTAGACTTTTTGTAATAGTTTCATAAATATTTTCTAAGTCTCAAATTAGACAATGCTCTAAAAGTATTTTTGAAAATGTAAACTGCTTTTTGTCATTAAATTTATTTTGATGTAAAAATATGAAATTAACACACAAGTTCAATCCAATTCCAATTAAAATCCTAAAGGACTTATTCTTGGCATTCGATGAACTATATTCAGGTTCATCTAGAAAAATATCAGGATAGGGTTAGTCAAGAATACATTGAGAAAGAGGAATAATGAAGTTGTACGTACCCCAAGAAGTATGAAAGTGCATTGGGTAGTTAGAGTCACTTAAATAGTGTTGGCACAGGAGGAATAGCACCAGACAGACAGTACACCAGATTTCAGTAAATAATAAAAATGAGATTCAAATTAGGGATGAGGGCAGAGGATATTCACTGATTGGGTTGGCACAACTGGTTAGTCATTTGGAAAAATGATAGCTTGTGCTCTGTGTTAAATATGGCTCTGTGTACTTTATACCAATTAACATTTTTTTCCCCACAGAAATTCTACAGGTAGATACTGTTATCACCATTTTATAGATAAGAAGGTTGAAACACAGACAAGCTAAGTAATTTGTCCAAGATCACACAGCTGGTCAGGAGTAGAGCTGGAATTTGAACCCAGGCAGTATAGAGTCTGGGTTTATCTTGTTAACCTCTTGCTGTACTGTCTTCTAGCCCCATGCCTTGCACCAAAATACAGTTCAGATGGACTAAAGTTTTAAAAGTAAATTTAAAACTAGAAGAAAATATAGGTATTTCTATAAATTTGAGATATGTAAGGCATTTTTAAGAACTTTCCTTTCCTTTCCTTTCTTTCTTTTGAGGTGGGGTCTTACCATCTTGTCCAAGCTGGTCTTAAACTCCTGGGGTCTTACCATCTTGTCCAAGCTGGCCTGAAACTCCTGGGGACTTACCATCTTGTCCAAGCTGGTCTCAAACTCCTGGGGTCTCACCATCTTGTTCAAGCTGGTCTCAAACTCCTAGGCTCAAGCAATCCTCCCACCTCAGCATCCCAAAGTGCTGGGATTGTAGGCATGAACCCCTGGGCCTGGATTTGTAAGGCATTTTTAAACATGACATCAAAATCAGAAACTTATAAAAGAAAAAGGTGATAGATTTGACTATATAAAAATAGAAACTTTCTAATCAAAGCCAAACCAAACCACCACTACCATCACCACCACGATCACCACCACCAACAACAAAAACCAGGAAATTAATCAAACCAACCAACCACCCACCACAACCACAAAACAAATGTAGAAAGCTAACGCAATCAAATGACAAATTGGAACATGAACAAGCCATAAATCTGATCAAGTGTTAATAGGTCGATGAATAAAGACAGTTCAGTAGAGGATTGGTGAAATAACCCCTGGAACATCCAGTACTATGGAAAATTACCATTTAAAAAATAACAATGTAGACTGTTATTTATTGGCATGTACATGTGCCTGTGATATATTAATTAATTAATAGAAAGTTACAGTATGCCCCTATGCTGTGTGGGAGCAAAAGCATGTGGATGCTTGTATGAGTGTTTGTGTGTGTGTGTGTGTGTGTAAAATAAATGAAGTGATAAAATCAAAATAATCTCTGGGTAATGTGGTTATGGATGATTTTTACCATTTTTCTTTAGACTTTATTGATTGAATTTCTTATAATAAGTATGTATTTCTTTAATGATAAAATGGTCTAAGCCTTGAATCATCTTTTTAAAACAAAGTTAGTAGAACAGGAATATTTCAAGAACATAATAGATTTGCATATTTCTAGTTTATGGTAATTTCTATGATGTTTTGGTGGAAAGCTATGGTTTTAGGGAAATGGCTTATAGTAAAAGGCCAATGACTTTGAGTAAGTTACCAATTTTGACATTTAAAATTGTAGAACATGATCTACACAATTCCTATTTTGGGAATTACTACTTTGGGAATATATTTTGGCTTTATTTTTGCAGCCAAATATATGATTTATATTGGTAAATGTTTCATAGAATCTTGGAAAGAAGGTATATTCTCTCCTTCATCCCTTGAACTCACTGTGTATATAAATTATTAACTTCATTATTCAAATCTTCTATATCTTTGGGTTGGTTTTTATCTACTTAAATGGCCAAGGTAGAGGTGGTATGTTGAAGTCTCTCTTACCATGTGTCTGTACGTTTTGCCTAGGGTTTCTAGCATATGGCATTTTTATTACAGACTTTGCTTTTTATTAATATTCAATGATACTCCCCGCCCCGCGTCATCCTACTTGCTGCATATTCTCTTTTGTCTGATATTAATATTGTGGCCCCTACTTCCTTTTTGTTTGGGCTTGCTGAAACAAAAGTGTGTCTCTCCCTCTCTTTGTGTTCTTAATATTTTAAAATAAATTCAATATTTTAGTTTTGGAAGTATCTTCTATAGTTAAGTTTTAATTTCTGATTATTTGTATTTGTTGTCACAATTGGTACACTTGGTCTCATTTCTGCAGCCTTCTTTCCATAATGCTTCCATACTGGTTTATTTGCTATAGCTTTGTTCTCCAAAGTGGAATGCATAGAACATTAATTGGAGTCCCAGAAGGAAATACTAGTTTTTACATTTCAAAATTAAGATTGATATTAAACTTGACTCATTTAATATAAATTGTCACTGGTTCTTCACGCAGGTCCACAAGTAAGACAGATGCTCTCTGTTTATTGATAGTAAGCAAGGTGGAAGGGAGTGATTTCCAGAGGGTGGGGGTGAATGACAATGACACTTTTACATTCTGCAAACTTTTGACTCACTGAAGTTTGTGTGCCCAGTTAGGTGGATTTAAGAGTTATTTAATTTGCTTTTATGTAAGCTGTCAAAATTTACAAGAATCTTAAGATAATTCCAAAAAAAAGAAGCAGGTTAAAAGTAATGCCCATGATACAGACAAGAACAATAATGACAACCCGTCTGTCTCCCCACCCCCTCCCTCCCACCCCCACCCCAAAAGGCCCAGCTAATGCTTTCCATTTTCCTGGCAGGAGTGCTCCATCAGCCACATTATGAGGTAATAGAGAGCATTTTCAAAACGGATGTTTGGAAATGTTTCTCAGTGTTTCCATTGCTATGTGATACATTGCTGAAAACGATAGAAATGTTACACCTATAAAAAATAATCTGTGGTATCAACACACTTAAAGGATTTAAAATAGAATTTTTATAATCTTTGAAAGTTTTTAGAGAATTTTAAACCCTTTGTTGAGGCAAAAAACTATAACATGTACTGATTCCTTTTCAAGAACAATTGATCATGGAAGATGGAAACTTACTACCAAATTTCAACAAGAACAATTACATAATTGATGGGTGGAATCGATTATAAATGTCATGATTATTAAGTACAGCCAATGACACACTTCTTTCCCTTGCGTTTCTCTCTCTGTGAAGGATCTTATTCAGTTACTACAGCCATGAAAACCAAGTTTGAAATAAAAATTGACCCAGAATCATACCTTTGGGTTGCTATATTGCAAGATATGTAACCAACAGTTTCAAAAACATTGAAAAATTTAAACATTCTGCTCTCACTGAATGTTACTATTATTTCAGTGAAAGAAAGAAAAATGTTGTTTGTGTTGTTAATAAATACAATAAATTTATTTTAAACTAGTGTTATTTCAAGTTCATCTTTTTAATGATTTTATTGTATAATATATGCACATATCCATGTATATACAATAGTACATATATTTATATACAATTTATTAAGAAATCACTAAAGTGAGTATACATTGCTTAAAAAGTCTTAGTAATAAAAATAGAAGTTGCAATCTTTTTATTTAGTCTTTTTTCCTTTAATTTCTTTAAAATTTTGAATATATTTTCTTTAATTGGTGATGCTGAAAATTAAACTATACTTATTTCCATTGTGTAAGTAATGTAATATACTTGTCTAGAGCTTTCCCACATGTTCTAATTTTTATTGATAGTAATTTGTGACTCTGGCCCAAATGATTATCATTTTCATCACACAGCTTCTCTTTTAAGAATTGTTAAAACCATCTGTATTAATTTATGAAACTATATTTATAGTTATTTAAACAACTCTTTATTTAGTTTCATTTGTACCACTGAGGCTTTTGGCCACAACCTCCAATTTAAATTTTAAAATTTTGGTTTATGTCTTGGTTAAATCTTCAAGTAATTTTATCCATATATGCTTCCCGGAAGCATATATAGATGATATAATTAACATGTCTTATATCCTTGGGTACAATTTTTGTCAGCCACATTACACAGAGTAATTGTTTAGTTATAGAATCTATTGTCACATCTTTTCCCCTAAAAATACTCCAGAGATTACCGCATTTTTTTTTTTTTCTGGAAGTTTGCAACACAGGGGCATCTATGACTAGCTGAGGTCTTATCTCTATTGTATTTTTAAATGCTATTTTCCCCTGAGGTTTACAATTCTGTAGTTCTTCTGGTTTCTCCTAGGCTCACTCTGATGGCTGCAGTCATCAGTGGCTTACAGGGCTAGGGGTCTAAAGTGGCCTTACACACAGTCTGGGGCTGGTACTGGATGTCACAGCGTCTTTCTCTATCCATTCTTTTAACTTCCCTAGTCTCCTTACTTGGTGAAGGGAAGGTTTTCAAGAGGTGAGGTCAGGAGCTCAAGGCCTGAGCTCCACACACAATGTCACTCCTGCCACATTCCACTGGTGTAAACAAGTCATGAGGCCAGGCAGTTTTCTTCCACTTCTGGACAGAAGGTGCAGCAAAGTCATATCGCAAAGGTGCAGGTAGCCTGGGAGGGGAGGAATTTGCAGCCATTAAGCAATCTACCACACCAACAGTCCCCCAACATTCAACTTAACAAACAGAAGTTTTTCTCCTTTCATGTGATGATTCAGGGTCTCAGTTTCCTTCCATCCCTGAGGACCCCTGAGCCCTCCCTCTCCAGCCAGCCAAAATGGAAATATGTGGTGGGGAAGGCACACTTTCTTCTTCAAAACCCCATTTCAGAAGAGATCTTCACTTCTGCTCATGTGTCTTTGGCAAGAACTGTTCATATAGCTGTACCCTGAAGGAAGGGGCAGGTGGCACCCAGAATAATCATGGAAGGGGAACCATGAACTTTTGGTGGACAATTACGGTTGTTTTTTTTTTTTTTCCTTTTTTTCTTCCACTGATGACTCTATTATCAGTGACTGGTTCAGAAAAACGCTGGAATCTTTCTGAGATGCAAATTAGCATATTTGTGTGCTTATTTGTTAGAGTAATTATTTCAAAAGAAGCATTTCTGTCTCTTCAAGATGATCTTCTTATTTGGACCTGCAGTATCTTTTCTTTACCTAGGATCCCCAAGGTGGCCCTGTTTGGGTGGCCTTCCAATCTTATAGTGGTCTCTTGCTTCTCTTGTGAGCAATTTCTTCTGGAAGCTTTCCTGGCTTAAGAAAAAGCCTAGCCTCAGAATGGCATTTTGATCATTGGATTTTCCTTTTCCAATATCTCTTTTACCCTTTTCAAATTAATTGGTCTGACATAAATTGTCTAGGTCCCTCCACTCCCTTGCCACTTTCTTTGTCACAGGGACAATCATAAATAGAGTCTGAATGGTATCTTAGGTTCATTACCATCAGCCTACATGAAATATATACTCCCTGGTGTGGCAGGCATATGTATGGCACCCTTCCTACTTTCCAACACTGATGCTGGTTTTTCCCTAATTTTATATCCACTGGTCATCTCATGTGTCTGAGGGTGGAAGGCGGAGTGTTCAATGCCTGCACTTACATCATCATCAGATGCAGGGAAATTACAGTCTTACATTTAAATGCTATGGAAATTATATGGTCTGTGATATCAGTTTCTTTAAAACACCTTATAAACTTTCACTTTGCAGAACTATCATAAATCTGTTTAATTCAACAGTTTACACGAGGTACTCCAGTATTCCAGTTGGAAGTAAACTGTTTTTCTGCTTGATTGAAACTTTGCACTGTTGGAAGTTGTTAAGAATACCACGTATTGCAGTCAAATATCTCCATATCTGATAATCAAAAATAGTAATAGCTCACATGTGTGTCCACTTAGCGAGGAGTTCCTGAGGCTGCAATGTTCTAGAAGTGACACTCAGCACTGGGGTGCAGGCCTCAGGTATAGAGATTCTGCCTTCAAGTTGCCCACACTCATTGGAGAGCAGACAGATAATTCAATGATAATGATGTGACGACGTTTTGGAATATCACCATTGTGCTTTCCTTTCTCTACCCCATTGCACTTGGCCTTTCCACCAGGGGAAGCAGGACTAAAAGGGTGAAAAATACCAGCGAGCTTTTCTTTTTCTTTTTGTTTTTTGACCTTCAAAATGGGCTTTTGATACCCAAAAGGAAGATTTGAGGGAAGCATGGTGCAAACTTTATGCCACACAGTTAATTTGAAACAGTTCTCTGTCTCACTTCTGGAGAAGAGTTCCTGGGCTGGGGCATGGTCTGGAGGGAAGGAGGAGAAGTTACCTTGTGGAGTTTGGTGGTGCCAGACAGGAGAGGGTCATATTTGGGTGCCCACAGAAAGGAGGGCAGGCTCAACAGAATGACTCTCTCCAACTTCATCCAAGACCTTGCTGAGCTGTGAAAGTGCCCTCTGTGGATGGTCCCTCTTTTCCAAGGTTTGGGGTACCTATATATCTCCGTCAAAAAAAAAAGACTAAGGGTTATGACATCATGAGAAGCTGTTAATGATAGTAAAGAAGACTGCACAAAGGTAACCACTTGCTTTTCCCAGAGAGTCACAATTCAGGAATCTAAAATCAATTTTTCTGTGGATGGCTATTGAACAATGAGAAAAGGATCAGTGCTGAGAGGTGGGGTGTCACCAAAGGGAGTTTCTATAGCCTAAACTTATGTATTGCTGGATAAGACCAGCAAGAGGGTGTCTCTGATAACACAGGCAGTATGATTATAGTTGTAGGATTTTAGTAGCATGGTTTTTGAACTCAATATGAAAACATCCAGCAAAAGACTCCCAAATGTATTTATATGAGAAACTTTACAAAGCCATGTGAATCAAATCATGTACAACCATATGTTGAATAAAATCCGCCTTAATTCAAGAAATAATTACATAAAATCAGTATCTTCCTGGAACACCCTACTTACCACCCAAAGCACAGAGTAGA
This sequence comes from Homo sapiens, assembly GCF_000001405.40. Taxonomy (NCBI): domain Eukaryota; kingdom Metazoa; phylum Chordata; class Mammalia; order Primates; family Hominidae; genus Homo; species Homo sapiens. The sequence continues at coordinate 108,335,347 of NC_000009.12, read as the reverse complement.
GAAAATATTATGAGCATTCTAAAATTGAGCATGTACGTATGACATAAGTAACATGTAAACATACTTTTATTTGTAAAAACAAACAAAAACATGGTTGATGGGATTGTGGGAGGGCTTCTTATTTTTCCAGTTTCAAATAATGAGCATGTATTTTATAATTAGAAAAATGTGATTATAATTTTTTAACATAGAAAATTGAGGATATATTATAATGAATAAAGAATTCTTAAAATTTTCTCTCTCAATTTGCTTGATATACCTATCAGAATAATAATTTATATACACACTTGAAATTTAATGTATTAATTGTTATTCTGATAGGTTTATCAAGAAAATTAAGAGAGAAAATTTTAAGAATTATTATTATGGTTTTTTAGAGGGAGATTATTTTTGTTTTTGTCCAACACCTGTTGGAGCTGTAACTCTACCTGAAGAATTTGACATTTTCATCATGACTAATAAAAGACTGCTGCTTCGAAAAGAAGAAAAAAAAGTAATTCTTTGTTCTTGAAATCAAAGACAAAGAATCATGTAGCTCTGTTTCCTCTAACTTACTTCATTCAGTTTGACTTATTTTAACATCTATTCCATGTCCTGTTTCAATACCCTGCTAGACATTGATCTCAACATTTCATTAGGAATTCTTGGTGGAAAGAAATTATTCTGAACATTTGTTCCTTGTTCTTACAGTAAATGAAGTGTCATTTACATTTCACATCTTTTCCTGCTAACCTGTAATCTCTTGAAGACTTTAGTAGTTTTCCATTATTAGCTCACAGACATTTATTATCATTTTCCCTCTTGATTTATGCTGAAACCTCAGTGATTGAATCATGATTCTCAGAATCATTATATAAAATTGTGTAAGTGCTCCATGAGCAAAAATATTTCTTTAAACTTCTTGACAACAAACTAAAGGAATTGGTTTCCTAGCTTTTCTCTTTATAAAAGGGCTGTGTTGTTATAATGGCACAATTTTAGCTTCTGTAGTTTGATCCTGTGTGAAGAGGTACAAATGTAGATTCTCGAAATGGCATTTTAGGGTGGAAAGAGCACCAGCATTAGAAGTGACAGACCTGAGTTTTCATCTTCAACACTCGGATAATTACTTGCTGTGTATTCTTCAGACAAGACTCTTCTGAGTCTCTGTTTTCTTGTTTTAGAGTCAGATTAAAAAAGAAACAGCTCCTTCTCAGAGTTGTTTTGAGGATGACAAATATAGTAAGTACCCTGTATGCAGCAAAAGCTCAATAAATGATAGTAATAGTTTATTCATATTTTTGCTCTTTGCTCTATCAATTCCTACTTTGGCAGAATGGCTGGCACATGGTGAATGATGAACACTGTGGCTCTCAGTTTTGGAATTTAGGAAAGCATAGTCTAGGATACAGGAGCTCTTATCTGTATAGTAGGCTTTAAAGTTCAACTGCTTCTTTTAGTATGCAAAGAACAGAGTGCTCAGTCACATGCTTGTGGTAACTAAGTAAGACAGCTACCACTATTGACATTTTAACTATGAACTTTGAAATACAACCAGAAAATCAGGAGGTTACCTCATTTTGTTAGCTGTGAACTCATTTACTTTTAAAATCAATAAATATTCATTGAGCACCTACCAAGTCCCTGGATACAGTGTGAAAAGGACAGGCAAGGCCTTTGGTTGCCTGGAAATGGCTTTTGAGTAGGGAGAGAGATAAATGAATACACAAAATAATTAGAGCTTGTCTGACATGTTGAGTAGCTCAGCTGAGAGCAACAGTGAACTTAGGACAGAGTGATTCCGGTCCTGGAAAACCTAGGTATAGGGTAACATTTAAGCTGCAGTGAGAAGCTGCAATTCTTCAGCGAGTGGGGTAAGATTGGTTCAGGAAGCCAGGAAAACACGTGCAAAGCCCCAAATCCAGGAATATGGGAAATTTGATAAATATCCAGGTTGTTTTCAGGGGCATGATAATCTTTTCTTTGATCATTCCACTTACTGAATAAGAGCTGATGAAGTGGAGCGTGACTCTTGCTAGCCATATATTAATATATTCTGGTACAAGATAGTCCAGAAGATTATATATAGGCAGGCAGAATTTTCTCTAAAACAGGTTTAATGGTCACTAAATAAAAACTATTCAGCCCTCTTGTTTGGTATTATAATTAGTAATAATGACACTAATACCATAGTTATATAGAACACTTGTAATTCACAGAATGTCAAGGAAATATTAGACTATTAAGTGGAGCTGGGGAATTGGGGTTGAGATCTATTTCCTCAGGCTCTCATGGGCACTGTTGATGTTCTCATCATCCAAGTCCACAAAATATCTTAGTTCGGGGAGATCTGAAGCTTCCATAGCAAGCTTGATTCCAAAATCGTTGCTTTGCCTAGGAGCTCCAGTGACAGGACACTCACAGGACCTCTCAGATCTCATCACCTCTTGTGCTATAGAAATCCTCTCTCCTCTATACTTTTTTCTTTTTTTTGAGATGGAGTCTCGCTCTGTCGCCCAGGCTGGAGTGCAGTGGTGCAATCTCGGCTCACTGTAAGCTTTGCCTCCCCGGTTCACGCCATGCCTCAGCCTCCCGAGCAGCAGTGACTACAGGCACCCGCCACCACGCCTGGCTAATTTTTGGTATTTTTAGTAGAGACGGGGTTTCACTGTGTTAGCCAGGATGGTCTCGATCTCCTGACCTCATGATCCGCCCGCCTTGGCCTCCCAAAGTGGTGGGACTACAGGCGTGAGCCACCGTGCCCGGCCTCCTCTATACTTTTGTGAGCCTCTGTTCTCCACTCAAAGGCACTCACTGCTCCAATCTCCTCAGCAAAGCTTTCTGAAGGTCTCACTTTTGGAAGCCAAGAGCCTGGGAGAAGATTGACTGTAGGCAAGAGAATGACCCTGGCTGCCCTTTTGAAATGGGGTGGGGAAAATAGAGTAAGAGCCAGACCCTAACATTTTCCATATCTGGAAGCCCAGAATGTAATAGAAATTTAGGTTCTGTTTTATCAAAGCTACACAAGTACGTATTTCTATGAAAAGCCTCTGCTCCTATGTTCCTGCACACAGAGGCCACCACTTGCAACCCTTCTAATAGAATCTTTTAGCATATATTTTCATGTATTTAAATCAAGCTTATGTTGCTACATCTTGATTTGTAAAAATCATTTTAAGTATGACTATTGATTCCCCATTATTGTATATGAGGATTTACCTTTATTCATATTTCTCATTCCCGCATTCTCTCAATATAATTTTATGGCCATATAAAAATGATTTATATCTGAGCATGAAGTATTGTGTGATTACTTTTCGTGCACAATATTTTGTTGCCTTTGGAATTAATCTTGTTTTTATCTTTTGCTTAGGTTTCTATGTAATCATCATTAATTCATCCCCAATCTTATCCCCTGTTGTGTAAATTTAAAACATGTTAGGCATTCTACTAATTTCATATCTTGGAAGGATGTTCTTCTGTACTCTTTTCACCAGCTCCAATGTAGACCAGTGTGGTGGACATGGTAGATGCATTGTCTAGAAGCCACTTCTAGGAGGGACTTGTTATTCCAGTTGCTGAGAATGAGTCAACAGATAGCTGTTACCTTCTTCATCTTCTTCCTTGGCTGCAGACAGCTCTCTTGCCCTAGAGCATGCCCTTCCCATATCCAATGACTGATAATGAGAAGGCTATAAAAGTCACTTCAGCCCACCGTGGGACAACTTTACTTGGCTGTAATGCTCCAGAGCTCCCTGAGGGGTTGGCCGAAGCTTTGTTGTGTCTGCATCATAATTCACCTTCTCCCTCTGCTCAATCTCGATTCTGCCCTCTCCTTTCTTTCCAATCCCTTAGACGCAATGGTCTCTAATAAATAGCCTGCATGCCAATTCCTTCTCCGCATCTGTTTCTGGAGAACCCCACTTAAAACAAATAGTTATTCTCCAGGGCTTCTTCAAGGAGTCAGCTGGTAATTTGCCTTCGCTATTAACCTGAGCTTCTCTTGGTTTTGCTGAGGTTGTTATTGTTGTGGCAAGAACACTTAATCTGAGATTTACCCGCTTAATAAAATTTTAAGTTGCAATACAGTATTACCAACAGATACTGATATGATTAGGCTTTGTGCCCCCACTCAAATCTCATCTTGAATTGTAATTCCCAGTGTTTAGAGAGAGATCACGGGGGTGGTTCCCCCATGCTGTTCTCATAGTGAATGAGTTCTCATGAGATCTGATGGTTTTATAAGGCAGTTTCCCTGGCTCTTGCTAGCTCTCTCCTTCCTGTAGTCATGTGAAGAAGGTCTTTGCTGCCCCTTTGCCTTCTGCCATAATTGTAAGTTTCCTGAGGCTTCCCCAGTCAAGCAGAACTGTGAGTCCATTAAACTTATTTTCTTTATAAATTACCCAGTCTCGGATCATTCTTTATAGCAGTGTGAAAATGGACTAATACAGATACCGTGTTGTACATCAGATCTCCAGTACTTTTCATCTTGCCTAACTGAAATTTTACACCCATTGAACAGCAACGCTCCATTTCCCCCTTCTCCAGCCCCTGTCAACTGTCATTCTATTCTCTGCTTCTATGAGTTTGACTATTTTAGATGCCTCATATGCATGGAATCATGTGGTATTCAACATTCTGTGTGCATTGTAATGTTGGTGGCGCTATTTCCCAGGTCACATGCCTCATCTTTGCTTTATTCTCTTATTTTGATGGAGCACATTCTGTAGTAGTGTCATGAGGAATAAAATATGGTGATAATTTTTAAAGAAGTTTTGAATGTCTAGAAATGGCTTTGTTCTGTCAACACATTTAATTGATAGCTTAGTTTGGTATAATCATCTGGAAAGGGCACATTTTCCCTTAAAATTTAAAGGCATTGCACAATTTTCCTTTGGTTCTAAGATTTCTGTTTACAATTAGGATGCCAATATAATTATTGACCTTTTATATGAAAACTATGTCTCTTTTTTGCAACTTGGGGGATCTTTTCTTTGTTCCTGTTATTTTGAAATTACATCTTCTTCCATCTTAGGATTCTGCTAAGTCTGTCACTAACTCATTCAGTTACTTTCCATTTTTCAAAATGCTGTTACTCTTAGCTCCTCTTTCTTTTCCTTGTCCTTGAATCTTTATACCTTAAAACAAATTAGTAGGTAGACAGACAGACAAACAATAACAAAAACATTGTAGCGTCTAATGGCATTTAAGTAGATTTTGGGAAAGAGAGAGCTGAGGTTAAGTGAGTGTGTTCAACCTGATATCTTAAACAGGGCTTTAATTAGACTTTTTTTTAAAGGAAAAATGTTTCCTTTTATATCTTTTTAAATTTTTTTAAAAAAATTTGTGAGTACATAGTAGGTGTATATATTTATGGGGTACATGAGATGTTTCGATATAGAAGTGCAATGTGAAATAAGCATATTATGGAGAATGAGGTATCCATCCCCTTGAGCATTTATCGTTTGAGTTACAAACAATTCAATTACATTCTTTATTTTTAAATGTACAATTATTGTTGACTATAGTCACCTATTGTGCTGTCACAAAGTAGGTCTTATTTATTATTTCTATTTTGTGTATGCATTAACCATCCCCACCTCTCCCCCACCCACTCCCCATTACTCTTCCCAGCCTCTGGTAACCATCCTACTCTCTATGTCCATGAGTTCAATTGATTTGATTTTTAGATTCCACAAGTAAGTGAGAAGATGTGATGTTTGTCTTTCTGTGCCTGGCTTATTTCACTTAATATATTGATCTCCAGTACGGTCCATGTTCCATTTATTCTTTTTTATGGCTGAATAGTACTCCATTATGTATGTGTACCATAGTTTTTTTATCCATTCATCTGTTTATGGACACCTGAGATGCTTCCAAATCTTATCTATGGTCAACAGTGCTGCAACAAACATAGGAGTGAAGCTATCTCTTCAATATACTGATTTCCTTTCTTTGGGTATATTCCCAGTAGTGGGATTGTGGGGTCATGTGGTAGCTCAATTTTTAAGTTTTTTGAGGAACCTCCAAACTGTTCTCCATAGTTGTTGTGCTAATTTGTATTCTCACCAACAGAAAGAGTTATCTTTTCTCCACATTCTCGTTAGCATTTGTTTTTGTCTGTCTTTTGGATATAAGCCATTATAACTGAGATGAGATGATATGTCATTTGGGTTTTGATTTGCATTTCTCTGATGATAAATGATGTTGACCACCCTTCATACACCTGTTTGCCATTTGTATATTTTTTTTTAGAAATGTTTCTTCAAATCTTTTGCCTATTTTTTTCATTAGAAAGATCCTTCACTTCTTTGGTCAAGTTAATTCCTAGGTATTTAGTTTTATGTGTGACTATTGTAAATGAGATTACTTTTTGATTTCCTTTTCATATTTTTCATTGTTGGTATATAGAAATGCTATTGATTTTTGTATGTTGATTTTGTATCCTGCATCTTTACTGAATTTGTTTATCAGTTCCAATCGTTTCTTGTGAAGTCTTTAGGTTTTTCTAAATATAAGATCATATTATCTGCAAACAAGGATAAATTTACTTATTTCTTTCCAATTTGGATGCCTTTTATATCTTTCTCTTGTCTAATTTCTCTAAGCAGGACTTCCAGTACTATGTTAAATAACAATGTTGACAGTGAACATCCTTGCTGTGTTCCAGATCTTAGAGGGAAAGCTTTCAGTTTTTCCCTATACAGTGTGATACTAGCTGTGGGTCAGTCATATATAGCTTTATTATGTTGAGGTGTGTTCCGTCTTTCCGTAGTTTTTTGAGGGTGTTCTTCATGAAGGGATGTTGAATTTTATCAAATACTTTTTCAGCATCAATTGAAATGATCATATTGTTTTTATCCTTCATTCTGTTGATGTGATGTATCACATCGATTGATTTGCATATGTCAAACCATCCTTGCATCCCAGGGATAAATTCCATTTGGTCATGATAAATGATCTTTGATATGTATTGTTGAATTTGATTTGCTAGCACTTTGTTGAGAATTTTTGCATCAGTGAGAATGATCCATGTGCTGAGGAAAAGAATGTGTATTCTGCAGCTCTTGGATGCAATGCTCTGTAAATATCTATTGGATCCATTTGATTGATACTGCAGATTAAGTCTGATGTTTCTGTGTTGATTTTCTGTCTGGAAGATCTATCCAATGCTGAAAATGGGGTGTTGAAGTGGATACCCTATTCTATTATTGTGTCATGATCTACCTCTCTTTTTAGCTCTAATAATATTGCCTTTATATATCTGGTTGTTCAGTGTATGTATATTTAAATTTGTGATATCCTCTTGCTGAATTGACTCCTTTATCATTATACAGTGACTTTCTTTGTCTCTTCCTATAGTTTTGGTCTTGAAACCTATTTTGTCTGATATAAGTATAGCAACTCCTGCTCTTTTTTTGGTTTCCATTGGCATGGAATATCTTTTTCCATTCCTTTCTTTTCAGTCTACATGTGTTTTTGTAGGTTAAGTGTGTTTCTTGTAGGCAACAAAGCAATGGGTCTTGTTTTTTCATCCTTTCAGTCAGTCCCTGCCTTTTAATTGGAGACTTTACTCCATTTACAGTCAATGTTATCACTGAGAAGTAAAGACTTATTCCTATCATTTTTATTTGTTTTCTGGTTGTTTTATGATCTTGTCTTCCTTCTCTCTTTCCTTCCTGTCCTCCTCTAGTAAATTTGATTTTCTCTGGTGATATAATTTAGTTTTTTGCTTTTTATTTCTTGTGTTCCCATTGTATGTTTTTTGGTTTGAGATTACCATGAGGCTTTCAAATATTATCTTATAACCCACTATTTTAACCAGAAAACAACCTAACACTACATGCATAAACAAAGAAGGAAACGAGCAAAAAGAAAACAAATAAAAACTATATGTCTTAACTTCGTCACCCAACTTTAAACTTTTTCTAGTGTCTAATTATCTCTTATTGTATTGACTATGTCTTGGAAAGTTGTTGTAGTTACCATTTTTGATCAGTTCATTGTTTAGTTTTTTTTTTTAGCGTAAGGGTAGTTTACACACCACAGTTAGTGTTAAAATATTCTGTTTTTCTGTGTACTTAACTATTACTAGTGAGTTTTGTACCTTCAGGTGATTATTTGCTCATCAATGTCATTTTCTTTCTGATTGAAGTGCTCCCATTAGCATTTCTTGTAGGACAGGTCTGGTATTGATGAAATCCCTCAGCTTTTGTTTGTCTGAGAAAGTCTATTTCTCCTTCAGGTTTGAAGGATATTTTCACCAGATATATTATTCTAAGGTAAAAAAGTTTTTTTCCTCCAGCACTTTAAATATGTCATGCCACTCTCTCCTGGCCTGTAAGGTTTTCACTGAAAAGTCTACTGACAGACATATTGGAGCTTCGTTGTATGCTATTTATTTATTTTCTCTTGCCGCTTTTAGAATCCTTAATTTATTCTTGACCTTTGGAAGTTTAATTATTAAATACCTTTAAGGTAGTCTTCTTTTGGTTAAATCTGCTTGGTGTTCTGTAACCTTCTTATACTTGGATATGGATTCTTTCTCTAGATTTGGGAAGTTCTCTGTTATTATCCCCTTGAATAAACTTTCTACCCCTATTTCTTTCTCTATCTTCTCTTTAAGGTCAATAACTTTTAGATTTGTCCTTTTGAGGCTATTTTCTAGATCCTGTAGATGTGTTTTATTGTTTTTTATTCTTTTTCCTTTTGTCTCCTTTGACTGTGTATTTTCTAATAGTCTACCTTCAAGCTCACTAATTCTCTCTTCTGTCTCTTCTGCTTGATCAACTCTCCTATTAAAGGACTCTGATGCATTCTTCAGTATGCCAATTACATTTTTCAGCTCCAGAATTTCTGCTTGATTCTTTTTAATTATTTCAATGTCTTTGTTAAATTTATCTGATACAATTCTGAATTCCTTTTCTGTGTTATATTGAATTTCTTTGAGTTTCCTCAACAAAGCTATTTTAAATTATCTGTCTGAAAGGTCACACACCTCTGTTCTCCAGGATTGGTCCTTGGTGTCTTATTTAGTTCAGTTGGTGAGGCCATGTTTTCCTGGATGGTATTGATGCTAGTAGATATTCTTTAATTTCCGGGCATTGAAGGGTTAGATATTTATTGTAGTCTTCACTGTCTGGGCTTATTTGTAGCCATCCTTCTTGGGAAGGCTTTTCAGACATTTGAAAGGACTTCAGTGTTGTCATCTAAGCTATTTCTGCTTCAGGGGACACCCCAAGCCCAGTAACACTGTGGTTCTTGCAGACTTGTAGAGGTACCACTTGATAGTCTTAGACAAGATCCAGGAGAACTCTCTGGATTACCAGGCAGAGACTCTTGTTCCCTTCCTTTACTTTCTCCCAATCGTACAGAATATCTCTCTCTCTCTGTTCTGAGCCACCTAAAGCAGAGGGTACAGGGACACAAGCATCCCTGTGGCCACCACAACTATGACTGCACTGGGTCAGACCTGAAATCAGCACAGTTCTGGGACTCACCCAAGGCCTGCTGTAACCACTCCCTAGCTACTGCCTATGCCCACTCAAGGCCCTGGAGCGCTGCAATCAGCAGATGGCAAAGCCAGCCAGGCCTGTGTCTTTCCCTTCAGGGTGTTAAGGTCCTCTGAACCCCAGATGGGTCCAGAAGTGCCATCTGGGAATCAGGGACTAGAGTCAAAAACCTTAGAAGTCTACCTGGTGTTGGCACTCAAAGCACACAACAGTCCTTCCCACTCTTCCTTCCCCTTTCCAAAAGCAGAAGAGCCTCACCCATAGCCACTCCCACCTGAGGCCATGAGGAGTACTGCCAGACTACTGCCAATGTTCCCTTAAGGCCCAAGGTCTCTAAAGTCAGCTTGTCATGAATGCTGTCTGGCCTTGGACTCACCCTTCAGGGCAGTGGGCTTAATTCTGGCCCAGAGTTGATCGAGAAATGCTGTCCAAGAGTCAAGTTCTGGAATCAAGGGCCCCAAGAGCCCGCTTGGTGTTCTACTCCCCTGTGGCCATGCTGGTACTTGAGGTGCAAGACAAAGTCCCCTTTACTTTTCCCTCTACTTCTTTCAAGCAGGAGTTTTGCCCCATACCTACCATTGCTGGTTATGTGCTGAGTTTCATCTGAAGACACCAAGTCTCAGACATTCACCCAAGGCCCTTGACATAGTATCTGGGTATTGCTGCTGGCTATTCAGGGCCCAAAGGCTCTTCAGCTAGCAGGTGATAATTGCTTCCAGGATTGGGTCCTTTTCTTCAAGGCAGTAGATTCCCTTCTGGCCCAGGGTGTATCTAGAAATGTCATTGGGGAACTAGGGCCTGAAACCAGGGCCTCATGACTGATTGGTGCCCTATCCTGCTATAGCTGGGCTGATATCCTAGATGCAAGTCCTACCCAGTCTTAATTATTCTCTTTTTAAGCAGTAGGAAGGGATCTTTTTTGGAGCCACAAGCTGTGCAGCTTGGGGTTTGGTGAGGGATAATGTCAACACTCCATCAGCTGCCCCAGCTGGTGTCTCTTTATGTCCAGTGGCCCCAAGTCCACGGTCTCTGGGACTAGTTCAGTACTAGGACTCACCAAGAGTTGCAGTCCTTATGGCCTATATAGCCTTTGAAGTGTACTTGGAGACACAGAGCATAGCCCTTGGTGGTGAGGTTTGCAAAAACCCAAGTTCAGATACCTGGGATCAGTAATTGCCCTCTGTCTAGGGCTAGGGCTGGTTTAAGTGCTCCCTCCATGGACAGGTGTCACTGAGTTTGGTCCAGTTTTCCTTTCTGCTCTAACAGGACACTACTGAGTTCAGTGCCTCACAATTGCTGTGTTTTCCATCCCTCAGTGCCCAGAGATGCTCTCTGCACCATGCCAAAACTGCCGGGGGTGGGAGAGGGTTTTTTTTTTAAATCTCTTCAGTGACTCTCAGTGATATGAAGCTACAACCACGTACTGTTAGTGCTCACCTGATTTTTGGTTCTCATGAAGGTGTTCTTTCTGTGTAGGTCATTGTTTACTTGGTGTCCTTGTAGGAAGGGTGATTGGTACAACTTTCTATTCTGTCATCTTGCTCTGCCCTCTGTAGCTGCTGTATCTTTGAAGTTAAACTATTGTATCTTTCTTCTCTTCCTCCATCCCCCTTTCGCCTCTTTTTCCGTAAGCATTAATTGAATAATTATACTATCCCAGACCTTAGGTTTATAAAGTTGTGCCTTGGTGTCTTTGACTCTAGATAGCCTCAGCAAGGGTAAGAAATATCTCTGTTCTTCTCAAGTCCAATCTTTTGCACACTGTGCTAAGAGTTAACCAAACTGCTGCCACCAGGTACTCAGAGTCATATTTCTGCATTAGAGGGAAGCTGGTCACCTGTGAATTTCCTTAAGACTCAGACCTAGGATGCCCATCTTCAATGAGTGTGAAGAGCTCATGTTCTTTAGAGGAAATATAAATAGTAAAATAGACCCTTAAGCACACCAGTGAAAATTCCTACCCACAATCCTTTTTTTTTGATAGGAATGACTACATGGTGAAAACAGAATCTCCTCCGCTGAAATTAATGAATAATGACTCCTGAGATGAGTAATAAATGAATCCTAATGAATCACCTGCTTACTTCTTTACATCCTTTGGAATTAGACATGACCTATACATGTCTAAAAACAACTGTTTAGCATTCTGTGCTAAGTTTTGTGAACTCGTAGGCCGTAATTCTTACATACACTAATTAGTTGGGAAAATTAGAAATAACTTTGAAAGCTCCTAACTTCTTGTTCTGTGTGTTGTAGGGACAAAATCACCTGCAGAAGAACCAGAAACTCCTGTTTGTTTTTCTTTTTGTTTTGCCATTATCCTTAATAGCTTTGTCACTTTGGGTAAGTTAGTTATCTCTGTAATATTTATGTTCCTTATTTATAACCTGGAGAAGATACGAATTTCTCCATAGGGTTGCATTAAATGAGTCAATGTATATAAAAGCTGTGAGCCCACACCATGTCCATATATGATAGGTCTTCAGTCAATGGTAGTTTTCTTCTCTTGTGTTATGTATATTTGACCAAGCACATTATAAATTTATGTGTAATAAAATTCTGGGGCCATACTTTCTTTAAAGAATCTATAAAAGAATCCAGTTTCATCTGTATTAACTGAATTGTGCATTCAGATGGATTTTAATCTCCTCCTCACACACTCGATCCTCACATTAAGGCCAATCAATTTAAGGTGGCGTGAGAGCCTCAAAATCAAGGAAGATTTCATAACTAGATTTAACTGCAGCAAAGAAAATGTGGGCCTTTAAATAAGAACTGACAGCAAAAGCAAAGATTAATCTTAATGGTGCACATTAACAATATGCAATTTGAGATTGGCAGTGGAGAATTGTCCCTGAGAACTGGCATTAGGCAGTATGGGTCTCGACATGGGAATTCTCATGGGAAAACTTTCATTCAATACACCCTTTCCATCCCAAAGACATTAGCATACCCAGAGACACACATGATCAGGGAAAGTGGCCTATTTAGATCAAATCATCCTGGGTACAGACTGTTTCCATTTAATATAATAGTCATTCAGCAGTAATGACTCTCTTAGAATAACTTAGAAGTGACAGGGAAATTGGATGGAGCTTCAAGTAGTTAGCTCTAGAAAAACAATGAAACAGTGATTAGAAGTCTTAAATTAAACCCTAAAGTCTACAAGGACTTGGAGGGTTTGTGACCATCTAGAAAGTGACAACAGAATAGAATCTGCTTTGGTTATTGGAGACTTTGAACAGGCTTGTTTTACAGAACTGTTGTCTTGGGTCAGATTCCAGAGTGAGAATGATACTGCTATGATCACCAGCTCCTCTTCATGACTATGGGTGGCAAGGAGCCAAAGAGCTGAGAAATTATGAGATGCCTACATGTTGCCTGCTTCAGGGCTGTTTACACTAATGTTGACTTTCTTGACTAGGGAGCAAAACATAGGTTTTTGTCACTCAATTGAGTAGATCCAATAACTACTATATTTGTCCTGTCTGACAAGAATAATATAAAAACTAAAGAAGTTATAGGAATGTCTCAGAAAAAGGAATAAACAAAAACATTATAGTTTTTACATTCCAAAGGATAAAATTGTTATAATTTGGTTAAAAGCTTATTTTATTAACTATACTTTATTAACAGCTGAAAGGATAGAAGAACAACTTTAATAACTGGGAAAATGCATTTTCTTTTCTAAGAAAGTATGTGTGTATTGTCTGAGAAATGCATTTTCTCAGTTATTGAAGTTGCTCTTGTATTCTTTTATTAAATGAGTAGTAGATTTTTATTGTAGAAAAAATTATATTTTCTAATACCACATATTCTGTATTCATATGTCTTTACAGAAAATACAAATATGTACCAGTAGTTATTGAGTAATCAGGTATTTCCCAGAAGGGCATCATCCTGGGAATCGGTGTGAGGTGGGATGGTTGTTGGTGGGGAGGGAACCACCCTGTGAAGTTGTGACAAGGATTTGAGAAATCTACACATGTCCCAAGAACTACCTATAAATTGAATCAATATTACATATTGTACATATGTAGTAGATATTAGGAATAGCACATGAAAATTTCTTTCACTTTATAAAGCTTTCATCACATTTCAGAAGTTTAGTGGCTACCTCTCTATTCTAAATTTTCAAATAGGATCTATCTACTGCCTCATCTGGTGTAGACTGCTATGTACCAGAAAGAGGTGCTAATGTATATACATGGAACTTCTCCTGGGCCAAACACTAAACTCAGGCTCAGGGGTTGTGTGGTATGCTCAAGGCCATGCAGCTAGTTAGAGATAGGGCCAGGTTTAAAACCCAGATTGGTCTAATTTTAAAGCCAAAATATTTTTACTCTACCATGGTACCTACCAACTGAGCAGACTGGCTGTTTTTGCATCATACTTTCAAAGATTCTGTTCCTATGTGGAAGTGGCAAGAATATGTGTGCATGGCGATGTGGAACTATGATTTTTATGTGTTGCTTTGAGCCACAGTATTCAGCCATTTAATGTAATGAAAGAGAAAATTAAGTAGTGCCCAGTGCATAGTAGGAAAAGGAAATGACCCTAAGCCCCTAGAAGAGTGGACAGAACCATGCCTGGGGAGTGAGGAGGCCTAGCTTCTCATTGCAGCCTGGCTGCTGATCTGTATGACCTTGGGGAGATCCTACCCTACTCTGACCTCTGTTCTCCCATTTATAAGATGAAAATGTAAAATCAAGCCCCAGGAACACACCAGATATATTTCTGGCTTTCTAATCCAACCATGCGAAGTGGTCAAGCTATGGAACAAAATTAGACTTGATTCAAGCCTTCCTTGTTATCATTAGCTGTATTTCTGGAGCAAATAATTTAATTTAATCTAATTTTTTAACCAATTTATTCTCTCCCAAAATCGTATTGATGAAGAAATCACAACAAACATTGTTCTCTCATTTACTTTGCCAAGAGGCGTGTAATGCTATAAACCCTGCTTCTGCAACTTTAGCATGTTGACTTCATTGTCAGAAAACAACAATGGGAAAATTACAAAAACTTTCTTCATGAGTGGAAAGTATTGCCAAATAGCCACAGGAGAAACCATGTTATAGTCAAATGGGTCCCAAGGACAGATTGTAGGTTTATACATATCATTCACCATAGAAATGTGCTCAATGAAACTTTCAAAGTTAATAAATGAAAAGACTATATTTTATTAGCAAACTACCTTAGAAGTAGCTATTAAATTAAGATACAACAATAACACAAGAGATTCTGGAACCCATTGGTCCCTGAGGATAGTGCCTGGAAGGGGCTCTTAGCTTGTGGCCCTCAAAGAAGGGATAAATGTTGAGGGACCTACCCTGGAGCATCCCCTAACTCCCGTCCTACCTGAAGGGTCAGAAAAAATCTCAGGGCTCTTCTAGCAGTGGACTGTCTAGGACCCAATATAGCTATCTTCATTTTGAATTGACGAGAAAAAAGGGATTGTTGACATTACTCTTTTGGAATTATCTGAGAGCTAAAAGGTTGCTTAGCACTAACAGAGAGGAACATATTCTTTTGAATCAGAGCACTTTATGGCTGGAAAATAACCCTGATGTTATGAAGTCTTGCAAACCATAGGAAAGGGATAAAGGCTTTAAGGGAGAGACTTTCTGACTTGCACAATGAGGAAAAAAAAAAATCAGGGACAGGATGGCTGGTGGGTCAAAACAGGGCCAAAAAGATGATGCATTTCATGTCACTATAAGTTCTTTGAGAAGAAAAAGAAAAACTAAAGTTTCCATTAGGAACTGAGAGCAAAGTTTCCATCAGGAACTGAGAGATCAAGAGGGAGCCAGAGATCATCACCACCAGAGAGCCAATCAATAAGAAGCAGCATAACAACGAAAAAAACAATATGACTCCTTTGCTCTTTTTAGGAACCCAACATTGCCTTGAGATAGACAAAAAACAGTCAGGAAGGTGGTCTTGATTTGAATCCTCCCATTGTGCGTGCATACAAAGAAGACCTTCCATTTTATCAATAAAGCCCAAATTCGATGGAGTTCCTCAGTGTTATGAAACAACTGCCCTATGGCACTTTGAAAGGAGAGGGCAATATGGCTTAAAATGACAACTTATGAATGTGCAGCAGTGAGAATGAGGGCCACTGTGTCCAACCCCACAGCACACTGACAGAGAAAGCTGCCTGGATGTGTCAGACAGTCTCCCTTCTAGTTCTGGAAAAGTCACCCTCTGTCGGAACCCTCATTTGTCAGATGAGTGGTCGTTGGCATTATCTATTCCTTCCATCTTCAAGGGTTGCTAGGGTGATAAGGGGAGACTAATGGTGCCAGGCAACCCTAGGAATTTTCACTTTCAATGCTTGAGCCAAAGAATCAGTTTTGTCCAAGCATGGTAGGGGCCGAGAATTGCTGTATTTGTGCAATAGTTTTCAAGGAAACAGAAAAAAGAAGAGGAGTTACATGTAATCTGAGAAAACTGGGCCCAATGAGGCTGACCTGTAAGGAGGACAAATAGCCCTCCTACTAGGATCCCTCACACCTTTCCCTGCACTACTTCAGTCCTTCTTGGAAGCCTAGCCCTTTAAACAGATTATATAGTGATTCTTTGGCTACATCTCTGAGCTTCTTCAGGTCAGCCTGGCAGCTCTTTATCCCACATACAATCCAGGAAAATGGCTTTGACTGGTGTATTAGTCCATCCTCACACTGCTAATAAGGACATAGCTGAGACTGGGTAATTTATAAAGGAAAGAGGTTTAATTGACTCACAATTCCACAGGGCTGGGGAGGCCTCAGGAAACTTAAAATCATGGTGGAAGGAGAAGCAAACACATCCTTCCTCACATGGTGGCAGCAAGGAGAAGTGCAGAGCAAAGAGGGGGAAAGCCCCTTATAAAACTATCAGATCTTGTGAGAACTCACTCACTATCATGAGAATAGGATGGAGGTAACTGCCCCTATGATCCAATTACCTCCCACTTGTCCCTCCCACAACATGTGGGGATTATGGTAACTACAGTTCAAGGTGAGATTTGGGTGGGGACACAGCCAAATCATATCAACTGGTTTCTGGAGAACCAGGTTCTTGTTCAAGTGGCTTTGGTTCTGCCCAACATCCACATTGTTGTTTATTTTTATCAATCATTCTTACCTGGTGACAGGCCTTGGTGAGTCTGCAAGTGACCATAAAATAAAATCACATTCCTTTTTGAGAATGTGGGCTTGAGACAAAGACCAAGGTCTTTGGTAAACTCCTTCTGATGGACCCTATAGAAGCAAGGGTGAGGGAGGTCTCCTTTCTCAGGTCATTAGTAGGCCTCATGTCCTTATCCATGCACACAAAGTAGTCCACCCCAGGGAGGAAGGCTGCTGGAGAAATGACCTGCCAGTGGGAATTGTTTGGAGCCCCAATACCAGCAACTGTCTTATCTGTCTCAGATAGCGATGTGGGAAACACCATTTGAGTAGTTGGTGAAGATGGCCCTGGTCCCCCTATGACATGCTTCTCTAGATTTCAAGGCAAAGATTCACGAAGACCACATATCTTTTATGCAAGCCTTGTTCATCCAATTGTGGTGTTCTAGGGTCTAAGCTCCACTTGCATATCAATGTTGAAAATGGGAGAAAGCAAAAGTGTTTTAGGGGCTTTAGGACCCTTGGCTGGGGTTGTGCCATCCCTGGTAATTGTACATTTTACTGGGAGTGCATCTTTCCTCCAGCTACCATTGGCTTATCTATCATAACATCTAGCTTTTGTCAGGTTCAGGGCACCATAATTATAAAAGCCCATGGAGTGAACAAATGTGTGGGAAAAAACCCACATAGTAAGGACATATCATTTTGGTTTTCCAACCATCACTGGGAAGAGCTTTGCCTTGGCTCTCAGTCCATCAGACAGATACAGGGCACCTGGCCCTGGGCCACCACACAAGAGCCCATCTTACCCTAGAGCGATGCATGCATGCACACTGCTGACCCCACACACACTGCTGATCCCCAGTGGTCAACCCTGGTGGGAAGTAGAGCAGTGATAACCCTTTCCCCATTTAGTCTTTCTGAACCATAGCCCTCTCAAGTATAAACTGAGTGGAATAATAGCTTCTGGTGAAGCAGGTCCTTGCTGGGGTATTGTGAGAATCAAAAGAGATAACTGATTTCATTTCTCAGCACAGTGTCTAACTAGTTCCATTCTTTTTCTGCTTCTATTTTCCATTTCTGAATTAGAACCAATCCAGATTTACTCTGGAGTCAATCTCCAAAGCCAAAATCCTCTAATCCAGCGGTCCCCAACTATCTTGGCATCAAGAACTGGTTTCGTGGAAGACAGTTTTTCCATGGATGAGGTGGTGGGGTGGGAGGATGGTTTCCAGATGATTCAAGCACATTACATTTATTGCACACTTTATTTCTATTATTATGACATTGTAATATATAATGAAATAATTATACAATTCACTATAATGTAGAATCAGTGGGAGCCCTGAGCTTGTTTTTCTGCAACCAGACGGTCCCATGTGGGGGTAATGGGAGACAGTGACAGATCATCAGGCATTAGATTCTCATAAGAAATGTGCAACCTGGATCCCTTGCATGCGCAGTTCACAGCAGGGTTTGCACTCCTATGAGAATCTAATGCCCTCACTGATCTGACGGTAGACAGAGCTCAGGTCGTAATGTGAGTGATGGGGAGTGGCTGTAAAGTACAGATGAAAAGTAAAGCTCACCCACTACTGACCTCCTGCTGTGTGGCGTGGTTCCTAACAGGCCACAGACCAGTACTGATTCCTGGCCCAGGGTTTGGAGATGCCTGCTCTAATCCTCTTCTCTCTTGGGGAAAACAAATAAATTCTACACTTTTTTTTTCCCCTTAGAACTGGAGCTCTTTATGAAATGGTTGGCTGACCACTCAAACCTTATCTCCCACCTCTCTGTCTTCACAGGACCCTCACTCCTGCCCCTACCCTTTGGTTCTAGCTATACCAGAGCCTCAAATCAGTTGCATTCCCTGGGCCACCTCTGACCATTGCTCTCAGCACTGTGAGTCACACTGTAATGCAATGTGCCATGTCTAGTTCCTCTTCTAGACTCTGTGCTCCTTGAGGGAAAGGATCAGATCATGTCTTGCTCATATTTGTTATAGTGCCCAGTGTGTAACTAACACACTTTTGATTAATAAAACATCAAAGCAGACACAGGGGTTGGGGGGGGGAGTTGTATGGGTGGCCTGAATATTGTAGAGAGATCCTCTTAGTTTCTTTGAAGATTTTCCACCAAATAAATACATATGATTTCATTTTAGAGGGGAGGATAATTGATTTTTCTCTATGAACAAGGAAGACACTTCCTTCTTCTTCTCCTTTTTTTTCTTTTAACAGATGTGTGATGAAGGACATAAATTACACAGGAAACAGGACGAGAAGACATAAACCTGTTTAATCCAATTATACATTTCCATCAACAGGCGGGGTCCCAAGAGAAGGGAGGGTGATTCAGGAGACAGGGGCCGTTAGGAAACTTTCTTCTTCACTCTTTGTAGGAAGGAAAGAGAGCAAAGGAGAGGAGAAGAAGATAGAACAGCTCTCATAGGAAGTGAGAAGCAATGCGTTTGTTACACAACACAAAACTATGTTGAGAAAAGTGTCCTGTCTTTGGAATGTTAAACAGTGGATACATAAACCATTTTTTGAAGACAAATGGAAAGCAAAAAACACCCAAACAAAACAAAACAAAGAAACTAGAGTGAAAAACAAAACAAAACAAGAACCAACCTTTTAAAAGAAAAGGCAATCTAATTTAGCTAGGAAAAGTCATGCTTGAAGCCAGATGCAGACAACACAGAATTCATAATTCCAAGGACCAGGTGCTAAGGAAGAGCACTGGGGTGGGGGCGACAGAGGACAGCTGGCGCACTTTCATTTCATAGACTCCACCTGATTTAAGTCTTAATATAACAATTCCATAAAGCAAAAGTTTGTTACTTACATTTTGCAAATAAAATGAAATTCAGAATTTAACTATTTCAAGGTTAAGATTTTTCTTCAGCTGGTTAATGGGACAATGAAGATTTGATCCCGTGTCTACACGACATCTTCCCCATCTCCTTCACTGTACCATGCTCCCTGCTATAATGGAAGGTAGCCCATTGGAGCCTATTCCCCTGTCTGCTGGCTCTGGGCTATTTGCTCAGCTGGTCTTGAACCCCAGGGCAGGACCTCACAGTAATCCCTTATTGTAATGCTCAGAATTCAGTGTTCATTACTACCCCAGTGGACCTCTCCCTTTTTCTTTCATATAGCCTCATTCCTCCTTCCAGATTCATTCTAATCCAGTGGTCCCCTACCACAGAGGCTGACTCTGGAGTGCTTACCTGTAAGTCAGGCTGATGGAGTGAGCACCACCTGGACTCTTGCCCATCAGCATGGCAGGGGGCAGAAAGTGTGCCGGAGGGTCTTAAACTAGCAATTACACACTCCAGCCCAGAAGTGAAACCACTCACCATTCATTTGCCAGAGCCAGGCACATGGAAACCCAAGCCCTGGAAATATTTGGTAAACAGCATCATTAACTACTGCAGCACCTGTTACCTTATATTTAATTAACATACCATGCATTTTACATGTTTATTATGTTTATTTTCTATCTCTCCATCCAGGTGCTCTCTGTACACAGAGGGTTTTGTCTGTTTGGTCACCGATATATCTTCAGTGCCCAGAACAGTGCATGGCAATGGCAGACTCTCAACTGATGGTTTAAAGAGTGAGTAAATATTGTCAGTTCTGCTCCTTACTTGCTGAGTGGTCTTGGGCAAGTTGTTTGTACTTCTTGAGCCTCCAAGTGTCTTTTTAGAAAATGAGGATAAAGGGATGATTTCTCACAGAATTGTGGTTGGAATTAAAGAGATAAGCAGCAGAGTGTCTAACACAAATCCTAGCCCTTAATAAGCTCTGAATAAATATTTGTTTCTTTCAACCTCCCGTGGCCAAATTAGCCTCTGACTTTTAATCAAATTCTCAAGCAAATTTATGTTAAAAAATAGAGCAACAATGTAGTTTGAATACATTCAGTAACATCTCTCTTTCCTGCCCAGTGTGCAGAACAACACTGATGCTCCTTCCAGAAAATTTTTTTCCTAGAATTGCTGGAAAACTCTGTAAATGGAGCAAGCTTTAAAACTCAGGGTGGAGACAGGGCTGGGTACAGCCACCAGTCAAGTCTTTCAAACAGTGTAACAAATGATGTGTGGATGCAACTAGGGAAAACACATTCATTCACAAGTCTGGCTGAATCACATTTAGCCCCCAGGTGCACTTGACCTGTTAACAACATTTAGACAGATTTATCAGCCGTAAACTTTGCACCAGCAAAAAATATATAGGCATTATGGACAACAGTATGAAGTTTCCTCAGAAGACTAAAAATGGAATTACCACACAATCCAGTAATCTCACTTCTGGTTGTATATCCAAAGGAATTAAAATCAGTATGCTGAAGAGATACCTGCACTCACATGTTAATTGCAGCATTATTCATAATAGCTAAACTATAGAAACAACCCAGATGTCCATCATCAGATGAACTGATAAATAAAATAGGGTATATATTCACAGTGGAATACTACTCAGCCTTAAAAAGGTGAGAAATCCTGTCATTTTTGACAACATGGATGAAGCTGGAGGGCATTATGCAAACTGAAATAAGCCAGGCAGAGAAAGACAAATACCACATGATCTCACATATATGTGGGATCTAAAACTGTTGAATTCATAAAAGTGGAGAGTAGAATGATGGTTACCAGAGGCTAGGAAGGGGGGTGGATGGGGAAAGGGAGATGTTGATGAAAAGGTACAACATTTCAGTTAGGCAGTAGGAATAGACTTTAGTCTATTGCACAGAATGGTGACTCTAATAATAATCCTTGTGTATTTCCAAATCGCAAAAATATTTTAAATGTTTTCACCCCCCCAAAATGATAAGTATGTGAGTTGATACGTTTAATTAGCCTGATGTAGTCATTCCACATTGGAAATATATATCAAAACATCACATTGTAACTTGTACCTAGATACAATTATTATTTATTCATTTAAAATGAAACTAAATAAATGTCACTAACCCACTTATTTTTCTTCTTCCCAACATAAACAAGAAGGATTTGTTGGCAACAAGGGACATTCAGACAAATTAAGTAAAGGATTTGATCCTCTCTGCCACTTCCTCAGTGGCCTACCTGGTGTGGCAAACTGCACATTCACTTCAGGTGTCAAGTTCACAGAAGCCTGAAGAGTTTCTAGGGACAAATATGCGCGTGGTGTTTGTGCTTCAGCTAGGGCTGGTGAGCATAGTTACAAGAGCCTGGACTGAGTAAGGAAAGAAAGAGCATGTCCTTCATTAACACCGAAACAAAAAGAGAAAAAAGAAAGCAGGCATACAAGTCATATAAAACTTTCCACTTTTGGGGATTCTCTTCCTTTCGTATTTTTATGAGATCATTTGCTTGGAAATGTATTGTTTGAAAAATTAAACGGAGTTCTTTTAACATGCCCCAGATCGAACTGATTGCAATGAATCAGAGTACCATAAGCCTTGTGTTTATGAAACATCTTTCAGGATACAGTGGAAAGAGAATGAAATTTGGACTCAAGAAGTGAGTCCACGCTCCACAGTTTACTGGCTGCATCAGTTTGTGTAAATTGTTAACTCTCTAAACCTCACTTTCTTCATCCTTAATATGGGGACTATAAAACCTAATTTATGGGGCTCTGGTGAGAATTCCATGAGCTAATGTTTGTAAAATGCTGTTAGCAATTTTAAAGTGCAGTGATGGTATTTATAATTATTCTGGAGAATTATTAAACAATTCAAAAAAAATTTCTATTTATCCTGGGAGAAGAGATAAAGACTTACCACTGTCTTCTCTTATAGTCACTCTCCACTTTTTTACAGCACCAATTAGTGTGTGTGCCTTAATATACTACTATATGTATTATATACACTATTATATATTTGTATATATACTAATAATCCATTATATTACGTAGATGGAGAGAGAGAGAGAGAGAGAAAACTTCCCTTGGTTAATATTTCCATTGTCATTTATAATTTCTTTCCTAGACTGTTGTAATAGCTCCTGAACCAGATTGGCTGTCTTTGTGCTGTGTTTCTAATCCAAAGTAATCTGAATTAACTGCATATCTGACCATGTCACTTCACCTTAAGAGCCTCTAAACCAGTCTAAAGCTCAAAGTCCTTAGTTTAGTCCAGTGATTCTCAACAGAGGGAGGGGAAGGTGTGAATTTGCCCCTACCTCTGCTGGTCATTTTATAATATCTGGAGACATTTTGGGGTGTCATGACAGGGTTGTGATAGAGGGGCTTGCTACTGGCATTCAGTGAATAGAGGCCAGGGCTAAACATTCTGCAATGCACAGTACAGACTCTCATAGCAATCACCCTGTCCAGCATGTCAATAGCGCCAAGGTTGAGAAATCTGCATTCAGCTCATGAGTTCTCCCTAACAGGCCTCTACCTACCAAGGCCCAAATTCATCACTGCCTTCACACTCTGGCCTCTAGCTTCAGTGAATTACTCTCACATCCCCAGGTCATTCCAATTGTTCCCAGATGGCATGGCATCTTTGGGCCTTTGTCCTGGCTGTTTCCCGTGTTGAACTTGCTTACCCTGCCTTCCCCAGCTGCCAAATTCTGCCTCCCATTATTTGGAAGACCCCCTTTCCCCTCTTGTCCTTTAGAAAGCCTTTCACATACCTCAGGCCTCTTCTCTGTGTGTCCACAGTCCCCTTGGTCTCCCTCTCTCACTTGACTTATCAGACTATAATAAAATAGAGCTAATTCGGTGATGATGTCTTTTTGAATTGAACTCTCTCAGCCATCTGTGAGTTCAGAAGGGGCTGGGACTATTTCTTCTTCATCTTTGCAGCCTCAGAGCCTCAGAGCCCAGCATTGGCTGGACACATCATCTCAGTAAATATGTGTTGACTGAAATGTAGGACAAAGCCAAATCAGTGACTATCTTTGAGTTGAAGCTGCAAAGTTGTTTTGGAATATCGTAAGGGGAACCACTGAAACAAAGATTCCGTCCTTAAGGACAAAGTTTACCATGCATCCTAGACTGTCAAGGATAGTCCCATTTCACTAATGATGGTTAACATTTATTAATTTGATTGTGTGACAAGAACTTGCAAGGGTTTTATGTTGAATCTTCACTTTACTGAATGAGTACTCTTCTATGTCTTTTCATTATTTCCATTTTATAGGTGTAGAGACTGAGACTTGGAGTTTAAGAAAAGATGACACACAACAAGTAGTGAAGCCAGGATTCATTCCAGGCATCCAGACTCTTCAAACCACCCTCTCAACTGCTGTGCTAGATCAATCAGCTGTTAGATTCATTGTCCTGATACATGGTCCCCTGGGAATACAGTTTCAGTGGGTCTACATTTCAGAGATGAAAAAAATAGAGCTTGCAGGAGACAGTCATTAATAACAGGTCCATGTCACAGCCAGACATTAGTCTGAAGTCTTTCTATTCAACAATATCACAATGATTCAGTGGTACTCTCAACTAAGCCTATTCTTTGTCAAAATTTGCCCGTCAGCTGGGGCAAAGAAGCCTGCACTTGTAGGTCTTGCATGATAACAGACATTGCATCTTAGCACCCACCTTGGGGACCCGCTGCAAATAGATCTCTGACAATTACTTAAGCCCTTAGAAATCTTTACCAGATCTGGGACAACTTTGATTCCTGTCTGGTACAAATCCTGCATCCTGGGAGGTCTCTGTGCTGAATCCCATTTGCTACAGATCTCTAAAAGCTTGCAGGCTGCTTAACTCTTCCCAAACTTTTTGGTTTAAAAATACATTCCTAGTCAGTGGGTCTGAGTGCATTCTTTGTGCCTAGAGAATGCTGTTCCCTTCAGCTTTGGAGCAGGCCAGCACACAGCTCAGACCAAAAAATGTGACACTCCATTTTCAGACTGTGTGGCCTCAGAGCATAATGTGGGCAGACGTGGGTTCCCATGCAATTCTGAGAAGGCAGTGCTTTTCCAGGGTGGTCTAGTGGTCTTGGATTGCAGTCGGCTCCATGTGCTCAGATCTTTTGGAAAATCTCACAGAAAGTTTATTACAGAAATTCTTACTCTTGTCTTCTTTCCTCTAGGGTTGTCTTTTCCAAGGCCCATCACCTGCTTCACAGGTATGTGGTTGTCATTCATCAAGTGTGTTTCCTGACTTGCTTTAGTTCTTTTCATGTATAAGCACTCCCTGAGTACCCTTCTGTGCCAGGCACTCTGGTAGGTGCTGGAGCACAGGAATCTAAATGCAAGTCCACTCTCAGAGTGTTTACAGTCTAGTGGGAAAGACACAATGAAACCGACTAAAGGTGATTAGTCTTAAAACAGAAGTTTAGCAAGCCAGGAGTACACCCAAGAAGGGCCCCAAATAAGTCCTGGAAGTCAAAGATAACTTCTTGGGTGATGGCCAAACTGATTTACAAAAGACAGAGATGAGTCGGGAAGAGGGTATTGAAGGAGATGGGAGGCAAGGATCCCAGGCAAGAGAAATAGGATGTACAAAGTCCCTGGGGCAAGTAAGAGTGGAGCGTGTTTGGGAAGGGCAGGTAATTCAGTCTGGCTGGAAGGTAGAGGATGTCTGTGGTGCTGGTCATGGCAGGTGGAGGGGAAGGTAGTGAGAGAGGAAGTTAGAGAGAGTGCCATGTGTTGTGTCCTGTGGGACATGGCAGGCCATGCTTAGGATTTTGAACTTTATCTTGAGGAAATATGAGACAGATTTTAATCAAGAACATGACATGATCAGCTTTGTCTTTTGTTAAGCCCAGTTATACAGAGATTCAGCAGAAATGCCTGGAACCTTTGTGACTGAGTTTTTATCAGATCAGAAACTTGTTTCCACCCTTGTCATCGGAACCCATGCAGGGAATGTTAGGGCAGACCCTCTGGGCAGGTTGATGATGGAGAGCTGTGACAGAGTCTAGGAAGACTTCAGAGATCCAGAAGCAAGGGGTAGACAGCATTAATCCTGGGAGTAGGTGGAATGCCAGGACCTAGGGAGACAGGATAAGCAGGAAGGAACAGAAAGAGGACTGGCTTCCAACAGGCTCCACTCCCTGGGGGCAGCTGCAGTTTCAGACAAGTAAGTGCCAGCAGAGCTAAAATTTAGGGATTCAAATCAAGGTTGAAGCCTAAGGTTCCTGAAGGGTTACCCACAAGAGGAGAGGGTCAAACATTTACCTAGTACTAGACACCGAGGAAGGTACTTTGTAAACATCCGTCTTCCATCTGTGCTGTCAAGTAGGCATCATTATTTGCGTCTGCCAACTGAGAAGAGAGAAGCTTAGAGAGGTGCAGTAACTTGCCCAAGATTGCACAGCTAGTAAGTACAGAGCCAGGTTTTACATCAGCGTTCTCTATTTCAAACCTGTTTTCACCAAATGTTAGAGTTGGCACTCAACCCCAAATCAATCCTAATAATCCATTACGCTCTGATGTCCCTTTTAATTTTCTTCTTTAAATGAGAAGTGGGTCTTCATGAACGATTTCCCCACATGACATCTGCATCCTAAAATACTTTGCATCAAGAATTGTGTGGATCCAGATCCCCTACCAGAAACATCATCTCACACGGGGGGCTGCTGCCTGCATGGCCATGCGGAAGTTTCTCCCGCTTCTTCCCATCAGCACTCATTGTCGCAGATGCCCAAATGCAGTTCCTTGTTCCTTCACAGACTGACATACCTCTTTCTTTTGTAACTCAATGTCCATCCATCAGGTAAGAGAGGCATTGGCCCCCACATGATTTTTGGGGTGCAGACCACATTGTCCTAGACCTGAAGTTCTATGGACTCTATCTCAATCTTCTCCAAAGGACCACTCCTAGCCAGCACCCCTGAATAACTTTAGTCATTACAAATAAAATTAGTCCCATTTATCTGAAATATGGAGCCAACATGGTGGCATGGAAAGAGCTGGGGCTTTGAGTCTATCAGACCTAGACCCCCAGCTGTGCCTGTGTGAACTTTGGTGAGTCCCTTAAATTTGCTGAGGCCCAATGTCCTCATTTGTATATGGAGATCATAATGCCTACCTCCCAGGACTGTTTTGAGAATTACTTGAGTAGATCTTGGTGCAATGCCTGGCCAGTAATGCAGAAGAAAAAATAATCAGTACAACCATTATTACCATAGACAACCCTCCTCCATATCTAGGCAATGAACCATTCAAAGCATCTTTATAATTTGTGTGCATAGGGAGTGGGTTTTTTTTTTCTTATTCCCCCAAGGTGTGTGGATGAATTCCAGAGCCAAGTGAGACACTGCAGCTCAGGAACAAAACATAATTTTGTGACTTTTCCACAACAAGAACTTGTATGCATTCCTACTTCACAAGGTGGTGGTAAGGGTCAATATCAAGCAAACAATCAAACCCCTTTGTAAACTATAAAATAGTGCATTTGTCCCTCTTTATTTTATTTTATTTTTAGTTTTTTGAGAGGGAGTCTCACTCTGTTGTCTAGGCTGGAGTGCAATGGCATGATCTCGGCTCACTGCAACCTCCGCTTCCCAGGTTCGAGCGATTGTCTTGCCTCAGCCTCCCAAGTAGCTGGGATTATAGGTGCCCACCACCATGCCTGGCTAATTATTTGTATTTTTAATAGAGACGAGGTTTCACCGTGTTAGCCAGGATGGTCTCGATCTCCTGACCTTGTGATCCACCCGCCTCTGCCTCCTAAAGTGCTGGGATTACAGTCATGAGCCACCACACCCGGCCCCTCTTTATTTTTATGATCTTTATGTTTTGAACCAATTTTTTTCCAATGTAATTGATATACAATACAATGCTCACATTTTAAGTGTACACCTTGATGAGTTTTGACAAATGTATACACAAGTGTGACCACCACTTCAGTCATGACACATAAGATTTTCATTGCTCCAAAAACTTCCCGGATGGCCCTTTGTAGTTGATCCCCCACATATTCCTTGCCTCAGGGAAACACTTTTCTGATTTCCATTATTATAAATTAGTTTTACATGATCAAGGACTTTATGTAAATTAAATCATACTGGGTGTGCTCTTTCATTTCTTCTTTCACTCAGCATAGTGTTTAAGATTTTTCCATATTGTACCTATCAGTGGTCTGTTCCTTTTTATTACTGATTAGTATTCCATTGTTTGAATATACCATCGTTCAGTTATCTACTCACCAGTAGATAACATTTGGGCTATTTCCCATGATGAACATTTGGGTTATTTCCAGTTTGGGGTGGTTGTGAATAAAGTTGCTTTAAATATTCATGTAAATGAATTTTTTTCATGTAAATGAATATGTTTTTATTTCTCTTCAATACCTAGTATTGAAACTGCTGAATGAAGTGTATGATTAACTTTAAAAGAAACTACCAATCTTTTTTCTAAAGTGGTTGCACCATTTTGCAACCGAAGCATCAATGTATGAATTGCCCCATGTCTGTGTCAACACTTCTTATTATCACTCTTTGAATTTTAGTCATTTAAGTGATGTGTAATGGGATTTAATTGTGGTTTTAATTTGTATTTCCCTGATGATTACAGATGTTTGCTCTCTTTTTATGCTCTGTGGCCATTAATATATCTTCTTTTATCAAGTGCCTATTCAAATCTTTAGTCCATTTATTTATTTGTTTAAATTTTTCTCTTACTATTATTGAGTTGGAAGACTTATTTTTATGATCTAGATTCTAGTCCTTTGTCACATATCCATATTGTGAATATCTTCTCCCTGTCTGTGGCTAACCTTTTCATTTTCTTAATAATATTTTTAAGAGCAGAAAGTTTTAATTTTTATGAAGATAAATTTATTATTGTTTGCCTTCATGATCCATGCTTATTGTGTTTTGTTTAGGAAATCTTTGCCTATCCAAGGTTTATGAATATTTTATCCTTTGTTTTGTTCTAGAACTTGTGTTGTTTTATCTTTTATGTTTTAGTCTGTGGTTTATTTTGCATTAAATTTTGCATATGGCAACAGGTAGGAGCTAAGATTCTTTTTCAGTTTTTGCACATGGATATTCAGCTGTTTTAGAAGTCTATATGGAAAATACTTTCATTGAGTTATGCTGATGTATTTGTCAAAAGTCAATTGACCATATATATGTGCGGGTTCATATCTGGACTACTTAGTTAAACTGTGTCTATATCTTTGGCCAATAGAATTATGTATTGCCTCTTGACGTTTATGGTAAATCTTTATATTAGGTAGGGTGAGTCACCCAATATTTGTACTTTTTCAGTACTGCTTTTGCTATTCTTGGTTTTTTGCACTCCCATATAAATTTTTGAATCATCTTGCCTGCTAGAAATTTGGTTGCATTACATCAGTGGATCAATTTGTAAATAAATTAAATTTTCTAATTCATAAACATAGTATCCCTAAACATTTATTTAGACTTTCAAATGTTGACAATATTGAGTTTTATAACACTGAGCTTTCTGATGCATAAACATAGTACTTTTATACATTTATTTAGATGTTTAAAATTTTTTCTAGCTAGGTGCAGTGGCTTATGCCTGTAATCCAAATGCTTTTGGAGGTCAAGATAGAAGGATCACCTGAGCCCAAACTTTTTCTCAGGAAATTTTTCTCAGGAAAGTTTATAGTTTGTAATGTAGAGTGTTTGTATATCTTTCATTAATTTATTTCTAATAAGATTATATTTCTATGCTATTGCAAATAGTACTTTAAATTTAATTTTCTAATTATTTGCTGCTACTTTTAAGCATTATGGTAGGAGAGCTTGTGTGGTACCAGATATTGTATAATAGCCAGAGGCAAGATTTTCTTTTCAGTAATAACTATGGAAAAATTGAAGCATCTCCTCCTAAATTGTTATTTTTCTTCTTTTAAAAATGTTTCCAGGATTCCACATGAAATATACTATTTTTGGTCTCTGTTACATTCCAAAGCATTAAGTAGATGAGCAGGTTGTGTGTGTGTGTCGGGGCGGGGTCGGGGGGGGGCGGGGGTGGGTTTGTGTTTGTGGCTGCTGCTTGGATCATAAGTTCTCTTCTGAAGAAATTTATCACTGACGACTTTCTACCTGCCCCCCGCCCACACTTTTTTTCTTTTTGGCACCAGTAAAATAAGAACAATCTGTAAGATAGCAGGTATAGTACTCTGTACGTTTGGTTCGTTTACAAGCTTGGAAGCCTCTCAGCCTTCTTTATGACCAGTTTAGAGACATGGCTGAAATATTAGCTGAATTACTAAGCTTAAATTAGAAAGCACATAGAAGGGCAAATATTGATTTCTTCCACAAAGTTGTTGTATTTGCACTCAAGGCACTCTTGGAAACTTGAAAAAGACAGATTATGAGCAAAATGAAACATACTAAACTCAGACTAAAAATAACTATGTAAATTCTTATACAGGAGGGTTACAAAGTATTAATGGCATGTTTTTGTATTCTACCTTCTGCTTTCATTTGTTCGTTTGTTTGTTTTTGAGATAGAGTCTCGCTCATTGCCCCGGCTGGAGTGCAAATGCGCAATCTCAGCTCTCAGCTCACTGCAACCTCTGCCTCCTGGGCTCAAGGGATTCTCCTGCCTCACCCTCCCGAGTAGCTGGGATTACAGGCACCTGCCACCATGCCCAGCTAATTTTTGTGTTCTTAGTAGAGATGGGGTTTCACCTCTTGCCCAGACTGGTGTTGAACTCCTCACCTCAGGTGATCCACCTGCCTTGGCCTCCCAAAGTGCTGGGATTACAGGCGTGAGCCACCATGCCTGGCCTACCTTCTGCTTTTTCAAGCATTTTCAGATTCCACATTGAACATATGCTCTTGTGCATGTATGTTTATTCTGTTTGCTTTGCCTAGAACAACCCTCCCCTCTTTCTCTGAACTTTTAGTCCTTTTTCAAAATAAGTTTGATCTGTTCCCAACCTCCCCACCTTCAGCTGCACAACTCCCCTCCAGATGACTTGGCTCACATCTCCCTGATGTTCCCATTAGAATGCTTTGTACATCTAATTTAATTTAACAAGTGTTACTTGTGTCCGAGTTATGCTCAAAATAGGGGGTCAATGAAACTTCTTAGGCATTCTCAAATGCCTTAAGTAGCATTTGTAGATTGTTTTTTTTTCTTTTTTTCTCTAAGTGTAAGCCTGTCCATACTTAGGGTTTATTTGTAACTGTTTTTTTTTTTGTTTTTTTTTTTTTACTACACTCAAGGAAGGAGAATCAACCTTAAATACATGTAGAAAAAGACAGCAAGATTTACCTGTGCTCACACAATGATTTCTGAAACAAAATTAACTCAAAGGCAGCAGTGGAATAAGATTGGAAGGAATTCTGGGTCAGAGGCCCCGGATCCTGGTCTGACTTTGTCAACAACAAAGCTCAGAGCTTGCCACATGAAAGGCACTAGGATGAGTGAATGAACTTGAAGAAGTCTCTTAACCTTTGTTGGCCTCTGTTTCTATATGCTAGAATAAAGGAGTTGGAGTTGATGATCTCCAATTGCTTCAAGTCAATACATTATGAATTTTTTTATCCTTCAGGACTTAAATCAATTACTGTAGTAAAATCTCATTATTTAGATTAATTGGCAAAGGAGAATGGAATTGACACTTATAGAGTGCCTGTTGTGTGTTAGATATTTTTGGTATATTGGAGATGTTGAAGGAGAATAAATCATACTGGCCCTGTCCTCTCGTTCCCGTGGGATCTGTTGGATTGTCATTCATCCTTCTGATTTCTTTAAATCAACTTTCAAAGTGAGCAAAGTCTTAGAACCACTCTTCTAGGGTGAGAAAGGGAGAGAAGGCACTGCTCTATGGAGAGAGAGAATTGCTTTGAAGTTGATACAGCCATTGTTTACATTCAAGTGTATGTTTCTAACATATTTGAAGCTGATCGAAGTCAATATGACAGTTTCTTTGAAGTTGATTGATTGATTTTCTTTATAACTTCATTTATACCCTGTATAAAGACAAACTTTAGTACAACTTCTATCACAAAATCCAAATATGTAGGAAGTTTGAATTAATGAGATCTTACTACCTATGCCAGGATTGTAAAAAATAGATTAAGGAGATTTGATATGACAGATATTTTCTTGGGTGAGAGAATCTCTGGATATGGGTTGCTCCCTGAAATATGACCCTGCTCTATGGCTGCCAAAAGGAAATCTGCGTTGCTATGAGGCCACCATTCTTCCCTTGCATTACTTGAGAGATTGATTACCTTGGCTTGTGCTTCTTTCATAGGGAAACTGGTCAGATGTGGTCATAGGAAGCAACCAAAGACATGAAGCTTATCCCCACCCTTTGGTGCTGGGTTCTAGAATCAAGGTTTGGCTCCATGCTACTTTTTGAATTGCCTTCGGTGTTAGTTTCCTAGGGCTGCCATAACAAAATATCATAGAATGGGTGGCTTAAACAACATTTGTTTTCAGTTATGGAGTCTGGAAGTCCATACCTAGATGTTGGCAGGCTTGGTGTCTCCTGAGTCCTCTCTCTCTCGTTTGATTGCAGGTGGCCATTTTCAGTTATGGAGTCTGGAAGTCCATACCTAGATGTTGGCAGGCTTGGTGTCTCCTGAGTCCTCTCTCTCTCATTTGATTGCAGATGGCCATTTTCTTGTTATGTCCCCATGTGGCCTTCTCTCTGTGCATGTACATTCTTGGTTTCTTTCCCTCTTCTTACAAGGAGGCCAGACATACTGGATTAGGGCCTATCCATATGACCTTACTTAACCTTAATTACCTTTGTAAATACCTTACATGTAAATACAGTCACATTCTGAGATCCTGGCGGTTAGGACTACAACATGTGAATTTGGTGGCAGGGAGGTGAGGGGCATAAATAAACCCATAATACCCCTAAGAGGCCCTGAGCATCTGAGTCTGTCCAATAATGCTTCCATTCTGTCCTGCCTCCTTCAGCAGAAGTGAGTGACCAGCAGATTACGTGTGATTTATGTTAGAGCCAGAGCTCTCTGGTCCTTGAGACAAAGAAAGATTCAAGTCTCCTGTGAGAAGAAGCACAGGAAAGAGCCACTCATCTCTCTTTAGACCCTAACATGCCACAGAGGTGACACACAAAGACCCTCCTGAGTCTTTTGGGAAAGAAAACAGCATGGTTACTGTGTTCAGTGACAGATCTAGAATTTTGGGGGATGCACAACCTGCAAGAAAGAACTTCTATTAGAGAAGGCCATGTAGGCCTATAGCAGGGCGCATCTGATAATTCACACCCATACTGCTACATTTATGAGCAAGGGGCTCACTTTGGCACAAGCCACAGAAGGTACAGTGTGTTGCTCTGTGGCATGTGTGTGCTTCAGTGTTGTCATCAGGGAAATGATCAGGGCCATCCTAGGTCTGCCACTATTAGATAGACATGGCATTAGTAGGGAAATCCACTGGGGCCTGGCGGGCCATATATAGAAAGCTGCAGTCGTAAAACCAGAGGAGTGAGTGTCTGACAAAGCTAATAAGGTTCTGTCTTCCCCAAAGCCAAAGCTTCTGTGACTTTGCTCCGTTCTGTCATCTACCTGTCATCAGAGGCAAGAAATTTGATGGATCTGGGAGACTCCCTGCCCTGGCTCAGATAATAAGCTCTGGGTTCATGCAGGGTGGCGCCAAAGGCTGCCACAATCCTGGAGGGCTAAAGGCCATGTGATGATAATACTGGTTAGCAAATCACGCTGGGTTCTGCAACCAACTCACTGTGCCTCTTTGGACAACTCACTTAGCCCCACTGCTGTCTCAGTTTACTGCTCTGTAAAATGGATGAAAAGATCTCAAACATACTCTCCATCTCTAAAACACACACTGTTTAAGCAGCAGTTATCATAAAGCACCTGCAAACTTTGGAACAAATGGATTCACCTAGGAATTATTTGGGACTCCAGAATCACATAAGCAATCTCAAATTACTAGATGGGAGCTCATGTTTATAAAGTCCACTGATTTTTATAATCTCTTAAGAAAAGTAAAACTTCAGTCTTCTATGTCTTTCAGATCATGCTTCAGTGGCATTACAGGTCAATAAATCATTCCTTTTACAAATGCTAACTTTTTAATAGGGCAAATTATTAGCACTTAGTTTCTAATTAGAGTGCTTAGTCATATAATGACATTTGGGAGTTATTTCCAAAGTGGATATATTTGGGGTTCTAGAAAGATAGATTAAAAATTTAGAAGATTATAATATACATGTGTACACAGATATTATTTCTGCACCTTTAATTCTGGTCTGGAATACAAAAGAAGGACAAAAACTGATTTATCTTAGAAATAAGATCGGGCCAAGCTTCCTTCCTTCTTTTTATCCCCACGGTGAGCTGATGATTTCATCCTAGTATTTAAAATATAGGTCATGAAAACATTTCTTTATTCTACCTGGAATACTAATAAAAACAAGTTAATGCAATTGTGTCATGAAAATGCTGCAGTCTTATAAATTTATCACTAATAAAATAACAATATTAATAATTACAATGTATTAATTTAATTGAGGTGTTGCTTCATGCCATAAAGCTTCTAAATTTTGCCTTCAATCAAATCAAACAAACTTGATTTGTCATTGGGGTGAGAATGTCTTTTAAAATAGCCTCCCTCAGGATTATTCCTACTGTGAGTTTTAAACTCACATTTTCAAATGAGTACTTTTCCTTCCATCTCAGCCCAGACCAAACTCACCTCATGATTTCCTCCTGGTCACAGGGACAGCCACTCTAACTCAACACCTCCTATGCACTTGTAACACTTCCCTTTTCTCTTGCCAAGTCACACTGACTCTGCTTAAATCCACCCTTCCTTGCTATTTACATGACTTTTGCCTTGTGTTAGGCTCTTAACGTTATGCAGTTTAATCTGCCATTTCCGGATTGAATTTCCAAAAGAACAAATCTGGTCATCTCACTGTGCTCAAAACCTTCAATAACTCTCCAGGCATGTGGAATCAAACCCATATTACTCTATCTGATAACTGAAGAGCCTCTGTGGTCTCATTCTCCCTAGATTGCCAGTCAGATTCTCTAATATATTTCCTGGTGACCCTCAAGACATAGCGGCCCTGCCCTAGTTGCTTTTCTGCACTCTGGACTGTGGTCATTGCTTTGCTTAGAATCTCTGCCAAGAGTGTTCTTCCTTGCATTGCCAATGGAGAATCTTCTGGTTCTACAAAGTTCTTCTGAGGGTCGAGTCTGGAAGACAGAGCCCGTGCCTGGTAGTTAAATCCAGGACATTTACTCTAGGGAACGAATCAAAAAGCTGTTGGGAAAGATGAAAAGTCCAACAGGAGATGGTCAGGCACGTGAGGGGCTAGCATCAACAGGAAGCTGCTACCATCACTGGGGCTGGAGGGATAACAAAAGGGAAGTGCTCAGGGACTCCCTAGGTCTGGCAGTGTTAGATAGACATGGCATTAGCAGGGAGATTCCTAACAAACGGAGGTGGTGTTACTGAAGGAGATGGGGCTCTGCGGTGGGCATGGAGGCATGATGGAGATTCAGCCATAGCCAGAGAAGCCACCTGAAGCATTAAGAAAGATAGAAATATGTTTTCTTCCTGCTTACCTCTAATCTCCTGCATGAGTCTCCCATTGGCAAAACCTAGCCTAGAGTCAGGTATCAAGGAGCCTGGGAAATACAGTTTCCAGGAGGCAACCTTCCTGTGATATAGGGCAGAGCAAGGGAAGGATGAGGAATGTATCATAAAGAGGCAGATAACTAGCATGTACCTCTTTCATGAAATCACCCATTTTCTGTTGGAATTATACTCAGACCCAATGTCTTTTTCATGCTGTTTGCATCTCTGTGACAATTTCTAATGTCGTTCCAACATAAGATCTACTTCTTTTGACTACGCTTATTGGTACCACTAGATTGGAAGTTAATTGAAGGCAAAGACTCTGTTTTATTCATCTTTGTAACCCCAGGACCCTGTACAGTGTTTGGAATATTGTAGCAGCTCAGAAATAGTCCATGCTACTCCTGAATTAGAGAGGAAAAAGGATTTAAAGTAAGAGATATCATGGATGGTTGGTGAAGGGATTCTCCATGCTATAAGGAGACACAGATGAGAAGAAAGAGTCAAAAGATTCATAAGAGCAGAAGAGAAATGAGCTGCAAAAAAATGGCAAGCACTTAAGTCTCATGGCTTTATCAGCTGTCAACAATATCAAGGTCTGCATTTCAGTTTTTCTCAGCCTGGAATCCTTTGATATTCGCATTGGGAGATTCTGTGAGAAGCTCCAAAATGCCATGTGCTGTTATGCTCTCTAATGCTTTTCATGATTTGTCTACGGAAGAAAGCACTTACTAACTCTCCTAATATGAAAGGGGAGTCCATTGAAGGGAAATTACAAGTGGAGAGGGAAGTGTGTGTCATTTCTCTGAGCGTTCATAGTTTTGATTCAGTCTTGTGCTTTTTTTACCTTTGATAATTTAAGAATAAGCTTCCAGATTCTGAACTGAGGAGAAATTTCATCCCTTCCCTGAGCAAGCAACTCCTCTGGTTTACATAAACATTTCCTGTTTTATAAAATGAAAGGATTGGTGAAAAATAGGCTTTTGTTTAAAGAATATCTTTTTTTCTAATTACAGAATCAACACATTTAGTGCATCCTCGTTGGAGAATACAGAAAAGTACTTAGAACATAGAAAATCCCAACACTGATGATAATTTCTCTAAATAATGAATATATACTTTTAATCTTATTTTTTTATCTCTCTCATGACAGGGTCCTACTCTATACACTGTCTTATAAACTGCTTTTCACTTAAAAATATACATATTCTCCTACTTCAATAAACTTGAATCAACACTTTTTAAAAGGCTGCATTATATTCCCTTATAACTTGTAATTCCCAGTGGTTGGGCATTTTAGCTGTCACTCAGTGTTTTTGATACAGTGTACTACACTGTTGTATTAGTTATGTATTGCTGCTCTAACAAATTACCACAAACTCAGTGGCTTAAAACAATGCAAATTTATTCCCTTACAGTTCCAGAGGTCAGAAGCCCAAAATCAGTGTCACTGGCTAAAGTCAAGGTGTCACTGAGCTGGTTCCCTCTGGAGGCTTTGGAGGAGTTTGTTTCCTTGCCTTTTCCAGCTTCTACAAGTGACCTGCATTCCTTGGCTTGTGGCTCCTTTCTCCGTCTTCAAAGCCCATCATCCAGTTACCACTTCCATTTTCACATGGCCCTCTCTCTGACTCTGGTTTCTTCTGCTTCCTCTTGTGAGGACTCTTGTGATTATATCATGCCCACTCAAATAATCCAGAATAATCTCTCCTGCTCCAAATCCTTAATCATATGTGCAAAGACCCTTTCTCATACAGAGTAATGTTCACCAGTTCTGAGACTCAGGCATCTTTGAGAGCCATAATTCAGCCTGCCAGACAGCAGTGGAAGAAACTTTTCTATCCCAGCTCTACAATTTTATGATGAGGTTTTTGGAAGGATGACTGTAATTGTTTTAGCTTCAGAAACATTTATGAGGGCAGGTG
Source organism: Homo sapiens (assembly GCF_000001405.40). Lineage (NCBI taxonomy): Eukaryota > Metazoa > Chordata > Mammalia > Primates > Hominidae > Homo > Homo sapiens. Next base: position 108,298,347 of record NC_000009.12, on the reverse strand, counting down.
AAATAGTAGACAGAAAACTGAGATTCGGGATACTGGGATAGGCCTGGATCTGCCACTGACTTGCTGTGGCATTTTTTCCTGCTTCTGCATTCTCATCTGTAAGGCCATGGAGCTGAAGACTCCCTTTAAACAGATATTCCATAATTATTTGAACTGAAGCATTGTAAGTGGCATAATATAAAAACAACAAAGGTATGTTCAAAACATTAATGGAGATGATGTATGTACGGTATCCTAGAGCCAGACACACTGTGAGCGTGTTTGAATAATAAAATCTTGGAGGAAAGCATCACCTCAAACTTAATGATAAATACTATTTATGAAGCACCCACTGTGTACAGGATGTTTTATATATATCATCTCACAAAGATCTCATAAATTACAGAATACTCTGTGTTATTCAAGCAGTTTAAGTAATGTGTTCAAGGCTTCACAGTTATAAGTAACAGAACTGTTGACTTATGCCATATCCATCTAGATCCAAGTTTAGGTTCTTTCACTTAGATCCTGCTGCCTGTGCACACACCATATAGAATTAAAGGCAGCAGTGGAGTTAGAACATTTACCAGACATTTTTAGAATAACTGGTAATATCATCTCCATCGGAGGTGGGCATTTTTGATGCAGTTAAATGGGCAGTTCTTTGTGAACCTGCCCACTGTGGTTTGAATGTGTCTCTCAGATTTTATGTGCTTAAAACCTAAACCCCAAATTCATATGTTGATGGTATTTGGAGGTATAGCCTTTGGTAAGTAACTAGGATTATATAAAAACATTATGGTGGAGCTTCCATGATGAGGCTGGTGGCTTTATAAAAAGAAGAAGAGAGACGTGAGTGGGTACACTCTTGCCCTCTCGCCATATGATGCCCTCCGCCATGTTATGACACAGCAAGAAGACAATTATCAGATGCCAGAGCCATGCTCTTGGACTTCCCAGTTTCTTCCAGAACAGTGAGCTAAATAAACTTCTTTTCTTTCTGAATTACCCAGTCTGTGGTTTTCTGTTATAGCAACAGAAAATGGACCAAGACATTGCCCAATAGGGTTGCAGAGCACTCCGTTTCTCTTTAAAGCAACTCTTTCTTCCCTATACTATACAGAGGAACAGAGAGAAATTTGTCTGTTCCCTTTGGCTCCTTTTACTGGTGCTCGTGGTCAGGATGTGCACGTGCTGAAGTTACGTGGCCAGCCATTTGCCAAGTTCTCTTGCCTTATGGAAACCAGATGGAAGCTGGAGTCAAAGTTCTCAGCCACAGAAGTGAGGCTGAGCTGCCTCTCTGGATTGATTGTCTGAATTTCAGGAGGCACAATCCCCTCTTCTCCTCCTCCCCCTGCCCCACTTCTTTTTCTAAAAACCAAGAGTCAATTTCAGAGATACAGTCTTTCCTTGTGCCTTGCCCAGACACTCTTTTTCAAAACTTTATTTTGTAGTTGCAACTTTGTTTGTAGCAAAAGCTCTGTTTGGTTGACATAAATTGGAACCAAGAGGAATAATATCCACAAAACAGTCAGTGCTAGCATATGCTTTGAATAGCCTAGATTGATAATGTGAGGTCTTGTATAACTTTACTAATCTCTACTAGCATTTTGGGAGAATTATACACAGTAAAACAATCACTCAAACAAACAAAAGCAAAAAACAAACAAAGCTGGGAGAGTGGGAAGGGAAATTTCAAATGTGTTGGTGACCAGTGAAAGTCAACAGATTGATTTGAAGCCTCATTCTGAAGTTTTCAGGGAATCAGCATTTCAAGTGAAGGAGAGATCTTAAAGTTCATCCAATAATTAATTTCATCTAGCTCGTCCCTATTTGCAAGAGCCCAAAAGAACCCATCCAATTGTGAAGTATGGTTGCCACAAAAGTCCTACTCACTACTGATGAATTTGTATACTAGTATGAAAGAGTAATGATAATTATAAAAGTAGAACAACCGGTGGAATGTGAGATCTGAAGGATTCAAATTTTCATGGCTAAATAGTTACACTCTAGTTACAGGCTCTGGGGGAATTTCAGTGCTGTGGTAGGAGCATAGGATATGAGTCAGAAACATGCTAGACTCTCCTACTTATTGGCTCTGTGGCCTTGAGGGCATATTTAACCTCTCTGAGTTTCTGTTTTGGCATCAGAAGTAAAGTTAGAATGAGTTTAAAATGTGCTGAGATTATGGTGTATGCTTACCAAATGGTAAGCATCCATGTTTTTTGTACCCATTCCATAAATTCTTGGCCTGTGTGTCTAACTCAACCCTTAAGGCAAGTATGCCACAGAGAAATATAGAGGGGAATTTATCTTTGGACCCACTCCCTATTTTTCACTTGTAGTCCTTACCCTTTTCCAGAAAGTCACGGTCTCCTTTGGAGGAGTCACGGGATAGTGGAAATAGGAGCCACGTATCTTGAGCTCAATCTTTGAGCTGTATATCCTTGAGACACTTCACTTAAAAGAGGACCAGGCCCATTAAAGAGGCTAAATAAATATTTGTTGAATAAATGAAAAAGGAATGGGTTGCACTTTCTTACGCCTTTCTACCTGGAAATTTTTTAATGCATTCTTCAAGCCCCCACTTGCATTACTTCTGTTGGCAATTTCCTTCAAAACATTGTACAGACCTGTTTTATAACGTGAGTCTCAGCCTATGCACCCCAGAGATGGGTTATGAGCTTCCCAATGGCAGCACTGTGACTTTGCATTCCCCAAGTGTAGCACAGTTTTTGGATATTGATTGCTAAAGAAACAAATTTACACTTTGGGAGGCTGAAGCGGGCAGATGGCTTGAGCCCAGGAGTCTGAGACCAATCTGGGCAACGTGATGAAACCCTGTCTCTACAAAAATACAAAAATTAGCCAGGCATGGTGGCATGTACCTGTATTCCCAGATACTCAGAGGCCAAGGTGGGAGGATTGCTTGATCCCAGGAGGTCAAGGCTGCGGTGAGCCTAGATCACGCCACTGCACTCCAGCCTAGGCAACAGAGCAAGACCCTGTCTCAAAAAAATAAAAAATACATAAATTCAAAGGTCAATGAAAACAAATTCTAAAGATGGCGTCCCAACTTGTTCCCCTCCCCACAGTTTACGGTATTTTGTGGTTCCCACACTCATATCCTTTACAGAGAATTGGCCACATCTTGCTTATTCCTGCCCACTGTACAGTCACAGTAATTTACTGCCAGTTCTTTGCTTATCTTGTCAGGAAGGTGACCCAGAATATTTTCTGAGTAGAAGCAGAAAGTCATTGCCAAGGTGTGTGTCAGAGTTCTGCAGTATCTAAGACAGATTGATCTATTAAGTAAACATAATTTTGGCTGATCGCTTTCAAGACATCAACCCCCTGAGAAATTTCATGTTGCTCAGTGAATTCAGAGCACGATACTCTCCAAACCGAACCCATCTTTCCTGTCCCAAAGATTATTTTCTCCTAATTTTCTTATTTCTTTTCATGGAAATGTTCTCTCAGTCAGCTAAAAAGCCTCTATCTTCTCTTTGTTTCTCAACACATTCAATCACTTCTCAGACCCTATTATTTGTATTCGTTAGCAGATCTGGATTTGCGGTCTTATTCCAGTACTTATTAGCTATTAGATTTCTGGTAAGTCACTTGCATTCTCTGAGCCCCAGGTTTCTTCGTAAATAAAGTGGAACAGTAACCTGCTCTGTCTTTCTCACATGATTGTTGCCAGGATGAGATCTGATAATGAAAGACAAAGAGCTTTGGAGGCTGTAAAACGCTGCCATCATTAGTTGCTGCTTACTTCGATGACTTGACCTTCTAGGGTGATCAGCCATCTTAGTTTGCCCCAGAATGTCCTGGTTTTAGCACCAGAAGTTTCATATCCTGGGTTTCACACCCCAAAGTTCTGTGCAAGCCAGGACAGTTGGTCACCTTTCCCTTTATTTCTTTTTTTGCTCCCTTCCTGGTTCAGTTCTTTCCCATTGTGCACACAAGCTTTTCCAAAGCCTCTCCTGTCTGTCCTTGTTCAATCCCACCTGTCCGTCACCGCTGGCATGATTTCTCTAAGGCATAGTGTAGGTGTAGAATTGCTTCTGCACACTGAAACAGAGTGGCATCTCATGCGAAGAGAGAGGGAAGGAGACAATGTGGACACCACCAAAGCTGCCATTTGGGCAGGGAGAGTGGTGGATGTTCTCCCTCGCAGCTGGTGTGGGGGCCCAGCGTTGCTGGAGCTGAGCTGCCAGATTCCTGTCTAGACGTTTGATGTGAGGCTGGCTGAAGCACTCTGACCTCAAACTCATACCCTGCCCTGCATGATCCCCATCTTTGTGGGACATTGCAGGAAACAGAGGCTTTGAGGTCATTCTGATCTGGATTCCTAGTAGGGATGGTCACATAATTTGCAGAGCCCATGGAAAGTGAAAAACGCAAGGCCCCAGCAAGGGAAGTCAATCTCCCTTTCCCACAGGATTGCTATCCCAAGTGTGAATGAGTATCCTCTAAAGGCCTGCAACCTCTATACAGTGACGTTCTCCCTACCCCCATAGGAGCGGGTGACAGTTCTCCACCGAGTCACCTGCCAGAGGTGTTGAAACGCTACTAGTTCATGGCAAGGACAGTCACTGCCTTGACCCATTCAGAGAGGCTGCAGGGCACATGCCAGGTACCTCCCCTCTCCACGCCTGCAAGCCCTTGCTGGGCTGGAAGGCAAGGACAGAAGGTCTGCCTTCCAGCCCAGCAAGGCCAACAAGACCTACTTGCTGCCCTGGATGAAGTGCCCAGTGGTTGTGGGATATAGAGAGGAGCCTTGAGCCAGAGTCTCAGGAGGAGTCTCAGAGTCTCAGAGAAGCAGGAGGCCAAGATGCATTCAGGCAGGTGGGGGCATGGTGGGAAGTGAGAGTGCACAGGAGCTGGACGCTCCCAGCTCCAGGAACATGCTCTATTGTCCTATCAGACTTCACTTATGAAACTCAAATTCAAAGATAAAATTATTAAAAAGTTCAAGATGGTGACAACTGGGGCCTTTCTGAGCACAGACTGCATTCCCATGAAGCCATTCCTAGCTCCAGGCGAAGCTCACCTATGTATTGCTTCTTTAGTACTCGGTACCTATTTAGTATACTCTGCTGTGCCCTTTTGCTATCTAGTTTCTTGCCTGTCCCTCCTTCTGGGCTTAATGTATGTTTAGTGACTGTGCTTTGCCCATCCTGGCTTCTCCACAGAGCCTCACAGGCTGGAAGGGCTCAGTGGGAGCCACATGGTGGTTGAATGCATGCTTTAAAATGAATGAAGGTGGGCTCCACCCAACATGACTGTTAAGTTTGCAGCCAATATCGTCTCTACTTTTTATTGCAGCCACCTCTTGGGAAGACTTGGATTTTCTGCTAGCAGTTCTGGCTGTGAATACCAGCTTCTCAAAGTGAAAGCAGCCTCATATTTTGAAACGTTTTTTTTAAATATAATATCAAGAAAAGAGATATTAAATTGGAGGCTAGGTGCCCCAAAATGGAGGCTGTTCTCTTCTGTTTTGACCCAAATATGCTCCAAAATTCTGAGTAACAAGAGCTTGTAATCCTTTGGTTTTGGTTCCTGAGGCATTGTGACAGATCTTATTTATGTGTTGCTGAACCAGGACGGAAGAATTTTTTGTTTGTTTGTTTTTTTAACAATAATTTAGGTGTTCAGGTTGATGGTCTGACAAAGCAGTGCTCCTGAAAAGCCCTTTAGTTGATAGTTTTTAGGAGGTGTTTGTGGGGCAGAACAAGGGCTTGTTTGATACTAGAAATTAGAATTCTTTTTATAGGCTTCTCTCACTTGTTGCTCAGGCATCCTCACCCAATGGGTCACAATCCTGACATCCTTGGCCTAAAAACTGAAGATGCTGCAAAAGTTGTTTTTCACCAAATATATACTCAAAATTGCAGGGCATTTTCTTTTCTAGGATATAAGAATTTCTTTTTCTCTCTCCCCTTCCCTGTCCTGAGAATGTAGCTGTGTCTATGGTCTGGGGACCTGGTTGCTTCCAAAATGAGACTTTGAACTTAATGCAATATATTTATCCATCCAGCAAGTTCTCCCTCTCTGTGAAGTTGCTTCAAGGTTGGTTTCTGCCACTTGCAAACCAGAGAGCCTTGTGTGCATGTCTATCACCACCCTTGTTACTTTGTTCTAAATTTGTGTTTTAGTCCACGGGTCACTTTCCCCATTAAATTGAGTTTCTCATAGTCAGAGACTATGCATTTAGCTTATATCTGGCACAATGATTACACGAATGGATAAGTGAATAGAAGACAGTAGCTTATCAGCTTAATCCATTCATTTAAGAGACCTTCTTGTTAGAACAGTATACAGTTACCACTCATTTTGAAATGTACGAGTGTACAGTAGTCTCCTATTTATTTTTGAGATATGTTCCAAGAGACTCAGTGGATGTCTGAACCTGTGGATAGTACTGAACCCTATACTGTGTTGTTTTTTCTATATCTGGATACCTATGATAAAGTTTAATTTATAAATTAGGCACAGTAAGAGATTAATAACAATAACTAATAAGAAAATAAAATAATCATAACAATATGCTGTAATAAAAGTTATGTAAATACGGTTTCTCTGTCTCTCAAAATATCTTACTGTACTGTACTCACCTATTTTTGGTGGGCTGTGGGTAACTGAAACCATTCAAAGCAAAACCGCAGATGAGAGGGGACTACTGTATTTTGGTTTATTTTAGATATATCTGAAGTCAATAATTATATATTATATATATGTGTGTGTGTGTGTGTTTATATTATGCACACACATATATTTAGGATGCTCAAAACCATCATGGCAATAAAAAGGGGAAATCAATTTTTTGGTGCTTAGTGGACGTTAGACAGATAAATTTAGTAAACTGGGTTGCATATCTAGAAGGACTGGTTCTAGAAAGGTTATGAGAACTGAGAAACTGGTCTGGGGCCAGATCAAAGACAAATGACTTTAGGCCTACCTTGAGAAAACTGTATTTCCCAGAACTGGCTCCAGAAGGACTCCTGAATCCTCCACTTTTTGTGTGTCATATCGGTAAGTCCTCCAACTCCCAAGGGGGCTCTATGCATAGAGAACTTTTCTGTGCATGTGGTTTCCTTGGGAGAGATGGAGAGTAACTGAGAGCTGATTACCATGCCCGGGCACACTCATAGGAACCTGCCAAACTCGATAACTAAAGAGGCCTTGACATGTTTCCATTTCTGATTCTGCCCTTATAAAATGTGTTGCTAATTAAAATAACTGCCAGCTCAGACTCCTGCAGGGAAACCCGTCCATGTGCTCAGAGACTGTTGTTTTCCATGTTTCTAGCTCTGGCTAAATAAATAAAGCCTATAAAACCAGCGGCAGAACCCAACTATCTGGGGCAGCTTGAGAAGGGCCCTTCACCATGTGTAAGTAATCAAGCAGTGTATTAACTCAGACTTCCCTGCACTAGAGAAGAAAAGGGTTAAAGAGCAGATTATGCTTCTTCCACACAGTGCTATAGGCATGTTTGATTTGGCAAGTGGATAAAGAAGCATAAAAACACGTCCTGACAAAGTCAAGTATTAAATCAAATTCAGTATACTTACCAAGTTGAATTTGGAGTGTGTGTCTTTCTTTTTATCTGAACCATTGTTTGTGCAATTGCTAAAAAAATTGTATCTGGTCATGTTATTCCTTGCCATTCCTCCTTCATTGGTTTCCCATTGCCCTTCACATGAAGTTGAAGCGCCTTCACATGGCTAGAAGACGTTTTGTGATCCAGACCTCATTTAGCCCTCTAGCTTCTGGTTCCATTGTTAGTTCTTGGGCCACACCAAACTACTTGCAATGCCCTGAAAATGCCATATTCTCTCTTCCTCTCATGCCTTTGCACATGCTGTTCCATCTGCCTCGAAAGCCCCTCATACGTATACTTACTTCCATGGCCGACTCAGAAACAACTCTACAACTCACGTCAGGAATCCTCTCATTTAGGGAGTCCTCTCTGACATCCTTTCTTCGCCACCTCCACCCCCTCAATCTGGAGAGATACATCTTTTGAGCTTCCCTGGCTCTTATAGTTGCACTTACCAATTACAATTGACATGAATGAAGAAATAATCTGCTCCATACCAATGTTTAGAACCCATCTGAGGGCATCCAACACCCTGATATCGAACACGACTGATTGACAAAAGAGGGCTTGCAAAGCTGAAACTGTATGGAAGACCGAAGGTCACAAGTACTAGCCAGTCTTAGAAATGATGTATTAATTAGATATACGAAATGATAAATTCACTCATTCATTCATTTATACTTCTAATAAATTTTTATTAAGCATGTACTTTGTTCTAGGCCTATAAAGAGTGCTAGGGATTACAGACATGACTATGACCTAGGTGGACCCTTACAGCTTGGTACTTGCAGTTTAGTTAGAGAGACATACATATATACAAGCAATTATTTTCAGTCACAAACTTGACTAGACCTACGAAGTAAAAGCAAGACACCGAATGAGGGTCTTCACTAGGGAGTTCTAACCCAATCTTAGAGTCAGGGAAAGTACCCCTAAAGAACTACTGTAATCCCAGCACTTTGGGAAGCCGAGGCAGGCAGATCACGAGGTCAGGAGTTCGAGACCAGCCTGGCCAACATGGTGAAACCCCCTTTCTACTAAAGATACAAAAAATTAGCCGGGTGGGGTGGTGCATGCCTGTAATCCCAGCTACTCAGGAGGCTGAGGCAGGAGAATTGCTTGAACCCGGGAGGCAGAGGTTACAGTGAGTTGAGATCGCACGATTGCACTCCAGCCTAGGTGACAGGGCAAGACTCCATCTCAAAAAACAAAACAGAACAAAACAAAACAAAAACTGCTATTGGAGGTGAAATAGTATGGATATCTGTGCTACAAAGCAGAGCGTGAGCAAAAACATACCAGGAAAGGGAACAGCATATGCAAAGCCTAAGAAGCAGGAAAAAGAGGGACATGTTCAAGGAATCAGAGAAAACCATAGGACTTGGAGCAAAATAACAAAAAGATATAGAGGAAAAGATGAGCCTGGAGAAGCAGATGGAAGGGGGATTATGCAGAGCCTCATAAGACAAGGTAAAGCTCTTGCATTTTTTCCTAAGTGTGATTAGAAACCACTGAAAGGATTTAGGCCTAATTTTAAATCCAGTTTGCAGTGTTAAAAATTATTTGGCAGTAGTGTGGAGAATGGATTGGAAAGGGGCCCAAGTGGACAGATTAGGATGCTGTCACAGTATTTTTTGGGGAGAGACAGGGTGGTTTGTTCTAAAGCAGTGAGAGAAACAGTGCAGAATATGGAGTCAAGAGATGTTGAGAAACTAGGATCAATGGCCCTTAGGATTGATTGGCTGCTGGATTGAGGTAGAATATGGTATCAATGCTTAACACAAATAGCTTCATTCATTTGACAAATAGCTATCAACTGCCTATTATGTGACAGGTGAGTGAGGATGATGCCTTATGCAAGCCCCTCGAACACTGTAGTCCAAATCTGTAAGAAAGCATTGAAAAGTTTACTTTATTTCTGACACTTAAATGACTGTAATATAGGCTTTTTAAAAGTTTTCCACTAAACTTTTCTTGGGTCAAATATTGAGCTATCGCAGCCCCACAGCCTCATTTCTCTTATTGAAGGCAATACTTTGTCCATGATTGTGCCTTGCAGTTTTACTTGCATGCTTCATCATTTAGTTCTACTTTGTCCATCTAGGAGAGTTTGACAATATGTCCATCAGCCCTCACTCCCTGACTTGCGTGAGTATGTAACACTTGAATTCTGCTTCAGTCTCTTACTAACCGTATGACTTTAGGTATGCAACTAACCTCCCTAACTTCAGGGTTCCGCTCTCTAAATGGACCCAATTTGATAGATGTTAATATCACTAATATCCTTTATGGGCAATCAGATGTATGAAGAAAAAAGACTCAGCTTACCTATGATATATTCTTGCCAAAAACTTTTAAGTAGCATATAACCTAACCTTTAGATCCAACTTCCAGCTTGCTGGAAGCAAAAGGAATAGGCCTCGTAAGGAAACGACACCGCGAGGGAACAGAATCTGAAAATGGACATTCTGCATGACAACTGGCTTGACCTCTTCAATTGTCCTAGGAAGTTAGGGCTGCTGTAGATTAAAAAAGAGTTAAGAGACAAGAGACATAACAGGTACATGCCATACATGGTCCTTGATTGGTCTAAGTTTGAAGATAAAACTGGGAAAATGAGGGATGCAAATGTGAAGATGTGGATATGAAAATTATAGTAGATGATGTTAGGAAGTTGCTGTTGATTTTGTTGTTAATTTTATTAGATATTATTATTTGAAGGAAACAAATCTTACCATTTAGAAATCTATAACAAGGTATTTAAGGGACAAATATCCTGATACCTCTGTTTTACTTTAAAAGTTGTGTGTGTGTGTGTGCATGTGTGCATGTATGCTTGTGATTATACCTATGAACTAAAATATTATGAAGGGTTATCAACTGTTATTTCAAGCCAGGTGATATACATATGGGGGTTCATTACACTAGTCCTTCTACTTTTTTGCATTTGGTAATAAAAAGTGAAAGAAATAAAATTATATCCATATTACAATGTTGTGCGAGTAAGGGACATGTACAAAAAGACCTAATTTGTATGAAATGTCATTAAATAAATGAGTATTCTCTTTCATAACAGTTTTCTTTTAATGTGTGCATCAAAACCTCACTCAAGTCCAGAATCTCATTGCATTCTATCAGCAAAAGTTGGCCAGAAATCTCTGGAGCCCCTTGGAGGGTAACATGGATATGAGTTGGCCTACTGGTGAGAAATAAAAGTAAAATTCTAAGCCCTCCAATCAACTGAATGGACCCTCTCTTGGCCAAGGGGACCCAAAGGTAGCCTTGAAACTGAGTTCTTGGCCATGATGAGATAAGAGGTCGGAAACACCTCCTTAGACCTTCTGTCACCATTAGCCTTTCTTCTCTAAGGGCTAAACAGAAACCAGAAACCAGGATTTTTTTTTTTTTTTTTTTTTAAGAACGAGTCTCTCTGGAGTGCAGTGCAGTGGCATGATCTCTGCTCACTGCAACCTCCGCCCCCTGGGTTCAAGCAATTCTCCTGCCTCAGCCTCCTGAGTAGCTGGGACTACAGGTGGATGCCACCATGCCTGGCTAAATTTTGTATTTTTAGTGGAGACGGGGTTTCACTATGTTGGCCAGGCTGGAACTCCTGACCTTGTGATCTGCACACCTCGGCCTCCCAAAGTGCTGGGAAGATTTTACCACTGTCAGTAACCAACTATCTGAGAGTGCCTTGCCTTTTGGCCTGATAAGAGACCACTGACCATGGAGTTGTGCTACAGATAATGCACAGTAAGGGTTTTCATATCCTCTGCCTCACCTTTTGACATCGGAAGGCAGAAAACTCCACCCTCGAATAATGCTAATGCTGCTGTATTTTATACATGGGACCTATGAATGGGGCATAAATCTCAATTGCACATGCGTGTGTTTCTCCTTTCATAAATATTCATGACTCCTCTTATAGTTTATTAAATAGGCATATTCAGCCACTCTGCTCAGCATAAATTCCTGTTCCCTTTGCCCTTATCTCCAAGTATCTGTTCTCGGCTTCTGATCAGAGGCTATGCTTCCCAGCCTACCAGAAGGGCTACCCTGCAGGCTGCTGCTCTTTATGAGAAATAAAACTCTTCTTTATGAATTGATGAACCACGTCATTCTTCAGTTGACACCGGCATCATGCTTGCTGGAATAAACGTTTAAAGTGTCTGGTTCATTCACTACTGTGGACAAAAAGTCTGCAATCCTTTTAGCATTTATAAATCAAAACTCATACACATGTTCAGAAGCGTAGAAGTGTTCAAAAGCAGAAAGATCTTTGCTGAGTTGGTCACATGGTCCTTACAAGGAGTGATACTGGCCCAAACATGGTTTCAAGCCTCACATTTATAAAGGGATCTTACTGGGTTCCTAATCACAAGCTATTTTCCTGACATTGTTTGTTTCCCTGAGGTCTTCCCCTTATACTAAAGAAAAGTAAAATACCTCCAACTCCTAGGGAAAGTGGAAGAAGTGCTACATTGAGGACAATGTCAGGAGACAATAGCTTACTGTGTACTGCAGATGTATTATATACATACACATTCCTGTTTGATCTTGCTGCCTTAGCAATTATGGGTAATACCTTCTTTCACCCTCAAATGTGTCCAAGTTCAATGATAAACTACTTGGTCCTCCTAAATATACAGTATGTTTCTCTCCTGGGTTCTGTGAACTGGCCCTTTTTTTCATCCTTAGGCAATCCCTGTCCTGCCGCCCACTTCTCCAAGCCACCTTGCACTGATGCAGCCATATCAATCTACTTGCAGGTGCATCTGCGTGCTATGCTTGCTCTCTCCTCTATGGTTGTACATTTGCTGACACCTCTACCTTTCCCACCTTTCTTTCTTTGCCTGGCTAACTCTTGCCCTTTCTCAAAGGCTTGGGTTCCAGGTCATCTGCTCCGGGAAAATTTTTGGATTCCACAAAGGAGAGCTGGGTCTTTCTCTGTTATGTTTCTACCAGGGCCAGGACAAAGGTGAGGTAAGTGAGGCATCTTGGGCACAAAATTTAAGGAAACCCTCATTCTCAGGGTGGTACAAGTGCCAACTCTGCAAGTCCCATGACACTGAGAGTACAGGTCTTCTTAAATTTTGCATCCTAGTCACCTAACTTACTTTACCCTATCCTGGCACTGGTTTCAACAACATCTCATATCCCTCTATCGTGATTACACTGTAGAATTTATTCGTTGATCTGTCTCCCTTATGGAAATGTAAACTTTTGTAGCTGAGGAACCACAGGTTATTCATTCCTACAACCTTAGTACCTAGCACTATGCCTGGCACACAGAAAGTGTTTATAAATGATGGTAAAATAGAAGAATAATGGGAAAAGTCAAATGGTATTGGAAACACATGGTATTAGAAACTTATTAAACTATCACGGACAAAATGGCATCTGCTGGAGAGCTAGGAGAGGATCTAGAAACAGAAAAAAATGGATAAAATATAAAGTTCACCATCTGAAATATTTCTAGTAAAAAACCACCTGACCACTAGGGAAGCCTGAAAAAGGTGGCCTGAGTACAAGATCTAAAACATCAGCAAAGATTTGGGTAGGGTGAACCCAGATTGTCCACCAAACCATTAAATCCATGTTTCCTCCAAATAGGGAATCTTCCCTGGGCCCTTTCCATCCTTCTCTATATCCATTTACATGATACGTTCATGCTGACAGTTCAGAAGGAATGGCATGGGCTGGATACTGGTGAACCTCTTTAATATGCCCATCATGATGCTAGGCTGCTCACAAAGATTATAATATTTAATCAGCACAACAGTGCAATGAAGCAAAAGCTCGTGTCCCAGTTCTATGGATGGGAAAAGCCAGAGATGCTGTGTCACTTGTCTGAAGCTACATAAGCTGGAAGATGGATGAAGAAAAACATCCCCAGTGTTTTTAAACAAACAGGGCAATTAAAACAAATGTAATTATCATCCCACAAAAATTCTTACAGACTAGAAATAAAAATATATTCATGAAGCACTTATATTTATTCATGCAAAAATCAGATCACCTACTCTGTGTTCTCCTGTTAGTGGAAAGCCCTAAAAGTTTGTGCAGGAAAACTGTTAGGATGGAGTTGGGGGAGTGAGAGGATAGATACTGAATAATTCATAGATAGCTTTAGAAGAGCAAACATACTCTCTTATAAAATGTTCTTCTGGGGCGAATGTGTGAAAATTGCAGTTACCACGTTTGCCTTAGTGCCAAAAGCCACAAGACCAAAGAACCTCAACAACAATGGCATCTCCTGAAATGTTCCCAGAGAGAAGCACCTCCTGCATGTTGTGCCTGTAAATAACATAAGGTAGGTCTTTGTATGTGGATTAAGGCAGATAATAAGACTATTGTACAGACACTTATCAGGATAGGTAGCTGGCAATTGTTTGGTGCACTTTTTGGGGGGTGGAGGAGACAAACTTTTTAGGATAAGAAGCTAAAATCTCAACTTTGTTTTTGCATTAGTAAACAGAGTCTTGGCCTTCACCTAACAGATTTACTGAGGTATGACTTCAGGCCTCATGGTTGGCCCTTTGATTTATGTGTTTCATGGACAAACTGCTATTGTGTAGGAGCCCTCTGAAAGCTTCAAAAAGGTAATTAAGGGTGAGACATTTCTCAGTTCATTTACAAAGTACTCACTCATTCCCAAAAGCCAGCGTCAGGAGGGCTCAAGTGATTTCAGTCAAACTTCTCCCAACCAAAGCCCCACTTTCTATGACAGAGTTACAAATGCTTTTAGCTCCATTTTGCCTACATTCTAGAGGACTTCTTGGCAGGGTCCATAAAGCGTGTTTTCATATTCTTTGGATTTCATCTTCGTAGCACGGCCTTATGGAAAAACATCACATTCCAAGTGCGACTGGGAAATTTCATTCACCGTAGTGGTTGCCAATAACATGTGGGGAGTTTATGGGCCCTCCAGCAAGCTGATCAGCTCCAAACAAAATGTGTTCACTGCAATTTCAGCTGATTCATTTCCATAAGATGCAAGACGATGCTATTTACTAGATATCTTAAGACCAATTTAAGTCTCTAAACTATGGTGGAATTAAATATACACTAGTTTTTAGCTCAATACTATATCATTAGAGTCTTAACAGGGAACAAAATGGTACACTCAAAAGGGGTTAGCTGAATATAATTTCATAAAGACAGGATCTACAGACACATAAGCAATGTTAAAAGAATCAACAAGGAATGGTTAGACATCCAGGAATCGTCAATAGCAGGAAGGTCTTATTGTCCCAGGCAGAAAAGCCAGAGATAGAACTTGAATGCTGGAGCCTTGGAACAAGCATGGCGTAATAGACCTAGAGTGGTAGAATTGCAGCCACAGCTCGGTGCAAGGCTGGGAGTATACGGAAGAATAAATACCTCAATCTCTTTCTCTGCTTTTACCTTCTGATCACTTGCTGGCACTTCTCTTTGGCGAAGCCCAACCAAAAACCAGAGGGCAGGGAGATTTGTGATACTCACTATACAGGTCAGTCTCCTGGGCATCTGTGGCAGATAGAAGAGAAGGTAAGAGACTTGTCTTGGGGGAAAGGGAGTGGTCTGACAAATGGAAAATAATCAGATGGCCTAAACCGACTGATTTCAGATTTACTCCAAGACACAGAATGGCAGAATGAACATAGGTTTTGACGTCAGAAAGATCTAGATTCAAATTCCACCTCCTAGTGGTGAGAAGCTGGTATCTTTTTGGAGAAAACCTGTTGAACAGCTTCAGGAGAAATCCAACTTACCTCTCTGAGTTTCAGTTTCCTCACCCAGTTAACTAGAAATAATAACGACCTGCCTAATTGAGTTACTGGGAATATTAGATAAGTTAACCAAGGAAAAGAGCCTGACAAAAAAAATTTGACACATGAAATGTGCGTGATATTTGTTGGTTTCCTTCCCCGTTCGCTCTTTCCATCTGGTACTCCTATAGGGTAAGCTGCCTGCCATGTTGAGGTGAAAGAACCAGTCTGACCTTTTTTTTTTATTATTATTATGGGGTTTCTGTGGGGAATCCCCTGTTGACTCACACCTACAGTGATGGGTGGGACTGTCTCATTCATGAAATCTTGTTTACTGTGGTCCCCCTGTCAGGAGAGAACCAACCATTTTGCTGGTGTAACTCCACTGAAGAAAACCTATTGGGACATTTTCAGGAGAACAGTTTTCTCTCTCTGTGGGGACACCGGTTCTGAAGTAGCTGTTCTCTTCATTGTTGTACAAGTCTTCACCATTTCTTTAGCAAGTTTCATTCCTCCTTCATAAGCCGATGCTCAGAAAACTTGCCCTTCCTTCTTGGGTGTATTAGCTGTTGACAAGGTATGTCAGCATATTCCAGGTCTGCTTTTGCAAAAACTTGACCAATTCAGTTCCTGATAGGCCGTGTCCTTTCTACCTGAAGCCACCAGGGAGGTTTTTATTTGTCGTTGTTGTTTGCTAGTTTTGGAACAGGTATGACTTTTGACTGGACCCTTGGAAATGGTACCGGTGATTGAAAAAATAAAAAGCCACATTAGTCATTCATTTAACTACTCTGATTCAAACTAGCACTTATATGCTAGGCGTATTCCTAATTCTCACCACCATCCTGTCTTATTTTAAGTTGAGGAAATTGAGCCTCAGATAGATGGGACAACATGTCTAGGTACTAAGAGGCAGAACTGGGCTAAAGACCATAGGTCTACATGAATCAAAACACAGGATTTTCTTTATTTTTAAGATGGTTAATGAGTAATGAGAGTCAATTGAAAAATTTTCATCCAGCCCTGATCATTTAAAAATAAAAATCACAAGCCTGTGAGTTTTCCTCAATGACAAGGGATAAGTCTTATTCATCTCTCTCTTCCCACTGCTGACCACTGCTCCTGTCATAACATAGGTGACTGATTAATGTTTGTTGAATAAAAAAATGATTGACCAAATGAATCATCGATACAAGATGTATTTGTCTCCACACAGCATTTTTCTAATGCATATTTATATTTTATTTGACAGTGTTTGCAAATTGCATAATATTCCCCTTCAGCACAACTTGTAGAGTGGAAATGCTTCCATATGCTAGATGTTTCCCTTCATTTGACTGAAGGGGAAACAAAGACTAAGAAAAACATCACATAGTGGCTAAGTACCCATATAAACACAAGTTATAGCATGTACTGTTCACAGATGGTATATTTTGAAAGGGAGATTTTGCAGAAGTTATTAAAGTAGACATTAAATTTGGATTAATATGGGTTGGAAAATGTTCTTTCTCAGCTAAATATAGTTTTATATGAATACACTATGTTGTAGGAGGTAGAACAGTGAGGAAGAAGAGCATGGGCTCTGGAGCAGCTTCCTATATTCACATCTAGGCACTTTTACTTCATAGCTATGTGACTTGGGTGACTTACTCAATCCTATCCAGATATTAGTTTAACTCCTATGTAAAATGGAGCTAAGAACACTATTTCCTGCATGAGACGGTTGAGAGAACTAAATAAGTTAACACAGGTATAATAATTAAAATAGTGTCTGGTAAATGGCAAAGCTCAATAAATAGTATCCATAAGCCCAATAGAGTCTAGTTCAGAAAAGCCAGATCTGTTCTATATTCTCCATCCCCATTAAACCTACCTTTTTTCAGGAGCTCATCAAGTCTTTTCTGACTTATTTTACCCTCCAGCTCACCCTTCATATGGTTACTGGAGTGAATTCTTGAAGACTCACATTAAACTAGACCCTCTGTTTTCTTGAAACTCTACTATTGTAGAGCTAACTCTGTCAGCTTGATGGAGAAGTACAATCCTCATAGCATGATGTTCAGGGTCCTTTATGAATGCATTCCCCATTCCTCCTGTGGTCTTGTCTCTCATCATGTCCACATACATGCTATACTACAAGTACCAAGAGATGCCCAAAATAGAAAAGTCATATGGGCTTGTTGAATAAGAAATACTTGAATGACAGGAGTGAGTAGCTAATTTTGCTGTTGAGCTCATAAAGGCTACAGAGAAGAAGGAATATTTAAGTTGTGCCTTAAACAATGGTTGATATTTGTGAAGCAAGGTCAAGTAGAAGGTGACCAAGTGTATCACCTGTATTGAGGGGAAGATTTATACCCTGACACAGAAAACAAGGTGTACTCATGGAATGAGAACCTGTGTAATGCTGACAGGGATGACCTAGAGGGAATGCTTAAATGCTGGAATGAGGAAGAGGCAATAGGATCTTTAAATCTAGCATGAATGTCTGGTTGGATAGTTTTGTTAATGGAGATTAAGGATATACAGGAGAAAGGACCGTGTGTGTTTGTGTGTTTGTGTGTGTGTGTGTGTGTGTGTGAAACAATCGGTGTCTGTTTTGTACACATGCATACAAAAACCACCTGGGAATATTTAGTACTAAGCTTCCAATCTTTTCCCCAATCCCACCCCCAGACCTGCTTCTGTCACACTTCCCCTTCTCAGCAAATGGTTTAAGTGTCCACCATGATTCCTCTCCCGTGCACCCCACATCTGATCCTTCAGAAAATTATGCTGCCATTTTCTTCAAAATAGATTCAGTATCTGATCATTTCTCACTGCTTGAACGGCTACCACACTCATCAGAGCCACCATCATCCTTTGCAGGATTATTGAAATAGCCCCCTAAGCTGCCCCTCTGGTTTCCACCTTGCCCTCCTTCAGCCTGTTCTTAACACAGTGGCCAGGATGGGCCTTTTAAAGAGTAGTCAGATCCTGACTCCTCTGTCCAAAGCCTTCCAAGGCCAGCCCATCTCACTCAGAGTAAAATCCCCAAGTATTCACAGCGCTGGTCTGCGTAACCCACCCCTCCCAACCCTGCAGCCTTGCCCCATTGCCTCTGGGGCTTCCTATTCTCCTGCTCCAGCCTTCTCTGAACCACTCTGCCATCTTGGATTCCTTAGCATTCCTCATGCTCTGCATAGGAGCCTTCCAGCAACTGTCCCCCAGCCCGGAATGGCTTTTCCTCAGGTGCCCACCTCAGCAGCTCCTTCTCCTCCTCCAGGTCTTTGCTGTGACATCACCTCCCCAGTGAGGTCTCCTATGGCCACCTTCCCTAAGAGGTAGGTTCCCTTCTCCCTCTGATCTCCCAATCCCTCCTTTCTGTTTTTTTCCCCTTTAGTACATATCACCATCAATCATACTCTATATTTTACCTTTAAATTTTATCGACTGTTTGTATTTCTCCCACTGTCTTGCATCTATAATATATGTTCCACAAAGTCACTGATTTCTGCATTGTTTTCCACTGTAGTCCTTGTACCTAACAGTGCCTGACCACAAGTTATGATACTTAATAGATATTTGCTGAATGAAAGAATAAATCCAGGTGGGGGTTACAGCAATGTGTTGCTACAAGAATCTGGTATTTGCAGGGCAGACCTGAGTTAAAGATAGATTTGGGATTCTTTAGCAACGAAATGACAGCTGCATGAGAGTAGCTGACATACCAAGAAAAGGATATTTTAGTGAAATTCAAAAAAAATAACCAACATAAAGCCTGAAAAAAAATAATAAAGACTCTGCAGATGAAGCAGCAGAGTTGAGAGCCACAGCCTCAGGGTTATTGACTTGTGTTAAAAATCTTTGCCTCCCCGTTTACTAGCTGTATGACCCTGAGAAAGTGACTGGATCATTCTTGGCTTCCCTGTTCTTAAGGGTAATTAGAAAATAAGATTTCTACTTCACAGGGCTATTAAGAGGATTAACCAATAAACTGCATATAAACCAGTTAGCAGATGGTAAGAAAGAACATACGTTCCTGTTGTTGATACTAATACCATCACATTCTCAAAATCCAGGAAAGAATCCTGAAAAAAAAAAAATGTAATGGAAGCTGAATGAGGAGAGGCTTTCAATAGAGAGAGGCAGTAAACGGTGGCTGTTGGTCTGTGGCCGAGGCACAGTATGCTAGGAGATTCATAAGGCCCCAGGATAGAGCTATTTGTGAGAACAGTTTCACTTGAACCGTAAAAGTCATAAACCCCATATTTTAAAATAAGCTAATGTTTTGTGGAAAATAACAGTAATTGTCCTAGAAAAAAAATCAAATGAAAACAAAACAAAACAAAACAACACTAGGCCCTCAACTGTGTCCAGCTGACACAATGTAGGAACATGGTGACCCAAAAACTTGCTTCTCTCTGGTGTTTAGGAGATTTACTTGCTCACTAGTCAGAACTAGTTTGCTAGTTTATGAGGTTAAGCTATTGTGCAATATTGTTCAGCTGGCTCTGTGGGTGTTTATTTACAGATGGCTGCCATCTTGATTTATTGTCTGTCAAATTATAATTATTAAGGATGGAGTTAATTGTCATTTCAACCACCTGGTAATTACCCACTGTGCTTTCATGTGGTGACAAATCTGTCCTTTATATCAAAACTGGAAGGTTCATAAGATATTTCACTTCCATGTTCATCTCCATTCATGTCTTGTTCAAAGTAAAAGATTAGTAGACATTATTGAAACTTTTAAGTGTAATTTGTGAGCCTTCAGGTAGAAGAATTGCTGATTGTTGTAAATACTTTTTAGTAGTAGGACTGGTATAACAAGAATCCAGTGACGTGAGTTACAATAATTGAAATTAAAATTACGAGTCATGTTCTTTCAAAGAGTGGTCTAATAAAAAATTTAACAATGCCCCTAGTATATTCCATCATGCATCACATAGAATGATGGTTTATTAGCCTCATTATTTGTTTGCACTATTGTTTACCAAAGCCAGTTTGTCCTCATGCCCTCTGAACTTTTAGGACAGAATTCAGCAGAGACAGTACTGTTACCCTAGTCTTTTACGGCGTTCATCACTTCCACCTAAGGCTATGAATGGGATTCTCTGCTTGCTTAATTAGGGAGAATCTGATAGTACCAATGGGAATAAAGAGAGGGAGAAGTTTACGTGCCATAGAAGCTGCCTTCCTCCTCCCATTTTTGGTGTCTAGTCCCTTCTTCATGTACTTTTCCTTTTTCAGCTTTTCTGAATGTGTACATTTTCAGGAGGGGATACATAATTTGTTAAATTAGGCAGCAGAGGGTCAGGTGGTAGCTTCCCTACCAAAGCACTACCCTGGGATGCTCCCATCATCCGATCATCTTTTCTTGTCTCAGGAAACCCATCAAGCAAGCATCATGTGTCAAGGCTTATCTAGCTTTTAGAGGAGGGGCATAAAAGGAAAAAGCTCATGTCTCTGGCTTCTCAATATTTCCATGCAGAATCACCTTGTATTTGACAAGAGCCAAATCAGAGTCTTTGGTGGCCATGAAGTCTCACCTTGGCATCTGCTCTGCAGTGAGACAGCCTGTGCTGATTTCTGCTAACATCCCATCCCAGCCAAAGAGGCAACCATCCAACAGGCCTAGAGAAAATCTGGGAGCAATTTCTGCTTCCCTTCATTTAATGAGATTGTGAATCAGTTCATTGAGGAAGAAAAGCTCAGGGTTAGAAGTGGGTAGCTAGGACCCCTCCCTCCCTCCCTCCCTCCCTCCCTCCCTTCCTTCCTGGCAATCTTAGGCAATAACAGAGGGCTGTTAGCTTCTATAAAGATAACGTGAAAAATCTGATAACATGTCAATAAAATTCTTCTAATGGCAGATTAGGCCATCTCATCATCAATGCATCTCATCATCAATGCCAGATTATAACTGAGATAGATATTTCTGCAAAACTCTTCTCTTAATGCCAATGTGAGGATTATTGTCTTCCTTGGCTCAACATGGAGACTAGGTCCACGAAGGGGAATTTTCTTTCTTGGTTGAAAGTGTACAAGAACTATACTTTATGAAATAAAGCTCTGTATGAAACTTTATTCTACTTCTAGCCTGTTCTATTCAGATATCATCAGGAACTTTTCAAGGCAAAGTTGATAGTTAAGTTCTAGAGTGGTTTGAAAATTGTACTCAGAGTGGGTGACTCTGCGAGGCCATTCCATTCTCTAGGAACCATTAATTACTGTCATGATGATTTATATGAATGCATTCATTATCTTCATATCAGTAAAGTACTGCTCAGTATTTGCTTCAAAGTCTTGTGAGAGAAGTTGCTGTCTTTGTACCTCCTACAGAAAACAGTTGGAAGAGTTTAAATGACAGGTGTGGGGACAATGCTGTGCTGGTCATATTCAGATTCTCCCTTGGTCTTTTGATACTGTATCCTAAAGACGAGCACAAATCCTCTTCTTTATCCTGCTTCTTGTTACGTCAACATGGAAACTCAAAGGGGAAAGGAGTGAACAAAATAGCATATTTAAATTTATCGGTAGAAAATAAAGTTTATCTATCACATTTCCTTTCCTTAAAATCATGGGTCCTAAAAGCTTGAGGAAGCAGCGTTACTAAGCCCGGTAGGAATATCCTAATTACCATCCTGGCCAAAGGGTGTTGGGAAGAATGATGACCTGAGAGTCAGCGGACCTGGGGTCCAGTCTTTGTCTGGTATTGACTACTGGCCAGAGCACCTTGGACAACTCAATTCTTTTCTCTAGTCTCAATTTCCCTCCTTGATTTGATGAGATTATCGTTAGGATTTCTCACAAATCTGAATTCTCCTGGAAGTTGAATGCTGCTGGAGAATGGGTGAATCACTTGGCAAACCTCTAACTCCCGACTGAATGTCTGTCAAGAAGCTTCCTCTTATCACCACTATCAAAACTTACTCTTAGGGCCATACAATTGTTGGCACCCATCAAATTAGTAATTTCATTCCTGGGAGTTTACTGTAAAGAAATATACTCCTTGGGAAGGAGGAAAGAACTACATTTTTAAAAAGTTGCTCATTGTGTAATTCAAAATTTGATGTAAGCTCAATGGCCAACAGTTGGAGAATGGACCAGAACAGTTGATGGGCTGTTTCAGTCATGGGAACTACAAGGAGAAATGTTTCTGATAATACAAGAAAGCAAAAAGCATTTGGTCTGTGGATTGCAAATATGTATGAACAAGATAAATGTAAGAGGAGCAGACATCTTTGGTATACCTTCTATGGGTTGGGCACTGTGGTAGGCATTTGATGACATTAATAATCTCACTTACTTTTCAGAACAGCCATGCAGATAGGCGCTATCATTACCAATTTACAGCTTAGGAACCCATGGCTGAGTTAAAGTCACTTGCCAGATCACTACCACTGTTAATGGGCTAGTGCTCAACATTCACATGCATGTACAGTTGATCTTTGTTGTTCTAGTAGTTCTTTGTTGTTATAGTTGTTATGATCTATAAAGTCTCAGTCTCTTTGAACACTGAATTAGTAAATACTGAACAATTGCCCTTAGGGAAAATACAGGTTTGTGTTCCTGAAAGTCTCTGTTCACAACATTTTCATCAACCAGTCAATATATTAATATAACCTTGTTTTCTGTGTGCTTCTGTTTAAGGACACCGTGTTTTAGTGTATATTGTCGATTCATTAACGTTGAACTCATGGCCAATAGCACTATAAGCTCAAGCCTGAATGAAATTTATCTAACACAAGTATTTTCTCCGTAAGGCACATCACAACCTTCTTGCACTTAGGAACGCTAGATAGCACTTCAGTACTATGCTTGGCGGTCATTTTAAACAGTGACATCACCAACAAAAAATGGGAAAAGCATGGCACCAAACAGACTGTGAAGAGGACACATGTTTACATCATGAAAGCTGAAACCAGAAGACAGTGTCTTATTCAACCTCAGCTGAGAACAGGTGTTTTGGGCAACTCAAATTTTTCACTGCTCTGCACATGTTTATGAATAACTTTGAAATTGCCATATTGATTTTAGGGTTACAAATAAATTTAGCAAGTAAACAAATTCACAGACGCAGAATCCAAGAATAATGAGAACCGACTGTATATTCAATCATTGGGCAAATATTAATTGTGTGCCTACTATGTGCCGGACACTGTTCTAGTCACTGGGGATTCAGCAGTGAACAAAACAAAGCCTCTGTGCTCCTGGACCTAACATTCTGGGGAAAGGGTAAATGCAGGTAGTAAAGTACATCATGGTCAAGATGGTGATAATCTATGGAGACAGATCACACTGGGAGTGGAGTAGGGAGGGATTAGTGGAGTGTTCTGTGAACACTCAAGGAAATCAGTTCATATGGACATGTGTGGAAGGAGCAATTTGGGAAGTAGGGACACGCAGTGTAGATGCTGAGCAAGAAGCCAGGATGGCTGCAGTTGGGGGTGGCAGAGAGGAGATGAGATAAAGACTGGGTTGGCAAATGATGTAGGATTCTCTGACTTCAGAACCTGGGCTCTTGAAAGGAACATGGGATGAAGATGCAGTATGAGCACTGGGGTGCATTCTAAGTTGTCATAAGGTTGGCAAACGAAAAAGACTGTGAGCTTTTGCTCTTGAGAAAGGTTCCAGTAAGATCCAAAGAAAGAATCTTCGCAAAGGGGTGGAGGCTTCGCCAAGGCCCCCAGACCTCTACTTCATCTGAAGCTTCAGGGTGGGTCACCTGAGGATGCCTCTTTTAGGGAAGTGACTTCAAATCAGCTTGGGATTGGAGGAGACTCTCTGGGAGATAATCTGGCCCAGAGCTGCAATACTGAGGACAATTTCATCAGCATTGACAGTGCATCTGAGGAGAGGCTGGTCACAGCAAACAAACCATCACCCAGGACAACAGGAGTGAAGGCAGAGAGCAAGTCTGCACAGTAAGATTAGCTTGTACAAAAACACTGCTCAACCAACTCAGCTCTGCTCACTGCACTCATCAGAATATGAATGCCACAGCCCATGTTGGAGTCAGTTGCAAAACTCATCTGCAGTTAGACATCCTAAGACTCAACCCATACCACTGACTGATATGGAAACTGAGGCCCAGCAAGGGAAACTAATGAACATCCCATCAAACACCAAGGGAGGGGCTGAACCAGGATGGAAACTTAGCTCTGGCCAAACCATCATTCTAGACAGTTATTCCTAGAGTTAAAAAAAAGAAGAAATTTCACAGAATTCCCAGGTTTGCAGAAAAGCCACTGATTGAGCTGCTGTGTTTGTGTCCATGCAAGCAACTGCAGCCACCTCTACAATTCAGTTTAGTGACTTTATTTATTTATTTATTTAGGCAACCTGGCCATTCAACATCTGCCTCTTGGAGGGCCCTGTGGAAAACTGTGTGGCCATAATGTGAGCCACTCCCAAGAGAAAGGTTCTTAGTCAGCAAAGGTGGTCACGCTAGTTGGAAGAGTCAAAAGGAATTAAACTCCTGTCCCATGATCTTTAGATCTAACAGAGGCACTGGTTCCCTCTTTCAAAGCTTTTTGTAGGAAGGCCTGTCATTTGTGAGGCTCTCTGGCTTCAGGCTTCTGCCTATCTTCTGCGAGGCACTGAATCCCAAAAGAAGTGGAAAGTGGTTGGTCGGGGACAGTGGTGTGCTGGTAGACCCGCTCTCTGGGGGATGGTAAAGGAAAGCCTTGGTTTCCTGCATTTGCCCGATATCTGTGGTGCAAATACTTTCCCCATGGTGGCTTTCAAGCTACCAAGGATTCACAACCGGCTCACAGAATTCCTGAAAATTTAACAATCCACTCTCATGCGCCTGCTGCAGCCATTTCCAGCCCACCTCTGTAGCTCTCTAAACAGCAGGGCCTCATGGATGAGACTAGAGAGGGGAGATGTAGCTGGCTCTGTTTAATTCTGTGAGGTCAAACCACACCTGGGAGGGTGTGTCTGGTTTCAAAGCCTACATTGTAAGAGGAACATAGGCACACTGAAAATTGTTTGATTTGGGCAAGAAGCAATTTCGTCTGAAAAGCCCACCGGGAGACCTATTGCTGGAATGAGAATCCAGGGGAAGAAAAACACAGGGTATCCTGGCCATTGTTTCCAAATCTCTGTGGGGCTGTAAGGTACTTTTCCTGAGGCGTGGAATCTGAACAAATGGGTTGGGGAGGCGTCTAGAACCGGGATGCTGATTTCAGCTCAACCTAGGACTTTTCCGATAAAGCCACCCAGAGAAAGGCAGAGCTGCCTGGCACCATGAGGAATGCCATCACTAAAAGAATAGCATAAAGAACATAGGGCACCCACTAGGTGGGGCTGTGACCGTGGGGACTCCAGGGGCCCCTTCTAGTTCCTGGGGTCTGATCCTGCAATGGACTCTTCTTCCTTTTCCTAGGTAGCCAGTTTTATCTTCTCACTTTCCACTCCCCTTTTCTCTTTCTCCTCTTTCCTGGGCTCTTTTTCTTAGCTGCCTTTAGCCTCTTTACTGGGTTGATCTTCCTTCTGGGACATTGACCTCTAGAGCTTCCTGCACAGAGCGGACTCAGCCCCTTCTCTTTCTCAGGACCCACTTACACCCCCGGGGGAGAGAGCAGGGGCCCTCCTTGTCTTATTTTTCCTTGCTTTCTCTTCTCTCTTCCAACATTCTCAGCTCCACATTTGTGATTGAAGAAGGGCAAATAAACAAATTGAAACTGAAACTGAGCATTGGCCATAAAGTGAGGACATCTGGGAGGCTTGTAAGGAAATTTACATGCTTGCCTGGTTTCAGGTTGCATATTTTGTGTTGCCTGGTAACAAGCCCAGCGTTCCCTTTCATGCTTTATTCTCCTCCTATCCCCTGTTTATAGTGTAATTACCACTGTGACATCATAATCCCTCATTGAACAGCTGTCAGGGGGGCCCAACTGCTGAGTAAACAGGGCTTTATAATCTCTCCTCCCATGGGCTGGTTTACTAAATAGATCAATATTTGGTTTGTAGGCACAGAGATTAGGAGGTGGAAATGTCTTTTGAAAAAGCCCAATCTCTTCCCAGGGCCCTGAGTGCACCTGAGAATGCTGAAAAGAAAAGCCAAGTTCACGGACAAAAAAAGAATCACCCAAGCTGCTTTCACCTGCCTGCGATTTCCCAGGAAGCCAGTTTGTCTTTAAGAAGTGAGACCCATTTGAGAATGAGTAATGTCTTAGGCTCTTTAGTCTAATGCTTAGAGAATTCCACTTTCTTCTTTCGCTCGGCCTCCCCCTGAGCTCCCCTTTCTCTGTCCCCAACTCCATTTTATTTAATCTTTCTAAATGGATATTGTAGCCTCAGGGACTAAAAGAATGACACATGGATAAACAGGAACTAAGCTCCTAAGCTTTTCCCCTACCTGCCATCTTCCTCACCACGCATGAGGATTAGAAGCATCACAAAGAAAGCAGTCTCGGAAGTTTGTCAAATAGAGATTTCTGGGTGATGGTTTGGGAAAGGATGATTTAGATCGTGCCTCTCCTGGGTCGGGAAAGTGACTGAAACACATAACAGCAGAGAACTTGAAGTGCTGGTTTGAGCTTCAGGAGATGTGAGTTCTAGCCCCAGTGCTGCCTGTGATTTTCTCTGTGACCTGGGACAAGTCCCTTGTGGATACGACAGGATATGCGGGCTACAGGGATCTCTGAGGCTTCTCCCAGGTAGGCAAAGTGGAGTGTCAGACTAAGCTGGGCTCAAAAGTTTGTCCTGACACTAGTTAACAGCAAAGTCTTCAAATCACAGGCAACTCTTAAGAGTTGCACTTGCTTCGCTGTAAAAAACGGGAGAATTAATGAATCACTGTGAAGACTAAATGAGATAATGGATGGGGCACACCTCACTGGGTGTGTGATACTTGGTAGGTGTCTTTTTAAAGCATAATTCCTATAAAAACCAAAACTATGGTTTAAAAAAAGGCTTGGAGGTAAAAATTAGAAGGAAAGGAAAGTAAAAGAATAATAACAATCAACACCAGTGTAAGCCATTCACAAGACACAAAGTCCCTTTCACGTATATGATCTTAGGTAATCTGGGCAACAACCTTGAAGAAGAGAAAAGCACCACATTTATTGATCTCTTTGAGTGGGCCATTCACTGTCCTAGTTTTTCACAATCATCTTGGTGGGTAATTTTCCTATTTTGAAGGCCAGGGTCCAAGATTACCCAACTGGTGAGTGTTGGAGCCAGCTCGGGTGATTTTGGTTTGAAACCTCTAAATCCCATGACACAGAAGTGGCAGGATCAATGTGGAAAGCAAGGCAGCAAAATGATGAGGTACTAAAAACTAATGACCTAGATGAAGGAAAGAAATATTTACACAACATCATATGCTTCTTTCACAGTTGTCATGCAACATCATAGTACTTTGCTGATTCAGTCATTTCACAGAGTAATTAGCGTCTGTCTCTGAAAAATAAAATACTGCAATTGGCTGCCGTCTCTAGGACTTTGTGACTTCCTTTGGACAGGTGGTTGCAAAAAGCCTACACCTTTAAAAGTGCCCCCTGAAAGTTAATGAATCACTGTGAAGACTAAATGAGATAATGGATGTGACACAACTCTCTGGGTACCCAGAATGGAGGAGATGGTAGGCCATGGCAGATGGTAGGGGAGAAGCTGGCTTCAGACAATCTACAGAAACCCAGTTTCCTGATTTTTCTGTGCAAGGAATAGCACAGGCATCTGATAATTCCACTATTCTCTCTGGCTGGTGGCCTTCTCTTTGAAAGACTGCATGGTTTCAGTTCAGTTTCATATAGATCTGTGTGTAGATCTGTACAGTGATAACATTCCTTTGTGCTAAGTCAGTCCAAGATAACTAACCTGTTTCCAAGATCTAATTTTGTATGTGGGAATCTTGCCTTGCCCTGATTTCCAGACCCATAGGCAGGCTTGCAGGCTGTAGCTGGGGAAGACCCCACGCTTATTCTGGTGCCCTGAGCAAGACCTCCTGCTCCACTATTAGGCAGAAGCACCTGTTCTGCCACAGGAGGTGCTGTCTTTTGCTGGCAGAGCTCAGTTTCCCTTAAGGGGAAGTTCCTTAGGATTTAAGGCCTCATGACTATCTCAAAACCCATGTTTGTTTGCCAATAAAGAAAATAAATAAACTGTACTAAGGGCTCCTTCCTATATCAGCCTCTGAATTATATGCTATTTTTCTTTAAAGCTACAGCCCTCTGGGGACTACCCATAAATTAGTAGTTCTCAAACTGTAGTGTGCATCAGAACCACCTGGAGGGTGGTGTGTTAGAACACAGGTTTCTCTGCATCCTGAGAGTTTCCTA
The DNA here is from genome assembly GCF_000001405.40 of Homo sapiens. Taxonomy (NCBI): domain Eukaryota; kingdom Metazoa; phylum Chordata; class Mammalia; order Primates; family Hominidae; genus Homo; species Homo sapiens. Next base: position 108,269,740 of record NC_000009.12, on the reverse strand, counting down.
AGTTCCAGAACTTAGTAGTTCTGGAGTGGAGCCTGAGAATGTGCATTTCTGACCAGTTCCCAGGTAATGCTAATGTGGCTGCTCAGGTGACCACACTTAGAGAAACACTTGCCTAAACCATCCACCGCAACTTGAGTTTGCAGAGCTGCTGGTGGCTTTCTTTTGGAACTTTCCACATTTTTTTTGTATGTGGTTGGCCATTAGTTTGTTCCCTTTTTCCACCACAGAGTTTTAGGTTCTTTTTCACCACAGAGTTGCTTCTCTTCACAAGCAAGAATGCAAATGAAGCTGCTTTATCTGGTATTATTTTCCACACCCTCTTGTAGCCTATATAATTTCAGTTTGTAGTTTGGAAAAATCCCTAATGTGTTTTCCCCCTCACACCTCTGTATCTTTGGACTTGCTGTTTGCTCTCTGGGCTGGAAGGCCTCCCTGGCTTTGCCTGGTGAATTCTGAATTGGATGTCAGAATGGAACTCATGCCATGGCCCCAGTAGAGTCATCCCTGAACAGCCTACCCAAGCAGAGATCATTTTCTTCTCTTTCTCTAACCTTATAGCTGCTAGTCCAATCTTTCATTCTAGCCCTTATCCATTTGCAGGCTTCCCCTGCCCACTAGACAAGGAGATACTGAAAGGCAGAGACCAGGAACGACTCAACTTGAGGCTCCCTAAGTATCAAGCATAGTGGATCTTAACCCGGGCTACACCTTAGAATCACCTGTGGAACTTGCCAAAAAGTTCCAACACTTAGGTCTTTCTCCACATCAATTAAATCAGAATCTCCGGGGAACAGAGCTGCAATTAGGGCCTCCATTCTCCAGGTTTCCTAAGTAGAATGGACAATGATTTTAACATTCTGCAGCTCCATTCCGACTGTGTGCCTGTTCTGTGTGTTCTGTGACACAGAATAGACTTTATGGGTCCCATTTTGTAAGTGAAGAAAATGCTCTGAGAGCAGATCATTGATTGAGTCAGCAAATCATTGGTTCATTGGTTTCTTAATTCACTCCCTATTCATTCATTCATTTGACAAGTATTTTTGTAGTATCCACTGTGTGTCTGGACACATAGTAAACAATAACAGACATTGCCCCTGCTCTCATAGAGGTTTCAGCCTAGTGAGTGAGGTAGACTGTGATCAATCACCCAAATAAATGTCAAGTCACACTCCAAATAAATGCCATGAAGGAGGAAGTTTTACTCAGGGGAGAGAACCACAACAGCTTTTGGAGTTTTTAACAGGGGAGGGGTTGACCAAGTCCTGGAGGCCAAGGATGTTTTCCCTGGTCAAGGTCTGTTGACTAGAGCATGGCAGGACGAGACATTCACTGGGCCAAGAGGGAAAGGCAGAGTGTCTCAGGCAGAGGGAGCTATGGAAACCAGCAGAGTCCAGGGTCCTTCAGCCAGGTGTACCCCATGGTTCCCATCCTCAGCCTTTCTCTTCACCATTGTCTTGGGGCAGCAAGCAGGGCTTTAGAGAAGTGTAATCATTGTGCAGGATAGTGTGAGTGTACACACAGGTGTGCATGCATGTACATATACACAAGCACACACATGCATAAACACATATAACATACATACATATACCCACATGCCCACACCACTCCTTTGCTCAGATCAGAGCTAGGCTGTCTGCCTGGAGCTATGCCGAAATGTTGATGCCCAAGGACTCCTTTCTCGAGGAATTAGAACAAGTTTTAAACCACATTATCTCACTGACTATGCAGAGTCCTCTGACAAATGGTGTCTTTTCATCCCAGCAGCCTGGGGGAGGTATAGACAGCCAGCAGACAGGATCTGAGGGTCATGCTGCCCAGAAACATGGGGTACACCCTCACCCAATCTTGATTAAGCTCTTCCTTTTTGCTGTTGGAATAGATCAGAGGAAGGATTGGGATGCCCTGTCACTCGGCTCCAGGCCTTTTAGTTGTTCATGTCATATCAATTTTTCTTTTTTCAAAACGCTTATTTTTAAATGCTAGGAGAAACCCTTTTGTCCTAGATAATAGAACTTGGCTTTTAAGATTGCCGCCAATAAAAGCCTATGGATATCCAAAAGGAAAACTTCATGCTAGTCAAGCTAAAAGACAATCTCCTAGGCTTTCTATGTGTGATACTGTATTAGTCCGTTTTCACACTGCTGATAAAGACATAACCGAGACTGGGAAGAAAAAGAGGTTTAATTGAACTTACAGTTCCATATGGCCATGGAGGTCTCAGAATCCTGGCGGGAGGTGAAAGGCACTTCTTACATGGTAGTGGCAAGAGAAAATGAGGAAGATGCAAAAGCAGAAACCTCTGATAAAACCATCAGATCTCATGAGGCTGATTGTCTACCACAAGAACAGTATAGGGGAAATAGCCACCACAATTCAAATTATCTCCCACCAGGTCCCTCCCACAACACATGGGAATTCTGGGAGTACAAGATGAGATTTGGGTGGGGACACAGCCAAACCATATCATTCTACCCATGACCCTTCCAAATCTCATGTCCTCACATTTCAAAACCAATCATGCCTTCCCAGCAGTCCCCAAAAGTCTTAATTCAGTGTTAACTCAAAAGTCCACAGTCCAGAGTCTCATCTGAGACAACGCAAGTCCCTTCCACCTATGAGCCTGCAAAATCAAAAGCAAGCTAGTTTCTTCCTAGATTCAATGGGGTACAGGTATTAGGTAGATACAGCCATTCCAAATGGGAGAAACTGGCCAAAACAAAGGGGTTACAGGGGCTTCTTCTTCCTCAAGTGAACTGGAGGCAGTTGGAGCACTCAGCAATTTCATTAACATTTTAAATACACAAATGGCAGATATACTCACTCAATTGTCTTCTGATGTAAACTGGTGTGAGAGCAAGTCCCTGGGAAAGCTGGTTACAGTTGGGAATGTTCTTGACCCCTGGGGATGGCCAAATGGATAGGTGGAGGCCATTAGGGAAAGCACAGAGTAGTCACCCAGGAGAGAGGAATAAACTATTTCCTGAAGAAGAAAGAAGAGCTCAGAATTGCAGTGGGTCACAAGCTGTGTATGAGACATAGTGGGGTGGTTTCTCCATTGCTGGAAAATCTAATTTTCATAGAGTTGATTTTGGTCATAGGAGTTATTTATTGGGATTCTTTGACTCAGGAAATATGAAATTTAGACAGGACCTAGGGATGGGCTGATAAAAATAGTTTAATGGTCCTAAAAGGGATAATGTAAGGAAGAGACATGGGAACTGAATAGAGTTTAAATTAGAATTGGCACAGAAGGAGGCCATATACTCAGTGATATTGTAAAAGGAGAATGTATGAGAGGCCAGGGGTTTTCTCAAGCAGGACAAAGTGAGCAGAACAACCAGGACAACATCCCTTGCTTCCCCTCCTTTCTCTGCCAGCCATAACTTAGAAACTTCTTCCCACTTAAAAGTATTGCTCTGCTTCCTAGCTTTTGCCTCTGATGGATGAGATAATGAAAGCCTTCTTTGGTGGACGTTTCTCTTTTGGACGGGATAAACAATACTTCTCATGAGTAGTCTTTCCCCTTGGATTCTATACACTCAGCAAGGCCAGTTATGGTGCTCCAGGTAGCTGGGAGGTGGCAGGCTCAACTCACATCAGGTGTGGGTCCCAAGATCTAGAATTTAGGAAAAAGGGGTAGAAGTTCATGTAGGTCTCCAATGTCACTTTTCCTAATGCCATTTTTCCATTGATAATACTGTTATTCAGTCTCCTGTTTGACGCCAGTGGCCCCTTCCTAATGGATTCAGAACTCAAATGGGAGAGGGTGTGATTAATTGATCCCCTAAGTAATCTCAACCAACCTGTACAGGCAGAACTGTAGTTTAGTTTTGAAGAAATATTTTATGATTGTGAGATACAGATAGAAATGGATCATGCAGAAGATGAAATCTTCTTTTGAGAATAACAAAATGAAATAACGAAAACAGGAATGAACGTTGAAATAATATTTTAAATGTTGGACTGAGGGTAGGCTCTCCCAAGTTCCCTTAAGTTTCTGTTGTTTGACAGATAATTAAACCCAAAGAAAGATCCAATGGAGAAATCTGTGTATGTGTCTTGCTCCCAGGAAGGCTATGGATGGGGGCTTTACTCACGTGATCATGGAGATTTGAATGGCCATGCAGGACTAGGTTGGAAAAACTCTCAAAGATAAAGCATTATGGAGAAATATGGCCAACTATGACATAGGAACTAAAAATTCTTTTTAAATAAAGCAATATGGAGGAACTTTCACAGGCTGTGAAGGTACAGGGCTCTGAAACCCGATTATGCTGCCTGATGGTGAAGGAAAAGCAAGAAGCCTGTGGCTGGGCAGAACAAGGGAGGGAAGACCACTAGTAGATGGAATCAGTGAGCTACCTCAAGTAAGACCTTGTAGGCTGTGGGAAGACTTGGGAAGCAACAAAATCAATTCACTTAATTACCATTTCTTACATAAGCCTATTACTAGCTACAAGATTGTTCAACAGACATTTACAATGCAATTACTTTCGCAGATCTAATATAAAATACATTTTAAGCATGATTCATTGGGCTGGGTTACCCCATTCTCAATTTAATCAAAACAGATATTCCAAATCTCTGGCTGCTATAGGCTTTACAGCCACTTATAGGGAGGGTGTCTGTCATCTGAAGCATAGGAAAGTTGTCTTTTTTTTTTTTTTGAGATTGAGTCTTGCTCTGTCACTCAGGCTGGAGTGCAGTGGTACGATCTTGGCTCCCTGCAACCTTCACTTCCCGGGTTAAAGAGATCCTCCTGCTTCGGTCTCCTGAGTAGCTGGGACTACAGGCGTGCACCACCACACCAGGGTAATTTTTGTATTCTTAGTGGAGATGGGGTTTCACCATGTTGGCCAGGCTGGTCTCGAACTCCTGAGCTCAGGTGATCCACCCACTTCGGCCTCCCAGAGTGCTGGGATTACAGGTGTGAGCCACCGTGCCCAGCCAGGAAAGTTATCTTTTAAGAGGAAATTTGAAGTTGGGAAAATAGGCAACCTGAAATTTCAGGTGAAATTTGGAAAACCACTTTGACACAGGCCAAAACCAGAAGTTGTCTTCATCTGGTCAAGTTAGTGTGGTTCCTTTTCCAGGACCACTCGGAAAAACTGATAGTATTTTTATGAATATTCCTGCCTTGAGGCTGGTTGCAACACCCCAAACCTGAAGGAAAGACCAGAAACGGAAGACTGTAGCTCTAGCGGAGCCCACTTCCTCTTGTTCTGGAGCATTCACTGCTAGGCTTTCCTGGTGTGAACATAGGAAACATGCCTAGCTCCCCATGGAGGGGGCTCTGAGGCCACCCGCAGAGATGGAGAAACTTGACCTGCAGCGAAGGGTGTGGGCATCTAAGCCTGCCATCCACCATAGGGGAACTATGTATTATTCCTCAGCCCTGCCTCTGCTCCTTGGCTATCCTGGAGCCCTGGACACCAAAAGAGCCTTCCCTCCCTGCTGTTACTAAGGAGACAGAACCAAGAGGGAGGAACAGCAGAGGCTGAGCCAGTCCTATGGGATCTATTTAAGCAAGGCCTTAGCAGAATAGGAATGAATGGAAGGGGACCCCGGAAGGGAAATCCCTGTTAACTTCGCACTGTCCTCACTCACCCTAGAAACTCTGATGCAGTGTTTATTTCCCAAATCTCAAGGAATGGCAAAGCGAGTTAGGCAACAACCACCAAACTCCCACCCAGTCTCAATGTCTGTCTCTTCCTGATTTTGGAAAATGGTGAGTTGGGGATCTAGAAGTTTTCTGCAATTGGGCTTTTCTCTGTTATTGGGGCTCTGGAGGTTGGGGCTCAGTAAATGAGAGTAGGTAGGTCTCTTGGGCCAAAGAGTGAGTTCAGCCCTTCGGTGGAAGGACCTAGCATTAGCACTTCCTCTCCTGTGGTACCTGTCCAGAAGGCAGCTGGAGCTATTCTCTACAGCTGCAGCAAATGTCTTCCCCACTCACTATGAACCCATCCAGGTATCTAAGTCTTCAGCATGTCAATCCTTTCCTCCTGGTGGGGGACATCCCTCTTCTCACCCTGGACCATGAATCCTACTGGCCTCAGGATACCTACTTTCATCTCCATGGTCTACTTTAATTTTCCTGGTGTGGGAAGTTGCCCCCATATTTTATTAGCATTCAGATTAAGCCCTGCTGGTTTCTCATAACATCACCTACCCTACCACTACAGTTGAGGAAATTGAGGCCAGGAACAGGAAGTGGCTCATTTTAAGTCGCCACCCTCCTTTTATTTTATGAAGGGGCTGTTTTTCAAAAGAATGTTCAAAATTTGCCTACAGTCATTTTCCAATAAACACTTTGGGGTACTTGTGATGCAATGGCTTCCTCTAATTTGCTCATGGCTAAAACACTGAAACCAGATGATATCCCTTACCCGAAAGTGACCCTCCTCAAGGGGCCACCATGCTCCTTCCCATTCCCTTCCTAGGAAAAGAAACACTTGAGCAACCACTGTGGAGAGGCAAGTTTGGAATTCTAAAAGCAGTTTTTTGAAAATGCATCAATGCAAAGGTAGCTTTTGGAAATTGATCTTGCCAGGTTATCTTAAGTCTGAATTTTCATTAAACTTTTAAAGTATAATTCTGGTCATATAATCTTGGTGAGAATTTTAAATGGCTTCTGACAAATTTTCTTAAAATTAGACAAATACGACACACACATGAACACACACACACACCCCATAGCATGCGCGCAGGCGCACACATGCGCGCACGCACACACACACACACCCACGCACACATCTCTTACTCAGTCCACATGCTACATTCCATTTTATTTTTTAGTGCATGATCTTGTAATTAAGAAGCAAATTTTCTTTGAAGAGACAATTATAGTTATAGATGGTTAGCGGGAAGCTCAAAGAATGTTCCCTAGTATTAGTCAAAGACTATTTGCATTACCACTTAGAAATCTTGCTGAAGTTTCAAAATAATAAAGTGAGAATGCTTATAAAAATGTCAAGAACACTTCTCTGCTTAAAGCTGTAATTATTTAAAGAATTGGTATGTCACTGCAAGAGTTCAGGATAGATATCTCCTCTCTGCATTCTCCTCCACATGCAATTTGTAGAATCTTGGAGCACCTGAGCTGCAACTCAGAAAGTGTACAAAATCATTTTATCTAACTCCCTTACAGTACAAATAGGGCAACCAGGTACCCAAGAAGCAAAGTGACTTGAACAAGGTCACACGAGAGCTGGGTATAGAGTTGGACCAGGGTCCCCTGGACTCCTGAATCTCAGTCCAGATGGTCCGGTGTCTCGAGCTGTTCTTATCCAACCTGAAATGAAAGGCAGTTTTTCAAAAACATACCTTCTTCATCTAATTAATCTCTAAGTAGGGAAAGACCAGGCAACTGGATGAGCAGAAACAGAAAAAGCCAAGTATATGTAAAAGTAAGTCTACTTTAGCACCGTTGAAGGGATAGGTGATATTCGTAGGAGTAGAAGCAGAACCCATGGCTTTATTTATTTTGGTAAATATGGTATTCAAATTAGTTCCTAAAGAAACTAACATATTAAATGTTTGTGTGGGAGCCCCCATTATGCAACTGACTCTGTAGGCATCACAGTGTTTCTGTAATATAAGTTATGGTATTTCCCGGAACCCTCAATCACTTTGCATTGCTCTATTTTTTTCTATTTTTTTCGTCTATCACTGTCTAGCTGAACTATCTAATTTACTCATAGTACTTATTATTTTTACTTATTTCCCCTGCTCCCCGGACCTCCACCCAACAGAATTTAAGCTCCACCAAGAAAGGAATTGTTGTGTTTGTTTGTTTACTAAAGTAACCAAGTACCTAGGATTTTTACTTGGCCCATAGTAGGTATTCACTCAATATTTGTTGAATTAATGGGTAGATGAGTGCTCCTTTACTTTCTTTATGGTTGGGAACATCTGCAGAAGGTACCTACTATATCTTGTTCCTGACCACTTACTCCTCAGATGCTTGGCTGATACCATCCTGCACTGACATCTTATTAAAATGTCTAAGGAATGGAAACACATTGCAAGTACCCTGAAATATGGTAGTGGCAGCAGAAATTCCAAAAAAGGAATAAAATAGAGAAATTTGAGATTCAATTTGAGGAACTTGAACTATTTCACGTAAGGATAGGGTAGTGTTCTGCAGTATAACTGCTGTACAGGGCCTCAGAAGACTTTCTAAGTCCTGCAAACCCTTTTCCACATCTGCACATGTCATTTATTTATGTTTTTATTTATTTATTCATCATCTGTCCATCCATCCATCCATCCATCTATCCATCCACTCATCTAGTCATCCATCTAATATATATTTCTTAAAAAGTTTCTATGCCTCCAGCATTATTTTAGGAGTTGGAAACATAACAGTGAACATGACAGCAAGGGTCCAGCTTTACTGGCGGTTATAATCTTTTTTTTTTTTGGAGAGAGGGTCTTGCTGTATCTCCCAGGCTGGAGTGCAGTGCTTGAGGTTATAATCTAACACGTGAGCCAGAAAGGGGCCTGAAAACATTAAAATTAATCATTTGAATTCATGATATGTACTCTGAAGAAAATAAAGCAAGGAAAAGAAAAAGAGATTGTTAAATTGCATAATTTCAAAGTCCCCTTCTCAGCTCTTATATTTGTAGACTCTGTGATATCAGCTCCTCATTTTAAAAAACACCCCACGGTTTAGCCACCCAAATAAAACCAAATGAAGTTCAGGAAATACTATATCTAAAAGCCCTCCATGTACGTGTTATAAAGGACCATCCCTTAACTAGGATTTGATAATTATGCTTTGACATTTTAAAAATCTTAGTTTCATTTAAGTGGTAAATATCATGTAATTGTTCACACAGTAAATATCATGTAATTATTCACATGTAAAATAACTTAAAATGCTTCTTGTTGTATTGATTCAATAAATATTATTGAGCACCTACTATATGGCAGGTACTATGTTAGGTGCTGAAGTTACCAGGAGGAATAGTCTCTTTCCTCTTGAGAGACTTACCATCTCCTATAACTTGTGAACAAATAGTGACAGGACACCAAGCCAGTGGTAAGATCTTTTAAGGTGATGTTGGCATGCAGTGCTGAGGAAGCACAGGGGAGAAAGTGACTGACACTGGGGTGGTAGGGGAAGGTCAGGGAAACTCTCAAAAAGAAGTTGACTTTTAAGCTGGGTCTTAGGGAATGAGAAGCCCTTGCATGTACTTACCATTCGTCTATATTTGAACTAAGTCAAGATGAGGCAATGTGATCATTAGTCACTCCAAAAAGGCTCTTGATATGGGAATAGTTTGTCCTGATTTGAAAAGAACAGCACGGTCATTTCGGCATGAACAAGCCACAACATGAGAGTGAAACTTTAGCAGTTCCAATGATATACAAGGAATGTGTGCAACTGTAGCTTTTTTAATAGAGAGGAAAAAAGGATAATAAGATAAAATTGAATCTCATAACAACTTTTGGAAAAAACTTGCGAAGACCATAAACATTTACCAAATGCCTTGTAATGCCCTCACTTTATTGCCATTGAGAAAATTAAAGCCTCTGCCAGAAGTGGCCTGCTGAGGTCTTAGCTCCATATGCCCTGGTAACAACCTCAGTGTCATTCTAGTGAATGAGTCAGAGTCCACCATGCAGTGGGTCCTGCCCAGTGTGTCTGTGATGGCTAGAGGAGGGGAGCTGGCCAAGAGGCCTTGGGCAGACACAAAGTATTCCTTCTACTCTAAAATCCTAGCTCAGGTTCAGTCATAAAATTATGACCCTTGTGTGTACCGGTATGGACATTAGGTCATTTAGTTCTCACAATGGGCTGTGAAATAGGATCATCTTTTCTTCCCTTTATGGACAAGGGAGCTGAGGGAAGGACAGGTGAAATAACTTCTCTCATTTGTAGAGTTGGACAGTTGTAGAGGTAAAACCTTATGGTTTTATGAATATCAAAAAAAGATTAGTTGGGAATTTCAGAAATGATGCAAATGAGGAATTATTGACATCTGTTTGCAACAACATGGCAGAGCATTTATGCAGAGAAACATTCCCAGTGCAGGAAACACAAAGATAGATCAAGTAGCTGTGTCAAAGCATGACTGAGCGCATGGTAAAGTATGAAAAACACTGGGAGAAGAAAAAAAAAACACAAGAAAGTATGATTCCAGAAGTATAAACAAGTTCAGATTGCCTGATGAAATGTGAAGATCTTAGATTCTTAGTTTTAATGGGCCAGGAAGGCAGAGCATAGGAGACAAAGTCCAGGGCTTGAGCACAGTGAGATGTGACAATAGGAATTATTGCAAAGAAAAAAAAAAAAAAAGAATTCCCTAAGATGCCCAAAATGTGTGACCTAAAATAAAAGTTGCTCCACAGAGGGACCGTTTTAGCTTGATTCTTGGTGGAGTGGCCAGGCAGGTGTGAAAGGGATGGTAATATGTCTCCTTTGAGAATTTCCAACCACAAACCTACCTATGTCCATATTGGTGCTGGAATTCACTCTACCACTTTGGACCAAAAGCCCCAAAGTAAAAAATTTAGTTTAATGTGCCCCTGGTCAGTATTTTCCAATGGATTGTTTAGTTGGGGTTCTACAGTGAGAAAATAGAAGGAAAGCAAGATTTGAAGAGATAATAGATGAGAACTTTGCAAAATTGGCGAAAAACACAAGTCTCAGTAGATTCAATAAATATCAAGATTAATAAAAAAAATCCACTTCTGAAATTTCGGAATAACCAAGATGAAGAAAATATCTTAAAAACAAATAGAAAAAAAAATCATCCAAGAACTGACAGCTTGGCAGCTGACTTCTTAACAGTCTCTTTCTGCTGAAGGCCAATGTGAATTACTCCTACAAGTGTGATGACTTTCTTCATCTACTGTTCTCTTGGTATGGGAACCGGAAGTGGCCAGTTACAGCCAGAGCTTAAAAGTTCAATGAAACAGACTCTCATTGTGTTCTCCAGTGGGAGTATTTACTGTCTGTGAAGGAGCAGGATTTTCTAGATCTGCAGAGCCTAGGACTTCAGGGATGAGAAGCATAAATCCCCAACTGGGTCACTGGGGATCATGATAATTGTATCTACTCTGCTTCCACCCCTTGGCTCCTAGACCCATGTATTCTACCTGTGGAGGAGTTATTACTGCATAAAGATTATTGACTTAGAGTATAGACCACCTCCTGGAGGATGGTGCCCCATCCTAGCAAGGTCCCCTCTCCGAGATGGCACTATGCTGCATCTTCAAGAGGCCATTCTGCCATTCATTCTGTCAGACTGGTGGGGTGAGGGTGAGATGGATTGTGAAAGAAACAGTGGATTCCCTTGGTGCCCACTGCCGTACTCCCTTTGCTGGAAAATGGGGCCTTTGATCTGAAACAATGTTGTACAGGATCCTATGTTGGAGACATTCACTTCACGAATTTCATTATAAAAAAATTGACCTATTATCTATTCATTTCAGTTATGCTTCCCAGATTTCCACAGTTAACTTTCTCTTGATAAGGAATAAACATTTTCTTTTCCTCATGGCTCTGTTTGGAATTTAGAATGAATTCTCATACCTGTCAGATTTTTGTTAATGCAGGACTGAAACAAATTTGTAGCAGGAATGTTTAATGCCAAGCAAGCCACGGAATCCATCTGACATTTATTTGTAACATTTGTTAGTAGTATATTTAGCACCTCAATTTTGCAAATAGGGAAGTTATTTTATATGCAATGAGGTGGGAGTAATTGTGATGTTTATGAGACCTGTGGATTTTTTTTTTTTTTTTGACACTGGAGTGGACAACAGCAGAAAAGGATTTACTCCAAAGTTGCCAAAGCTGAAGCTTCAGAGCAGCTCACTTGCTCAAGCCCCTTTCATGTGGTCATGTGATTTTGTAATATTTTTGAAGAAAGAGATTTGCGATTTGTTGTGATTTTCTTTCTCATTCCAAATCCTCACTTTTATAATTTACATTGTAGTCATAATTTAGTGTTCTTTTTCTTAAAGGATAAACCCGCCCCCCAATTCATTGTCTAAAAACTGGGTCTACCCTTTAACCAAAATGAGCAGGAAGTTGCTCCCTGCTTAAACGTAAATATTTGCACTCCACTAAGAGACAGACAAGTTAGTGCTTATTAGCCTGAGACTGCCTAGGCTGAGTTTTTGAATGTTAACATGTTTCCAGGCCCTGGCTGACTCTGCTTATGTAATGGCTTGTCTTCTGAATTAGAAGTGTGCCGCTAATGACTTACATATGAACAGTATAAATACCTACATCATTACAGTTTGAGTCTCTGAATAACTTACAAGTTAGTTATTATAGATGAGGAAATGAGAATTAGATAATTTAAATAACACACTCGATGTCTCAGGGTCGGAGGTGGCAGCTGTAACTCACAATTAGCCTCTGATGTCTCACCCACGGACCTTGCTGCTCTGTCATAGTGTCCTCTCAGTGGAATATTTATCCAGATGTCTATGACAATTTTTTTTCCTATTAAAATGGCACCATTATGGGCATGGCTATGTTCCAACTATTATTTATGAATATTGAAATTTGAATTTTATATAACTTTCAAACGCCATAACATATTATTCTTCGGTTGTTTTTTGCAACCATTTTAAAAAGTAAACACCATTATGAGTTCATGGGCTGTACAAACGAAACAATGAAACAAAGCTCTAGTTTGCTGACCCCTGAAATAGAGGAATGGTCACCAGAAAGAGACAAACTGTCTTTTAGGCTAGCAAGACAGTGATATAACTGAAGATATCACCACCTCTAAAATATGAACATGCCAATCTGATGGGGATCTGGTCAACCAAAGCAACCACAGAAGAAAAGACAAAGGAGAGTCCCAAGGCTATCATGAGCAGTGCCAGTTCCTCCATGACTTAGGGAAGGTCATCTTAGCCAGTGGAGGTCCCATATTGAGACTATTTTTAAGAGTTCATTTTGTAATGGGAAAGGATATCTCAAGTGACATTAGTTGAATATTTCTTTCTTTTTTGTTTGTTTGGTTGGTTGTTTTTGGAGACAGAATCTAACTCTGTCGCCCAGGCTGGAGTGCAGTGGCACAATCTCAGCTCACTGCAACCTCCACCTCCTGGGTTCAGGCGATTCTCATGGCTCAGCCTCCCAAGTAGCTGGGATTTCAGGCACATTAACCACGTCTGGCTAATTTTTATATTTTTAGTAGAGACGGGGTTTCACCATACACATTTTTTAATTAAAAAAGAAATCTTCGGCCCAGCGTGGTGGCTCACACCTGTAATCCCAGCACTTTGGGAGATCGAGGCAGATGGATAACTTGAGGTCAGGAGTTCGAGACCAGCCTGGCCAACATGGCGAAACCCTGTCTCTACTAAAAATACTAAAATTAGCCAGGTGTGGTAGTGGGCACCTGTAGTCCCAGCTACTTGGGTGACTGAGGCACAAGAATTGTTTGAACCCGGGAGGTGGGGGTTGCAGTGAGCAGAGATCGTACCACTGTACTCCAGCCTCAGTGACAGAGTGGGACTCTGTCTCCAAAAAAAAAAAAACTTCAAAAAGCGCATATATACATATATGTGTGTGTGTGTGTGTGTGTATATATATATATATATACACACACATATATATAATACACTTAGCAAAGTAAACGTATTTATAAATATATATTATAAATAAAATTATCTGGTTGACTCTTATCTTAACCACTTGCTCCTCTATGAACTTGTTAAATTTTTTTACTCTTCTGTGTTTCTCATACCTATCATAATGAGTTACTTTGAGAAATAAATGAGAAAATGGATATGAAATATCTAGTGCATAGGAAATACGTAGTATATAGAAAGTGCTACATAATAACTCTCACTATATTTGCTGTTTACATTACATAAAAACATATGCATGTATACATACACATATATGATACGTTACGTATCATATATCTATAAACACACACCAAGGAAATATGTCATAATAGAGATCCTTCTATATCTGCTGTTTTGAAATTTGCTTTTTTCCCTTCATATATTATGGATAGCCAGGGAACAATACAGAACTGGGGTTAAAAGCATGGCTTCTGCTATCTGACTACTTGGGGTTGAGTTGTGGCTTCATCATCATAAGAACTTGGGTAAGTGACTTCAATTCTCTAGGTTGTAGATCTTTTCCTGGAATATGATGATAAAAGCATTACCTACTACATAGAGGTGCTGTGGGGATTAAACGAGAAAATATATGTAATAGCACACTGCAAATTCAAGTAAATAAATACAAGTCATTAGCATAAAGCCCAGCTTATAGTAAATGATCATATATTATTCTAAAAATGAAAATGTATTATTTAAGTAAAATTATAATGACCTAGAGTATTTATTCAGCTTTCTCATAAAATTCTTAGCATGGCAGCAAGAGAGAACACATGGGAAAAATATGTTTGAGGAGGAAAAAAGAGTGATTAATTTGCCTCCTGTAGAAAGGACAATAGAACATCTACAAAGTAAGGCTGTGACTTAACAGTTAGGATAATGCTTTGCATTTGTGCGGCATCATTAATAAAGCAGTTTTCAGAAACCTTTTGGAAGACACTTCTAAGCACGAATCTGGATCTTCTCCAGATTACTGTGATAATTAGGCTGTGGATATGCTTTCAAAATGTGACTCAAGACCTATTTTAACCGTAAATTATTCACTTTTTAAAAGATCTCTCTGATATATGGAATTTCCTTCAAGACAAGACCATAACTTTCTATGTTATTTATGGAATCACCTTTGAAATATAGGATGGATTGATTTTTTGCAGTTTTATTTATGTTGTATATAAGGCAATGTGAGTTAATTTCAGAAAATGTAAGTGTCTGGAGACACGTGAAAAAGGAAGGTGTCAGTGCCATCAAAAGAGCTTGTCGAAAGGTAAAAATTTAAATTATTGATTGGTTTTTACGTTTGTGTCTGTGACATCAGGGAGTTTCTGCAACCAGATTTCCAGTGAGATGAATTAATCAGCTAATGCTGCAGAGACACTAAATGAGATGACAGGCAGCTCCCACAAAGCAGATGCTCAATTAATGTGAGTCACAATCAATTATACTATTTATTGAGGGTTTTCCCTGTGCCAGCAGCTTCTAGTTGCTGTCTTATTTAATTTAAATCCACAAAACCCTATCAGGAAGGTAATGTGATCACAGTGTTACAAGTGAGAAAATCCAAACTCAAAATAGTTCCATTCAGAGACTACACAGACTGAAAACGATTGGATGAGTTCTGCTCTTTTTTTTCATGAGTCATATTTCTTCATTCTTATTTAAAAAGAAGATTTCTTAGGCTGGGAGTGGTGGCTCATGCCTGTAATCCCAGTGTTTTGGGAGAGTGAGGCAGGAGGATTGCTTAAGACTAGGAGTTGGAGGCTGCAGTGAGCCATGATTGCACCGCACTCCAGTCTGAGTGATAAAGTGAGATCCCAACTCTTAAACACACACACACACACACACACACACACACACACATATACACCCCATACACAAAAAGTTTTCCCTCCTTTCCTTTCTTCTTTCTTTCCTTTAGCAAGTGAACCACCCTATGGATAAAATACAAAACCTTGCTCTCTTAATGTATGAGTATGTGCCTGTGTGTGTGCTTTTGTACAGAGGTACTTGTTCTTCTTCAGTGAAAAGACCAACCCCATAATAAGTCTGATGAGTAAATTGATCTCTATTAAAAGTATTTTGAAATACACATTTTCTTCAAAGAGAGATGATGGGAGGGAATTACATATAAACTTCACTGCATGCCATATTTATTACGTCAAAGATGTTTTTTAAATTATACTGCTTATGGGAGAAAATTACATGTAAACTTCACAGAATGTCATCTTTATTATGTCAAATATGTTTTCCAAATTGTAATGCTTTTTAGAGTCTGCTATATATTATAGTTACGTAGTCATTCATCTGCCTACTTGAAGGAGGAGTGAGCTCCTTAATGTCAAAAATGATGCCTAAATCTCCTTTTACCAATTCCAGTATTAAGTTGAAATGAAAAAGATTTTGAAAAGATAATGACCTTATTGATAATTCACTGGATTACAACTCCAACTGATACATTATTCTGAGTTCTTCTGTGGGTGTACAGCCTCAATAATGCCCTGCTAAGATTGTAGAGAACATAGATATGGTGAGGAAAATGCTTCTTTCAAGAGAAGGAAATATGAACATTCAGGTGTAGATTGTTGAGGTGGAAAAAGCTCATCCACATGGAATAGGGCAAAATTTGGCACACACTGAGGCAGTAGAAAGCACTGTTCTGAAGCTAGGAGTACTAGGTTTTGGTATCAACTTTACTAACTAGTCATGAAACTTTAGACTATTTAGCTTTGCTGGGTTTTGATATTATTTGTGAAACAAACAAGCAAGCAAACAAAGTGCTGAGTTCACAGAGCAGGGCTGACTGAATCTGCCTACTCAGTCATTAAGATACAGAATAAGTAGTCCATTTTCTACCTTTCTAATCACCAGGGAAAAAATTACCAGTGAAAACATAATTCATATAAAGACAGATTTTTAATGAAGCAAATAAACATTTAAATCACAAACTCTTGAAAAATTATCAAGTGAGAACTAATGTATTTTACAAGCATAAACATAAAAGAGCCAAGATTCTCTCTTTAAGAAACAAAGACTTTCAGATTAGACTCCACCCCCTAATTCAAGTATATCTTATCTAAAAGAGATACGTCTAAACCATATAATGCAGAATGATAAAAATAAAAGGATGGGCAGGATATAACAGGAAAGGGCAATTAAAAGAAAAGCAAGAATTGTGATAGCAACACAAAATAGAGTAAAAGTAGAGAGAAGAATAATTGGAAAAAACAAACTCAAGGAGAAGTGGAAAAATAGATCAATAGCCAGGAAAAAAAGTGATCAAATTAGTAAACATAAGAATACTATTCATCTAAACATTTTTACAAATTTTAAACTTAAATAATTTTTTTACTTACATATTTTTGCTTGTGATTTGTTTCTTAATAGGCTTTTTAAAAAACCGATTTTAGGTTCACCTCAAAACTGAACAGAAGGCACAGAGATTTCTCATAGATCCCCTGCTCCAACACATGCATAGCTTCCTCTATTATCAATATCCCTCACCAGAGTGGTACATTTGATGAACCTATATTGATATATCCTCATTACTCCAAATTCATAGTTTACATTAGGGGTCACTTTTGGTGTTGTATGTTCTCTGGGTTTGTACACATTTATAATGACATGTATCCACATTATAGTATCATACAAAGTAGTTTTATTTCCTTATTCACTGTGCTCTAATTGTTCATTTCTTTCTCCCTCCCAACACCTAGCAGTAACTGATCTTTTTACTATGCCTTTTCCAGAATGTCATGTCCTTGAAATTATACAGTATATAGACTTTTCAGACTGACTTCATTCACCTAGAAATATGCATTTAAGTTTCCTCCATGTCTTTTCATGAATTGATAGTTCATTTCTTTTTAGTGCTGAGTAATACTTCATTGTCTGGATGTACTACAGTTTATGTATCCATTTACCTACTGAAGAACATCTTGGCTGCTTCCAAGTTTTGACAATTATGAATAAAGGTGCCATAAAACTTCCGTGTGCAGGTTTTTATATAGACATACATTTTTAACTCCTTTGAGTAAATAGATGGAGAGATATTCAATGTTCATGGATAAGAAGACTTAATATTGTCAAGATGTCAGTTTTTTCCAACTTAATCTATAGATTGAATGCAATCCAAATTAAAATCTCAGCAAGTTATCTTATGGATGTTGACAAACTGATTCTAAAGTTTATATGAAGATTTTAAAAAACACCTAGGATAGCCAACACAGTACTGAAGGAGAAGAACAAAGTTGTAGGACTGACCCTACTTGACTTCAAAACTTACCATAAAGCTACGGTAATCAGGAATGCGTGATATTGTTGAAAGAACAAACAAACAGATCAGTGGAACAGAATAGAGACCAGAGACCAGAAATAAATCCACACAAATATAGTTCATTGGATTTTGACAAAAAGCAAAAGCAATAAATACAATGGAGAAAAGATAGTCTTTTTAACAAGTGGGTGCTAGGACAACTAGATATTCACATTAAAAAAAATCTGGACACAGAATTTGCACCCTTCAGAAAAATTAACTCAAAATAGATCACAGACTTAAATGTAAAATGCAGAACTATGAAACCTCTAGAAGGCAAAATGGGAAAAAATTGAGATGACCTTGAATATGGGGATGACTTTTTAGGTATGACAGCAAAGGCACAATGAATGAAAGAAACAGTTAATAAACTGGATTTATTAAAATCTAAAAATTTCTTCTCTGTGAAAGACATTGTCAAGAAAATAAAGAAGCAACAGACTGGGAGAAAATGTTTGCAAAAAACATATCTGATAAAGGACTATTATTTAAAATATAAACAGAATTCTCAAAACTCAGCAATAGAAAACAACCAAATTAAAAAATGGGCCAAAGACCTAAACACATATCTCACCAAAAAAAAAAAAAAGATATACAAATGGGAAGTTAGCATATTAAAAGATGATCTATCTCATGTCATCAAGGAAATGCAACTTAAAACAACAATGAAATACCACTTCACACCTATTAGGATGGCCCAAATCCAGAACACGGACAATGCCAAATGCTAGAAGGTGAAGATACCAGAACTCTTATTCATTGCAGATGAGAATGCAAAATGGCACAGCCACTTTTGAAGACAGTTTGGTGGTTTCTTATAAAACTAAGCATATTCTTATATATGACCTAGCAATTGTGCTCCTTTGTATTTACCCAAAGGACTTTAAACTTTTAAAAAACAAATACCAGAAAACATGCCTCAAAACCTAAGAGATATAAAACTCAACTTTATAAAATAGCATAATTATAATATTGAAACCTAGACAAAAATAACAGACACCAAAGAATTCAACCTATCTCACGTATAAATAAAATTTTAAAAATTTTCCATACACAAAACACTAGGAAAATAAATCCAGCAGAATATTAAAGGAACCATACATAATGTCCAATTTGAGTTTTTGAAAGGAATGTAAGAATAATTTTATATTAGAAAAATGGTTGGGAGGTAGGCAGGAAAGAGTGTGGTATTTGGGTGGCTAGGGAGAGTTCACATGTAAGGTGCAGGTGGAAAAGCCCGTGGAGTAACTGATAGATGGAACCGGTGAGAATTTACTTGGATAACGTCACTGAGTCATTGAAACTAACTTGACTAAACATCTCTTGGACATCATGGCATCGGCCTAACAACATGTCAATCATTGAACCAAAGAGGAGAAAATGATATATGGGCATTTCTGTGATTTCCCCTAAGTCAGAGAAAGATAACATTCATCTTTGATTTCTGATGTTAAAAAGCCTTTATTAACTGAAAATAGAATATGCCAATTTGATTAGAGATAGATGGATAAGCAATGGCTAGAACTTGATAGTGGGAAGATGGAAAGCCAACTCATGCTATTCAGAGAATTTAAATTGAATCCAACCCATTACCACTGCTCCATATTGGGTGGTGAAAAAAGGCACAGTAAACCTTTTCATTGTGAAAGTCTAAATGTTGAGTAAGTAAAGATATAGCAGGCCAGTTAAACTTGATTTGTTCTCTGCCCAACATTAATCATTTGCCCTGAATCTCTACTGAGTCCACCATACATCCAGTTTTTAATCCTAGGAACCTGAAGTGATCACAGAGTTACTAGGAAAACTTCCTTTGCTACTTAATGTTTCTTTATGCATCTTATTATAAACTTCATTTTGAAGTCATCTATGCATGGTTCATCCTTGAAACCTAAAAACATCTATTATTTTTTACATTTGGCAATAATCTTAAGTATGGCCTATATTATGGACTGAATTGGGTCCTCAAAAAACTGAAACAAAACAAAACAACAATAAAAACCTCTTCAAATCCTAATGCCCCCAGTACCTATGAATGTGACCTTGTTTAGAAATAGGATCTTTGCAGATATAATCCCATTAAAATGAGTTCATATGAGATTAGGGTGGGCCCTAACCCAAGGACTGGTATTCTTATAAAATTAGGAAAATTTGAGCATGCAGACATGCTGAGGAAAGACAGCCATGTGAAGGCAGGCATAGACAGCCTCTGTCACAAGTCTGGGAATGACTGGGGCTACTAGAAGCTGGAAGATACTAGGCAGAATTCTTCCTAGAGGCTTTGGAGCAAGCATGCCCTCTTTAACTGTCTGACGCTTTAACAGTTAAAGAGTCATCTTATAGGCATGTGTTATATAATTTATTATATTTTAATATTTTCTGTATCACTTAGAGGCTAGGTTTTCTAGGCTTTTCTTCTGAGCATTCAGCAGACAATTAACTATCACTTTCCATCTTCCCACTATCAAATTGTAGCCATTGCTTATCTATCTCTAGTTAAATTGGCATACATATCCTAACCCAGTGTGCCCTGCAGTGTTATGGCACCCCTGGGAAACGAATAATGGGTGTGGGTATGTTCACACTTGTAAGTGTTGCTTTTCTTACCATGACTTGTAATTCTCAAAACCACATTAATAAAATTATCCAAAGAAATGTTTTAGTAGAAACCCAATTTCTATTATTTTAAATTAAAAATCATGCCATTAGTCATTTTCCAGATCAGGAAGAGATGTTACTGCAAAATCAAGTAACAAGAGGATATGGTGTGTTAGAGAAGGTTGGGAATCATTATTAATTGCTTTAAAAATTCTAAAAACTGACTGTCAGTCCTAGTTATCAATCCATAATATAATAATATATATGTCTAATAACAATATATTTTAAAATTCTGTCCTGTTATTCATATATCTATAATTTATAGAGCTTTTATTGGGTTCTTAGCAGCTCATGAATCAAGCAAAAATCCTTCTTTAAAGGAACTTAGAGTCTTTCAGGGAAGCAAAGACGTTTAGCTAAAAAGTATCTTACCTGATAACAAAAACGGGAGGGGAGAGTAGAGTAAATTACTCTGAAGTTCAAAGGGGAGAGAGAGATCACTTTCAGTAGGAATGAGGGATTGCTTTCACTAGGCACAGAAGACATGAAGGAAAGGTGAGTCAGTCCTCGAAGTTGAACACAAGAGCAAGACTATTGCAGGGGAAGGGGCAGGTAAGCCAAAAGACAGAGTTGGCAATCATACAAGTCAACTATGACTTGAAGAACAGCAAGTAGAGCTACTCCTAACAGGTCTACAGCTATGCTGTTCCATTAAAACATCCATTAAGATCAAGTAAAATCAGTGAGTTATCTAGATAATATCATCATCAGGATCAAGGACTCCAGAGATATAAAAGCTGGTGGAGTGAATTTAAGTAGAAAATTTGCTTTCATGACTCATAAGATAATATTTGGGAGAAGAGTAGCGTTGTAATTGTGTGTATACAGTGGCTTGGGATGGTGTGTGTGCAGTGGGTAGGAATGACAAGTGTGAAGTGGGTTGGAATGGAGTGTGTGAAGTGGGTTGGGATGGTGTGTGTGCTGTGTGTTGGGATGGTGTGTGTGCAGTGGGTTGGGATGGTGTTATGTAGTGTGTTGGGATGGTGTGTGTGCTGTGTGTTGGGATGGTGTGTGTGCAGTGGGTTGGGATGGTGTTATGTAGTGTGTTGGGATGGTGTGTGTGCTGTGTGTTGGGATGGTGTGTGTGCAGTGGGTTGGGCATGGTGTTATGTAGTGTGTTGGGATGGTGTGTGTGCTGTGTGTTGGGATGGTGTGTGTGCAGTGGGTTGGGATAGTGTGTGTCCAGTGGGTTGGGATGGTGTTATGTAGTGGGTTGGGATGGTGTGTGTGCAGTGTGTTGGGATGGTGTGTGTGCAGTGGGTTGGGATGGTGTTATGTAGTGTGTTGGGGTGGTGTGTGTGTAGTGTGTTGGGATGGTATGTGTGCAGTGTGTTGTGATGGTGTGTGTGCAGTGGGTTGGGGTGGTATATATGCAGTGTGTTGGGATGGTGTTATGTAGTGTGTTGGGATGGTGTGTATGTAGTGTGTTGGGGTGGTGTGTGTGCAGCGTGTTGGGATGGTGTGTGTGCACTGTGTTGGGGTGGTTGTGCAGCGTGTTGGGATGGTGTGTGTGCAGTGTGTTGGAGTGGTGTGTGCAGTGGGTTGGGATAGTGTGTGTGCAGTGGGTTGGGATGATGTGTGGGCAGTGGGTTGGGATGGTGTGTGTGCAGTGGGTTGGGATAGTGTGTGTGCAGTGGGTTGGGATGATGTGTGGGCAGTGGGTTGGGATGGTGTGTGTGCTGTAAACAGTTTGGGAAACCTGGGCTGGGGAGGACCAGAGAATGATGCTTCTGGGTCTTCACCGGCAGCAAATGATATATGTTTACACTGGGCCTTCTGCGGAAGCACTGTGTGACCCTGTGGCTCTGGAATATGTTGCTAAAAAAGGTTGTCCACTTTCTCCTGAATGCTTATGTAGCTGGAATAAATTATTCTCTGTCTGAAATGGCTTAACAATAAAATGTTCACCTTTCTTTTCGAGAGTATACAAGATAGTCTAGCAAAATCAGCCATCTTGTGGAGCTCTGGGATTAGAGTTAGAAGGCCCGGACAATGATCCTTTCTGTTTTTTGTGTATTTATACTCTGACCATTGTCAAAACAGACTTGAAGCACCTTATAATAGAAATCTCAGATAGAGCAAAATAAAAATCTTTTCAACTTAGATACTGTTAGCAAATTGAACACTGCTGTTGGTTAAGATTAGGATGCATTTTTTTGTTTGTTCTCTCTTACCCAATTTATTGAAAAGGGCAGAAAATCCAGCAATAACCTAAATAAAACGAAAGAATAAAAGATGAGGTGAGGGTCTTTTTTTTTTCACATCTTGGACAACAAATAAGCAAAATTTTGAAAGCCAATGATGAAGAAGCATAGATATCTACTTTAAATTCCAATTCTGATTAGTATTTTTCTTCATTAGTGAACTTCTCTCATATTCTACATCTTAAGACAATGGATATATTTTCTCAAACTGGTCAGACAGTTAAAGAGTCATCTTACAGGTATGTGTTATATAATTCATCGTATTTTGATATTTTCTGTGTCACTTAGAGGCTAGGTTTTGTGGGGTTTTCTTCTGAGCATTTGCAGGCAATTTTTTTAACTATCACTGGGCAAAAGGTGCCTATAAAAAGGTTGACCAGAGGTGGGAGGATCACATGAGCCTGAGAAGTCGAGGCTGCAGTGAGCTGTGACTGTGCTACTGTACTCCAGCCTGGGTGACAGAGTGAGACCCTGTCTCAAAAAATAAATAAATAAAAGTAAAAAAGGGCAACCAAGTTCTATAGAGAGGCTCATTGTTACTATGCGTAACAGAGAAGGTGAGAAAGCACAGGTTTTAGCCAATAGTATTTTTTAATGAAAAAGCATAAATCACTAAGCATCTACCATTGTTTTCAAACTTAATACACATACAATCTGGAGCAGAATTTATAACATGCAAATAGGTAGGTTCAAATCAAACATCTTTTTTACTACGTTCAACTGCTATTAGGCAGCATTTGACTTTAGGCTTTTTTTCTCCTCTAGGGAAATTCCCAACTCTTGGTGCTTTTAAGTGTGGGAAAACCAAAGGACCACAGGACCAATATTCTTCTTTGTAAACTGTTTGTGGTTTGGCATTCAGAATTCTCACAATTGTGCCATGTTTCTTTAGAGTCTTCCATGGGCTGGCCTCCCTCATGCTAGGAGTCATCTCTGGTGAATTAGCTAGTCCCACTTCTGTCTAGGTGACTGTGCAAACACAAATGGTTGAGTGTGTATTGGATGAGGCCAGGGGATGATTTAAAAAGTTGTCTTCCTATATATCATATTATTTGGTTAATAGAAGGATCAGACTGATTTTTTTCATGTATGTTTACTTCTGGCCTGTACACAGTCCTAGAGAATGCTAGTTTTCAATAAAAGTTATCTCTAACAATTCAGTGTCTCAATAAATATATTTTGTAGGCTAGAGAAAGAAATGGCATCTTTCCTAAGTCTTATGGCTGAATAAACGACTCTGGCAGACCAAACCATATCTTGAAGTCATAATCTTTCTTTTTTCCTTTTAAATCTAGATTATAAAATATATACATGGCAAGAGAACCAGGACAATGACTGACTATGTGACTATGACTATGTGACTATGACCGTAAGACACTATGAATGGCTCTTTCTTCCCTAAGCCTGCATCTGGCTTCAGACCCTTCTCAGCAAGAAGCTCCAGAAAGCTACTAATGATTGATCAAGATTAAATGCAACTTGAAAACGATTTTCCATCCTTGCTTTAGATTTCATCACCATTTGAAGTTAGTTGTCTAATTTCCTAAAAGTGCTTATTCTAGTGATTTTCCCCCTTCTGGTCATGACAAATGAGGCTCTTTGTGAGCTGGTATCCAAGGGTTTTATTTGTTTGTTTTCCTCTGTTTTTGCTCACACTTCTCAGTTTGAAGTTTTCCTTACAAGACTTTTAGAATTGTTTAAATGACACCAGATTTGGTAATACTTACAGAAAAACCAGTATAGATGGGTTTAAACTCCATAGTGCTAAATTTTGCTAATTTAACAAACGATTATTGAGCGTGTATTACATGGCAACTTATTCTGTATATAGAAAGGAAAAGAGAGAGCTCTTGGGTTCAAAACCTTATATTAAAATAAAAGAAAATATATTGTGGGAACTATTTATGCTGTCTTCAGGAGAATTGCTTGGGGTGTCTGAACTCTTCCATAAATGTTTTTGGATAAGCAACAGTCTCAGATACAAATTCTGTGTGCAGCATTCTTCTGAAACAATCCAGCCATTTGGCTGCATCTGTGATCAACACCAACTGGTCCTAAGCTTTGGAGAAAGGCATGAGCATGTGTATGCTGTGTGTGATACAGGAATGCCACTGAAATCCAACTTAATCCATTAACTCATAAAACAGATTCAGTGTTTGTTTAGTGCTTGGTAATGCATTTTCTCCAATTTCAAAACTCATTGGAAATCCCACTTGCATTTGACCACACTTTTGTTTTCTCCTAAAATTCTTCAAAGTAACCCTTACAAAATAGGAACACCAAACAGATCATGTAATAAGGGTTGAAATTCTTATCCACACTTGACAACTTAGCACAGTGGAAACAGCATGATCTTTGATGTCAGAAAGGTCCTCTAGTCTCTTTTATGTGAGCCTTGGCAAGTCAAATGACATAATGAACCTCATTTTTTCATCTCTTATTGGGAATAATGCTATTTACCTGCCAGGATCATTGTAAGGACAAAAAATGTAATGCATATTTAAATCTTGGTGCATAGTAGGCACTTCATAAAAATTAGCTTTTGTTATTATTATTCTTGTTATCGGTAGTAATACTGTCACGGGACCTGAGTTAAGGTTGCACGTATCATTCATTCATTTATTCATTCAATGAGTGTTTACTGTACAGTGTCTGCTGTACAGGATCCTGTGCTGGGCATTATAGTGTGTGTGTGGGAGTGATACAAACACATGGATTTTTCCTTTAATGGTCTTATTTTCTGGTTGGGAAACAAATAGGCATATAGATAACCAGAGTAGAAAGTGCCAAAGGGACTAAATAGTATAGGGCTTAGAAGGAAGGAAGAGTCTAATTTTACTAGGAGTGGAGGTAGAGGAGGAAGTAGGGAAAGGCTTGCTGGAGCAAATACAACTGTGACCCCATTCCCCACTGGGCAAGTTGGTTCTTCAGGTCAGTTAGTTCAAATCAAAACTACCTGCTCCTCTGCTCTGGCATTCTTTGCCTGCCACATTTCCAATGGCTGCTGGCTCCCTCTACTTCTAGTAGACTCTCATATTGGCTTAAAAGAAGTGAAAGAGACATGAAAGACCAACTCTTTCATCCCTCTGAAGGATCCTATCAGTTTTAAAAGCAACCATACACCTAGCTCTTACCTGCCTATGGCATCTTTATTTTGGTTTCACATTATAAACCCGTTGGATGATGAGATTTGAGGTTTTCCACATAAATACTTGATATCTGGTCAGTTTCATGGCAGTCATTTTGCCCTCCTTAACAGTTTATATGTCATCATTTACTTTTGAAAATACTCTAACGTTTTCATAATATGGCTAAACTTGAGATTACAGGAGATGTATCTTGACAGAATGAAAGAGAGATTTGTCTTTTCTTTTCCTGTTACCAGCAATGAATGCAATATAACCAAAGTTATTCTCCCATTTTTGCTTGGAAACTCCCTGTCAAACGCAAAGCCTAGCTGTAGGAATTACTTCCTGCAAGTAGCATGACTGATGTTAAAATGGCACATAATAACTTTTATCAGTCTTTCCCTATTGAAAGTCTAAAAGGAACAGAATTAAGTCTAGAACTTAAAATAAAAGTTTATTTAAAAGATGCTATTTCCTCAATATGATAAACATATATATGCATACACATTCATACACATACCATAAAAACACAGATTTATATGCAATGTTATTTCCATTAAAAGGAGACACAAGTCAAGTATGTCTGTTATTGCCACTGTTATTTCACATTATTTTGGAAAAGTGATACAAATAGCTAAGAAGATAAAATAAGACATATACATGTTTAAAATGTCAAATTTCCAATTTCATAAAAACCCAAGAAATCAACTAAAAATTCTTAAATATTAAAAGAGAAATCAATAAGATAGCTGATTAAACAATGAATATACAAAATTAGAAAAGCTCTTTTCTAACAAGAAGGATCAGGTAAGAAATACAATGGAGAACATTCTAATACAAAAGACAGCTTAATGTATTAAATATTTAGAAAAAATATGAAAAAATAAAGGTTCAGGATTTACATGGAGAAAACTATAAAACTGCATCAAAGATCATAAGAGAGAATAAATAAAAGTTCCACATTGTTCTTGTGTGAATATTTATTCTGGTGATGCTGTTATTATCTGAGTAAATCTGTATGTTAGACACAATCTCAATTAACATTTTTTAAATAAATTATTTAAAGTTCAACTAAATATAAATATTGACATAGCAAAAAAATTCGGAAAGTGGCAGCAATTGGAAAGAACACTGAGCTGCCAGATATTTAAATGCAATAAATAAAAGATGGCCAAAAAGCATTTGAATAGATGCTGTACTATACTAATAATCAAAGAAACACACATTGAAATAAGAATGCAAGTTCCTTTTTTTGCTATACAAAATGCAAAGTTATCTAGTATTGATAACTATGGGGATCAAACATTCATATACTGCTAAGGTTAAATGGGTATAATTTTCTTGAGATAAATTTGGCAATGTATTTCAAAATTTTAAACGTGCATGCTCTTAGGGTTATGCTCCCAAGTGTGTAGGTACAAATGATGCATGGTGCATCAATTATTTTGTCTTGGAATTTTTCCTATGCAAATAGTTAGATCAGTAACTCAAGATATATGAACAGGAATATTCATTGATGCTTTATTTATAAGTAAAAAGAATACAGAGAAGAGAGAAGAAAAAGAGCAATTGAGTTTCCAGTCATGAAGGATTCACTATTCAATCATTTTATGCAGGAGTAAAAGTCATTAATAGTAAAAATATAGTTCTACACTTACAGACTAGACAGAGGAAAAGAGAGGTGAGGAGGAGAGGGAACATGAGGAGAAGGAGGGGAGAGGAGGGGAAGAGAGGGAAGGAGAGGAATGTGTTTTGGCAGGCTACATACAAAAATGTTAATAACTTTAATCACCACATGAAATTAGTAATATTTATATTATTTTTATTT
Organism: Homo sapiens; assembly: GCF_000001405.40. Taxonomy (NCBI): domain Eukaryota; kingdom Metazoa; phylum Chordata; class Mammalia; order Primates; family Hominidae; genus Homo; species Homo sapiens. The sequence goes on along the minus strand of NC_000009.12, from coordinate 108,242,008 downwards.
CCTTGCTTTATTGCCTGAATATTTTAAAATAAGCACTTCTTAATTTTAGGTATTTCTGGCTCTTGCTCTCCCAATTGTTACCCAATCTCCTTTTCTGTGAGCCCTGAGCAGACATCTCTGCTACTTTAAGAAAACAGCCATTTTCTTTCTGGTTCTTATTAGTAGATGTCCCCTACCTTGGGCCTTTCTTGTTGACAATGAAGCCACAGCAAGGGGTTGCTTTCCCACCACACGAACTGGAATCCTCTTTCAGAATGCTGATATTTAAATTATCTGATGTTCTCAAAGCTGCTAATGCCAGTGGGCTAAATTCCCTGAAGTCTGTTAGCTAGTTACTAACCTGTTTTTTCTTTTTCTTTCTTTTTTTTTTTTTTTCCTCTCATGAGCACCTAGCAAGACTACATTTCCCAGGCTCCCTCACAGTTAGATTTGGTCATGTGACTGATTTCCAACCAGCAGATGTGAGTGGGAGTGAGGGGCATCATTTCCAGGCCTGGTGCATTGGAACTTTTATGTGTGATTCTCTGCATTCTTCCCATCTTCTGACATCAGTGCCTGAGGTGACTTTGAAAACCATGTGTTGAAGGTGACAGAGCCTAGATCTTGGAATGAGCCTAGATCTTGTGAACACAGCCCCCTGCCAAACTAGAATTGTCTATTATTTCTGAGCACCTGCACATATGTGCACACAAACCAAAAACATACAATCAAAAGCAAACAAGCAACAAGAAGAAGCACTTCTATTCTTGACCCATTAGACTTTTTTGGGTCTATTTGTGATTGGAGATAACTGATCCTAACTGACACCAAAGCCATATGATTTTCTGTGCAGAGCTGGGACAGTGCCCTTTCTCCCACTCTGGTTTACATTTATGCCCTGGTCAGCACAGCTTAGACCCCGCGTATCATAGTCCTTCATGAAAAGAGCTCCTTCAGCTGGGGCTTCAGCCCTCCTCTGCAAGACTCACATATGAGTTAGTGGGTCCCAGCAGGGAACATTCTCAGATACCTTCACTGTAGTATTCTCCCTTTCTCTTTCACCTTCTCATTGGTACACCTATTCTAAACTTTCTATCTTTCCTGCCAAAACCATCAAGGCCTTTGACCCACAGAGAAGACTCATGCACCTTCTTAGTTGGTTAGTTATGCTAGGAAGCTTGAGACGGAGTTGGGATTCCTGTTATGCCTGCAGAAAGTTGTCTTATTTTATAGGATGTTTATAAACTGCCAAGTCTGAATCAAATGAATAAGGAGGACCATCAATGAGGAAGTACAATTTAGTGGAGAATGCCCCAGAAGGACCTGGGTTCAAGTCCCACATTATGCTCCTGAGCTGTGCTGATCTCTGATTTAATTTCCCCAGTACCAAAATAGAAAAAAAAAGTAATTCCTACACGACAAGCACATTCTGAAATTTAAATGAGATCATCTTTGCAAATTGCTTGGCATTTAATGGTCACAATAGCTGACAGATAAATTTGATAAACTGGAGGATAGTAACAGTAATAGAAAAAATGATCAAAAAATCTATTGGGTTGAAATTTTATGGGAGAGGAGAGAGATTGAAGAAAAAGAGGTGCTTGGACCTTTAGAGGATAAACACTGACCTTGACCAGATTAAACTGCAATTGGTGATGTTTTAGTATTACATGTGATCCACGGTTATAAAATACTATTACATGTGATCTGCAGCTTCAAACCTGGCATGGCCTTAGTATCAGCTTAGTCTCATGTCTGTGGTGCTCATTTCTTCCCCTCCCCCAAATTTCCATTATCCCCCTTTGCTATAGTTTAGTGAATGCAGATATCTTCAGCTGGTTATTATGCCCCATTGAGTTATTAGCACCTCCTGGAGTACTTCATGATTTCATCCCCTTAGTATGTATTCCCATGGAAACAGAATATAGTATAACACAACTGAGAAGGGGCCCCTTTTGCCTTTCCTGTGTATATCGTCAAGAATGACATTACTAGGGGAATAAGGCTGGGGGTATGGGGTTTATTGTGGATTTTCACAGTGATTCTCTTTGCATCTCTCAGAGTTCTGTTTTTAATAAACTTAACTAGAAATGTAACATTACCAAAAAGTATAATCAAGTTTATTGTACATGTATGAGTCACAATAAATGGGGGCTTGATAATGTTTTTGCTTACATAAATAAGCTGTTTCACAGTTGATTTTTTCTTTTTAGTGGAAAAATCTGTTTGGGTGAAGTCAGGGAGTCTGGGAGAAAGGCTTTAGAATGGAGTTGACTGATAGTCAAGTAAAATTTACAAATATATGCGCAGTTGACCACAATGTTTCCTCTAACAACTTATGGTTAACTTTACCCTGTGCATGAGCTGAGTTGGTGAGCCCCGTAGGCTCTAAGGATGGCAATCATCTAATCCTAATGAAGGACTCTCTTCATGATAAATTTAAAGTTGGGGCCTCAAACACCTAACTTCACTGAGTTTTGGTTTTCTCGTTTGGAAAACACTGCTTCTGAAAGTGGTGTGCCTAGCATGCTTGACACATGGAGGCATATCATTTTTAACACCTCTCTCCTCTAAGTGACGAAACGATCCTCCACAGTAATCATGAAATGAACGAATAATAGCAGTGGCAAGAAAAGAAATGCAGACAGTCAGACTTTTCTGTGAACATATATATAATCATGCCAGTAAAAAAGAAAAAAAAAAGTGACATTACCAAAAAGGGAAACAGTTAAAGGATTCATACTTTCTAATTACATTAATGTATTTGTTAAGAAGGGAAGAAGCTTACACTTATATGTACAAAACAACATTACAGGTTCTGTTTTTGTGCCTTCTCCAAATTTTCAATGGCTGTCAAAACTGTTTTTCTTTGCCTATTTATGTTCAACGAACAGCATAGCCAGACTTGTCCACCTATCGTCCCTGATAGTTGATCAAAATTTGAGTTTTTATTAATTTTAATTTCAAAATATTTTTTGGAAGAATCAACAGATACACAAATAGTTAGGATAACTATCAAACATAAGGATAGATATGGTAGATTGATAAAATTCCAGAAATTGTTATACTGGCCACATCTTTGTTTCTTTGGGATCAATTCTATCAGCTTTCAAGTGTCTCTAAAATTAAAATAAAATAAAATACCTTCACCAGCAAATTTATCAAAAATAGCTGTTACATTTTGTAAAATTGTCTGTAAAGATCAGGGAGAATTACTGTGTGATAACTAATGTTAACGTTGTTTGATCAATTGCTTTAGAACAAGTGTCCAGTTCCTTGTGAAACTCATTGAGGCAGTTGAACATCCTTTTGTCTTTTTGATTTCTTCTAGCAATGTAAGACCAGCAGATTGTGTTGTTTCTCCTGGCATTTTTCTTAGAAATTTGAATATCTTTCTCATGTCAAAAGTCTATTTCTTTACATTTTGTTGTATAGTCAGTGGCCTTCTCTATGATATCTATGTGCTAAACTTCAAGCATTCATTTTAAAGCAGGTGTTTTACTGTACATTTAATCAGGCTGATTCTGGCTATTGGTAAATAGTGGTTTTGGTGCCTAATAATGTCATATAAAGCTTCCCATCAGAAAATATTCAAATTTGGAAAAATATTTTATTTCTGAGCTGAAATTTGTACTTACCAGACAACATAACACTCTTGTTCCTTTACTGGGCTTTATTGTTTTAATTTTTATATGTGAATTATCTCTAAATAGTCACATTGAGTGTCAGAAATGAAATAACTCCAGTTTTGCTTCTTCATCTTTTTCAATCACTGTGCTGTCAATGTTCATTCAGAGTCACTTATTTAACTATAGAGATAGGTGGTATCACAAGTGCTAAGGATGTGGACTACATCTGAAGTGAGCTGAAATTATTTTAAATTGTCACAAATGTAGTCTCAACATGAATGCCCATGGCGGGGTCTCTGCTTGTTGGGGGCCAACTATATAACTGGGAGTTCTCTGAATTAACTTCTGTGTAGAATATAATGTTTGTTCAAGGATAGCTAACAACAGAAAGTGTTAATTTAAAGCTTACTTATATATTATTAAAACAGTAATAACTACAACAATTGTTTAGAATTTAGACTAACAAAACATTTTTCTTGGGTTGAAACATTTTATCACAGACATTGTTTAAAATTTCTAGCTCATGGTGATAATAAAGAGCAGAGCAACTTTTCAGTCCATTTTTCAGTATTGTTTTTAAATTCTTTACAGTCAATGCAACCCTTGGTGCCTGCACCCCGGGTAGACCGCTCACACCATCCTGCCCTTGGTACTACATTGGTTTGGGAAATCCAGCACGACAAGGGCTGTCTTACATAAGGTTATCAACAAATGCTAGTTTCCCTTCTTTAAACGTTTTAGAGTGTACTCATATTCACCCCAAAATTTACTCTGCAATTTGTATGTCTATGTAAGTATATGTGTGTATGCTTCACATGTTTACTAGACATCCACAACGTGCTAGATCCTGATCTAAGACTTAGGAATACAAGCCGAAGGACCCAAATGTCCTTGCTCTTGAAGAATATACTGACTCAATAACAAGTAAATTATTTTTCAAAGTTTTAGCCGTCATTGAAAGTTTTCTTAGTATATCCTTAAAATAAGGGTAGTGCAAGTAACATAAATCTCCTCATGAATGGCTTAAACTCTAAGGTCATTTGCTTTTGGATTAGGCTATCTAGGGGTGTGAGGATTCAGGTTTGGTTTCCAGCTAGACAGTGCCATCAAAGATTGTGATTCCTTTGGTCCTTTGGCTCTACCATCCTCAGTTTGTATGCAGTGTCTCTCCTCATAGTCACAAAATGGCTGCTGCAGCTCCAAGCATCATTTTCTAATGGAATAACCTCAAAAGTAGGAAGTGAGGGTGCAGGTTAGAAAGCAAAATGAGTTTCTTCCCCTTTATCTCTGTGTTAATGGAGGTGGGGATGGGGGCAGAGATTCCTTTTACAGAACTCCACAGTAACTTCTCCATATGTCTCAATGGTCAGAACTGGATCACCTGTTCAACTCTGAGTAAATAACTGATGAAAGGACATGGGGTTGTCATGACTGGTTCACACCAACCACAGTTGATTATCTGGGCCTGTACACGTGGCCACATGAATGAAATCAGAGTTTTGTTAGCCAGGAAGAAGTGCGGTATGACAGTTGGGCTAGGCAGTCAACAGTGTCTGAATGCCTGACTCAGTAGAACTGTATGAAAACCCTGTGACAGCACAATCTCTCAGACAACTGAGTTACTTATTCGTAAATGAGATTGCACCTGACCCTACTTAGCTCATAAAAATGCTTGAGCCAGAGATTCAAACTTTGGGTCAGATAAGTTTAAAATTCTTTTTATTTACAGCTTTATTGATGTATAATTTATAAAAATAATATATATTTCAGTATACATGTGAGGTTTTGGTAGATGTATGCATTGTGAAATGATTACCACAATCAAGCTAATTAATATATCCATCCCTTATATAGTTGTCTTTCTTTTCCCCTGTGGTGAGAATACTTAATATCTACTCTCTTAGCAAACTTCAAGTATATACTACATTGTTACTGACTTTAATCACCATGCTGTACATTAGGGCCCCAGTAGCTGTTCATCTTATAAGTGAAAGTTTGTGCCCTTTGACCACCATCTCCCTGTTTCCCCCTCCCTCGACTCCTGAATAACCACCTTTCTACTCTGTTTCTATGAGTTTGATGTTTTTAGGTTCTACATATACATGAGATTATGCAGTAATTGCCTTTCTGTGTTTGACTTATTTCACTTAGAATAATGTCTTTCACGTTCATCCAAGTTGTTGCATATAACAGGATTTCCTTCTTTTTTAAGGTGAATATTACATTATGTTTATGTATATGTGTGTATGCATATATATGTGTGTATGTGTGTGTATATATATGTGTGTGTATGCCACATTTTCTTTATAAGTTCATTTATTGACAGGCATTTAGGTTTTTCCTATATCTTGACTGTTGTGAATAATGCTGCAATGAATGTGGGAATGCAGGTATCTTTTCAATATATTGATTTTGTTTCCTTTGGATAAATACCAAAAAATAGAATTGCTGAATCATATGGTAGTTCTATTTTTAATTTTTTAAGGAATCTCCATGCTGTTTTCCATAATGGCTTACCAATTTACATGTCCACAAATGGTACACAAGGGTTTCATTTTCTCCATACCCTGACAACACTCGTTATCTTTTGTTGTCTTGACAACACCCATCCCAACAAGTGTGAGGCATTATCTCATTGTGGTCTTGCTTCGCATTTCCCTGATGATTAGCGGCCATTTGTATGTCTTTGGAAAAAAGTCTATTGAGGTCTTTTGCCTGTTTTTTAATTGGGTTATTTGGTTTTTTGCTATTGAGTTGTAGGAGTTCCTTATATATTTTGGATATTAACCCCTTATCAGATATATGGTTTGCAAATACGTTCTCCCATTCCATAGGTTGACTTTTCATTTTGTTGATTGTTTCCTGTGTTATGCAGAAATTTTTGGTTTGATGTAGCCTCACTTGTTTATTTTTGCTTTCGTTGTCTGTGCTTTTGGTGTCATATCCAGAAAACTCATCGTCAAGACCCTTGTCACGTAGCTTTTTCCCTGTATTTTCTTCTAGGATTTTTATGGTTTCAAGTCTTACATTGAAGTCTTTCCATTTTTAAATGAGGAGTTCCAGATTAGATGAACTTTTAGGTTTCTTCTTGCCCAGACACTGCATGAAATAACTCACTGGTGCCCAGCATTTATCAATTATGGCAGCCTCTGCTTTCCTGTGCCCTTATCACCCATCAAACAAGATTCTCTTGTAGCCCCACTACATGCCTTTATCCAAGCCATTTGCTCCAGCTATTTAATGACTCGCTAAGAACCTCCCTGCTCCATGGTAGGTCGGTCAGTGAAGCAAAAATATGGCTTGCCTCTGAATTATTTCAGTCCGGCTACTGTCAAAATAGCATAAACATATGACAAATTTTTCCAGCTATGTGAAGAATCAGAGTACCGGATGCAATTCAGACAGCATAAGTTACTGCAGCAATTCAAATATTTAACACTCCCTGAGGCACTCCGGCCATTATAATATGCAATCCAGCCACACAAAACTCCTTGAAGAATGGACAAGAAAATATTCCTATAGAGCTATGCCTATTTTTCTCTTAAGGGAGAAAGTCTGTTGCAAATCATTATCTTAGATGTTTGAAGGGCACAATAAGGTACATCCTCTTGCATGTCTGAGGACACTTCAAGGTACTTAAGAGATGAATTTCCTCCAAGAGACATGAGTGATTCTTTTTTATTTATTTATTTTTAATGTATTTTTTAATTTTTTTATTTTTCCATAAGTTATTGGGGTACAGGTGGTATTTGGTTACGTGAGTAATTTCTTTAGTGGTGATTTATAAGATTTTGGTGCACCCATCACCCCAGCAGTATACACTGCACCCTATTTGTAGTCTTTTATCCCTCGCCCCCTTCCCACCTTTCCTCCCAAGTCCCCAGAGTCCATTGTATCATTCTTATGCCTTTGCGTCCTCGTAGCTTAGCTCCCACATATCAGTGAGAACATACAATGTTTGGTTTTCCATTCCTGAGTTACTTTACTTAGAATAATAGCCTCCAGTCTCATCCAGGTCACTGCAAAGTCCGTTAATTCATTCCTTTTTATGGCTGATTAGTATTCCATCATATGCCACAGTTTCTTTATCCACTTGTTGATTGGTGGGCATTTGGATTGGTTCCATAATTTTGCAATTGTGAATTGTGCCACTATAAACATGCTTGTGCCCATAATCTTTTTCATATAATGACTTCTTTTCCTCTGGGTAGATACCCAGTAGCAGGATTGCTGGATCAAATGGTAGTTCTAGATCAAAAGTTAGTTCTAGAACTAAATTTTAGTTCTTTAAGGAATCTCCACACTGTTTTCCATAGTGGCTGTAATAGTTTACATTCCCACCAGCAGTGTAGAAGTGTTCCCTGATCACCACATCCATGCCAACAGCTACTGTTTTTTTGACTTTTCGATTATGGCCATTCTTGCAGGAGTAAGGTGGTAATGCATTGTGGTTTTGATTTGCATTTCCCTGATCATTAGTGATGTTGAGCATTTTTTCATATGTTTTTCGGCCATTTGTATACTTCTTTTGAGAATTGTCTATTCGTGTCCTTAGTCTAGTTTTTGGTGGTATTGTTTGTTTTTTTTCTTACTGATTTGTTTGAGTTCATTGTAGATTCTGGATATTAGTCCTTTGTCAGATGTATAGATTGTGAAGATTTTCTTCCACTCTGTGTGTTGTTTACTCTGCTGACAGTTCCTTTTGCTGTGCAAAAGCTCTTTAGTTTAACCAAGTCCCAACTATTTATCTTTTTTTAATTGCATTTGTTTTTGGGTTCTTGTTCATGAAATTATTGCCTAAGCTAATGTCTAGAAGGGTTTTTCCAATGTTATCTTCTAGAATCTTTATAGTTTCAGGCCTTAGATTTAAGTCCTTAATCCATCTTGAGTCAATTTTTGTATAAGGTGAGAGATGAGGATCCGGTTTCATTCTCTTACATGTGGCTAGCTAGTTATCCCAGCACCATTTGTTGAAGAAGGTGTCTTTTCCTCTCTTCATGTTTTTGTTTGCTTTGTCGAAGACCAGTTGGCTGTAAGTATTTGGCTTTATTTCTGGGTTCTCTATTCTGTTCCAATGGTCTATGTGCCTATTTTTATACCAGAACCATGCTGTTTTGTTGCCTATGGCCTTATGGTACAGTTTGAAATCAGGTAGTGTGATGCCTCCAGATTTGTTCTTTTTGCTGAGTCTTGCTTTGGCTATGCGGGCTTCTTTTTGGTTCCATATGAATTTTAGAATTGTTTTTTCTAACTGTGAAGAATGATGGTAGTATTTTGATGGGGAGTGCATTGAATTTGTAGATTGCTTTTGGCAGTATGGTCATTTTCACAATATTGATTCTACTCATCCATGAGCATGGGATGTGTTTCCATTTGTTTGTGTCATTTATGATTTCTTTCAGCAGTGTTTTGTAGTTTTCCTCGTAGAGGTCTTTCATCTCCTTAGTTAGGTGTATTCCTAAGTATTTTATTTTTTTGCAGCTATTGTAAAAGGGGTTGAGTTTTGATTTGATTCTCTGCTTGCTCACTGTTGGTGTATGGAAGAGCTACTGATCTGTGTACATTAATCTTGTATCTGGGAAATTTGCTGAATTATTTATCAGTTTTAGGAGTTTTCTGGAAAAGTCTTTAGGGTTTTCAAGGTAAACAATCATATCATCAGCAAACAGTGACAGTTTGACTTCCTCTTTACTGATTTGGATGCCCTTTATTTCTTTCTTTTGTCTGATTGCTCTAGCTAGGACTTCCAGTACTATGTTGAAGAGGAGTGATGTGAGTGGGCATCCTTGTCTTGTCCCAGTTCTCAAAAGGAATGCTTTCAACTTTTCCCCATTCAGTATTATGTTGGCTGTGGGTCTGTCATAGATGGCTTTTATTACACTTAGGTATGTCCCTTCTATGCCAATTTTGCCGAGAGTTTTAATCATAAAGCAATGCTGGATTTTGTCGAATGTTTTTTCTGCATCTATTGAAATGATCATGTGATTTTTGTTTTTAATGCTGTTTATGTGGTGTATCGCATTTATTGACTTACCTGTGTTAAACCTTCCCTGAATCCCTGGTATGAAACCCACTTGATCATGGTGGATTATCCATGTTTTTCTTATTTTTTGAGACAGAGTGTCGCTGTGTCACCCAGGCTGGAGTGTAGTGACGCAATCTCGGCTCACTGCAAGCTCCACCTCCCAGGTTCATGCCATCCTCCTGCCTCAGCCTCCCGAGTAGCTGGGACTACAGGCGCAAGCCTCCACGCTGCCTAATTTTTTGTATTTTTAGTAGAGATGGGGTTTCACTGTGTTAACCAGGATGGTCTCGATCTCCCGACCTTGTGATCCACCCACCTTGGCCTCCCAAAGTGCTGGGATTACAGGCGTGAGCCACCAAGCCCAGCCGGATTATCTTTTTGATATGTCGTTGGATTTGGTTAGCTAGTATTTTGTTAAGAATTTTAGCATCTATGTTCATCAAGGTTATTGATATGGTCTATAGTTTTCTTTTTTGGTTACATTCTTTCCTGATTTTGGTGTTAGTGTGATACTGGCTTCATAGAATGAATTAGGGAGGGTTCCTTCTTTCTCTATCTTGTGGAATGTGTCAAAAATATTGGTACCAATTCTTCTTTGAGTGTCTGGTAGAATTCTGCTATGAACCTGTCTGTTCCTGGACATGTTTTGCTGGCAATTTTTGAATTACCATTTCAATCTCACTGCTTGTAATCGGTCTGTTCAGGGTATCTAATTCTTCCTGATTTAAGGTAGGAGGGTTGTATTTTTCCAAGAATTTATCCTTCCCTTCTAGGTTTTCTAGTTTTTGTGCATAAAGGTGTTCATAGTAGCCTTGAATGATCTTTTATAATTTAGTGGTGTCAGTTGTAATATCTCCTGTTTCATTTCTTAATGAGGCTATTTGGATTTTCTCTCTTTTTTTCTTGGTTAATCTTGCTAATGGTCTATCAATTGTATTTATCTTTTCAAAGAACCAGCTTTTTGTTTGATTTATCTTTTGTATTTTTTTTTGTTTCAATATCATTTAGTCCTGCTCTGAGTTTGGTTATTTCATTTTTTTTTCTGCTAGGTGCTAGGTTTAGGTTTGGTTTGTTCTTGTTTCTTCTTTTTTTTTTTTTTTTTTTTTTTAGATGGAGTCTCGCTCTGTCACCACACTGGAGTGCATGCAGTGGCATGATCTCAGCTCGCTGCAACCACTGCCTCCCGGGTTCAAGCACTTCTCCTGCCTCAGCCTCCCGAGTAGCTGGGATTACAGGCACATGACACCATGCCCAGCTAATTTTTGTATTTTTAGTAGAGACGGGGTTTCACCATGTTGGCCAGGATGGTGTTGATCTCTTGACCTCGTGATCCACCTGCCTTGGCCTCCCAAAGTGCTGGGATTACAGGCGTGAGCCACCGTGCCTGGCCTGTTCTTGTTTCTTTAGTTCCTTGAGGTCCTTAGACATTCTAGTTCCTTAGAATGTCAGTTTGTGCTCTTTCATACTTTTTGATGTAGGCATTTAGGGCTATGAACTTTCCTCTTAGCACCATCTTTGCTTTATCCCAGAGGTTTTGATAGGTTGTTTCATTATTGTCATTCCGTTCAAAGAATTTTTTCATTTCCATCTTGATATCATTTTTCACCCAGTGCTCTCTCAGGAGCAGTTTATTTAATTTCCATGTATTTTCATGGTTTTGAAAATTCCTTTTGGAGTTGACTTCCAGTTGTATTCTACTGTGGTCTGAGAGAGTGCTTGATATAATTTCAATTTTCTTACGTTTATTGAGGTGCATTTTATGGCCTATCATATGGTCTATCTTGGAGAAAGTTCCATGCATAGTTGAATAGAATGTATATTCTGTGGTTGTTAGATGAAATGTTCTGTATATATCTGTTAAGTCTATTTGTTCCAAAGTATAGTTTAAATTCATTGTTTCTTGTTGACTTTCTGTCTTGATGACCTGTCTAGTGCTGTCAGCGGAGTATTGAAGTCCCCCACTATTATTGTGTTGCTGTCTATCTCATTTGTTTGGTCTATTAGTAATCATTTTATAAATTTGGTACCTCCAGTGTTAGATACATATATGTTTAGGATTATGATATTTTCCTGTTGGACAAGGCCTTTTACCATTATATAATATACCTCATTGTCTCTTTTAACTGCTGTTGCTTTAAAGTTTGTTTTGTCTGATTCAAGAATAGCTACCCCTGCTCGCTTTTGGTGTCCATTTTCATGAAATGCCTTTTTTCATCCCTTTACTTTACGTGTGTCCTTATGTGTTAGGTGAGTCTCCTGAAGGCAGCAGATAGTTGGTTGGTGAGTACTTACCCATTTTGCAGTTCTGTATCTTTTAAGTGGAGCATTTAGGCCATTTACATTCAATGTTAGTATTGAGATGTGAGGTACCATTGCATTCATTGTGCTATTTGTTGCCCGTGTACCTTGTTTTTTTTGTTTTTAGTTTTTGCTTTTTAACTTGTATTTTTTGTTTTATAGGTCCTGTGTGATTTGTGCTTTAAAGAGGTTCTGTTTTGATGTGTTTCTGGGATTTATTTCAAGATTTTGTGCTCCTTTTAGCAGTTCTTGTAGTGGTGGCTTGGTAGTGGCAAATTCTCTTAGCATTTGTTTGTCTGAAAAAGACTATATCTTCCCTTCATATATGATGCTTACTTTTGCTGGATACAAAATTCTTGGCTGATAATTGCTTTGAGGAGGCTGAAGACAGGGCCCCAATTCCTTCTAGCTTGTAGGGTTTCAGCTAAGAAATCTGCTGTTAATCTGATAGACTTTCCTTTATAGGTTACCTGGTGCTTTTGTCTCACAGCTCTTAAGATTCTTTCCTTCATCTGAACTTTAGATAACCTGAAGACAATGTGCCTAGGTTATGATCTTTTTGCAATCAATTCCTAGGTATTCTTTGTGCTTCTTGTATTTGTGCATCTAGGTCTCTTGCAAGGCCAGGAAAGTTTTCCTTGATTATTCCCCCAAATATATTTTCCAAACTTGTAGATTTGTCTTCTTCCTTAGGAAAACCAATTATTCTTAGGTTTGGTTGTTTAATATAATCTCAGACTTCTTGGAGGCTTTGTTCATATTTTCTTATTCTTTTTTCTTTGTCTTTGTTGGATTGGGTTACTTCGAAAACCTTGACTTCAAGCTCTGAATTTCTTTATTTTACTTGTTCAATTATATGGCTGAGTCTTTCCAGAGCATTTTGCATTTTTATAAGTGCATTCAATGCTTCCTGAAGTTTTATCTTTTCTTTATGCTATCTATTTCCTTGAATATTTTTCCTTCACTTCTTGTATCATTGTTTGGCTTTCCTTGCATTGGGCTTTACCTTTCTCTGGTCCCTCCTGATTAGCTTCATGAGTAACCTCTTGAATTCTTTTTCAGGTAAATCAGGGATTTCTTCTTGGTTTGGATTCATTGCTGGTGAACTAGTATGATTTTTACAGGGTGCTAAACAGCCTTGTTTTGTCATTTTACCAGAGTTGGTTTTCTGGTTCCTTCTCATTTGGGTAGGCTCTGTCAGAGGCAAGGTCTAGGGCTGAAGGCTGTTGTTCAGATTCTTTTGTCCCAAGCGGTGTTCCTTTGATGTAGTACTCTTCCCCATTTTCCTGTAGATGTGGCTTCCTATAAGCTGAGCTGCAGTGATTGTTGCCTGTCTTCTGTGTCTACCAAGCAAGTCTACCCAGCTCCAGCCTGGTACTGGGGGTTGTCTGCATAGAGTCCTGTGATGTGAACTGTCTATGGGTCTTTCAGCTGTGGATACCAGCACAGTATTTGTGGTGTCTCCTGGATCCCGCAGGAGCAGTCCGCTTCCTTCAGAGGATCTGGGGGTCCTCTTGGGATTGGTGGTTTGTTCTTGCAGTCAGTTTGGAGCTAGAATTCATGACAGGAGCCTCTGCAAGCTGCTGTGTCCATCCGTGTCAGAGCTGCAATCTAGTTCTGCCTCCCATTCGCCATGATCTCAACATGAGTGATTCTTAGCATTGATCTGTTTTCCTAGGTTTTCCCAATATAGTATACAAGGAAAAAAAATGGTAGAATAAAAGATCTCAGGTTTAAACGCTTCCTTCCATCATTTATTATCTGTATGATCATACTCAAGGAACAAAACTCTTCCCAAGTTTCTAACCTATCATCTTTGAGAAAGGAATGTTCAAGACAGTAGACTGGATCTCCCAAAATGAAGGCTCAGTATCAGGGGACAAGGAGATGTGGAAGGGAGGAATAAGCCTGCTCAAAACTGTGTGGTCTTAGTGAAGTCCCTTCCCTTCCTGGAAGCTAAGGTCCCATATGTGTGCAGTGAGGGCTTGTACCCAGCTCAGGTAACCTGTAACTCAATGTAGTAGTTTTTATATAAATGATCCCAAGAGAAGGCCATATGTTAAAGAATAAAAGAACCAGAGAGGGCCTAGGGGCTGTGCCACAGGAAATTATGTTTAGGGACTTTTTGAGTGGGGGGGAGTGCGTGGGGAAATAACAAAATCAATAGCAATTTTAGGAAAACTGCTGCACAGCTTTAGGGCTGTCTGGAGCATAGATAATCACATCCTGACCTTTTGGCTTTTGAAGAGTTTCCTTAATTACTACAAAATAGATCCTGAAGTCAGCCAGTGGTCTCAGTATAGAGTGACTACATGGCGCAACTTTGATAGTCACTTTGTTTATCTTCACCATCATATTTGCCACATTTTCCATGGTGAAAGTAGGATGACCAGGGAATTTAGAATGATAGGGGCTGGTTTCTAGTTACTGCTCCACAATACTGAGGCTGAATTCTTCTTAGCTCCCTTCATTCTATTAAACAAGCGGCCAGCATAGTAAAGAAAGGAGCTTTCCAGGCCTCTCTTCTCCATGCACCCGTGCCTCCATCCTGCCTTCTTTCTCTACCACCTGCTCAGCTGTCCAATCTGATTCCCCAGAGTGTACCAAGTAGTCTTGCATTAAGTGTCATGCATACCCACAGGGACAAAATTTGGGGCCCTCAGCAACTTTGGGTATTCCAAAATCATTTTTCATATGACATATCTGGAAAAACATTTATCTCCCTCTTGATCTTGTGAATTCTATTCTCCCTACATCAGGCCTTGTTAAGCCTTCTATTCTCTCTTTCTTACTTTCATAGGCATCTCTTATTACACTCTATTCTAATTACCTGTTTACTGGTCTTCACTTGAACAAACTTCTCGAGTTCTTTGATGGCAAGACCTGACTCTGGCCATCCTTGCAGCAAAGTGCCTGGTATAAGACATGGAAAAAGGAGAAGGTGCTGGGCTTAGTGACTGGGGAGTGAAGGCATAGGCTGTGATTCTGACCCCACTGACTGATGGTGAGCCCAATCTCCTTGACAGCTAAGGAATTCTGCACCCTCCACAGGCTCTAGTTTGGAGCTCGATTCCAGTTTGTGAGGAGGGACTTTCCCCTTTGGATACAAATCCCCATCTGGACCATATTCCACTGCTTCAAGTGTAGATAAATCCAGGAGTTGATAAGCTGACTTTTTGGACATGGGCTCAAACTGAGGAATCTAAAGGCAAATGGAAGTTGAGATACTGACTATTTTAAGCTGCCATGTCAAACACACACACACACACACACTCACACACACACACACACACACCCATCCCCATATCCATCCAAATCCAAAGCACACTGAAGCAATTCACAGCACTGCTGAATAAATCTCTCGTAATGGAACAGGAGGCTGGCTCGCTTAGGCAAAGACCAAGGAAGTTTCATGGGATAAAAGAAAGGGACATCCCCTTCACATCCTTTTGATTTGAGAAAATTCAAGTAATTTAGCCTTGAAGGTAGCACAAGAGGCTGTGCTTGGGATCAAATTAATATGTTAACTAAGTCCTTAACTAATACTCACTAAACACCCCTTCTGCCTTAGTCTCTGAGAATTTAGAAGTGGAAAGGATCTCATAGGATTGGGAGAGACAGCCAGTTACAATGCCGTGTGCTAAGTGCTGTAATAGAGAGAACATGGCATGATGTAGAGGACCTTTCCCCATAGCCTGGGGAAGGAAGAAGTAGGAGCTGAGCTGAGTTTTGTGGAATGAACAAACAATCCTCAGATAGAGAGGGTAGAGTGAGGGGGAGAAGTGTTCCATGCAGGAGGAAGGCCTGGACAAAGGCATGGGGACAGAAAATCTAGCAAATTGGGGAAATGGTCTTTTAAAATTACCGTGTAAAGTCTATTGGTAATTTTCAGCATGATTGCAAAATGTTGAAGAGAGTATACATATTGAATGTAAGCTAGACTTCCTATAGGAGGTAAATGGTTGCAGAGCATTTGTTTGTGTTTCTTAATGCAAATATTTGTTAAAGAGTTACTTTTACCATTAAAATGCAACCTGAATGCACACAAATTTAGGGCATTGGGATAAAATCACTGGTGAATTATAGAGGAAAATTTCATTTCAAAGATAGTTTTACAGAAATATATCAAAATGATTCTTACAAACTGGTGAACAGAAAGATTGGAGCATTGTTTTTTTCTTTTGAAGCAAATCCTGAAGGGCAGCATTTTCTCGTTTCTTGTTTGAAAGAAAGAATAGCTCTCATTTCTGTGACTTCATCTAACATCTCAAAAGGACACACTAAAGGAATATGCTTAGAAGTTGGCAAGCAGGCTTAGTGTCTTAGGGAGGAAATCTATTACATTTGAGGACTTCCATGCAGCTGCTGTCCAAACCACAGTAAGCCTGATAAACCATAAGTTAAGCTGACCTCCTGCTGATATGCTTGGGACACCATCAGAATCTATTTCCAAATATTTCAGAAGGGACTGTATGGAATCCTCTGACTTCTGGAGCATGAGATTGAATGGGGAACCTGTTTTTTATTATGGTTGGGAATAACAAAAAAATGTTTAACTATTCCATGACTTTAATGGAACACAGATTTGGTTTGCCTTGGAAGTAACTGTTCAGCATTATAATTACAATTTGCTTGCAGCGTCAGTGAAGGCACACAGTGGTCCAAACCACAGAGGCAAAGAAGAAAGGGGACACGCACTGAGATACATGTGTGTGTACATGTATTGACATACACACACATACATCACCCATTGGTTCATTTGCAATTCATGACACTCTGGAGCTGGGAGGATTTTTTTTCCAAAAGGCCACATCCGTTCCCTGACAAACTCATAAATCATTTTATTTCTCTACTATTAAGCAAAACCCATTTTTAGAACCAGCACGATCACTGAGTCTCTGTTCATTTGGCAAATGCGTCTCATGCTGAAATAAACCTGCTGTCAAGTTTGACAAGAAGTCCACATTCTCTGAATGTATGCGCTTTGCAATGTTCATCTAGAGGCATACAATTTTGGATAATGCCCTCAGGGAGCTGCTTTTGCAGGGGTGCTGGACTCAGCATTTAGTTCATCCCTGAGGTTCCTACCAATGTAGCCCTTTCACTAGGTTTAAGGGCTTTCAAGTTTCACCCAAGGCTTAAATGCGATAGTAGAGTCTGGAAAGAAGCCAAATGGGGCAGGGGAAATGAAGCAGATCCCAGCTAATGAGGTTCTGCCAAGCACCACATGTTCATTCTGGGGCTTTTACTGCTCTCTCTTAGAAACTATAATCCCAGGCTGACTGAATATTGCAGCAGGGATGGGGCTTTCGGCTGTAAAGTAGTCAGTACCCCAAGTTTCATCAGCTGGGCCTTTGTACTCACCATTTTCTCTCCATGAAAAGTGCATCCTCCAAGTCTTGGCATGGCTCACTCCTTCTCATTCTTTAGGTCTCAGCTCATTTAATTTTGATAATTATTCATTGAGTTCAGTGTCATTATTATCACCTTTTAAAAGATCAAGAGACTGGGCTTAAAGAGTCCAGATAGTTTGATAACTGGCTAGTAACTAGTAGAGACTGGATTCTAACCCTCTGGGTTTGAACTCTGAACTCATATTCTTAAAGGTTACAATGTTGCTTAGTTATCTGCTCTGAAACAGACCTCAGGAGAGTGTGGAAGGAAACATATTGAAAATTTCCACTCCCTCCAAAGCAATTTTAACTTTTCAGAATGCTTTTTATGCTCTCCATTGTTGGACCCACTGCAGTGGGGTGCATTGAAGGATTCCTGAAGGAAGCAAAGCTTGAGTTGGTATAGGAAAGATATTCTATACAAAGAAATGGAACACTAGGAAAAGGAGCACATGTCTGTGGAATAGCAAGAATTGTTGAGAAAGCTACTCAAAGAAATTCAGTATTATCTGAGAATTATAATGAGGAGAGTGACAGAAGCTAAGGCTGGAGAATCTGACATGAACACACGTAAGATGTAAGATGCCAAGTGATGTTGCCTCCAACCCAGGAGACAATGCAGTGATTGTAGGTAGCAGGGTGACATGGTCAGGCTTGCCTTTTAGGACTATCACTATGGCTGCCATGTGGCGAATGGGTTGGTGCAGGCAAGGCAAGAGGAAGGAAGATCTTTTAGGAACATTCTGCAATATGGCAGGTAAAAGATGTTGTGAGTGTGAAGCTGGGCAGTGACAGTAGACAGGGTGGGGATGGGTTTGACTCATGAAAATGCAGAAGGCAAGGTCGATATGACTTGCATTAGGGAGAAGGGAAGCATAAAAAGTTTCCCAAGTTTCTGGCTCATGTTCCCTGAGTGGATGATGGTGCCACTCTCGAGGAGATAGAATCAGATTTAGTGAAGACAAAGATAAGTGACAGTGGTTTAGTACATGATGGGACACAATGGGACAAGTGTCCATTGTGCCCTTGCACGTGAGGTGCTGGGGAGTTGAGCACATTGGGAAGGTGATTTGGAATTCGTAAGCATATATGAGTTTATTCAAGCCATCACTTCAGACAAGTGTGTAGCGAGAGAAGAATTGAGTTCTTAGACCCTTGGGTGCAACAGCATTTATAGGGTTGTCAGAACAGGTGAACTCACAGTAGAGACTTGAACTCTGAATAAAGCAGGGCGCCTAACAGCATGAGGTCCCCTTGGTAGCCTGCAGCTTCTCCTCCTTCTTTGAAATACAAATCAACTTCTTTTGGGGGATGAAGAACTAGAATTATTGTAAACCTATCAGTTTTCCAAGCGTCAATTTTTCCAATTGTTGGGACTTCTATTAGGTCTAACAATGGAGGACATAAAATATTTACTGAAAAGTTAAAACTGCTTTTGAGGGAGTGGAAATTTTCAGTATGTTTTTAGCAAAACCCACAAGATTGAAGTTCAGTTCAAATAACACAAACATTTTGCATGCAATAGCTGTTTATTTTATTTTTTATCAATTTGGCTCCATATTTCTATGGTAGTAACTTTCACAAAGTTCTGGCCCTTAATTGTGACAGTACATCCAATGTTAAATAGAAAATGGAGTAGAGAGACGTCCTAGTCTGTGTTGCTATGAAGGAGTATCTGAGGCTGGGTAATGTATAAATAAATGAGGTTTATTTGGCACATGGTTCTGTAGGATCTGCAAGAAGCATGGCCCCAACATCTGCTTCTGGTGAGGGCTTCAGGCTTCTTCCACTTATGGTGGAAGGGGAAGGGGAGCCAGCATGTGCACAGGTGGCATGGCAGGAGAGGAAGCAAGAGAGAGAGGAAGAGGTACCAAGAACTTTTCAACAATCAGTTCTTTCAGGAACTAAGAGTGAGAACTCACTCCAGTGAGAACAGCACCAAGCCATTCAAGAGGGACCAATCCCATGACCCAAACACCTTCAACCATATCCCACCTCCAACATTAGGGATCGAATTTCTACATGAGACACGGTGGGGCCAAACCAAATCCAAACCATGCAGGGGAAAAGGAGATTTCTATTTCTTTCTCCATTAACCACTCAAATGTTTGGTTTATGCAATGCTGCCTTCTAGCTAGACTTCATTTGCCGTTAGCAAATTTAACAAAGGCTGAATACATAACCTGCTATCTCCCTGGAGCTATGCTAGGCGCTGTGATGGGCAGTGTTTCCTTTAAGATTCACAAATGGGCCAGAGAGAGATTAGAATGCTTTTGTCTATTTGATAAAGAAATTGAAGTTGTAGGAGATGAAGTGATTTGTTCAGGTTTACTCAGCGAGTTAGAGGAAGGCAAGGATTAGAACACGTGTGCACACACATACACATACATTTTAGATTCTAAGTCTTGTGAGCTTTTTTTCTTTTAATACAACTGCTCTGTTTCCATTTCTAAAATATGGTTCACATCTTGCTGGGTTTTTAAAAACTGAGTAAGTCTTTTCTCTGTTTGTAACTCCTTAGCACCCCAATTCCATTAAACAAATGCACAAAAAAGAGAAATCAGTGAAACGATGACCTTCATAAAATAATCATTCCTAAATCATCTGTGCAAATTGTTCTCGTCTACACAATTATGCCTTATGAGAGACCATTTTGATTACCAGTCAAAGGGAAATAAATGAGTGGTATGTAAAATTTAGTATCCATGATTTTTCTCATCAGTGTCCTTTAAATACATCCACATTATATCTGAGGTTTAAAAACAAGGCAAATGGGCACAGCATGCTTCGGTAGGACTGTCCTTTGTGGCTGTAGAAATGAGCCTTAGCTAACTTAGGCCTGAGTGGTTCCAGTACCTAAGTAGATCCCTATACTTAACTCAGCAAAGCATACATAGTTGTTATTCAATTGTTATTTACTTTTTTGGTCTCCTTTTATTTCATTTCCTAGGAAACTGAGTGGACGTTGAATCTGTGAATGGGAAGGGAATTCTTGTATTTTCTAACCAGATTTGCCAGGACCTAAGAGCAGATAATGGGGCGGGGGAAGAAAGGAAAATTGCCCCCCATGTATCCAATACGCCAATAAATTCTATACACCAAAACTTTGAATGAACAAAGTAATTTTTAGAAAATCAAATAGGGATTGTCTAGGGAGAATAAAAAGACATAGTGTTAGTCCAGTGTATTTATTGGCATGGCACATGTTGATTGATTACCTACTGTAAGCTAGGCCCTCTGCCAGACCTTGGAGGCATGAAAATAAACAAGACAGATGTGATTACTCTTGCTAGTTGAGAAGATCACCATGAGTGCCTACTAAGTGCCACATGTTTTCTATCAAGTTTTCTATTCATAGTAGTCATAGCTATTAGCAGTGGCTCAGATGTTTGATGCTTGATCCCTCAGAAGCATCTCTGAGTAGGCAATCAAGCACTTAATTTAAATGGAGGCTTTCTCTTTTTAATTTTTTTTTGTAGAGCATAGCTACTGATAGAGAAACTATGCGATAAGATCTGATACATAGCCAGACGCCATGGCTCACGCCTGTAATCCCAGCACTTTGAGAGGCCGAGGTGGGAGGATTACTTGAGGTTAGGAGTTTGAGACCAACTGTCCTACTAAAAATACAAAAAAAAAAAAAATTACCTGGGCATGGTGGTGCATGCCTGTAGTCCCAGCTACTCATGAGGCTGAGGCAGGAAAATCACTTGAACTTGGGAGGTGGAGATTGCAGTGAGCCGAGATTGAGCCACTGCACTCCAGCATGGGTGACAGAACAAGACTCTGTCTCAAAAGAAAAAGAAGAAAAAAGATCTGATATATAGGTAAGGGAAAAGAGATTGAGATGGGGAACCAAAGTATAAATACTTGGACTTAGCTGATGCATTTAAGAAGTAAAGAGGAGCTGCAAAATATGATGAGGGTTACAGGCCTCAATCCAGAAATGCTTCTTGACTCACCTGCAGCAGGTCCCTGAAATGCCATCCTTATTAGTAAAACTAATACTGTCTAGAAAATTATTGCAATAATGGCTAGAATCTATTGAGTATCTTTTATATGTAGGTCCTGTCCGAAGTGTTGTACAAACATGATGTCATATTATTAACCTTCAGAGCATCCCAGTGAGGTG